>NC_000007.14:107506779-108131779 GCF_000001405.40 Homo sapiens | reverse complement strand
CTTTTAAAATTTACATATCTCAAAAGGCAAAAAAGACAATATGAAATTCCAATGTTTGAAATAAGTTTAAAAATTATATAAATTTTAATGCCTAGAGTTTATGCTTTGCACAATAATTTAAGAGTCTAAAGGGAAAATAGTATTGGTCTAATAAAACAGATCACAAACCCGTCAATTGAACAAACTGAAAGTCCCTTGATTTCACTCACACACTTTGCTGAAGTATCCACCTAAAAACCAAATACTGCTCTTTGGTCTCCTACCACCTGGTACTTTGTGGCAGCTGTTGGCTTGTAAAAAATAAATAAAACAAGTTAGTTTAGCAAATATTGACTGCAAGCTTCTTCTATACTTCATCCTAAAATGGAAAAGACATGTTCCTGCCCTCTTGGAGTTTGCTTTCTAGTACATCAGAAGTGAGCAGATGAACCTGACCTATAGGGAACAAAATTAAAAACAGTGGCATCGATGGAAAAATAGAGCAATAAATTAAAACACAAATAACAGGTAAGAAGCATTGAAAAATACCCTTGAAAAAGCTTAAAGGCCTGTAAGAGTGGTATTTGGTGAAAGTTTGTTGAATCTATTTCCTGATTTGTAAATGTTGTGTAAAAATGAGCATCTCATTTTGGCTCAGTTCACAATCATTTTTCTTCCCTAAGGGTATTTTCCATGAGCTTCTAGAAATCCTAAATGTTTTTTCAAGCAACCAATAAACTTACCCATTGAAACTGCACAGATTTGAAATGGAGATATTAATCCACTGACAAGTGAATAAAATGTAAGATTGCTGTAGGTTCATTTCTATACTATAAACCTTCCTCGTAGGAGAATGAAATTTCAAACCACATGGATTCCAAAACCACTTAAACTTGCCATTCCCACAATGGTTAGTTGTACTTGCCGAATCACAAGGTAAACAGAAATCTATGAGCCATTTAAGATGATCTTGAGCCAGGTAGGACTGGTCAGAGCCTTGGGAACCCATCTGAAACTATTCCACCTGGTCCGCCTGAAAGTAGATTGGGATGGAGTCAGGGGTCTCACATTCCTGAGAAACAAGCCCATCTAATTCCGCACATTTTATAGCTGGTAAGTATCAAGCTGTCTGAAAATGACCGCTAAAACATGAACCAGAAAAACATAAATAAATCAGGGAACAAAATGTCTGTGCATTATTCCTGGCTATTAAAATTGGTTTTAGAGAAAACAAGAAAAATATTTGCTGTAAAACTGAGCTCTATTTCCCTGTTTATGTGTGTGTGTGGGTGTGTGTGTGTGTATAAGTTAAAACTTAAGTGACTTCACAAATCACCTTTTTGACAGGCATTGGAATACCTCTTGTCTTTTTTTTTCCCTACTTTTAGGTGCCTCGGGGAGAATGTTTTCTACATAAACTGGCTCTAACTTTCAGGTGTGTCTTCACATGCCCCGTTTGCTGCCTGAACCTCTCCACAAAGACTCCCAGATCCTGGTAAGTCTTGCCTGCTCTCTCACTAGCAAATTGGCATTTTTATGGATTAAATGAAGGTATTAGAATTTAGGGGGTAAGTGGAGTTGTCATAAAGTAAGAAATGGGACATATTAGCACATAGATTACTATTACTTTTACAGAATGATAGTCCAATGACACTTAAATAAAGGTTCTTGCAACATAAAACAGTATCCAATGGGAAAATTGATGTTAGTGCATTGTGATATGAAGCCAACAACTTGAGCCTTACTGTACCTTGAAGGGAGCTTCAAATGATGTAGTGTTGAAATGTACAACTGTATTGTGTTTTCAGCAAATGTTTGTTTTTGTTATGGTTATAAAACTTATGACAACTTATAAAAGTTTAAATGCATTAGAACTACCCATATTTTCAAAATATTTTGTTAATGTTCTAGATATGTGTAAATATTGTTTTAAGAAAAGCAAGTCTGCTATAACTAAAAGAAACATAAACTTGGCCGGGCATGGTGGCTCATGCCTGTAATCCCAGCCCTCTGGGAGGCCGAGGCAGGCAAATTGCTTGAGCTCAGGAGGTCAAGACCAGCCTGAGCAACATGGCGAAACCCCATCTCTGTAAAAACTATACAGCCGTAGTGGCACATGCCTGTAATCCCAGCTACTCAGGAGGTTGAGATGGAAGGACTGCTTAAGCATGGGAGGTTGAGGTTGCAGTGAACCAAGAATGTGCCACTGTACTACAGCCTGGGTGACAGAGGAAGACTCTGTCTCCAAAAAAAAAAAAAAAGTAAACTTTATAGTTCTGTATTCTGCATTCCTCACTATGATGAAATTTAGGCAAAACAGTTGAAATATCTAATGAGTCCTGACATAACATGAAAAAAAGTTAGACAAAGGAAAGTTAAATACAAGATTTCTGAGAACTGTCACTTTATAGACAATTATTTGTGTACCAGAAAAAGTCTTAAGGGCTAATATAAATGTATTTATAATTATCTTCTGTGTTATAAATTACTGTCCAATTTGCAGAAGAAAGGTGCTGTAGTAGAAACAGGAGCGGAATGCATGTCTTTCCTGCGGAGAGGCTCTTATCAAACACGATGCACCTGTGGTTCTAGGAGCTGGGCAAATGGGCACCACATGGCCCTTTTCTCTTCATCTGTTTCATCCAAATTGTTTTGACAAAAAAGAGTAAACTCTTTGCAGCCTTCAAGTGAGAGCAGATGAGGCAAATATAAGTGAATGGTCAGTAAATTAAATAAATTAGCAATGCCAGAAAGTTACTTTCAGTCTAATATATTTCACTGTTTATTGCAACACTTAATACATTTTAAGACCAGTGTCATCTAGCAGCATTCATTAAACGGCTACCAAAATGCACCCAGCGCCTTTGGAAATACGTTTATACATATCTCATCCAAAGGAGGGAAAATGTTTTGTTTATTACTCCTAATCACTTTTACATATATTACTAAAACTCACTGATGAATTTAACAAGAAAAGAGTGCCATGTAGCCCCTGAGAGGCTTTCCAATGTCAGCTCTGGTAAACCAACCCGAAAAGCAGTACCAATTAAACTTATAGTTTGACGAAGGAAGGCATGCACAGGGTTACCACATTTTCTGATATTGCGCTGTATGTGCAGCTGTGGGTTTTATAATGACTGGATAGGTGATTTCAGATAACAGAACTTCTAGAAGTTGCCAGATTCATTATAATACTTATCTAGTTTGGAGCTTAGCTCTCCTAAAATGGGAAATAGAAAATGGGGAGGAAGACTAGAGGTGAGTGATTTTGGGAAATAAGGGCTGAGATGATAAGGCCCATAGCTAAGGGCACTGAAGCCACTGAGAAAGTTTCTCAAGCTCAGCGCTGTTGATATTTTAGGATGCTTAATTCTATGTTGTAGGGCCCAGAAATATTGTAGAATATTTACTTAGCAGCACCCCTGGCCTCTACACACTCAATGCCAGTAGCGTCTGTCATGCCAGAACCCTATTGACTTCAGTAGGGATGGCACCATGTTTGAGAGGCCAAAGAAGGGACTTGGAGTCAGCGAACAAGACATAGGGTTTATTGAAGGGGACTTATACACAGGGCAGACCCATGGCTGTATGTAAGGCTGCACTGGAGAACCGCTCCTGCTTGTAAAAGTCATGCAGTTCATACAGCATTTTCACTGAGCACCCTCCCTCTAACAACCTCCACCTGGCAACCTTTGTTTACAACAAAACAAAGGACCTCGATCCCCTGTATCGACCGTGTTCCATAGAATGGGCCAGGGGTTCAGATGTTCCTGATAGATAAGGAATGAATCTTCAGGTTGGCTACTCCCGGATTCCTTAGCTTGGAACTCTAAACACACATTCCTTTTAGACCACAGGTCTTTCTCAGGGTCTGCTTAAGTTATTGCTTTCAGGTGTGTCTGCCATACAGCATCTTCCTCTCATTATGACAGCCAAAAATGTCTGCAAACATTGCCAAATGTCCTGTACTCACCCCAACACGACAGCCTGCAGAGTCTTACTACTGAGGAGCCATCAGTCTTTGGAGTGCAAAGACTTGGGAGTTGCTTAGGGCAGTGGTTCTCAAACTTGAGCGTTCATCAGACTCACCTGGAGGGCACGTGGCAGCATGCTGGGCCCCATCCCAGAGTCTGTGAATCAGTAGGTCCCTGGCTGGGCCCTGATCATTGGCATTTCCACATGATGTTGATGCTGCTCATCTGGTAGGGTGACCAACCATGTAAGTTTGCCTGGTTCTGAGAGAGATTGCCGAACCTGGGGATTTGCAATGAGAATATCAGAAAAGTCCCAGGCAAACTAGGATGAATTGGTTATCTTATTAAGTCCATGGACTACGCTTGGAGAACCACTGTTTAAGGAGATAAGATCAAATAGGCTTGATGAGAAGAATTTAGATTTGAAGGGTAAGAAAAGGAGGAATCAAAGGTAACCCTCAAGTTTCTAGTCTGAGACAGTTGGTCCATGGTTATGCAGTGGGTCTCAAATTTTGCTGCCCATTGGACTCACCTGGAATCTTTAAAAATACTGATGTCGGGGCCTTAACCCCAGATATTGTGGTGTAATTGGTATGGAATGTGACCCGGGAAGCAGGATTCAAAAAAAAAAAAAAAACACAAAAAAAAAAACCCTGGTGATTTTAATGTGCAGTAAAGTTTGGAAAGCACTGGGTTATGCCCTTCTCTTAGAAGGGAATCCAGGAGCAGAGCAAGTGTGAGGGGCAAATTAATCCGTTTTAGGTATTGGCAAGCCATCAGTGGTTCTCAACCCTGGCTACATCTCAGAATCCCCTAGGGAGTGTTTTATACACATTGACACCTGGGTCCCACCCCAGAGATTCTGCCTTAATTAGTTTGAGGTGGGCCTGAGCACTGGTAGTTTAATATCTCCTCAGGTGCATACAATGGTATATTATTCAGCCTTAAAAAGGAAAGAAGGCCGGGCGCGGTGGCTCACGCCTGTAATCCCAGCACTTTGGGAGGCCGAGGCGGGTGGATCATGAGGTCAGGAGATCGAGACCATCCTGGCTAACAAGGTGAAACCCCGTCTCTACTAAAAATACAAAAAAAAAATTAGTCGGGCGCGGTGGCGGGCGCCTGTAGTCCCAGCTACTCGGGAGGCTGAGGCAGGAGAATGGCGTGAACCCGGGAAGCGGAGCTTGCAGTGAGCCGAGATTGCGCCACTGCAGTCCGCAGTCCGGCCTGGGCGACAGAGCGAGACTCCGTCTCAAAAAAAAAAAAAAAAAAAAAGAAAGAAATTCTGACACATCCTACAACATGGATGAACCTTTAGGACATTATGCTACGTGAAATAGGCCAGTCACAAAAAAGACAAATATTGTGCGATTCTACATATGTTAGATACTTAGAGTAGTCAAATCCATAGAGACAGAAAGTAGAACGGTGGCTGCCAGGGGCTCGGGGAGACATGAAGACTTCTTGTTTAATGGATACAAAGTTTCAACTTTGCAAGATGAAAAGTGTTCTGGAGATCGGTTGCACACAATGTAAATGTAATTAACACTACTGAAGTGTACAGGTAAAAATGATTAAGATGGTCAATTTTATGTAGGTGTATTTCTACCACAATTAAAAATAAATATTTCAAAAAGGAAGTCATTAAAAATATCTTCTCAAGTGATTCTCAGTTGCATTCAGGGCTGTGGCCTGCTGATCTAACAGAATTATTGGCAAGCTGTGTGATTCTGTCATTTATCTCTTCACATAGCAACTGTGATAATCCTTAACCAATTATCAATAAGGAAATTGTATCTCTTCTAGTTCAATTTGGGATCTGTTTCTGACTCCTCCTGCTGCTCCTTTGGGGCAGGTCATTTTTAAACCTGGCTGATGTACACTGGGAAGTCCAGTAGTCTTTGTACCATGACCTTTATTGTTGCTTGAAGAGAATTCCCATATGGACTGAAGAAATTTTCAGCAGGTCATTTTTATCATAGAAATGTGGTGAACTGTGATACTGAGGAAGCTTTGTTCCCCCAAATGCTCTGCAAAAGGCATTCCGCTTGTTCTTTTACTCCTGCGTTCAGCATTACAGTTCCACCTCCTGTCTTTCTAAATCTGAGTCCTGGGAATTCGGCAGTCTGCCTCACTCCCACCTGTCCGATGTAGGAAAAGATTAGCCCATCATTTGTAGCTGGAAACAGTCTTTTGCTTTGGACTCTGCCCTGTGAATAGGTTCTCCACTGGAGAGAAGCAGGAATGCCATGATATATCCTATGTAGCACTTTACCCCAGCAACTCAGAGCCTAGATCATTACAAGCCATGAATCGTAGGCTATTCACAGAGATTGTCATCTCACTGAATTCAGTTTCTTTGGTTATAGAGAATCATACTTTCAAACTTTGCTAATAATGCCCATTCTTATTAAATGCCCATAATGCCAATCATTTTGCATTTCCAGACAGAATGAAGCACACGGGCAGTTCTAAATACAGGACAGCATCAGGATTAGATATTTCATTTATCAGAAGTATATCTGGGCGGCTGAACAGAAGCCAAGCTCCTGACTTGCCTGTGAGAAAAAAGCAGTAAGAAAGTACCACCTAGAAAAGTGCCTGTGCAGGTTCGGGTGGCCTATACAGAATGGACCTTCCTATAGCTGTAACCTGGATTCTCCTATAGGTCTTCACAAGGTTTTGTATGAGGCCATTAGCCCAAGATTGCAGACTTTTCCAACAGGTAGAGCTCATTCTGATGGAGCTACTATGGGAGGACTGTTTCTCAGTGAGTCACTTTCCAGCATTGGACTTCCAAAGTGAACCCTAGGCTTCATAAAGAGCCTGAATCACAGAATGGGATATTTGCCTAAAATCAGGCATTGCAAAACACCCTAAAAAGACTTCATAGGGAGGCTGACATTTGGGCTTAGGAGGGTGACATTCAAGGCAAAGGAAACAGCGTGCAAAGAAGGTTCAGAAAACAGAAACTGGAGTGCTAAGGCTGGAGCGCAGGGACTGTGCATGTGCAGGGACTGGGAATATGGGAGTAGGAGGGTAACGGATTCACAAGGAAAAGCCTCGAAGGTAGAATGTGAAAAAATAGTCTCACTTGAAAATACGTGAAAGAGGTTTTATATTTCCTACTATTCAAATAAATTATAATGAGGTTGTTTTTTTTTTGCCTTTTAAACTGACAGATATTTAAAAATAATACTCCATGTTGGTAAGGGCTCATGTTAGCAGTGCTCACAGTCTGGTTATAAGAGTGTAAATTGGAACAAACTTTCTGCATGGTAGTTTGACAGTGACATCAAAAGCTTTATACACACATATACATATGTATATTTGTATATATGCATGTGTGTGTATGTGTATATATATACAATCTTTATATACATATATGGTTATATGCACACACACATATACTCTTTGGCTCATTATTTCTGCTCCATTTACTATATCATAGTGAATAAGGCTATAAACAAAGATTTAGCAGAAATATTTATAATAGGAAAATATTATAAACCAAGTACACATCAACCAATAGAGAATTCATTAAATCAATTCTAGTTTCTACATTCAGACTAATACTATGCAGTAATTAAAAATACTGTTGTCCATCTTACAACACAATGAGATTCCATCTCTACAAAAAATAAAAATTAGCTGGGTATGCTGGCACATGCCTATAGTCTCTGCTACTGGGGAGGCTGAGGTGGGAGAATCAGCTTGAATCCAGGAGGCTGAGGCTGCACTGGTCCACCATTGCACCACTGTACTCCAGCCTGGGCAACAGAGTGAGACACTGTCTTAAAAAAAGGAAAAAAAAAAACCATTACAAATTTTACCTTCTTTTCTCCAGACCCACTGAAGTGTATATGTACTCCACTCTGGATCAGAACTCTCTTCAATGGTAACTTGGGGATGGAGGGAAGCCTCTCTCTCAAGGGCCATGGCCAAATCTACAAAGAAGAAAATCACAAGTTTGCTTTATAGGAGACTCCAGGTGATCTTAATCTTGATAAAATATCACTAATTAAAAGTGCATTTGTTAGTACAGAAAGATGCCTGGAATGTATTGATCGAAATAAGAAAACAGTGTGATAATACTTTTGAAAATTATTTGTGCAAGGAAAAAGTATGGAAGAAAAGGCTCTTGAGAGAGGGGCCTCCCTCCATCCCCAGTGTCTTGCTCTGTTGCCCACGCTGGAGTGCAGTGGTGCAATCATGGCCCACTGCGGGTGGTATTATAGGTGATATTTTTCTTCATTTTGCCTGTCTGAATATTCTACTTTTTCTATAATAAGTATGTATTAACTGTGTAATTTTTAGAAGAAAAAGTTTCTAAATAAGAATGGGCAAAAAGTAGGTTAAAATTAAAATATGCAAAGGAAATTATATTTGTTTCCTCTTATTTCCCACAAACAATTGAATTCTGTGATTTCAAAAAATGGCAAACATTAAGAGCAAACAAATATTTGTTAAAATGTTTATGCACTCTTATTTTTTGAGGATCTGGACAGTGTGGTTATTTCGTATGTCTAAAGCATAAGAACCATTCGATAACCCTAAGCACTTTTACATAACATGTGATGATGGCAATTATTTCTTCTATCAGTGATTGACTTTAACCTTTTTTTAACCCAGTAGAATTGAATTTAATCATCTCCTGACAAAAGAATGCAATTTCAACTGACCCTTTTTTTGCACCTTGGTGAGTATTTGTTGTCAAAATCTATTTACTGCTTGCGCTGTCCTAAAATATTTAATGGAAATAGTTTTTAAACATATTCACTTCTGTCTTCTATAGTGCTGTATGCTTATGTAGCTATTCTGTTGTTGTTGTGTAATTGTGTCAAGCAACTGAAAAATTCCACTCCAACATGTTTAGTATCCACATATAGCTATTTCTATCACTTTTTAATGGAATGTTATCTTCAGATAAGTAAAATATTAAAGAACAGAGAATAGTTTCAGTGTCTTAATTTACAAATACAATGCATCTAATTTTTTTAATAGCTGTGCTTTCAATGTAACACTTTTCCCAGCAATGAGGTCTTGTGAAGAAGTTACAGGCAAAATTCCCTCTTCTAAGTAAGCAGCAGCTCTAAGCTAAAAGGCCAAATTCTCCATGCTCCTGCTGTCTTTAATAAGCTGAGAACAATTTACATTAATCATAGAGAAGATGTTTCCAACAATTACTCTCTTTGATCTGACTTTTCTACATCGAAAACAGGCCTGCTTTTGGTTACTGATTACTAACTAAATTGCTTAGAATCTTCACTTCAAAGATTTATGCTGAATTTCTTCATGACAACAAACCTTCAGAATCTCACCTTTTTCTTTTTCTTCACAATTTTCCAACCCTGAGGTAATTTTCCAGTTAGATTTGCTGGTAATAGTCCAGATGGTAAGCACTCATTTGTTCTCTGTTGAAAATCCCCTGCCTTGGAGAGGTGAGCCACAGCCCAGTGGGAACAGAAACTTGTCATTCATCTGGAGCCCTCAGTTCATCCTCCACATCCCAGGACTGGTCTCATTCAGAAAAACAGTTATTTTAACCTGCACCTGCCTTACATGTTCTCTTTGAAACTAAACCAATATCCAAAATCAGAAGGGACCACTGAGGATCACTCTACCTTCTCCCCAGCCTTTGTATAGAATATCTTACTTACATCTTGCAAAAGTTCTAAACCGATCCACAGTTGCTGAGAGAGCCCTCCTCAATTAGGGGACTCCTCTCTCTGGAGAAGCAATCTTCTAAACTAAATTAGCTTGGGCAGAAAAGACCTCACTGCAATCAATCGTACATTTCTAAATATAAGCTTGCCCTGACCTTAACCAAACCTCTTGAGTTGCCATGGTCAAACTCCCAAGCAGGTTAGCTACATATCATCAGCTTGGGAATTTTCCCATTGATAGTTTGAACATAGACACTTACATAAATACTGCAGCCTATTTAAACACTTAGTTTTATCTTCTGACTGAGCAATATAAGGAGAAATAATCATAAAAAGTGCACTGCCCCATAGGTTTTAGGAACTTCACTAAAAGTGCAAACCTTATCTACATGCGTTCTTTTTTTTTTTTTTTTAAGACAGAGTTTCATTCTTGTCGCCCAGGCTGGAGTGCAATGGTGCGATCTCAGCTCACTGCAACCTCCACCTCCTGGGTTCAAGCAATTCTCCTGCCTCAGCCTCCCGAGTAGCTGGGATTACAGGTGCTCCCACCATGCCCAGCTAATTTTTTGTATTTTTAGTAGAGACAGGGTTTCACCATGTTGGCCAGGCTGGTCTTGAACTCCTGACCTCAGGTGAAACACCCACCTCGGCCTCCCAAAGTGCTGGGATTACAGGTGTGAGCCACCGTGCCAGGCCGCATTCTTGGTATTTTTTCTCACCCATTATAATCTGCATGAACGTATAAACATGTGTTTACATCCTCTAAAGCTCTGATGTGAACTCTAAAGTGTGAGAAAGCATCTCATGTGTTTGAGAAAATTATGACAACATGCAGAAATACTAGAGAAATTATATAGTAACAGTAATTTCTATAAAACAATTCTTTACAGAAAATTTACTGTATATTTTCCTTAAATGACCAGATCTCCTAAATTCATTTTGGAATTTCATAACATTCTTAAAGTTCATAACATTCTATCTTCAGGTTCTATCTTCAGGTTGCGTCATCTTTTAGGAACGTGTTGATTGTCAAAAGACATAAACATGTTTATTTTCTGAATTAATTCCAACCCGTTGCTAATGTGATTTGGCATTTGGAAACTTCATCCCAGGAAGGATATTGCTTAGTCTATGTTCAGGCATGAAACTTTAACTATTTACATTTCTAGTCACTTTTTGCCAAATATTTTAGACAAGAAGTTCATATTTGCACTTATAATGTTACAGGAATAATAGTTAAATTTCCCTAAGTCCTGGAATATATTTTCTGAAAAAAAAATTCTGACAAAAACAAGTTTGGCCAAGTCAGGTTATAAAAACATGTTAAATCTCTAAGGCAACAATTCCAATTAAAAAAAAATCCAGGATGGAACTTGTCTAAAAGTATAAATCCCTGGAAGGGAAGTCTTCTTTTATTCACATGTAACATCAACGGAAATGTTATACCTGATATTGTCCTTAAAAATCTTTGGTCTATTGGAGTCCAAACTTCTGAATAGCTATTTATCCTAGATACCAATTCCGGAAAACAAGCAAACAAACAAAATATGAATGTGGGTTGCTGGTTAAATAAAAGTCCGCATTAACCATTTATTATACCACAAAACAGCAAGTGTCCAATGGAGCTAGCTTTCTTCACATAGCTATCTCAGAAGAGAAAGAAATGTGCCCTTGTTTTAGAATAATAATCTTTACATTGAGATTGAGAATAGAAAATTTCCTGTTCAAAGTGTCATTTAGTAACTTGTGTGGGTGGAGACATTATCATGTTCTTAGCTGTAGAACTTATGATCCATGTCTGTTACATGCCTAATAATACAAAATGACTAGATTAATAGTTCATGTGAATAATGTTTAAGTAAGAGAAATAACACGTTTTTTTCAATAACCATATAGGCTATTTTGGAGGTCAAATCGAAGGAAAGAAAGCCATTAAATGTAAAACAAGTTCATGAAAAGATTATTATATTTTTTAAATGGAGAAAACTGAAAAGAAACCAAGCTGATTTCACTGTATGGTTATTATTTTTTATTATAGGCCCATCCCTGTCACTCCTGTCTACTGAAATAAGGCTTGGCACAAATTTTCATGTCTCAAGGATAAAGTGTATAAGAGCAGCTAGAACATGTCACATGTGTATTTTTAGAGTCTGGGATTTGCTTGGTTTACCATCCAGAGGTTGATGGGGGTTGGGGATTGTTTGTCTCTTTTACTTTTTATTTTGAAATAATTGTAAGGTCACACACAGCTGTAAGAAATAACACAGAGAGAGACCATATACCCCTTCACCCAATTTCTCTCAGTCATAGCATCTTATATAATTATAGCACGATATCACAACCAGGAAATCAACACTGATGTCATTCACAGGCCTTATTCAGATTTCACCAGTTATACATGTACTCATGTGTGCGTGTATTTGAGTCTATGCCATTTTATCACCATATAGATTTATGTGCCCATCACCACAGTCAAGATACAGAACAGTTCCACCACCTCAAGGATCCCTAGTACTACCCTTTTATAGCCACATCCACCTCCCTCCCCCTCTGCCTTCCTAACCACTGACAACCACTAATCTGTTCTCTATCTCTATAATTTTGTCATTCAGTAATGTGATACAAATAGAATTATGCAGTACATAACCTTTTTTCACTCCGCACAATTCCTTTCAGATCCATCCAAGTTGTTGCTTGTATCAATGGTTCACTACTTTTTTTTGCTAGGTTCCATGGTACAGATGTACCACACTTGGTTTAACCCTTCACCCAGTGAAGGACATTGGGTGTTTCCAGTTTTTTATTATTACAGATAAAGATGCTGTGGACATTTGTATAGGGTTTTTGTGTGAACATAAGTTGTAATTTCTCTGCGATAAATACTCAAGAGTTCCCTTGCTGAGTTGCTTGATCAGTACCTGCTTAGTTTTGTAAGAAATTACCATATTCTTCCTAGGAGTGCCTATACCATTCTTCATTCCCACCAGCAGGGTATGCGGGATCTTCACATCCTTTCTAGCATCTGGTGTTATCACTATTTTTATCTTTGCTATTCTGATTGGTGTGTAGTGATATCTCAATGTGATTTGATTTGCATTTCCCCAGTGGCTAATGATGTTGAACCTCTTTTCATGTGTTTATTTGCCATCTGTGTATCTTCTTCACTGAAGTGTTCTGTTCATGTCACTTGCCATTTGCTCATTTGATTGGCTTTTTTAATGTTGAGTTTTGAAAGCTCTTATTAAATTGTAAGTACAAGAGCTTTGTTGGATATATGGTTTGCAAGTATTTTCTCTTACTCCATAGTTTACCTTTTCACTTCTTCATAAGGTCTTTCTCAGAGCAAAAGTTTTTAATTTTGACACGGTCCAATTTTCTAAATTCTCCTTTTATGGATCATGGTTTTTTTTTTGGCAATTCTAAAAATTATTCACCTAGCCCTAAATGCCAGATTTTCTCCTATGTTTTATATGAGTTTCATAGCTCTATAGTTTCACATTTTACATTTAAGTCTATGCTGAATTTTTAATTAATATTAATATAAGGTGTGAGGTTTTGCTTGCAGTTCATTTTTTCTTTTTCTTTTTTTGGCTATGGATCCAATTGCTCCAGCACCATTTATTGAAAAGGCTGTTCTTCCTCCATTGAGTTGCATTTGCACCTCAAAAATCAGTAGGACATATTTTTATTGGTCTATTTCTGGGTTCTCTATTCTGTTCCATTGATCTAGGTGTCTTTTCCTCTGCCAAAATCGCAGTCTGTTCTTTATTATAGCTATATAGTAAGCCTTCATATTGAATAGAGCTATTCCTTCGCCTTTATTTTCTTTTTTCAAAATGTTTTAGCCATTCTAGGTCCTCTGCCCTTCCATCTAGAGGCTATTTTACATCTACAAAATTATCACTATCATTTTGAATTGCAATAAAGAGAAAACTAGAGCTTAGATTTGGCCTCCAGAATCAAACAGGATTCTAATGCTTTAATTGAATTAACAATAAAATAATATTGTCTTTTTCATATATAGTTTTTTAAAAGAAAAAAAACTATTTCTATAAGTGTCAGAGGCATGTGAACCAGAACAACTCCATCTTGAATAGGAGCTGGGTAAAATGAGGCTGAAACCTACTGGGCTGCATTCCCAGATGGTTAAGGCATTCTAAGTCACAGGATGAGATAGGAGGTCAGCACAAGATACAGGTCATAGAGACCTTGCTGGTAAAACAGGTTGCAGTAAAGAAGCCAGCCAAAACCCACCAAAGCCAAGATGGCCGCGACAGTGACCTCTGGTTGTCCTCACTGCTACACTCCCATCAGTGCCATGACAGTTAACAAATGTCATAGCAACATCAGGAAGTTACCCTATATGGTCTAAAAGGGGAAGACATGGGTAATCCACCCCTTGTTTAGAATATCATCGAGAAATAACTGTAAAAATGGGCAACCAGCAGCCCTTGGGGCTGCTCTGTCTATGGAGTAGCCATTCTCTTATTCCTTTACTTTCCTAATAAACTTGCTTTCACTTTACCGTATGGACTCGCCCTGAATTCTTTCTTGTGTGAGGTTCAAGAACCCTCACTTGGGGTCTGGGTCGGGACCCCTTTCCTGTAACATAAGTAGCTACCCACAAAATACAGTAGACACTCATTATATATATGTTTAACTTTGTGTGTTAACTTTAGATCTTAACCCCCAGTAAGATTCCACTTTGTTTTATTCAATCTTCCCAACAATTAACAAATCCATTAATAAATTATTGCTTACCAAAATGTATTAGATAACATGATGGAAAGAACTATTTCAGATGACCCTACTTGCCCCTCATGCCCGTATAGATGTTTAACAGTTATCTTAACTCGGAATGATTAGAATGCTTGCTCATTTGCATGTAGAGTTTCCTTTGTTTCCTTCTTTATCTAACTTGATAGTTCTCAAACGTTATGTTAGGATTTGTCTACACAAAACCATGTATGCTGTACTATATAGGTAATTTATGAAATTTTCCAGAATAATTTGATTATATGGGTTTATAACTTAATTCCTGAGATTTAACTTTAAATTCAATCTCTAAGTAAGACATGTTGACCTCCCCATTTCCAAAATGATAGGATTGTTTTTGGTGTTGCTTTTGAGATAGGGTCTTGCTCTGTCACTCAGGCTGGATTGCAATGGCACCATTATAGCTCACTATAGACTTGAATACCTGGGCTCAAGCAATCCTCCCGCCTCAGCTTCCTGAGTAGCTGGGACTACAAGCATGAACCACCATGCCTGGCTAATTTCTTTTCATTTTTTTGTGGAGATGGGAGTCTCACTATATTGAAGAAGCTGGTCTTGAGCTCCTGGCCTCACGCACTTCTCCCACCTCAGTCTCCCAAGTGCTGAGATGTACAGGCATGAGCCAGTGTGCCTGGCAAAATTCATAGGGTTTTTAAGACTGGAAGACACTTAAACAAAATTGAGTTTAGGATTTCCCAAGTGTTTTCCTAGTATTGCACAAAATGTTAACCTGATTTGAATAAAAAATGCCTTCCATGGTGAAATAAATTTGGGAAATGCTAGATTAAACAACATTAAAGAGTTTTGTTTTGTTCGTTTTAGTTTCATGGAAGCATCTCTTGGACTTTCATATGCGGGTGTCCATTGCAAATAAGAAAGGGATACAGAATGCAGTATCTTTCAAGTGTATTATTCTCGGTATCTCTTTTTGATGGAGAATCCTGCTGATATGGAGTTCAGTTCAACACATTTTAGAAGTATTTATTTTTAATCCAAATCTGTATTTTGAAATACAGATTTCAAAAGACTCAAAGAGGTATTACACCTCATGCCACCCAGCAAGCAAAGTAGGGACCATTTGTCATCTATTAATAAACTTAAAAGTCTGATACATCTTTGGCCAATATTAAATAAATACATAACTTTCCCCCTTAACCAGTCATTTCTGCAGGCCCTGTGCTGTCCTTAGACTGCCTTCCGTGTAAGCTATTTCTGTTGTGTTCAAGGGTGGCTCAGTTACTCAAAAGCTCAAGATGACTGCAACAGGGGTGCCTGTCATCCCACCACTGGTGATCTCCTGGTGGGCAGGAACACGCAGCTTATGGCTTCTTCTACCTGTGGGCTGAGCAGAGCCCAGAAATACTGCATCCTCAGTTACCTGGAGGTGGGTTGGCTCTTTGTTTATTTGCTGGGACATTATTTAATCAATGATGTAGATTTTTCCAGGTACACCTGGGGCTACTCAGACATTAAAGGAGACAACTTCCTTTTTAAACAATGGAGACACTGGTGCAGTTGTCCCTCAGTATCCACGGGGCGTTGGTGCCGGGACCCTTTCCCCCAACACCGAAATCCATGGATGCTCAAGTCCCTGATCTAAAATGGCATAGTATTTACATGTAACCTACCTATATCCTCCCATGTACTTTAAATAATCTCTAGATTACTTGTAATACCTAACATAATGTAAATGTTATGTAAATAATTATTACACTACATCTTAAAATGTGTTCTTTTTATTGTTATATTGTTAATCTTATTTTTATTTCATTAGGGACAGGGGTCTCACTCTGCTGCCCAGGCTGGAGTGTACCTCAGCCTCTGAAGCAGCTAAAAATACAGGCATGCACCACCACACCTGGCTAATTTTAATTTTGTCTTTTTAGAGACAGGGTCTCACTATGTTGCCCAGGCTGATCTCGAACTCCTTGCCTCAAGCGATCTTCCCACCTCAGCCTCCTGAGTTGCTGGGATTACAGGCTAAGCCACTGGGCCTACCCTGTTATTGTTTTATTGTTGTTATTTTTTCCCAAATATTTTCAATCCTTGGTTGGTTGAATCCACAAATATGGAACTTGCAGATGCAGAGAGCCAACTCTCATGTAATTCAAAGTCCAGGAAACCTTAACTGATCAAAAATAAGGAAGATTTGCTTAATTTCCATTTCCTGTTACCTTCAGAATGAGACATAAAAGTCTTTTTGGTTAGTCTTTGTAAGGAATTGCTATAAAATTTACTAGTCTACTTGGCTACCTTTGCCACTCCCATAGAGGAAACCTAATTGACTCATTTAATGAAGTTTGAAGATTCATCAGGGCCTGCTGCCATTATGCTGAACATGAGTCCTCATTGCTCTGCCTTGAGATGGAAGAGGTGTAGAACTTTGAATTGATTGTACACCAACATAATACTACTTGGAAGTTATACTGTCTAAAAATCATAAATTCCCAATGTGAACATAGTTTTGTGCCTTTTCCCCTTAAAGATCAGTTTTATAAAAGGATAAGTGGCTTTTCAGGTTTCTTTTCCTCTCCATGTACTGGGAACAGAACAAGCATCCAAGGTCATCTGAGTATCGTCCCTACCAAAAACCCTGAGGTAATCACGTCCACCCCATAAATGAGAGGATGTGCAGGAAGGAAGTTGGACATAAGCCTAATGTTAGTGGTCCAGGCTTTTCCATGTATTGTTCATTTAAAGCAACTGCTTAAGTCTCTGGGAAATGCTTTGTATTCAAATTGGTTTCTAGTAAAAGGTGACTATTATAAATAAGTGGAGACAATACTTGGGTGCATATCACTGTTCTAAGTTTGGGAAGTACTTGTGTAAGAAAGCAAATTCTCTGCATGTGCAAGGAAATTACATGGTGGAAGTTCTGCTCAACTCTAGGCCAGGTGACTACTAAGTCCAGGTGCTCTGGACAAAGAATTGGTTCTCAACTCTATTTTTTAGATAGGGTCTCGCTCTGTCACCCAGGCTGGCATGCAGTAGCATGATCACAGCTCACTGCAGCCCCAACCTCCCAGGCTCAGGTGATCTTCCCACCTCAGCTTCCCAAGTAGGGGAGGCTACTCCACCTACTGGTGGAGTAGGCAAGCACCACCATGCCCTGTTAATTTTTGGTATTTTTATAGAGACCAGTCCCACTATGTTGCCCAAGCTGGTCTCCAACTCTTGGGTTAAAGTGATCCGTCTGCCTCAGCCTCCCAAATGCTGGAATTACAGGCATGAGCCACCGCCACTTTCCAATATGAGCGCCAGCCATCTTGTTCTCCCACTGGCATTTGCTTACTGTTGCCTGAGCCAACATACTCTGATGATAATTAGAAATTGGTGTTCTTATATCTCAAAGTTATACCACCAAAAATAGAAGTAACTCCAACTGTGGAGGCTTCTTTTGTCTAGAGAATGACAGAAATCTTAGAAAGCTTAGAGCTGGAAAAAACCTCAAAATATTTCAGGCTGACAAAGTGTATTATAGAAGGGGCTACGACCACTGGTCTAGACAAACATTCACGCAGCATGGAGGATGATTTTTTCCCATCTGTTATCTAAGAAAGAGCTACCAAGCAAAACATTTTGTTCAGAAGCTTCCAGTCAACATTGACCTATTAAATTATCCAAGATGGAACTCACATTTAGTGGCCACAACTTAGCATCCTCTGAAGCCAACCTCATCAAAGATTATACTTCTAAAATGTTAACCAAAAAATGGTCCACAAGCCCTGAAGTTAAACATTTTCTCAAGTAATTTCCATAGTATTATTGGAAATTATTTGAAGACCATCACTTTTGATAGAATCACAAAGCTTCTACTGGTCACTGGGATGGGCCTACCCCTATGCAAAATTTATTTAGATCCATTTTGCCTTAATTTTCAAAAGGCATTTTGGCTTTCTTCAACAATAAGGCCTATAGTGACCAGTGATGCTAAGATACACTGATTATATGAATCTCTCGAAGGGTTGATTTGTTTTGACTGTAGCTGAAATAATCATTAAAATCATCCTGCATTTAATAAATTTTACTGAACATCTACTATGTACCACACACTATTCTAGGTAATGGAGATACAGCAATAAATAAAACCAGGTCCTTGCCCCATTCAGTTTTTATTCTTATTATAGAGACAGACAATAAACCAACAACTGTATAATATAGCCTCAAGTAGTGATAAGGGCTTAGGAAATATATAAAGCAGGACAAAAAATAGAGAGTGGCAGAGGGCCATGGGGGTGAAAAGATGGTGGCATTTTAATAGGGTAGTCAGGGAAAGGCTCTTTGAAATGAAGGCATTCTAACAGAAACCTGAAATAAGGGAAGGAGCAAGAGATAAGACTAGCTGGGAGGAAGAACAACTTGAACTCTTCTGACTCTAAGTGCTTAAAAAATAGCAAGAAGCATGTGTAGCCAGAGTCAAGAGAGTGAAAAGCCAAGTAGACATAAAGGCAAAGAGGTGGCCCTGGCCAGATCATGTTGGGCCTTGTGAGCCATGGCTAGGACATACAAGCAACGTGCACTGAGTGCCACCAGCTGAGCACCTATGCTGTTGTAGGCAATTTCCAGCACAGAAGGTTATAATGATCAGCCCCCGCTTCCCAGAAGCTTTGCAAAAGAGCTCCTTCAGAGTCCTCTGAGTATTAGCCAGGAATAACTGCAGGCCACTGACAGTGCTTTGGAAATCCTTACAGAGCCCCTTAGGAGTTTCAAGTATAGCTGCAAGTAGATGCATTAAATTAAGCAAACTCAAAGGCCAGCCTTTGCTGTTGTAACCTTCAAAAATCCATCCTAAGCAGGCTGGGGTCAGTGGCTCACACCTGTAATCTCATCACTTTCGGAGGCCAAGGCAGGCAGATCACTTGAGGCCAAGAGTTCAAGACCCAGCCTGCCAACATGGTGAAAACCTGTCTCTAATAAAAATACAAAAAAATAGCCGGGTGTGGTGGTGCATGCCTGTAATCCCAGCTCCTCAGGAGACTGAGGCATGAGAGTCTCTTGAACCCAGGAGATTGCAACACTGCACTCCAGCCTCAGTGACAGCATGAGACTCTGTCTCAAAAAAAAAAAAAAATCCTAAGCAAAACTAGTTCCAATTCACTAAGACCTTCTAAGAGGTCTATTTCTAATTTTTTATTTCTTCATATTAGTTGTGTACAGTTTAAAATAACTTCCAGATCCTCTGCCTCTTATATGACAGAAAATTAGTTTTACATAAATTTGCATTTTTATTCCAAATGTATAAATTTATAAAATTTTAGTTCATAGTTTATTGTTGTACTTAGGCACCTACTGATAGGCATTTTGATGTCTTGTTATTTCCTCTGCCTTTTATTTTTAGCCAGTTTGGAAGACAAATATAGTATGTACAGCTTGCCTTTAATTTAGCCCAACAATATGTAATTCCAATTTTTATTTTTAATTTTAATAATGGTGTTTTCCAGGGGGAACAAAAATGCTTCATCTGTGACTCTAGATTTCCATATGATCCGTATGACCAACCCAACAGCCACACCATTGAGAATGTCATTGTAAGTTTTGAACCAGACAGAGAAAAGAAATGGTGGCAATCTGAAAATGGTATGATTTAAGTTCCTTTCCAGTTGTTTATTTCTTCAATATTTTAATATGACATCCTCTTCCTTGTATGGTTTTAATAATGTCACAGCAAAGTATTATATTGGAATGGAACAGTATCCTCCAAGAATGTAGAGACCCATATAAGAATACAATTTATTTTCATTTTAACAAGAATACTTTCCTTTACAGGAAAATCAAAATGTATTTTAAGCACATAACTCAGAATGTTTCACTCTTTCCATGTGGAAGAAAATATCTCTGCATCCTTTTGTTCTTTGTAAAAAAATAATAATAAGAAGAAAGTTTATGAAGTGTTGGTAAATTAAGCCTAATACAAAACACTGATGTAAACTGAATGAATAATGCCAGGGGAAGTCTGAGAGTTAGCGCCAAGTGCTTTTTCCTTCAACACATGAAGGGAAAGAGAAAAGAACATTTTGCTTCTTACTGTAAGCCAAAGTAAAATCTCTGAATTGAAAGGATAGCTGGCTACGGACTGAAGTATGCCTTTCTCTCTTTATGAACAATTGCGATATTGAGCCTACATTGGCGCTGACCATCCAGATTCCTAGATGCTCGCTATAAATGTGGACTTGATCAGGGATCCTCATGTCCCACCCCCAGCCATGGGCCTCATGTGCCCAAATGTATGTCCATCCAGGCCGGACTTTCCTAATGCAGGCTTGCCTACTCTTGATGACCCTTCTTTAACACTAGTCTGGAACTCTTCAGTTTTCCTTAACCCCCACAAGATGATTTCATTCACTACATTGCTATGTGTTGCACTTTGGACTATAATTCCTCTATTCTCTACAAACTCCTGAATGTATTTCCTTTAGAGATTTTAGACCATTAGAAGGGAGTGTGGGAATAATCATAATATATAAGATAGTTTAGGGCAAGCATAAGATGAGGTTGTTTTATTTATGTCATCCACTTGACCAATGATTGACTGTGTCTACTAAATGCCATTTCATTTTGGATCCTTGTTATTGATCTCCAGCTGGACTCTCCTTAATGAATATGAGGTGTTTTTTCCACAGCCACCTGTCCTCCTGATGAATGGTGCCATTTTTGCTTAATGGCTGTTTTGACCCCCACATCTAACATTTGTTCCACATCTCCTCACAAAGGGAATGTCACTCTGTCCAAGCCAATGACATAGAGCAAGGATTCTCAACCAAGCACCTTAGAGAGAGGGACAGATCTCTTTCCTAGAAAGGGTTAGGACCCTTGACACTCAGCCTGCAATGTGGCTGCCCACTCAGCAGCAAACACGTACCTAAGCTTTTCACCCTAGAACTCTAGGCTGAACCCCGATTCACTGTAGTCCAGCCGCTTTCGTCTGGAGCCATACTGTCCCGTGTGAGCAGTTGAAATGTGTCTAATCCAAATTGAGATGGGCTGGAAGTGTAAAAACATCCCAGACTTCTAAGACATAGTTTTGGGAGAAAATGTATAATAAAGAATCACTGATTTTCTGGCAGGGTGCAGTGGCTCACACCTGTAATCCCAGCACTTTGGGAGGCCAAGATAGGCAGATCACTTGAGCTCAGGAGTTTGAGACCAGCCTGGCCAACATGGCAAAACCCTGTCTCTACTAAAAATACAAAAATTAGCCAGGCATGGTGGAGCAAGCATGTAGTCCCAGCTACTCAGGAGGCTGAGGCAGTAGAATCCCCTGACCCGGGAGGCAGAGGTTGCAGTGAGCCAAGATCCTGCCACTGCACTCCAGTCTGGGGGACAGAGCGAGACTCTGTCTTTAAAAAATCACTAATTTTTAAAATATTGATTATATGTCAAAATAACATTTAAATATGTTGGTTTATTATTACAAACAAATTTACCTGTTTCTTTTTACCTTTTTTAATGTGGCTGCTAGAAAATTCAAAATTACACACATGTCTCATATTTTATTTCTGTTGGACAGTGCTGCTCTAG
Organism: Homo sapiens; assembly: GCF_000001405.40. NCBI lineage: Eukaryota > Metazoa > Chordata > Mammalia > Primates > Hominidae > Homo > Homo sapiens. The sequence goes on along the minus strand of NC_000007.14, from coordinate 108,109,869 downwards.
AGAGATCTGGGCTTCTTTTGTGTCCAGGTTAGGGCTGATACCCCACATCTCTGCTAGAGATGGATCATAACTAGCTCAGTGCAAAACACTGACCAGGCTACCTCTACCACCGCCTCAGCCACAGAGGAGCCCACAGGTCCCCACTCCAAGGGGAATACTCCAAGCTGTGTTATATGCCAGGTGACAATGAAATTCTAGTTCAAATGACTATAGCAGCTCTTGGAAGAAATGGGTGCACTGGTTTTTACCACCCTCTGGCTAGCTAGCTCATGTTTATGTGTAGTCAAGATTTCAGTACAAGGAAATGAACCCTCTCTTTCTCTCTTTCCACCTAGGGCAAATGTCCTGAAACTCCCTTGGTCATATGTAATGCTGCCACATAGTGGCCATGTGTGTTGCCACTAAAACACAGATGTGGGCACAGTCAGGGTGAAACCTATCTTGCTCTGCATACCTCCTGGGCTTGGAGTGGCATGGGATACCACTCCAACAGACTGGGAAGAGTGATCGTCAGCCTTGTGGCATCAAAGAGATTTTATTACAGATAAGCCACAATGGGGAATTAACATGATAAGCAGAAGTCTCTCAAAATCACTGATTTTCTTCTTTCTGGATTCTTCCTTAGGTCTTGATCATGTCAGCATCAGACTGGACTTAGAGGCATTATTTCGGTTCAGCCACCTTATCCTGACCTTTAAGGTACAGACTAATAGGCCTGCTGCCCCTCTTTTATCTATTCCCTAAATGCTCAGTGTTTATCTGGAATTTCACTGCCTTGCTTCCTTGCAGTGAACAAAAACAGAATAAGTTCAGACTTGACCTTTGCCACCTGAGCTTTGACTCTTACATGAAGAAAAAAAAAACACTTTTTAAAAATCAATGACCATGACTATATGATTTTTTTAAAAAATTAGAAGACACAGAGAAAAGGAAAACTCCTAGTACTGAGGTGATAGGAACCATAAGAACTATAAAGATAATTTTTGGGAGAAAAGGGCAAGAACTGGAAATTATTTAGGTAAATATGGAAAGGTTGTAATCAAGGGGAAAGAAAAATTAAAAGAGTCTTTACTAAGATTAGTCAGATGACAGAGAAAATCATTGTGCTATAGTGCTTCTTTAATCATTCAGGAAAATTCTAATTTTGATGTCAGACTTTATGCTCGTTTTGGTAAGAAAAAATGAATATGAAATTTAAAAAATGAAAAAAAAAACACCAGTCTTTGTCTCCAAAGAACTCACAATCTAGTCATGGATACAAACATATAAATATAATAGAAAATTATAATACAAAGTGATAAGTACAGAATTAGCGGGATGATTGATTTAAAATGCTGGGGAATTTAAGAGGCTAAATCTGCTGTGGGGAACCAGGATAAATTTCATGGATAGGGTTTGAAGGATATATAAGAGTTTGCCAGAGGAAAAGCATGCTTGGCAAAGAGAATCACAACAAATTGCTGTAAAATATTAACTACATTAGCTTTTCCATTTATAAGCCATCTTTCTTCAATTAATAATTCACAAAGCCATAAACATTTTTACAATGTAATTAGATTATGAGGACAAAGTGTGTACTCATAAATACTGAAAAGAGACTGTGGTGTGTGTATTGTGTAGTAGATTTTAAAAGATAGACCTGGCCAGGAACAGTGACTCACACCTATAATCCCAGCATTTTGGGAGGCTGAGGTGGGCATTTGAGCCCAGGAGTTTGAGAACAGTCTGGGCAACATGGCAAAACTCTGGCTCTACAAAAAAATTATCTGGGCATGGTGGCATGCACCTCTAGCCCCAGCTACTCAGGAGGCTGAGGTGGGAGGATCACCTGGGCCTGGGAAGTTGAGGCTACAGTGAGCCGAGATCATGCCACTGCACTCCAGCCTGGGCGACAGAGTGAGATCCTGTCTCAAAAACAAAACAAAACAAACAACAAAAAGATACACCTAAAGTTTTTAAAAATGGAATTAGAAAATACAAATATTCAATCTGAAGTTGATAATAAAATCTGCCTTTGTGAAATGTGCCAACTTTTACTCATTTTTCCTAGACTTTTCGGCCTGCTGCAATGTTAGTTGAACGTTCCACAGACTATGGACACAACTGGAAAGTGTTCAAATATTTTGCAAAAGACTGTGCCACTTCCTTTCCTAACATCACATCTGGCCAGGCCCAGGGAGTGGGAGACATTGTTTGTGACTCCAAATACTCGGATATTGAACCCTCAACAGGTGGAGAGGTAGCATTTCCTTCCTTGTATTTATTTTGTATAAATTAAACTTTTAAAAAGTATAATTAACTTAAATGAAAAACTTTCGATAGTGTTTACTGTAATGTAAGTTGGGCTGTTGCTTTTTTGAAAATGAAAGTGTCTAAACTGAAATGATTCCCAAATAAATACTAAATACATTTTTAGAAGCAATCCTGCACAAGAGTGCTCAGCTGAAGGTGGGCATGGGATAACACTTAAACGGGGCACCATGGCCCCAGGCACCCAGAAGAAGGAACACCCATTTCTAATGCTTGCAAAGGAGCCATGTAAGCTAGCAGCAGCCTGACATTAGCTATCTCATCCCCATACTCTGTAAACCACCACCCCAGGGGAATCTGCCGGGAACATCCCTCTGAGCAAAGCTGGTGCCTGGCAGAAGGTTGGAGTGAGTGGGATTGAACAGGCACTATTTTGCCAGGTAGAGCAGAAAGAATTAGTGGCAGAAGACAGCTCCAGAGTTCACCACCAAATCCAAATTGATCATGGCTTGCCAAATTGTCTGTCACTCCATCCCAACCCAGCATAAGCACTCTTTTTGACTTTTCTGCCTGTATGAACCACTTGTACATAAAGAGCCGGAAATGACTGATTAATACCTTTCATTTATTTCTGCTCCTGGTACTTCTATTCATATGCTAACCCAAATGATAATCTGTATTCTATGCCAGCTGGGAAGCAATGGCTCAGCCTTCTTGTAAGATCAGGGTCTCTTCTGTAAGAGTGCATTTCACGGTCAGGTGTGATGGCTCACATCTGTAATTCCAGCACTTTAGGAGGCTGAGGCAGGAGGATCACTTGAGCCTGGGAGTTCGAGACCAGCCTGGGCAACATAGGGAGAACCCCACCTCTACAAAAATCTTTAAAAATTAGCTGGGCATGGTGGTGCATGCCTGTGGTCTCAGCTACTTGGGAGGCTGAAGTGGTAAGATTTCTTGGGCCTGGGAGGTTTGAAAAAAAAAAAGAGTGTGTTTGACAATTACGTTTTCAGGTAATATACTATAAATGTATCTATATTTGTTTTACAGGTTGTTTTAAAAGTTTTGGATCCCAGTTTTGAAATTGAAAACCCTTATAGCCCCTACATCCAAGGTATGAATTCCTTTATATTTTTCATATCAGCTTTAAAAAAATTTCATGTTTGGCATATTCCTTGTAATTGCTTTTCTTTTTTTTTTTTCTTGAGACGGAGTCTTGCCCTGTCATCCAGGCTGGAGTGCAGTGGTGTGATCTCAGCTCTCTGCAACCTCCGCCTCCTGGGTTCAAGCAATTCTTGTTCCTCGGCCTCCCAAGTAACTGGGATTACAGGCATGCGCCACCCTGCCCAGCTAATTTTTGTATTTTATGTAGAGACAGGGTGTCGCCATGTTGCCCAGTCTGGTCTTGAACTCTTGAGCTCAAGGGATCCTCCTGCCTCGGCCACCCAAAGTGCTGGGATTACAGGCGCAAGCCACTACACCGGGCCTGTAATCTCTTTTCTATAGTATATTAAGTGTATATCAGTCAAGAAGAGTCCCTTGAACTGATGCACCTCAAATTCACTTTGATTCATTATTTTCCTTTCTTTAGACCTTGTGACATTGACAAACCTGAGGATAAACTTTACCAAGCTCCACACCCTTGGGGATGCTTTGCTTGGAAGGAGGCAAAATGATTCCCTTGATAAATACTACTATGCTCTGTACGAGATGATTGTTCGGGGAAGCTGCTTTTGCAATGGCCATGCTAGCGAATGTCGCCCTATGCAGAAGATGCGGGGAGATGTTTTCAGCCCTCCTGGAATGGTGAGTTATTAATCCAAAAGAACAGTGGGCTGTCCTACCTGCCTTTCACTGTCCTGGTGCTATATATAGATGAGACACTCCACATGGAGATCAACAAATCTAAGTGCCAGTTTTATGCTGAGATGGGTACCATTCAACCTATCCTGATAGGCCACCTAGGGCCCTCCAGTTCCTCCAGCCACAAGTGCTTGTGGATTCTGCAGCATATGGACATCATTGAACTAGTGAGCAGAATTTATACTTTAGGATTTCAAGATACTTCATCTTGCCCTCTTTTCATTTATTTTGTAGAGCATGGAGATTTGGTGGGGAGGGATCATATTGGGTTGGTGCAAAAGTGCTGTTTTTGCCAACACTTTTAATTGCAAAAACCAAAATTACTGTTGTACCAACCTAATAATTTCACATTCATTCTCTCACAAAAATCTACTGAAGGACTTTTGTGTGCAAGACCCTGTAGTCAATGCTAAGGTGTTTCAGCAATATCTGATATCGTAAAATGTTCAATCCAAATAGCATTCTTACCCTGGGAATGGCTGTGTCTTAATATGGCAGATCTCTCTCATCTTGGGGGACTAGCCTTAAAAGACATTGTAGAAGAGTTGTAGTTTTATGCAGAGCCCCAGGGAGTGTGTCTACTAAATAAATGTCAACTGTTTATTAGGCAAAATTATACAAGGCTTAATGTTGAGCTAGTGTGCCTTCCCATTCAGCTACCTCTGTTTCACTGGAAACAGAGCTTCTCTCTCTGCATGTGAGCCATTTAGAGCATTTTTGGGAAAATCCAGGAGAATCACATGGCTTTCTTCAGCTTCGTTCCCTTTTCTAACTCTCTATTTTCTCTTATGCTCCTAAAAAATCCTATATACTACTCCCCCCCAACTCCCCACAAACCCCTTAGCCATCCTGTCCCTCATTTTATTGAGGGCTGCAATGTGCTGCCCTGAAACTAGAACTCAGAAAAGCCAAAAAAAAAGTATTGTATTTTAGAAGTTCACTGAACTTTTAAAATTTTTATAAAGTTTAAAGCTAGTTAAGAAAATAATAGAAGATAATCAAGGTTGGTATTGTAATTAACATATGGGAAACTAAGGATCAGAGAGGTACCAGGACCTGGTATTTCATTTCCCATTTAAAGAACCCCAACGTCCCCAAGGACAAGCCCTCTTTCAACGCTCTATTTATTGCACAATGCAGGTTCACGGTCAGTGTGTGTGTCAGCACAATACAGATGGTCCGAACTGTGAGAGATGCAAGGACTTCTTCCAGGATGCTCCTTGGAGGCCAGCTGCAGACCTCCAGGACAACGCTTGCAGATGTGGGTGAAACTCAGTTCCCTGCATAGACTGAGTGTGCTCTGCATTTCCTTATTTAAGAAACACTTCGTTCACTTCTGTGGGGCTGCAGGCACCAAAGTGGGGAGGCTGTCCTCCCAGCTCCTATAGTGTGATATCCCAGTGTTCCCAATTATCCCACATAGAAGAATCGCCAACTTCTCCAACTCTCCCACCACAAATTAAGTTTAACTTTAAAAATGAAACAGTAAGCATGTTGTGTGGCACCCTTCTAGTAGAGGGATGGAGCCATTTAATGGCAATATCAGTGGGGACAAGGCAACTCCAAGAATTTGGTGAACACTAGGCTTGGTCCAGAGATCTGCACTGTCATCCTGAATAGTCATACATTCCATGAACGTGACCTTAAACCCATCTGTAGGATAATAGGAGAAATGAGGCCCAGGAATGAGTTTGACAGGCCATTGTATTGTTTTAAATAAAATACTCAGGCTAATAAGATGCTGGTTTTGTTTTGGCTAACATGTTTGCTGCCTCTGAATTTTAATGAACTTCCAAACAAATTTGTTATTCAATTTCTTTTCCTAGACTAGGAAAAACAGAATTTAAGGGAATGAAATGTCCCTAGAAGAGCTCTAATAAAAAAGCCTCATCCATGAGAGTCACAGTATACAAGACCGGGGAATATGCAGCCTGACCTTAGACTGTTTACAGGAAAAGAAACAAAAAGACAAACAGTGTAGACATTATCATGAAGACAAATTCCTCCAAACAGACTGCCTTTCCCTCCAGGCCACTGGCCTAGCCTCAGATGAGATAAAATTGACCGCAGCCCTTGCAGCTCTCTGCTGCTGTGGAAAGAGGGGCCAGGCCGGTTTCCTCTGCCGTCTTCTCTAGGAATCCCAGAGCATGCAGAATATTTCATGTAAAAATTTCAGTTGCACAAAGCATAAGTCAGTAAAAGCATCCTTTAATGAACACCACAAATATTGCACTCTGTGGCTTTAGATCACCGAAATGATTTACTTTTGTTCACTTGATTTTTAAAAACTACATATTTAACATATGGGGAGCACATTTTATAGAAAGCGTAGGAGCAGAATCAGAGTGTTAGAACGATCCCCTGAGGGCACACATTTTGGCCCTGTGTTTGCTTGGTGCATCTATACAAAGAACACGAAATGGCAGGAGGACAAGGAGGACTAGCGGGTGCCCTGACCAGTGCGGGGGCACTGGCTGTGCCACCCGAGGCCTTAGTCTACCTCTCAGTCACTGTCTTCTCCTTTCAGCGTGCAGCTGTAATAGCCACTCCAGCCGCTGTCACTTTGACATGACTACGTACCTGGCAAGCGGTGGCCTCAGCGGGGGCGTGTGTGAAGACTGCCAGCACAACACTGAGGGGCAGCACTGCGACCGCTGCAGACCCCTCTTCTACAGGGACCCGCTCAAGACCATCTCAGATCCCTACGCGTGCATTCGTGAGTCCCCGGGTCTGCCTGGATCCTACCCACTGTCTGAGCAAAGTTCAGTTTGATCTTACTGGGGCTGCCCGCACCTTATCTGCTTAACGGCATCTCCAAACTACCCTATTTTGGAGAGTGGAGGATTGCAAAAATACCTCAGCTTTAAGAGCTCATCCTTCTGCAAACAAGTTGATCCAAATAATCTGTGTCTGTCCTGGTAGTTGGGAAATTATGCAGGATTCCACCAGGAGAGGCAGACGCCTTGAGTATCATGGAAGCCTGCTGGGGGAGGAACCAAAGTGGTAAAATTGGCTAAAACATTCGACTGGCTGTAGACAATTCAATTTTGCTGTTAAGATGCATAAGCTAACATGTTACTTACCTTGCGCTTTTTAAAAACCTTTAAAAATCTTTTATCTTGAATCTCAACTTCTTAAATGAAATATTTCAAGCATGTACAAAATAATAGGGAATAATATAATATACACCCTTATACCCCACCATCAGCTTTCTCTAGAACAGTCTTAGCCTGTCACTCTTGGGACTTTCTTTAATAAAACATGACAGGCACTATATTGATGTCTCAGGTACACAACTGTCCCATTTGTCTACCCTCCTTGCTAGTGGTAAACTCATATATTTTGCATTATCATGATTTTTTTCACTCTTTCACATGTGTTTTTATCTATGAACAATATATGTTGACATGTTTTCAAAGTTTAGATAGATTATGTCATTTTGTATGTGTCTTTCAGCAACTTGGGTATTTCATTCGACATTATATTTTTGAGACTTTTCTATATCAGGTAGTCTTAGTTCTTCCATTTTAATTTCTTATAGAAGTTTTTCCTTTAGGTATGACAAAACTTATTTGTTCATTTTTCTTTGGATGCTACAGTAAACATTCTTGTGTATGTGACCTTGTGCATCTATGCAAACATTGTCCCTAGGAGATATACCTAGCTGTGGAATTTCTGGGCCATGGAGTATGGACTTCAAATTGATTAAATAACACTGCATGGTCCCCTAAGTGAGTGTGCCAATGGCCACTCACGCCAATAGTAAATGGGAGTTCCTGGGGCTCTGCTTCCTTGCCGACACTTGGTTTTGTCAAACTTCAATTTTTGCTATCTTTGTTTTATCACACTTTAATTTTCACTAATCAAAAATGGTATCTCATCATTGTTTTAATTTGCATTTTCCTGCAGGACTGGGACTAGAGTGAGCCAAGGAAGGCACTTAAGTTCCAAAATGTAAGGAAGAACTCGCTATCAGGGTGATGGAAGTGCAGGGCTAACACTTGCTGCTTGCACAAATCTGAGAGTGGGTACCTCCTTAAATGTTGCACCCCAGCCACCTTGCTTGCTCACTCTCATCCCATCACTGCTATACATTTTTGCCTACAGAAATACTCCATCCTGATTTCAAATACCCAGTGTCAGTAACTGGGTCTGAAATCTTTACTTGCCGACGAACAAGTTAGCCTGTTATTGTTTCATGGATACTAACAGAAGACACAAAACTCTTGGGCCAAAGACAAAAGACTTTGTAACTCATGGCATAGCAAGCAACAAGATCATTGTATTGGCCTGAGTTTCCATGTCCCCATGTCCCATGGGAGTGACACAACGGATACCATGTGAATAGTGCATATCTAGTGAGTTTATGATAAAGCTGAGGAACAGTGAACTTGGAGGATTCATTGCTTTATAGCAAGTGGAAGCAAGCCTATTTTTTATCCAGGGAAGATGCCACTCCATCCCTCAAAGTTGCTTACTGCAAGCACAACTCTAAGAAATGGCTAGGTAAAGAGCCAGTGGGGACTTGAACGGCTGGCACACTTAGCAAGAACGTTCAGGATACCAGCATCCATGGAAGATTGCCTCTCCCAGGACTCAGGGATCCCGCTTCTTAGGGTATATCCATATAATGCTAAAGTGGGGGCAGGGAAGCTGCTATAAAATCTAACTTCAACTTTTATATAATCATAATATATAAAATGAAGTCTTATACAGTGTAATTCACTGGCCACCTGAATAGATTCAATGTCCTAGATTTCAAACTTTAAGTGATCACAATATAGAAAATGCATCAATGAAATGTTTTAGCTCGGATTACTCAGTAGGCACCTGACTATATAAAATTTACCTTACGTGACCTGTTCAAAATTGATATAAAGAACTAGATTCTCAGAAAATGTATTTCTTTAGAGCAATTTCCTAAGTATCCTACCACACAGTTTTTACCACAATCTGTAATCATGCACACACATAACTTTTATTGTTTTAAAACTATGTATTTATAAAAGAAGATTAAATTGCTCTCTTGGGTAGAATCAGGGAAATACAATTATTGAAACAGATAATCTAGGAATCTGGAAAGAGATTTGGAAATAACAAACCAAATATTTTGAGCACATCAATCAAAGTCTTGTTCCTTAAGAACCACTGAGTATTAACTCGATAGTGCTTTGGAAAGAAAACTAGTACTCCTGGTATGAAAGTAAGAAGTCATTCTTTGTAAACAAGGAATTTTTCCATAAAAGGTAGATGAGGAGCTTGTAACAAACTACTATCATGAGACACCCCAGTTTCTCCCAGTTTACCTAAACAAATGTTTATGTGTATATATACAAATGATGTGTATTTGAAGATTGATTAGAATTCTCATATAAATTTTCTCTAAGTTGTCCTTGTTTGAACCTAAATATTTACATAAGCAGATTCCAGGCATAAGAGTTGACTAATTTTAAGTTTTCTACAATTAAGTTGCCATTAAATTTGATACAGAAAAACCAAGATTTGGTAGACTCAACTACTTGATAATAAAAGTTTGCTAGAATTATGTGACACCAAGACATTCAATTAGACTTCTAAAGGTCATGACATAAGGCTATTTCAAAGAACATTTACTATCCACCCTTCCCACATCTCTTTCCCAAAGGATACTTCTGTGCATAATTAAATTATTCTCTGGAACTCAATACTGATTCTTTGGAGTGTCTCCCAAAGAAATTGTAGCTTTTTCCTTTTGGCCACTATTAAGATGAATCCAGTTTGTTCCCTTCTTTCTAGAAGCAACTGGCTTTAATTAGAAGAAAATTGTGGCTTTTCCAAACTAAACAGAACTCAATGCTATTTTTTCATAGTAAGTCACCAGTCACAAAACAATAACAAGTAACAAATCATTGAAATTTGAAAGATTGTGTCAGAGAGCAAACACCAGTTGCTTCAATAATGCGAAACAACTGGTTTGACTGAATTGTTTCCACTAAACTCACTAACCTAAATGGTGGTTATATAGACATGGTTTTAGACTTGACAGTTTTGTTTTTAGTAATCCAAAGCAAGCATGTATAAATGTGAATGTGACTGTTCCTTAAAATCAGGATATTCATATTTTTATTTTTATTACACGCCTTAAAAGTGGAACCCCATGGAAACACAGAACCACAAAGGTACAAGAGACCTTGGTGGTCATCTAATGCCCAACAACACATTTGTCATCCATACCAAAGCCACAAGTGCTGTTTCAACATCTACCTGGACACCTCCGATGATGAGGGGTTCGCTGCAGTATTGGGCACCCCTAACTATTTGAGAGTTCTTCCTCAAACTCAATCAAGTGCTACCTTTTGTGACTTCTACTCTCTCCTGGTTCTACCCTCTGGAATTAACTCAAACTGTCAACATTCTTTTTCATATGACACACCATCCTTGAGTTGTTCAAATGTCTACAACAACAACAGGAAAAAGGTTGCTACCATTGTGGCTCCTTTGCTGCAAGTGACTGTTTATCCCATTTTCCAGAATCTCTTCCATCAAGCTCTTGACCTGTCAGCAGATTTCCCCCCAACAAAACCAAGGATATGAATACTTCTCACTATTCCCTCCCTTTCCTTCTTACAGGTGTTTCTTCCAGGAAAAATAAAATAGAATGTCACTTTTCCTTGTGACATATTTTTCTGTGATAGAGGAGAGACTTACTTTTTAAGCACGTTTCAGAGATTTTGACCTTATTTTCACCTTTAGAGTCTTTTTTAAAATCTATTTTTAGATGAAATTCACATAACATAAAATATTAACCATTTTTAAATGAACAACAGTTCACCAGCACAATGTTGTGCAGCCATCCCATCTACCTAATTCCAAAACGTTCTCATCATCCCCAGAAGAATCAGTCTATTCTTAACATAATCTAGTCTTAATTTTCATAACAGCAGTCTTCCTCTGGTCCTCTGACTTTCGAATCATTTAAAAGTCTTTTAAAAATATATGCATGGATTTATTCAACGTTTTCCAAGGCTAGAGATCTGGGAGACATTTCTGAATAGCTCTTGCCAGGTGGTCTAATTATTTAAACATTTAATTATTTAAACAAAGCAAGATAGTTATAGCATGAGTAAAATGCCGTGCTTATATTTCAGGCTTCCCACAATTTGCAATTAACTAAAACAATGAATGTCTGTGTCCCCAGCTTGTGAATGTGACCCCGATGGGACCATATCTGGTGGCATTTGTGTGAGCCACTCTGATCCTGCCTTAGGGTCTGTGGCCGGCCAGTGCCTTTGTAAAGAGAACGTGGAAGGAGCCAAATGCGACCAGTGCAAACCCAACCACTACGGACTAAGCGCCACCGACCCCCTGGGCTGCCAGCGTAAGTCCATAATCGGGGGTCGGGGGAGTGTCCATCAACCCCTATGTGGTTGGTTGGTTTGTCTGTTTTTGAGATGGAGTCTCGCTCTGTCGCCCAGGCTGGAGTACAGTGGCAAAATCTCGGCTCACTCCAACCTCCACCTCCCAGGTTCAAGCAATTCTCCTTCCTCAGCCTCCCGAGTAGCTGGGATTACAGGCGACCACCACCACGCCCAGATAATTTTTGTATTTTTAATATAGACGGGGTTTCACCATGTTGGCCAGGCTGGTTTCAAACTCCTGACCTCAAGTGATCCGCCCACCTCGGCCCCTATGCGTTTTAAAGCTTGGGGCTGTCTCTGTCTGCCCTAAAAATTGATGATCATGAATACCTAAGAATCCTGCCAACCTCTGGGTTTTAAAAAGTAACATAATGGTTCCCGTAAATCCTAAGCGGTTAGTGGAGAACTTTTCTCTGTGGTTTGCTGGGTTTATCATAAAGGACCAGCAGGGGGCATTCACATTTTCCCCACTGGAACAAACACGGGGAAATGGCAAGAAATTTAACGCCAAGTTGCAAAAGTTTTTTTGGTTTCCACTAGACCTCTACATACAAATCCATTAAATTACATTATGTGTTTCTGCAAGATTGATGTCATCTTAGGCAATTTTCAAGTGGTGGTTTGTTTATTTATTTATTTATTTATTTGTGAGACGGAGTCTCGCTCTGTCACCCAGGCTGGAGTGCAGTGGCTGGGACTACAGGCGCCTGCCACCACGCCCGGCTAATTTTTTGTATTTTTAGTAGAGACGGGGTTTCACCGTGTTAGCCAAGATGGTCTCTGTCTCCTGACCTCGTGATCCGCCCGTCTCGGCCTCCCAAAGTGCTGGGATTACAGGCGTGAGCCGCCATGCCCGGCCTCTTTTTATTTTTTAAATTATGTTTCCCCTTTCTTCTCACACCCCTTCTAATATTGGTCCATATGTTCTCTGATAAAAGAAAAAATAATTAAAGAGCTCAGGGAAGCGGGGGAGCGGAAATAGAAAAACACCTCAGCAGTTTTCTAAGGCCAAATGAGCAGACCCTTAGCTATAGGATCACAGAAATTTAGAGCTGCTCCGGGCCTCCGTAGAGCTACAGATTCCTCAGAAACCCTGGGTAAATAATTTCCATTTGGTCACAGCCTCCTGCTCCATATTTTTGCCCATATAAGGAACTGTGGATTATTTGCATGTTTAGAAAACATTGGTCTGAATCTTTCTGTAATAAAACGCTCTTCTTAAGTTTGATGGCAAAATTAAATGTCATGATAATGAATTATATAGTCAAACCAATTTCCCATCATACCTTTCAGCATTCCACATGTTTCTCTGACTCTCTGACTAAAATGATGTCCTCCAAGAACAGGCTGAACATTATTTTGGTGTGTGGGGGTGTATACCAGCTTTAAATTTTTTTTTTTTTTTTTTTTTTTTTTTTTTTTTGAGAGAGACAGAGTCTTGTTTTGTCATCAAGGCTGGCTTACAGTGGCACAATCATAGCTCACTGCAGCCTTAAACTCCTGGACTCAAGCAATTTTCTCACCTCAGCATTCAAGTAGCTAGAACTACAAGCATGTGCCACCACAGCCATCTAATTTTTTTTTTTTTTTTTTTTGAGAGACGGAGTCTCACTGTGTTTCCTAGGCTGGTCTTCAACTCCTGATCCCAAGCAACCCTTCCGCCTCACCTTCCCAAAGTGCTGGGATTCTAGACATAAGCCACTGTGCCCAGCCCATAACAGCTTTATTGAATATAATTTACATACCATACAATTCACCCTGTAAACAATTCAATAATTTTTAGTATATTGGAAGTTGTGTAATCATCACCACAATCATTTTCATCCCCCCACAAAAGAAACCCCTCTTCTGCATATATACCCAAAATAATTGAAAGCAGAGCTTTGAAGGGATATTTGTATTTCCATGTTCACAGCAACACTAGCCAAAAGGTGGAAGTAACCCAAGTATCCACTGATGGATGAGTGGGTAAACAAAATGTGGTATTTACATACAATGGAATCTTATTCTTCCTTAAAAAGGAAAAAAATTCTGACACATCCATCAACATGGATGATCCTTAAGAACATTATGCAAAGTAAAAGAAGGCAGTCACAAAAAGACAAAGACTATATAATTCCACTTATATGAGGTACCCAGAGTAGTCAAAATCAGACCGAAAGCAGCACGGTGGTTGCTAGGGATTAGAGGGGAGAAGGAGTGGGGAGTTATTATATAAAGGGCATAGAGTTTCAGTTTTGTAGGATGAAAAGCGTTCTGGAGTTTGTTTATGCAACGATGTTAATGTGCTTAACACAATTGAACTGCCTGCTTAAAATGGTTAAGATGGTACAATTAGTAATGTTTTCAAGTTTTATCCATATTGCAGATTACATCGGTCTTTATTTTTTATTGCTGAATAACATACTATTGTACAGAGGTGCCACTTTTATTTATCCATTCATTAGTCAATGGGACATTTGGGTTATTTCCATGAACGTTGGTATTTGCTGCAAGTGTATTCCTTGCTCTGGTAGCATGTCTTTTTAGCCTTTGCAACATATGCAGGGCTCAGAAATGTCTACGGGTAGAGGAGAAGAAGGAGGGGGGAATTAAGACAAAAAGTAACAAAGTACTAAAGGAGAGAAGAGAGAGTGGGATTCCAGATGCATCTGCCAGAGAAGGAGCGATCAGTAATAACCATGACTCCCAGAAACTCCTGCCTCTGAGTCACCAGCCTGGTCAGCATCACTTAGGGTTACTGTGCCAGTACTGCAGCATGTACAACTAGCTACACCTACTTGTCTCCTCCTCCTAATTGCCATCCAGTAAAACTACATGAGGCTCTGGAAGTGCCTGACACAGGATTTCCTCTGTGAGGTTATATGCAAAACAATAATCACGCAGCCAGGCACACAATAAACCTGGCAGGGCAGGCTTCTCTGTGTTCTTGCGGTTATGCTTCTTGCTTTGTGTGAGCTATTAAGTACACTTGCAAGAGTGGAGGAATTAAGAATGAGAATAATTGTGTATGCTGTGCTTTCAGCCTGCGACTGTAACCCCCTTGGGAGTCTGCCATTCTTGACCTGTGATGTGGATACAGGCCAATGCTTGTGCCTGTCATATGTCACCGGAGCACACTGCGAAGAATGCACTGTATGTATTTGCCTATAGTTTCCCTTTTCTATAGTGATACAGATTTCTATTGCCATTGCCTAGGTAAGACTTGGTTTTGCTAATCTCTTTCTTGTCCTATTGTGTTTTAATACTCCAGTGGTATGAGTATTTACACTACAGAAATCAGCAAACACTACCTATCAGCCTCCCCTCACCCCTGCATTGAGCTGCCTGTTAAACATTTACCAGCTCACCACTGGACTGGACTAAACCGACCCAGGCACAGATATTATTAGGTTTATCCACTCTTTTCCTGAAAATGCCAAGCAGTAGAATAGAAGCACATTTATCTGTCTATGTTTTGGGCCACCAGAACTTTCTTCTATCCCTTGTACACAATCCCCTTATCATCCCTACCACTCCCTTCCTAAAAATGTTTTGGATAAGGTCTTATAAAAAAACAAGCTTAGGTTTAATGTATTTTAGATTCCTGTGGGAAATAAACTCTTGGATTTTTCACAGACTCTACTAAACATACAATTTTAGATGTATCATCTAAAATTAGTAAAATAAAACATATTCACTCCATAAGAAATGCATGATGCAATTGGGGAGTTCAAACCCAACTCTTTTCTTTGTTCTCCAATCTTGGCAGCTCACCATGACATTTTAGAGAGAAAAAAAAAAAACCCACAAAATCTTAACCTAATAAAAGAACAGTGACCTCGATGTGTCTGAAGAAATGTAGCTGATGAATAAGAAACATATGCCTATGAGGACATGGTTTTGTGCTGATATTTTAAGTCATTTTACTGAAAACAGGATGGGGCAGAGGGGGTGGGGGAAAGAAGCAAGGAAGGAAATATGAAGAAGGGATTCTGGAAGACAAGTCAAAAAATCTGAAAATTGTACCTTAAAGAGAAAGGTCAGCCACGCCAACCTCCATGACCATAAGTGTGTAACACAAAAAAAGGAGCACAGTTGGTTACAGGATCAACAAATCCTGAAATTATGTGATCGACCAAATCATGTAATTCCAGACAAAGCTTAGGCTCAGGCTGACTTTTTTCACTGGCTGGTTAACTGCTACGTGTGCAGTACAGACTCACTTTTGCTTGCAGGGCAAGCAAGCAAAATAACTGAACAGGGACCCCCCCCATGGGGGAACTGTCCATCGTGGCTGAGCCCATGCACCCACTAGGTTCTCCACATCCACATCTCTCTGATGGTGCCCTGGATCTGCCCTGAGGTGGCCAGCATGGCAGCATTCCCTGTCCTAGAGGAAGTTTTCACAACCACATCCTGTGGGAAGCAGTTCCTATCACATCATTTTTTTTTCTTAAACTGAAGTTTTGGTTTGGGGAAAAACATCAAGTCCTTTGTCGCATTGTGTCCAAAGACATCAATGTTTAATATCTAAAAGACACCTTTTTGAGTAAAATCATGCATAAAATTATACCAAGATACAAAAAATATGGATGCTTAACAAGACCATTTCCAAAGAGAATTTCATACCTACTAAAATTTAAGTTTTATCGGAGCATGTTCAATTGAGATGTGTGGGAGGAGAATTTTTTTTAGCATTTTATACTAAATATTATAACACTTAGAAAATAGTTACTTGTATCTCACCAGCTGTTTATTTTGAACAACGGTCAAGATGTTGCAATGATGGAAAAAGTCTGGAACAATAGAGTTGACTCTCTCATATGGATTCATGTTATTATGCCAAAACAACTGATTGATAAACAAATGCCTATGCTAAAGTGTGGTATTCATGTAATATCTCAAAATTAGCTTGAAGGATTTCTCTGCCTCCAAGTATTTCAGTATTGTATGGGTAAAATTCCCAGGGGTTGTTGTGGTAAGGGAACCTATCAGTTTTTTTAAAAGCAGTTACACGGCCGAGCCTGGTGGCTCATGCCTGTAATCCCAGCACTTTGGGAGGCCGAGGCAGATGGATCACGAGGTCAGGAGTTCAAGACCAGCCTGGCTAACACGGTAAAACCCCGTCTCTACTAAAAATACAAAAATCAGCCGAGCGTGGTGGCAGGCGCCTGTAATCCCAGCTACTCGGGAGGCTGAGGCAGGAGAATTGCTTCCACCTGGGAGGCGGAGGTTGGCCAAGATCGTACCACTGCACTCCAGTGTGGGCAAAAGAACAAGACTCCGTCTGTGGGGTGGGAAAAATACAGGCAGTTACACATAGGCTGGTAGAAGAACTTCTATTCCGATAGGATTTATATAACCCAGATTGAGCATAACTGATGATGTGAGAGGAATTGTTAAGGCTCCCATTTCTTTTCCACTTGACACATTACATGGACAACCTTCCTGTCCCCTTCATTTTATAAAATTTTTTTGAGATGGAGTGTCACTCTGTCATCCAGGCTGGAGTACAGTGGCACGATCTCAGCTCACTCTGGCCTCCACCTCCCACGTTCAAACGATTCTCCTGCCTCAGCCTCCCGAGTAGCTGGGACTACAGGCATGCACCACACCCAGGCAATTTTTGTATTTTTAGTAGAGATGGGGTTTCACCATGGTTGGCCAGGCTGGTCTCAGACTCCTGACCTCAAGTGATCCACCCGTCTCGGCCTCCCAAAATGCTGGGATTACAGGCAGGAGCCACCGCACCCAGCCCTGTCCCCTTACTTCAAATCCTGGAGATGGGAGATGTGTCCATGGAAGATCATTAGCCAAGCGCATAGGCCAGGAAGGTTTCTCTGAGATGGTGCAGGCTGTTTGGCTATTTGACGTGTGGCAATTGCATTGTAGTGATTTCAGTGTTGCACTTCAGAGCAACAGCATCTTCATAGCTGGAATCAGCTGAGCATTTTTTCTCTGTAGGTTGGATACTGGGGCCTGGGAAATCATCTCCATGGGTGTTCTCCCTGTGACTGTGATATTGGAGGTGCTTATTCTAACGTGTAAGTCAAATAAGTTTTATAGCAATATTCCTTATTTAAACATAAAAGCACATTTTATTCTGATACGCTCATAGTCATAGGTGAAAAATTTCATTCCATGACAAGCAATGATCTTGAGACATTAACTACAGCCCATTGATTTCTTTCACTTCAAATATTTCCAAGGGTGAGGTAAACAATCCTTCTGCTGGGTATCCCACCACAAGCTGGTGGCATGGGTGCTTGAATACGTGTGACCTGCCTAAAACACCAGCTTTTTGCCATGTTGTAAAGAGAGATCCTAAAGCCCCCTTTTTGCCAGATTTTAGAGCAGAACCTGGCAGTGGGGGGTTGGGGGCGGAGGGTGGGGAAAGTGGCCGCCTGGGCTCCATGGCCCTGGATTCACTATTCAAGACCAGTTATGTTAAACCCATGGCCTTTCTGCATCTTCCCACAGGACCATTGATTGACTGATTCTAAGGATTGCTCCAAACTCAGGGAGCATTAGCCCAGCACCCCTACACCTTCATTTTCCGCTCACCTACTTTGCATTTTTTCATGATGAATTGCTTTTTCCTCAGGTGCTCACCCAAGAATGGGCAGTGTGAATGCCGCCCACATGTCACTGGCCGTAGCTGCTCTGAACCAGCCCCTGGCTACTTCTTTGCTCCTTTGAATTTCTATCTCTACGAGGCAGAGGAAGCCACAACACTCCAAGGACTGGCGCCTTTGGTTCGTATTTCATTTACTTTCCCTACAGACTGTGTTTGATGATATGTCAGTAAACACACAGAGCACATACTTGAGATCGTGGTTAAGATACCTAGAAAAGAATGCTTTTGCCCAAAGATGCAGATCAGAGTTTATTATAACCTGCAAATGCAGATTATATAAACTCTTGAGAGCAGAGTCTCTGTTTAGTTCATCTTTGTATCCCAGGTCTACCACAGGATCTGGCCCATAAATGTGAACGGATCAAATTATGATGAAACAGACTTTACTTTTGCTGTTTCAAGGTATACCCATCAGACAAAATGTGTTTATTGAGCATCTACTTCTCCATCTCCCCATGATACTATAAACTATAAAAGGGTGAGGTGGATGTGTATAGCATTCATCATTGTTGCACTAGCGCCTAGCACAGTGCCTGACACACTGTAGGAACTTTATAGATATCTGCTAATAAATGCATGACGAAAGTATAGAAGGTTCTCAAGAGTGTGACTCCAGATAGGAATAGGAATATGACAAAAAAAAAAGGTAATTCGAGGTGAAAGTCTTTAAGGAGAGAAAGCTTGTGAAAGTTGATCCCTAAGACAGGATTTGGATAGATAAAGAAAACAAGGGGGACTAATTCTAGGTTCCAGGAACCGAGTCATTCCTGGAATCTCTTCCTTATCTGTAAGGACAGATGGGGAAGGATGAAAATGCCCCTTAGGAGGCTTGGAATTTGCTCTTTTACTGACTAGGATCAAGACCATAGCAGGAGATTTTCGTTGTCCCTACTTAGATGTAACAACTGCGGTAGGTGGAATCCAAATGAAGCAATCCCTGGTCTGGGTTCTTCTTCGTGGTCTTGAATATTGAATCTTTATGATGGTGACTGAAAAAACAATTTTAGAAAGAAGTATGAGTATTTCTGTTTAGGTCATAACTAGGTCTCACTTTTTAGATGGGAAAACAGAATAAACATAATTATCTAAAATAGATGGTTGTAGCACCCCCAGCACGGCACATACTGAACAAATGTTTATCCTATTACCAATTAAATAGAATAATATCAAGTATGCCAATACGGCTCTGAGCCAGGGGTTGTAAGTAAAGCATCTGAAACAATGCTGATTTCATTTGTGAGGGGGGTTATATCATGCATGATATGAACCCTTACTACTCCCTCCATGGCTTAAGGAAAAATATCCAGGACATGGAATAGGTTTAAAGGGCAGGTGAATTTTTCTTAACAAGTTAGAAAATAATACCTATGACAAAAGAAAAAGCATTCAAGGTGGGATTGATATTAAGAGTTTAAAGGGCAATAATGTGAATAATTTTCGTTCTCTGCTGAGGGTATGATCTTTAATTGTAGTAGAAAAGATTTAAGTTGGTTAACATTTAATTATTTGCACATTCATAAATGAAATTTCATGGTATGCTTGCTATGCTGTTACTGTTGCTGTATTATTAATATTCCATGTATTTAATGTGCTATGCTTTGCACTTTACATACATTATCTCATTTAACTCTCCAAATAATCTATTATCCCTAATTCCCAGATGAGGAAAAAACATTAGAGAGGTTAGGTAAGTCACTCAAAGTCATACATCTAGTAGATAGTGGGGTTGGGGGAGACTGGATTGAAACCCAGGTGCATCTGGTTTCAAAACTCTTACTCTTGGCCAGGCACAGTAGCTCACATCTGTAACCCCAGCACTTTGGGAGGCCAAGGCAGGATCACTTGAGTCCAGGAGTTTAAGACCAGCCTGGACAACATAGTGAGGTCCCATATCTACAAAAACAATGACAAAAAATAGTTGGGTATGGTGGCACATGCCTTCAATCCCAGCTACTCAGGAAGCTGAGGTAGAAGGATAGTTTGGGCCTGGGAGGTTGAGGCTGCAGTGAGCTGTGGTCGCACCACTGTACTCTAGCCTAGGTAACAGAGCAAGACCATGTCTCAAAAAAACAAACACAACTCTTACTCTTAACCCATTAAGATGTTGTACAATGTGCACACAAAGCTGAGCTCCAGGCTAAGGATGGTATAGATAAGGATTAGTTAGGGTCACTGGCTCTAGGAGTTTTTACTACAGCTAACACATTTACATAGATAGCTTAGGATGGGCCAGTGCAAATGATAAGGAGAATCAGTAAGTATATTAGGATTTCTAAGCCATGAGTGAGACTTTATGAGAAGACAGTCTAGCCAGAGCAAGTTATAAATAACAATTCAGAGGAGAACCAAGGCAGGTATAGTCACAGGTACAGCAGGGAGTGTAAATAGAGAAGAACTATTGTAAAATAAAATTATAGTGTCCTGCTAAAGAGGCTAAACTTTATTTTTTGGGCATTGAGAACTCATTGAAGCCTTCTGTCATGCTGGGCCCCTATTGACCTCAGTAGATACTGCACCATGTTCAAAGAGACTGAAGAAGACACCCAGAGCCAGAGAATGAGACATAGGGATGATTGAGGGAACTTACATACAGGGGGTCCATTGGCAGCAGGCTAGACAGGAGTACTGCTATAAAAAAAAGTGTAGTTTATATAGCATTTTCACTTAGTGCCCTCCCCCTAGCAACCTCTTCTATGCAACCTTCATTTAACCCAAAACAAAGGGCCTCAAACCCCTGTATGGCCTGTATTCCATAGGATAGGCCAGAGGTTCAGATGTTCCTCAGAGATAAGGAATGAATCTCCAGGTTGGCTACTCCCAGATTCCTTAGCTGGGAACTCTAAACACACATTCCTTTTAGACCATAGGGTCATTCTCAGGGTATGCTTAAGTTATTGCTGTCAGATGAGTTCACCATACACCTTCTGTGCAAGAGAATAATGTGACAGAGGCCATCCTCAGTGTTCTTACAAACTTAATCTAACAGAAGTGAAGCCCATTTCTGGACAGACTACACTAGTCCAGACAGGAACAAATAAGGACCTAAGTTAAGAGGTAACAGAGAGAAGAGAAAGGTTGGAGATGAAACTATGAATAAGAATAAAAGCAAACCCAACTGCATCTTATGAAGAATTGTTTCAACATTCTAACTGCAGAACTAAGAAGAATTACAATTAACTTTCTCCATGGCTCATTGGTGGAATAATCTGAACTTCTTGGTCCGTGGTATAATTAATACTTCTGATGGGTACTTAAACTGTCATTTCTTTTTAAGATGTTAGGCCAGGCATGGTGGCTCATGCCTGTAATCCCAGCACTTTGAGAGGCCGAGGCGAGCAGGTCACCTGAGGTCAGGAGTTTGAGACTAGCCTGGCCAACCAAGGCGAAACCCCGTCTCTACTAAAAATACAAAAATTAGCTGGGCGTGGTGGCACACGCCTGTAGTCCCAGCTACTTGGGAGGCTGAGACACAAGAATCACTTAAACCCAGGAGGCAGAGGTTGCAGTGAGCTGAGATCGTGCTATTGCACTCCAGCCTGGGTGACAGAGGGAGACTCTCTCCCAAAAAAAAAAAAAAGATTTTAGCAACAGCTTTGCATGGAATGTGATGTGTATTTCCAGCAACAAGGAAGTGATTTCATAATTGACAAAGAAAAGATAATACTGAAGAGAAATCAGAAGCAAAGCTTACATGCTGATGAGCAGAGTGAGGTAAACCATTCATGAATGGCCACAGTCACATGCCGTAAATGAATGATATGGTAATGAATGCACTTACAACTGTGCTTGGTCCATGCATGTACTCAGTTAGTAAAAGCTCTTATTACCCTCATGAATAGAAATGGAGGAAAGGAAAAACCAAGCCCAAAGAAATCAGAGCCTCTGGGGAAAAACATCAATAGCTTTATTTCTTTGCAAAACAAGTAATTTCTAGAAATCTGGGTTCTGAAGGGTTAGAGAGTTGAACACTGTGAATTCACGATTTCTTGTCATTTTAGTAAGGAGAGGTAAATGCTGAGGAGTGGCTCTCCTCTTACATGGAGAAGGAAAGACACACTGATGGCTCTGGGTTGGTGCTGTAG
The DNA here is from genome assembly GCF_000001405.40 of Homo sapiens. NCBI lineage: Eukaryota > Metazoa > Chordata > Mammalia > Primates > Hominidae > Homo > Homo sapiens. Next base: position 108,087,661 of record NC_000007.14, on the reverse strand, counting down.
CTGTGCCTCAGACTTTGAGAAAGTTGCAGTTGGTCAGTGCTGGCATCAGTGGCAGAGAGATGCCACTTCCTCACGGCCCAGCCTCCCATGGCTACAGAAGCTCCAAAGAGTCCAGAAGACCTTGTAGCCATCCCTTGTTATTCACGAAAGTCAGAGCCACTGTAGGCTTGTTTTTAGGTTAGTTCATTCCTTCATTTATTAGCTTTACTGAGATTTTTTACTGAGCCTTCCTGTGTGCATATGCACAAATGAGTATGTTGGAGAAGCAAATGAAAGCAGACGTTGGCTGTCTTGTTCCCAAAGCCAGTACCTCTTACACATAAGAGACCTTCTCAAGTGAATAAAATGGCTGAATGAAAGAAAACAGAAACACTTAAACATGGAGCCTGCCCTCATTGTAGTGGGAAGGAGCCATGGACACAAATGGCTAATGTGTGGTGGTGGGGGCTAAGGGTCATGAAACAGCTGCATGTAACATGATATGGACTTCAGATTATGGAGAAATACCCCAGCTGAGAATTTCAGAGAAGGCTTCGTGGACATTGCTCCCCCTACCAGGATCATGTGTGCCAGTCATGGGGACTTGCTTTCTCCTACTTGTTTCTCTTCCTATGCTACAGCCCCACGAGGCCTTCTCTGACTTCTAGGCTAGAAGTGGCTCTCCACAATCTGAAGTCCACCTGAAAGAGGAGACTGGGGAATGAGTCGCTAGTCCCCTCCCCTAATTCCCTCAGTGATCCTCAATTTTTACTGTGCATGTTACCTAGGGAGTTTATTTAAAATCCAGATTTGACCCTTGGGAGATACCACATCCGGGAATCTGAGGCTGGCCAAGAAACCTGGGTGTTTGCCATGTGCCCCAAGGTGATTCTAATATGGGTGGTTCATGACAGCACTCTGAGAAACCTTGCTTTAAGCATCCACAACATGCTCCTCTCTTTCTTGAAATGACCACATCTGTGTTATTCATTGGGAAAACTTCTTCTCATCCCTTAAAGCCCAACTCAGATTTTTCTCTGACATTTCCTACCCTGACATCTGGACATAATTGTTTCCATCTCTGGGGTTCCATACAGCCATAATTTTTCAAATTGCGGGCCATGCCAGTTAATAAGTAGGCCATGGGACCAGTTTAGTGGGTCAGTTTAGTACAAGAGAAGAATACAAAATAGTCATATTTTTGTGAAATTTTTTTCAGTTTTATATAAATGTGTGTATGTGTGCATGTGTACAGTGTCACTGTCTTAGATTGGGTTCCTGGAAGCAGATGACAGCAGGGATTCAGGTGCATGTGTTTTATTGAGGGAATGTATGTCAAGAAAAGCCTATAATGGAGTGAGGGAAGTAGGCTAGGAAATGAGAAAGGGGGAGGCAGGTATGGGGTCGAGGGTCAAGTTTAGCTTTGGGTCTCATCCCCCAGGGAAGCTCTGAAGCATAAATTGCACCACAGAGTTGTCACCCACTGAGGCACAGGGCTGGCCTGTTGCGTTCCTGCATCAGTCAGTCGTTGGTGCTGGACTGCCAGGGCAGATGCAGGTAACCTTCCAGGTGAGGTGGCTCTCATCAGCCAACAGCAAGGCCCAAAAGAAGGGGTCAGTCGGGAGCCATAGCAGCAACAGTCCCAGGAGCTGGCAGCTGCATGCACTAACCCAGTAAAGGGGATCTGGCAGCAGAACAACAGCACCTACAACACCTACTCATTGCATGCTCTGACCCACCTGCAGGGCCCAGTGCAAAATAAAAATGCAGGGCCGGGCGCAGTGGCTCACGCCTGTAATCCCAGCACTTTGGGAGGCCAAGACAGGAGGATCATGAGGTCAGGAGATCGAGACCATCCTGGCTAACAAGGTGAAACCCCGTCTCTATTAAAAATACAAAAAATTAGCTGGGTGTGGTGGTGGGCGCCTGTAGTCCCAGCTACTTGGGAGGCTGAGGCAGGAGAATGGCGTGAACCCGGGAGGCAGAGCTTGCAGTGAGCCAAGATTGTGCCACTGCACTCCAGCCTGGGTGACAGAGCGAGACTCCATCTCAAAAAAAAATAAATAAATACATAAAAATAAAAAAATAACAATGCAGAGCTTGTGTTCTAAAACCAGAAGGAAACAAAGGGCCATTGAAAGTACTAACATATAAAGCTTTATACTTTCTTTCATGGTCTTTCTCTCAGTTTGTCAGAGCATTTTGTTATTTGCCGTTCAATGTCATTCTATGTAAAGATATATTAAAATTTAAAATTATTAGTATGAATTGTACCATTCATCTTTGCAGAGTGCAGTGCCAGTTTTAACTGCAAACATAAGAACATTTCAACTCACACATGGAATCACTGAAATTACAAAATTTGTATTCATATTCACATTGTCAATTTGTAGTCATATATACATATGTATTTCATTCTTAACAGAACTGTGAGAACACTGCACAAAACTAAGTCAACTGTTTTCATTTCACTTCCTGCTATGTGTTCAACCAACACTCTACCTTCAGCATATTGATGAGTAAGGAAGGACTGAAAGGAAATGAAACTGTGCGTTGTCCTGTCTTTCTCTTTCCTTCTAGTCATCCTTTTCAGTGGAAGTAGTTGGCTAACGCAGGGAAGTCACATGAATAAGAAAATATATGGGGCCTGGCATGGTTGCTCACACTTGTGATCCCAGCACTTTGGGAGGCTGAGATGGGAGGATTACTTGAGCCCAGGAGTTTGAGACTAGACTAGATTTGAGACCCCATCTCTGCAAAAAAAATAAAAAATTGGCTGGGTGTGATGATGTGTGCTGGTGGTCCCAACTACTCAGTAGGCTGAGGTGGGAGGATCACTTGAGCCCAGGAGGTCAAGAGCGAGACCCTGTCTCAAAAAAAAAAAAAAAAAAAAAAAAAGGATTCCTTGGTTGTTTATGTTTCTTGGAATGCCTTTCTTTCTGCATTCAAAACAAGTCTGGTTCTAACAGAAAGCTTGGCTTCTTGGGGCTATCGGCACTCCTGCTAACTCGATCACGTTAGTAACACACTTACCTTGCACTCACTTTGAGTCTCACTGAAATCCCAGGCATAGTAGGTCCACCAGAATTCTGTGTTCATTGGCCCGTGTTGTGCACTATCTGCAAATGGGTCAACAAGGAAGCAGACATACATGATGCGCATATCTCTTCTGCTCACGTGCATGCTCCACTGTCGCAAAAAATTTCACTTACAGAACAAGTTCAAAGAAATAAAATTATTAACTATATCAAGATGGTGACAGCAAAGCATTAAATCAAGCATGGGGGCTTTCTTTAGGGGGTTGGGGGTGCTCCTAGGTAACCATGAAGCTGGCCCTGTCCATTTGCTTCTTACATTAAGTTCACTCCATGCAGGCACAGGTTCTCCAGGATTCTGATGAGTCATAATTCCTGAGGAAATTTACAAAATGACACTAGTGAGACAAACTACAGCCTCTGGCTGCTGCAGTTGGTACCAAGGCTATAATTGGTACCATCTCCCTCCCTCCTCTCTACACATTCTAGATTCCCCTTATCCTCAACTGGCACTTCTGAATGAGATGACTCACACTCTCATCCCTCATGGGCTGGAGCCCCTGCATTGCATGCCTTATCAGACCACATGTATGGGAGCACTAAATGTGCCCCAGTGGATCACCTCAGTGCCATACATATTCCTCGTGTCCCCATGATATAGCCACAGCCCTATAGTTATGATAATTCCTTCTTGTGACTACTGGTCTGCTGGCATGAGGAGCCCAAGAGACCATGTAGCAGCCATAGCTGTAAGATTAGCAGAAGGAACTCTGTCCCCCTCCAAGAATCAAGACCTCTAGACCCACAGAGCCTAATGTTACAGTGACAAGAAGCCCAGATTACCATGGTCACTGGGAGTGGTAGTGGGCATGGCTAATCCTACTTGGTTCTCCCAAGCCCATGTATTCTATCTGTTAGGGACACAGCATCAAATAAATGCCTTCATTTAAGGAGTACATAACTTCCCAAAGAACGCTGGCCCATCTCCTGGGGTTTCATTTCCAAGTTTGTGAAGCTAATGCTTCAGCTGCATCTTTAAGGGGCCCCATTCCACTGCCATCTCAGATCAGCATCTTCCAGATAGTATGGTTTGTGTAAGGGCAGTGAATCCCAAAATCGCATGACCATGGCTGAACTTGTTTTGCTGGAAAGTGGATCTATTGTGCAGAGGGGATATTACGTTTTCCCACCTTGGTGAATCGGCCCTCAGAAAAGAGTGCTGCCAAGGCCATAGAATGGCTGGTTCTCACTGTAGGAAGCCATGTAATAGCAACTTGGGTCAAGGCACCCACTTCACTAGCCCTCAATGTAGGGGATTAATGTGGTATTTCATAGAATATATGGATGGTCCAGATCCTTTTGGGCTATATTGTGACAGAGAACAAGAGAATTAAAATAGGCCCGGAGCAAGACTGTGAACATACACTCTTACCCTCCCAAGTATTCTCCTCAGCACTTTCAGACTACAGAAGGAACCCACTTGCCCTTGTTGGAAAATGGAGCCCGACTATTCCACCCCACCACATTTGCAGACAATGTAGAAACATCAAAGGATTGACGATGTTCCTTTTTCCTTAAAAGTATGGAAGAGAAAACATTTTTGCATATCAATATCTACATAGCATGTTCCAGAGGCTGTATTAATCTGCTCTAGTAAAGACACTCCATCCAACCCAACAGCTGCAAGTGGGACTATACCACGGTTAAATTTGTGGTAATTGACTTCCGTCTGCCAGTGATCCATCCAATGACTGCAGAAACAAGACTGGTGCTTTAAATGGGGATATGATGGGAACCACCACAAATTCATCCTTTAAGTCTTGAGAGTGGCACTCTGAGGATGACCCTGATTTGCAATAGTGTTTTTATGTACTGTCTTGGCTTGGGTGTGGGGCAGGGGGCTCATTTTACAAGATTTTATTTGGCTTTTCCTACTACAAGAGCTCTTACCCCACAGGTCAAAGAACCAGTGCCAACTGCAAAGCAGGTTCATTCCATTATATATATTCAAGAATTGAAGAAAATTATCAATAGGTGGTTCTGTAAATCCAGTGACATCACTATGAAAGGCACCTGGGCTAGCAGTCCATTTATTACCTGACCCACATATGTCCCTATTCTAACAAGGGGACCATGGTGGCACTTTGTATACCTGGTTATCAGCATAAGCTCAGATCCTGTATCCACTAATACTGAAAGATTATGGGTATACCCCCTTCCCCAATAGACAGTTATCTTTGTAGAAGTAATTTACCTAAGCTGGTAATTCAGGCTCTTCTCTGAAGTTCTGCGACTCTTTTTTTTTTTTTTTTTTTTTTAAGACGGAGTCTCGCTCTTTCGCCCAGGCTGGAGTGCAGTGGTGCTATTTTGGCTCACTGCAAGCTCCGCCTTCCGGGTTCACACCATTCTCCTGCCTCAGCCTCCCAAGTAGCCGGGACTACAGGTGCGCACCACCGTGCCTAGCTAACTTTTTGTATTTTTAGTAGAGACGGGGTTTCACCGTGTTAGCCAAGGTGGTCTCAATCTCCTGACCTCGTGATCCACCCACCTCGGCCTCCCAAAGTGCTAGGATTACAGGCGTGAGCCACCTCACCCGGCCGAAGTTCTGCAACTCTTACAATTAATGCTTGTGAAGAATATTCAGCTCTTCTTGCCCTCTAGTTTAAGGAGACGAGAGTCTCTTTAAACATGCCCCCAAGGAGGCCCTCTGATTTTCACACTTTGCTTTACATTGGTGATTGATTGTCCTTACCCTGTCATTTTCTCTCATCAAAGACATTCAACAACAGCCACCCATTTCCACAGTTCTTACTGGAACATCAAAGGATGCAGATGCCTCCCATATCTTTCAGTGCCAGAAATACTGCTCAAGTCAGTGCCTCCCCTTCCCTGCCTGTATTCTGTCCCATTTCTCCACAGGTGACAATTTTAGCAATTGTATCATTACATCATGCCAGGGATCATCAGTGCATGTCACCCACCACGGCCCTCACTGCCAGCCAAACAGTAAATTATCTACCTCCAGAATTGCATCTTAGGATCTACTTTTAGGTAAACTGTCTGGCATTAATTATGTCAAGTCAGGTGCCCTAGGAGAGCCTAAGATGGGATTCAACTGCAAGTGATTTATTAAGGAAATGTTCTTCAGGAATACTCTTAAGAGAGTGAAGGAGAAAAGATAGAGAAAAGGAAAGAGCAGAGCGAGACATGGTCTCAGGTAAAACAAACCTTGAATTGATCCTCAGAGGAGCTCAGGGGCATACACTGGAGGCAAAGTTGTCCTGCCCCTTGAGACAACCTGGTCAGCCTTGTATCAGTCAGTCATTGGCTGTGAGCTCCCAGAGGCTGTGTTGGCTGGTTAGGGAGGGAGATGTGAAAGAGCAATCCTCCAGAGCAAGGGTCAACTGTGAGCTGTCAGCAGCCACACACAGAGCAACTGGGGGATGGGTGCACCAAACAGCTAAAGGAGATCTGGGAGGGGCACCTACAGTGTCTACTGCAATTGCAAGGGTATTTTATTTTATTTTATTTTATTCCTCGCTCTGTCGCCCAGGCTGGAGTGCAGTGGCGCGATCTCGACTCACTGCAACCTCTGCCTCCCAGGTTCAAGCGATTCTCCTGTCTTAGCCTTCCAAGTAGCTGGGAGTACAAGCGCACACCACCACTCCCAGATAATTTTTGTATTTTTAGTAGAGACGGGATTTCACCATGTTGGCCAGGCTGGTCTCTAACTCCTGACCTCGTGATCCACCCGCCTTGGCCTCCCAAAGTGCTGGGATTACAGGCCTGAGCCACCGCACCCAGCCTTACAAGGGGTTTTTTTTTTTTTAAATGTTTGAAAAACATTGTATATTGATGACTTTACATATACCTCTGTCTATTAAAACCCAATCTGACAGCACAATTTCTTATTTACATTTCTGCCTCAGATGCGAGATTCTAAACTCCTCTGTGGCAGAGGCTCTGTCCTACTTATTTTGCATTCCTAATTCAGGAGCTGGCACATAATTGTTACTAAACATTTATCAAATGAAGGGCAGTTTGGGGTAGATCACAGAGCAACTAGAACTCCAGGCTAAGTAACTTGGGCATTATTCTGTTGGCAGTTAGAAAGAGTTTGAGATGCTTGGTTGGCAGCAGTACATGATATATATTGGACCAGAGAGAGAGAAGAGAGCAGCACCAAGAGACTATTGCAGCAACACAGGCAAAAGTAACAAGAAGAGGAATTTGAGCGGAGGCTGTGAGTGTGGAGAGGCAGAAGCAAAAGTAATTAAAGAGGTTTTATCTACAGGGTCCAGATGGCCTCAGGCTGACATCCAGTATAGAGACCGTCAGGGATTCTAATTAATCATGTTAGGAGTTTTATACTTACATGCTCCCAAGCAGATAGAAGAAGAGCGTTTCTCATTTTGCATGGAAGAAGTATCTAGAAAATAAATCCATGTGGGTTTTCTCATTGTCATGCCCAATTAGGCAAAATCTGTAAAGTGGGCATGGGAATAGCCTCCATATTTTGGGAAGAACTCCGCAGTCATATCCAAGAAAACCCAAGGTTATCAATGTGGAATTTGCTCAGTTCATTAGCACAGGGGGTACTTAAAATTAAAGTCGCTTCCCGGAACACTGCTTTCAAATCAATCATTCTATACAGTAACATATGTTCCAAAGCTGCAGTATTAGCACATTATTCTCAGCTGGATTCTGGACTGTATCCTGCTTAGAATAATTTATCTGTGACTCATATGAATCATATACACACCAGGAAATACAGGGGGTGGTGCAGTGGGGGACTGGTTTTCTTGAACTCTTTCAGGCCTTGACTGTAGGCAAAGCTATTTACATTCCTCTCCCATTTTAGGGCTCGGAGACGTTTGGCCAGAGTCCTGCTGTTCACGTTGTTTTAGGAGAGCCAGTTCCTGGGAACCCTGTTACATGGACTGGACCTGGATTTGCCAGGGTTCTCCCTGGGGCTGGCTTGAGATTTGCTGTCAACAACATTCCCTTTCCTGTGGACTTCACCATTGCCATTCACTATGAAACCCAGGTATCCTTTAACTCTCCAACTTTGGTGGTGAAAAGCTGACAGAAATACATTCTTGAACTGTTTCCATTTCAGCCTTGCTAGAATAGGTTCATCAGAAAAGGATTTGTAAAAAGTGAACATCTGGGGAGCATTATAAACCAAGGGTTTCCTAAAGATATTGAAGCAGCGCAGTGAGCCATATGCATGCATGCTGTATCCCATGGAGAGAAGCTACAGCTGGAGTTACAGATTTAAGGTACCAGATTTAAGGAAGTGGTGACTGTTTGTATAAGAAAAATAACCAAAATAACACAAATCATGCCCTCCTGGTACTTTTCTTCTAAAAATTTAATAAACCAACACATGTGCAGACATTCAGACTCACAGGTGATGCAGCAGAAGCATTTGTTTGCATTTGCATCTTACCCTGCGACAAGAGAAAGACCAAAAGCAAACTGCCCCTCTTGTTTCCCACTAGTAGACCCCCTGCCGCCCACCTTTTAAGAAATATCTAAAACAGAATAGAAGCCAAATTAGAAAAATAGTTGATTTACACCAATAGTTCCTAACCTTCCTTTGGATCTGAAGCCCACTGAACATCTCCTTTGAAACATGTTTGATATGGCTGGAGGGGGGTGTGGTCTTAGAGGCTCCCAAGCCCCACTAGGGACCACATTCTGGAGGCTCCCACGGTGCATCACATGCCTAGAGCAGCTGATCTGCTTTGAAATGTGTGATAGGACATAATTCTCTATTTCTTACTTACAAGTGAAAGCCAAGGAACTTCAGTGAACTTTGGCTCAGTGAATATGATAAGAAAGCCATTAAAAATATACATAGATTAATTTATCTGTAGAGAGAATATGGCCCTGACACCTTTAAAAAGCTTTTCCAAATTGTAAGGCTTCAGAATAAAGCTAATTTGCATATCTCCCCAGTATATAGATTCCTTTTGTAAAGGATTCCAAATTATTATTATTTGTTCTGTGATCCAGAGCCATGATGAATGAGTCAACTCCCTGGGAAATGGGGGTTGAGGATTAGGCTTGTCAGGAGAGTTAAGGTTTTTCCAGGCTCATGAGCCCATGAGAAACAATGCTTTTTCTGCCTGGATCACAATTCAGGCATCAGAGAGTTGGGCCTGAGAGTGAACCTCTAAGACTCTTTCAACTCCAAAACTCTTTGCCAAGTGGCCTAGGGGTTGCAAATTCAAGTCCATGCACTTTCCATTAGCTATATGTGTGTACGTGCAAAACATTTTCCTGCATCCTTGCAGTGACATGCCTTAATGTCATGCCTGTCTAGTCTGCAGCTGACTGGACTGTCCAGATTGTGGTGAACCCCCCTGGAGGGAGTGAGCACTGCATACCCAAGACTCTACAGTCAAAGCCTCAGTCTTTTGCCTTACCAGCGGCTACGAGGTATGTTTCAGACCGGTCCTCAAACATTGAAAGCTTCTTAGAATTTTGTTCACTTATCAGTAATTTGTTTCTGGGAACTAAGTGGAGAAAGAGGAGGTCTGAAGAAAACTATAACATATATTAAGCACTTACTGGGTGCTGCACTATGCTTTACATTTAATATCACTTTTAATCTTCATAACAACTCAGTACGGCAGGTTTTGTCTTCGTTAGATGAAGAAGAAATTGAGAAGGAGAGTACTTAAAAGACTTACTGAAAACTCATCACTAATGTGTAGCAGAACCAGGATTCTAGCCAGGATATCCTGACTCTAAATATTGAATGTTCCTTTTCCGGTCCCCAGGTGGCTTTGAAATGTAAGAAAGGAAAATGCAACCAGAACAAGAGTAAAACATTCAGCTTGATTACTCTCAATAGATGAGAGTCTTTGAAGTAAAAGACTGCTAATTTTGAGGCCACTGATTTTGCCTCAGCAGAAACTTGTGGCAAAATAATTTTTTTTTTTTGAGTCAGAGTCTCGCCCTGTTGCCCAGGCTAGAGTGCAATGGCATGATCTCTGCTCACTGCAACCTCTGCCTGCTGGGTTCAAGTGATTCTCCTGCCTCAGCCTCCTGAGTAGCTGGGATTACAGGAGCATTCCACCACGCCTGGCTAACTTTTTGTATCTTTAGTAGAGACAGAGTTTCACCATATTGGCCAGGCTGGTCTCAAACTCCTGATCTCATGATCTGCCCACCTTGGCCTCCCAAAGTGCTGGGATTACAGGTGTGAGCCACCATGCCCTGCCGCAAAAATTTTTTTTTTGAGATTTTTTGAGATCCTGTTGATGTTAGCATGAGAGACGGGATGAGGACCTCTGTACCATCCTTTCCCCAGAGCTGTCATAACAACCCACAGCCAATAGTTTCTCAGACTTTGCTACTTGGCACAATCCTGTGGAAGAGCCACAGAGGATCTGAATGTGACTTTACCATCCAACCAACCCACCTGTGCTGGTCTAGACCTACACTGGCCTCAGCCCCACAGTGGAGGTCACTGCCCAGTACAAGTGCAATGCTACCAAATACTATGGCCATTTAGCTAATATAATTGTATTTCTGTGGTCTGAATTTTTGCTTTATCTTTCTTAATACAGAATCATGCTGCTTCCCACACCCATCTGTTTAGAACCAGATGTACAATATTCCATAGATGTCTATTTTTCTCAGCCTTTGCAAGGAGAGTCCCACGCTCATTCACATGTCCTGGTGGACTCTGTAAGTATCACAGAGTTTTGTGGGTGCTTTCTTCGCTACTAAGCACCGTTATAACTACTTTTAAACTCACTAGTGAAATATTTCTTTAAAAATGTAAACGTATTTGCTCAATTATAAAAGCCACCTAATAGCATCTGCAAATCTTATTTAACAGTATGTCCCAGTAATGGTTTGGAGTGTTTTACATATTATTTAATCACAGAAACCCTGTGTGGTAGGTATACTTTCATGATTTCACAGATGATGGAACAGAGCTAGTGGTCTGTGACGCTGTGACAGGGTCACAGAGCTAGTGAGTGAGGAGTCCAGAATCAGAGCCACCCAGCCTGCTTCCACATCCCTGCCCTGAGCCACGACAGCACACTGTTGGTATAGGAAATGTGGGGAAGAAATCCAACCACATTAATCATTATCATTTTCCAAGTTCCCATTTTATACATCCTACACTTTTGTATCATTGAAATCAGAGTGCTTATACAATGTTGTAGGCCAATTTTTTTCACCTCACACTTCATCATAAGCATTTTCTTATGGTATGTATGTAGTCTTCTTATCTTCAGAAACCATGCATAATATTTCCTGAGTGACTTCTTCCAACATCTTTCCCCCACAGAGTGGGGCAATGGGCATTCCTTCCAAACTTCTTACTCTGTGCAGCCCTTCAGACCCAGGCTTGTCCCTTGGCAGAGTTGAGCATTGAGTAGATTTACTTAAGTTACTTATCTATTTTCCCTACTCCTGGTCATATAAGTTGCTTCTATTTTTTACTACTATGTGTATTTGATACATGTTTGATACATATGTATATTTGATACATTTGAAATATACATATATTTGATATATATTACTACTATGTATATTTGATACATATTTTTAAAAATATTTTAAAATATTTTCCTACTTTACCTAAGGTGTTATGGCTCTTGAAATAATTTGTCAAAATATTTTCTGGAACATATTTTCCAATTCATTTTTTTTCTGTTTTGAGACGGAATCTTCTCTGTCACCCAGGCTGCAGTGCAGTGGCACAATCTCGGCTCACTGCAACCTCCGCCTCCTGAGTGCAAGCAATTCTCCTGCTTCAGCTTCCCGAGTAGCTGGGATTACAGGCACCCGCCACCACACCTGGCTAATTTTTGTATTTTTAGTAGAGATGGGGTTTCACCACATTGGCCAGGCTGGTCTCAAACTCCTGACCTCAGGTGATCCACCTGCCTCAGCCTCCCAAAGTGCTGGGATTACAGGCATGAGCCACAATGCCCAGCCTCCCCAATTAATTTTTAAGATCATTAGTACAGTATGAAGGTACCAGTTTCATCCCACCTTCAACAGAATTATATAGAATTGTGTGGGATTTTTAAAAAGTAATTTCATGGATAAAAATAAAATTTCTTTGTTAAAATTGCATTTTTGTATATTTGTGAGAATCTTCTAATATCATTACTTAATTGGCAAACTATAGCCCAACGAAGTTTTATTGGGCCACCGCCAGTCCCATTTGTTTATATATCATCTATGGCTGCTTTCAAGCTAAAAGGCAGAGTTGAGTAGTTGCACAGAGACTTTACAGCCACATTTCATCTGGCAACCATAATCAAAGGTGTTATAAATCCTGTACCTAGAGAGCTCTGTAACAGTTCAGGTGAGAGGATCTACCTGGTAGATTCTACCATATTATAGTAGAAATAAAGTAGAAAGTAGAAACAAACTCTTAATTGGGAATTTTAAACCGTCATGATTTCCCTAACTATATAATCCATTTCTCCACTGAGGAACTTTAAATAGAACTGTACTCATTAACCAACATATGAGTTACAAAGGGAAGAAAATCAAATCTGATAGGTTTAATTTGGGGGGGAAATGCCAAAAATTGGGAACCCAAGCAAATTAAAGAGAATGGAAGAAACTAATGAAGTCCCAGATCACTAAGGGATATTACTGTTACTATAATAATCAGGAAACCCAAATTTATAAAAGCCAACATACTCTTGATTTTCAATCTATATCCTAAATATTTCTAAACTTTGTAAATTCCAAAGATTATCACTTGACGCTGTACTAAAGGCATTCATCCAAATTATCCACTCATCACCCATTCACTGAGTATATATGGGCCAGGAAGTATGCTGGTCCTGGGGTGTAAAATATGGTTCCTTATTAAAAAATAATTCTCAGCCTAGTACAGAAGAGAGACTTGTATATAAAATCATTACAAGGATGTTTGATAGATGCAATAAGTAAATAATTTGGAACTAATTTTAAAATATTGCATTTGGGCCGGGCATGGTGACTCACACCCATAATCCCAGCACTTTAAGAGGCTGAGGCAAGCAGACCACTTGAGGCCAGGTATTCAAGACCAGACTAGGCAACATGGCGAAACCCCGTCTCTACTGAAAATACAAAAATTAGTCAGGTGTAGCAGCACATGCCTGTGGTCCCAGCTACTCAGGAGGCTGAGACACAAGAATCACTTGAACCTGGGAGGCAGAGGTTGCGGTGAGACAAGATCACACCACTGCAATCCAGCCTGGGCGACAGAGCAAGACGCTGTCTCAAAAAAATAAATAAAATAAAATAAAATATTGCATTCAATTAGTTTTCAGTCGATCATTCTCTTACATATAACTATGGAAAACCTGAAGTATGAATAAAAGTTAAGAGAATAACCCATAATTGGTAACTGTCAGAAATCTCGGAAGAGGCCCAGACCTGTTTTAGGTCAGATTCCCTAAAGCAAAAGCTGAGACAGGGACTCAGGTAGATGTGATTTATTGAGGGTGTGTTCCTGAGAGGAGAGGAGTGAGGAAAATAGGGGAGGACAGGGGAAGGAACCAAGCAAGGATGTGGTCTCCACTGAAGTGTGGCCTCAGGCTGATCCCACCTGGAGCTCTGGAGCCTGGATTGCACCACACAGTTGAACCTCCCTGGATGCAAAGCAGTGCCTTATAAATGCTCAGCTACAGGTTCACCACCACCACCACCACCACCCGCCCCACTGTGAGTGCATAAACCCCTGGACCAGATGGCTGAGTGCAGTTTTCTGAAGAAGGGAACAGCTGTGAGCCTTAAGGAGCCAGTGCCACACCCACTACAGGATGAGTACACCAGCCTGCCAAGGCCAACCTAGGGCGGGCAACTACAGTGTGCACTGTGGTCTCTGACCCAAAATGTCCAGGAGGAGAAAGTCCTTGCACATTTCATTGTTACAGACTAATATGATTAATGCCATACCACCAATTTTGTTGCTCTGGGAAGATAAGACACTTGACTGCTTGGGACGCAGCCCTTTCAAAGTTTATTCTTTTCTGCAGCCAGATTAACATTTGCATCTGATACCAGGGGACATTACCAAGAAGACCAAAGGAAACCTTTGTTTATCCATGGTGCTCCTTCTGCACAAATGCCTTGTTTGGCAAGCACTGTGAGATCACTGAAATTTGTTTTCAGTTACCCAGATTACATGGTATGTGCATTTATAAAACTGTGTTTAGAGTAAAAAATATATTAGGCATTCTAGAATATAAAACTGCCATTCTTCTTTTTAAACCATGGAATGGAATATACTTGGTAAACATAAAGTCCTTAGAAGTTTCTGGTAGAAGAAGTGAGTCATGGCATTACAAAATCCTATAGCTGGCCGGGCGCGGTGGCTTACGCCTGTAATCCCAGCACTTTGGGAGGCCGAGGTGGGCGGATCACCGGACATCAGGAGTTTGAGACCAGCCTGGCCAACATGGCAAAACCCCGTCTCTACTAAAAGTACAAAAATTAGCTGGGCGTGGTGGTGTTTGCCTGTAGTCCCAGCTACTTGGGGAGGCTGAGGCAGGAGAATCACTTGAACCTGGAGGCAGAGGTCTCAGTGAGCTGAGATCGTGCCACTGTACTCCAGGCCTGGGCAGCAGAGCAAGACTCCATCAAAAAAAGAATTCCTATAGCTGACAGGAACTCTTGTCATCTGGTCTATCTTCTCAGTTCCCAGAATGGCCAACTATCAATGGCTCAGACCAAGAGCTGTAAATTATCTCTGGTTGGCTGCCCTCATCCCCAACCCCAGCCCATATGGCTTTCTTTTTCATCTCTCCCCACTTGGTTTGTGTTTGGAGAGCACAGAGTCATTTTCATATCAACTTAAGAATACAGTAGTAGACCTGTAAATATTCTTTACTGAACAAATTTCTATGAAGCGCCTACTATAAATTAGACACTGTGGTAGGCATAGGTGTAAACAAGACATGTACTATCCCTGCCACCCCGGTTCTTATTCTCTAAAGGGGAGATGCAGAGAAGCAAGCAATGAGAGCATGGGGTTAGAGGTCCTGGGAACCGTGACAGGGCACAGACCCAAAAAGCTCAGCATGACTCTCGCAGTGGTTCTCAGCCTCATCTGACCCAATCCCATGCCCCCTTTTTTAACTTTTAAAAATATTTTTATTACAAATATTTTCTAATATTCCTTACCATCCTGAAATGAAATTCATAGGCACTATAGCCTATCTGCATACATGACTTCCAAATAACATCAATGTAATATGCTAATATTAATACAAAGGAAAAACAAAAGGAAAGTATGGATAAATAAATCATCAGACTTCAATGCGTACATGTACAGGCATGAATACACCAGAAGACACAATGAAGTAGGAAGATGGCTCACATAGGTAGAATCACTGCTTTCATGGAGAGAGCCATGAAAGCAGGTGTGTTGTAAACATGTTTCAAAAACATAGAGTTAGGCTCTCGACTCAAACTATAAACAGGGTTTTCTCCTTCATGAATATCCAATGGAACTTTCAAAAGCTATAAGGGCCATTTTGTGAGAATGTCCCACGTTTCTGACTGCAACCTTCTAAATGCCTGTAATAAACATCACTCTATTGCTGTGACAACTAAAACCACCTCCACAAATTTCCAAAATGCTCCCTAGAGGGGCAGTACCTCCCATATTGAGGACCATGGGGTTGAGAGGATGAGCAGGAGGAGCATAGCAAAATGAAAAAAAAAAAAAAGTTCAGATTTTTATCCTGAGGCAATGGGAAGCCACTGAAAAGTTTTAAGAAGGAGATTATCTGGACAAACTGCATTTAAAAAGATCACTCTGACTTTAGTGTAGAAAATGAATTGGGTGTGGCAAGAGTGGATGCTGGGCCATCTGTTCAGCTGCCACTGTAATCATCCAGGTGGCCTGAATTAGGGAAGTGGCAGGGGAACAAAGAACCATAAATGCACCCTAGACACATCTAAGAGGAGGAATTGGCCAGGCTTGTGATTTGATGTGTGTGGGATGTGCGTTAGGCAAAAGTGTTGATAGCAAAGAGGCAAGTGTCAAAGATGACCTCCTTCAGTTTTCTCCACTGAGCAGCTTGACAGATAGTGGCATTGTCTACCAAGAGTAAGCACAGAAAGGAAAGTGGGGTTCAGGCATGTTTGTTTTGCAGTGCCTGTGGGGCAACTAATAGGCGTTAGATATCAGTGCAGATCTGGAGCCCACGACTGACAGGTGCACAGGAGATGTAAATTCAGATGCTGGCACCCATTCAGATGGTGGCCCAGTGTGGCCAAGATCACCTAGGAAGTAGGTGTGGAGTTAGGGGGGTGCTGATGAGAGAACCCTGAGGAACTCTAACATTTAGGGATGGGATAGGGGAGAAGTATTGCATTGGCTTGAAGGGTGAATGGCAGATGAGGCAGGGGTGATGACAAGGAAATGATTTTTTTAAGAAATTTGCCTATCAAGGAGTCAAAGGGCAGAGACAGGGGCAGTGGCAAGAGGAATATGTACGATTGAGGAGGTGATTTTATAGATGGGAGAGACTTGAGCACATTTAAATGTGAGTTGAGAGGAAGAGAGTGAAGAAAGCAAACATAATATGCAGAAGAGTTTTGTAAGGTTAGAGGAGTTACCAATGGGACACTTCTTCCACTCCCAATACCTCTTCCTTCTTGAGCACTAAATGTTCCGGATGGGTGGTAAGACTCGAGAGCCTGGAATTTGGGAGGCAGGTAGTAGGAAGCTCCAGGCCTTTTGCTGGGGTCTGTTTCCTCTGTGTAGTAAGGAGGTAACGACATATGCTCAGAGTACAGCAGAAAGAGGAGACACTGGTAAATACAGATGACTTTTGAACAATTTGGGGGTTAGGGGTGTCAACACCCCCATGCAGTCAAAAACCTACATATGATTTTTTACTCCCCAAAAACTTAACTACTAATCACCCACTGTTGACTGAAAGCCTTACCAATAACATACAGCCAATTAATATATATTTTGTATATGTAGGATATACTGTATCCTACAATAAAGTAAACTAGAGAAAAGAATATGTTATTAAGAAAATACAAGGAAGAGAAAATATGTTTATATTCATTAAGTGGAAGTGGATCATCACAAAGGTCTTCATCCTCTTCATCTTCACGCTGAGTAGGCTGAGGAGGAGGAGGAAGAGGAGGGCTTGGCCTTGCTGTCTTGGAGTAGTGCAGGCGGAAGAAAATCCACATAGAAGGGACCCATGCAGTTCAAACCTGTGTTGTTCAAGCGTCAGTTCTGGTCATCTAGGGTTGTGATGCCACCAGCTGGGTGTGTCAAAGGACAACTAGGGAAAGACTGAAGAGGGTTGAAGTAAAGGGCTATGGAAACTGGTTTCAGGACAGATAAAGCAAAAAGAAGACTAGAGGAGATGTATCTGCACAGGTTTAGTCTCCAGACTTTACCTGCTGAATTAAAACCCATTTTCACTGCTGCTTTTAACACGAGTTGTTCAAAATGACCAACTTGATGTTATTACTCTTTCAAATCTAGACAAACATATTAGCAAGTAAAAAATATGATAGTAGAAAGATAAAGGCTTTTTTTTTCTTAGCCACAAGTCCAGAAATATAAATATTTAAAGATTTCTTAAATAAATTGAAAATCTTTAAAGTCTTCAGTCTTAACCAGTTTAAAGGATTGAGTTGAGTCTTCTTTGAACCATTATTTTCATAGATCTAATTTTTTTATATGTAAGTAGAATCGTACACAGCAGATAGTTTGAATGTTAAGTCTTTTTGCATTCTTTCAAAAGCTTGGCCTTATTCCCCAAATCAATTCATTGGAGAATTTCTGCAGCAAGCAGGACTTAGATGAGTATCAGCTTCACAACTGTGTTGAAATTGCCTCAGCAATGGGACCTCAAGTGCTCCCGGGTGCCTGTGAAAGGCTGATCATCAGCATGTCTGCCAAGCTGCATGATGGGGCTGTGGGTAAGTATCTGTTTAATGGGCTCTACTGAGGCACTGACATCCATACAAATGCTTTTTGGAGCAAATCAATTTATGTTAGCATCCACTCCAAACAACAACCAAAATACCCATCACTCAATGATTAGATACACAGAGTGGTCTGCTGATGTGTTGGAATCATAATGCACAGTACATTGAGTGTATAAAAGAGGAACTTTGCAGCAGCATTTATAGGCTAGATGGCTGGAACAATGATCCTAAAATATTCATTTGGAATTCTAGGGCTGGAAGGAACTCCAGACATCTTTCATCCCAAAATATTCATTTAATAAATGAGCATATTGGGGCCCAAAATCTGTATGTAACTTGCCCATTTCATTTAGCTATGGAAGGGCTTTTCTCCCTCAGCACTACTGAAATTTTGAGCTGGGTAATTCTTTGCTGCGGGGGCCTGCCCCATGCACTATCAGGTGTTTAGCAGCAGCCCTGCAGATCCTATACCGGTACTGCCCTCCCCTAGTTGTGACATCCAAAAATGTCTCCAAACTTTGTCAAATGTCACCTAAGGGACAAAATCATCCTTCAGTTGAGAAGCATGGCTATAGAGTGACAGCTACAATGACAGCCGAGGCTTCCTGAATGTTAGGCAAATGCTTTTTCCATTAGGACAGAGCTATGAGTTCAGGGTACCCACCATGTCATGAAATATATGGAATAGGGGGAAATAAAAAACTAGTAAGGGGGACCGGGCATGGTGGGTCACACCTGTAATCCCAGCACTTTGGGAGGCTGAGGCAGGTGGATTGCTTGAGGTCAGGAGTTCGAGACCAGCCTGGCCAAAATGGTGAAACACCATCTTTACTAAAAATTAGCCAGGTGTGATGGCACGTGACTGTAATCCCAGCTACTCGGGAGGCTGAGGCATGAAAATCACTTGAACTGGGAAGGCGGAGGTTGCAGTGAGCCAAGATCACACTACTGCACTCCAGCCTGGGCCATAGAATGAGATTCAGTCTCAGAAAAACAAACAAACAAACAAACAAACAAAACACTAGTAAGGGGTATGGTGGCAGACACCTGTAGCCCTAGCTACTTGGGATGCTGAGGCAGGAGGATTGCTTAAGCCCAGGAATTCAAGGCTACAGTGAGCTATGATCACACCACTCCAGCCTGAGTAACAGAGTGAGACCTTGTCTCTAAAAAATAAAGTAGTAGGTATAATTCAGCACCAATGTAGAACATCAGGAATTGAAGTATTAAGAATGCCAATAGTATTAATTACATTAGAATAATTATTTAAAACCAATTTTAAGTCTGTTAACTTGTTAAGTAATGTTTATTGAGCACCCTATGTACCAGCACTATTCTAACTACTTCGCAGAACTTATTTCCTTTTATCCATACAACAATCCCACAAGGCAGATTCTATATTATTCCTATTTAACAGATGAGGGAGTTGAGTATTAAAGAGGTCTTAAATGAGAGAGAGGTGAACTATAGCTACTAACAAGGTGAGGTGCTTCTCTGCCTCTTCATTCATTTCTACCTCCCTTCCATTGTTCCTTGCAGCCTGCAAGTGTCACCCCCAGGGCTCAGTCGGATCCAGCTGCAGCCGACTTGGAGGCCAGTGCCAGTGTAAACCTCTTGTGGTCGGGCGCTGCTGTGACAGGTGCTCAACTGGAAGCTATGATTTGGGGCATCACGGCTGTCACCGTACGTAGCAAAACACACAAGGGGAAACACTTGCTCACAGTCTTGACATTTTGACAGCAGGCAAAGTCATGGAGGGGGGTTTTAATGGGAAGGAGATTGGAAACCTGACTACATTATTCAGACTATCTATGTACATAAAATATACTGAACATTTTTTTGCTACACTTCATTCATCCATTCATCAATGGGCCCTGACTGTAGGCAGAGCTGCATTAGGAACCGAGAGTAATGAACAAGGCATAGTCCATGCCTCTGGAAGTTTGCAGTCTGTGTCAAATGGTTGGTAGTTCAGTTAAAACGTGGAACACCATGAAGGGAGCTGGCAAAGCCAGCTTGAGGATCTAGCTCACAAACCCAGTGGCTGGAAAGGCTAAAACAATGATAAGATTGGGGAGTCAAGAAAGGGACAATGCTGTCACCACAGACAAGACTTCTCCCAATGAGGATATCACCCTTTCTGATGCGAGGTTTGCAAACAGCCTTGTAACTCATTTTATAAGTCACCCATTGATAAAGGTTTAGATGGGGCTTCATCCACAGCTGATAATACAGCTCTCATGGCTAATATGTTCAGGTATATAGTTCTCTCTTCACAGTGTAAATCATTAGTGAAAATACTGTTCCCTCAGATTCCTACCTTAGGAACCATGAAAACCTACAGGTAGGTTAATTTCCTTTCCAAGTAGGGAAACATATCTTTTCAATCATAATCCAGAGAAATGGTTCCCCTTCCTGGGCATTGCTTGGGCATGGCCACCTACCCAGCCCATCATTGGATCCATCATTGCTTTCTTTTCTTTTCTTTTTTTTAAGAAAAGTTACAAAATGCCTGAGATACACAGAGGGATCTAGACAAAGGAACAAACATTTCTTCCATGCGCCACCCTATCACATAAACTGGCATCACATTTTGGCACAGGGAAGATTGGCTCAAGGGATTCAACAATTTATCAGAAAAGGATTGGGCCTCTTCCATCTTGTCTAGGAAAAAGAAAACTCTGACCATGTTAAGATGGGCTCTTATATGGTTTATAATCTAGAGATTATATTAATACTATACCATTATTTTAGTATAGTATTTATATATACTATATTAATACTAAAATATTAATACTAGAGGTTATATTAATATACCTAAGATATATGGAAGTTTAAGTCGTTAAAAACATGTTACTTGTTTTTAACAACAAACGTTAATTAAACCCAATTGTTCGCAACATACTGTTTATCCAGTGACTCAGTGAATTGTTATTTAACGTTTACCTGGAACTCATTATATGCTGTGTCCTAAGCACGTTACAGGCTTGCTTAGTTCACTGGGATTGGGAAAGGAAATGAGACACCAGAACTGTAACTCTTTCACCACCACACACCACTCATCCCCGCTCCAGCATACTTCTCTTTGCTTCATCCAGCATGTCACTGCCATCCTCAAGGATCAAAGGACACTGTATGTGACCAAGTAACAGGACAGTGCCCCTGCCATGGAGAGGTGTCTGGCCGCCGCTGTGATCGCTGCCTGGCAGGCTACTTTGGATTTCCCAGCTGCCACCCTTGCCCTTGTAATAGGTTTGCTGAACTTTGTGATCCTGAGACAGGGTCATGCTTCAATTGTGGAGGCTTTACAACTGGCAGAAACTGTGAAAGGTATGGAATTCATATGCACTTTAATTTTTAGGTCTTTAACACTTTGTTCCAATCTCCTAATAGAGATCCATTGAGTAGAGACTCAACAATATTTAAGTGTGGGAGGGAGGACTGTTATAGGTCGGGGAGAGCATTGCTTTCTCACCCTTCAAAATCATCTTACGAGCCAGAAAATGCAGGATTAAATCAATAACACACATTTGCCTGGCATGTTACTTTCTATGTTCCTCAAATGTGACATGTAAATCGAGTGCTATTACATAGAGTTTAATTGACCATACGTTGAGACTTTTGATATAAAAACCAAAAGTCGTTTTGCAGAGCAAATGAACATCTTCTAAAATATTCAGTTTTCAGAGGTGCACTGTTTTAAAGCATAGCAAACCGTCATTGGCTAACATGTGATCTTTTCCTGGAAACATTTTGGTGAAAGGAAATTGTCTTGACAGGTGTATTGATGGTTACTATGGAAATCCTTCTTCAGGACAGCCCTGTCGTCCTTGCCTGTGTCCAGATGATCCCTCAAGCAATCAGTATTTTGCCCATTCCTGTTATCAGAATCTGTGGAGCTCAGATGTAATCTGCAATTGTCTTCAAGGTTATACGGGTATGCAGTATAGTGCTTGATGCAATTTTTTCTCTTTATCCCACACTGTAATCTGTAAAATGATCATATATTCATGACTTATCTGTCTTGGACAAATGTGTGGTGCAGAAATGGTAAGAAGACACAATGTGATAAATAGCTGCTTTATTGAACAAAGAATTTGAATGATTCACAAACCAATGACAATTAAAACTCATCAGCCACTGAGCTATGATTGTTTGCAAATAATGTTCTAGAAAACTAATTGACCAAATGAGACCAAATCAAGTTAATTTATTTAAAATAAAATTATCACGTTAAGTAAGATATAAATGTGATAAAGTAGCATATATATTATATATAACAAGCAACTAAAAAATAAATGGAATTAGTCAAATGCTTTCTTTACATAATTTCAAATATTCAATTTGATATTTCACAGACATTACTAATTTTTTTCAGGTAGCTTGAAGCAATATTTGGGCATTCTACAGCCATCACATAAGTCTTAATTCAAAACATGTATCTCTTGCTCAATTGAAAATTTTATTTTAAAGACTTTAAGAGGGCTAGGCACAGTGGCTCACACCTGTAATCCCAGTACTTTGGAAGGCCGGGAAGTGGGTGAGGGAGGATTACTTGAGGCCAGGAATCCAAGACCAGCCTGGGCCGCAAAGCAAGACCCTGTCTCCACAGAGAAATTTTAAAAATTAGCTAGGCATGATGGATTGCACCTGTAGCCCTAGGTACTGGGGAGGCTGAGGCAAGAGGATCGCTTGAGCCCAGGAGTTCATGGCTACAGTGAGCTCTGATTATGCCACTACACTCCAGCCTGGGGCCTATGCAACAGAGCAAGACCCTGTCTCTAAATTAAAAAAAAAAAAAAAAAGGTATTTACACATGAAACATGAGTGTGAATGTTTACTGAAAATAAGAAGATAACTTATGAAGTCTATTTGATTTAATGATATGTAGAACTTATGGCAATACTAATGATAATTACCATCACGATAAATTACATGCCTGATTTTCCCCTCATTTGTTACATCTAAGGTTAACAGTTAATTCTCACCTCTTCCCTTGCAGCCTCTTTCCCAATGCATGGTTTGGTATGTTTGGTCAGTTTTTAAGAACTGAGACCATGTTTGGGCTAAGTGAACATTTCCAAGTGGGATGAACCAAAATGTGGAGAGTGGAGCCACAGTTTGGGCACCTAAAAAGCCGCAGTCATCTCATGGTTGCAAGGGTAAAGAGTGTTAGAGAGAAAGGTGGTTCCTTCAGACTGCTTAACAGAAACACCCTCAAGGGCTCATATGTCATGAAAACTGCTCTTGCTCATCTTCACTTCTAGAAGTGACAGCTATTGCTGTTTGGGACTTTCTCTTCAGGCCTGCTTTATTTTCACCTTAGTTCACCTCTAGGATCAACTGAGAGTGGGTTGCCCCAGGAGACCAGGGGCTGAGATTAGTCTTGGGTCCTGGGGCACGCTAGTGTGATGCTGATTATATAAGGATCTAGAAATCCTGTGCCCACAGCTCCATGGTATTTGAAGAAAGCCTGGAATCCATTCTCCACCAAACACTTTAGAGAGCCGAATAATCATTTTATTCTTTAAATGAATAATAATGAAAATGAAGGTTTTGTTTCACTTAGAACACTTTTCGTTATTCACCCCGAATGTGTGATTTCTCATTATTCCTAGAGGAGCCCAATAATTTTCTATTTACAACATCCATCTCCTCCTCTCTCCCAACACTGATACCTCACCCCATTCCTTTTCCTCCCACTTTCTTTCAGGTACTCAGTGTGGAGAATGCTCTACTGGTTTCTATGGAAATCCAAGAATTTCAGGAGCACCTTGCCAACCATGTGCCTGCAACAACAACATAGATGTAACCGATCCAGAGTCCTGCAGCCGGGTAACAGGGGAGTGCCTTCGATGTTTGCACAACACTCAGGGCGCAAACTGCCAGCTCTGCAAACCAGGTCACTATGGATCAGCCCTCAATCAGACCTGCAGAAGTAAGTCTGCAAAACTCCCAGGGGGAAATGTGTCAGCTGAGTGACAGCTCATAAGTGTGTTGTCAGCTCTCCCATGATCATTTCAGTTAGGCCAGTCCCAGCAGGCAAAAGCAGCACCCACTAGGTGACAGGGCTGTTGTACGGAACTCATCAACAGAAATTAGTGCATTGCAACCACTGGTATTCTCAGATGCAGCCACAATGTTCTCACTGGTGTTATTAGTTTGCCTTTTGTGTCTGTTGCCTGAAATACCTGTCCTAGTGGATTCAAAGCGTTGTTTCTCAGAGTTTAGTCCGCAGTTCACCTGTGCCAGAGCAGTGGGGAGGTGAGGTGTATTAACATGCAAATTCCTAGGCTGTACTTCAGACCTACTGAGTCAGAATCTCTGGGAGTGACGCCCAGGAATCTGCATTGTAACAAACTCATCATGTGACTGTAATGTGTACGTAAACCATTGTTTTCAAGTCATTTAAATAAATGGAACTTTGGTGAGTGACATGAGGGAAAAATAAGACTTTTAATCATCCTAACTGTGAGCTCTTGGAGCAAGTTCGACCACATGAACTTGCATTTGGGGAGATCAGAAACCATTAAATGGGTTCAACCTACATAGATTCTTTGGTAAATTCTTTACTATTATAAGGCGTTCATTCTTTGAGCCCCTTGGAGAAATGATACATCCAGGTCTAAAACGCTGTTTGTATGGTTTGCTAAATGCCACATTTATCATTGAATTTACCTCTGATGATGGTTTTGTCATCACAGGATGCTCCTGCCATGCTTCCGGCGTGAGTCCCATGGAGTGTCCCCCTGGTGGGGGAGCTTGCCTCTGTGACCCTGTCACTGGTGCATGTCCTTGTCTGCCGAATGTCACAGGCCTGGCCTGTGACCGTTGTGCTGATGGATACTGGAATCTGGTCCCTGGCAGAGGATGTCAGTCATGTGACTGTGACCCTAGGACCTCTCAAAGTAGCCACTGTGACCAGGCAAGATACTTTAAAGCTTACTAGTGCACTCAAAGTGAGCATGATAGTGAGACATGGTTTCTAAATGTGTAAAGAAAGTTTCTTTTATGTACTGTTGTTAATTAGTGCATTGAAACAGGATTGGCCTTACAGGGGATGGAGTCAGCCTCTATCAAGGAATGAAAACCAAAAAAAGAGAATGAGCATCTCAAAGTTCAGCTTCGCCTACTTCAGTTTTCTCTCTGTGACTGAGGAAGTCAGAATTCATACACAGTGAAACACAGACATCAGCCTCACCTTTCACTATTTCATACATGTAACCATAGGGAAGACCTAAGAAATAGTTAATCAGAAGAGATTATGAATCAGAATGAAAATAAACAGATACCTTCAAAACCCACAAGTCCATTAAAAAAACTGAGCTGTTGTTTCCTATTGCTCACCAATTGCTTTACATATGGGTAAAATAAGAAGTCTTCTTGACTTCCAGACTGGCATCAATCATATCTTAAGAATGTAGGCATGTGTACCAGGAGCAAATCTTCAATGTTTCATATACAACTAATACTACATAGATAGATGCACGTGTGATTTTTCAGTCAATAAACCAGTGGGCACAGAATTTTTAATGAGGATAACATTACTTGTGGGAAAAAAACTATTTGTTAATAACATGCTTAGTTTTTTTGGTGGTTGTTTTGTTTTTGTCTTTTGGCTTAATCTATTCTTTGAAACAATTTTCACATTAATAGAGTTTGGGGGAGAAAGGGTAAAAACAATGACAAGAAATGTTAGAAAAAGCCAAATTCACAATATAGGGATCAGGATTTAATTGGAATGAAAATGCGAATTTAAGAAACTGGAGTCTTTCCAATTAGTAAGCATGGCTCACCTCCAATTTCAGCTCCACTATTCAACCTATTATTCAAAGGTCAAGTCTTTTGAAGGTAGTTCTTATATGGAGAATGGGTTTTTCCTTCTCTTCTTTTTCTTTCTCTCCAATCCTCATCCACCAACACACACAAACACCATATCTTTTTTTTTTTTTTTTTTTTGAGACAAGAGTCTTGCTCTGTTGCCCAGGCCTGAGGGCAGTGGTATGATCTTGGCTCACTGCAACCTCTGCCTCCTGGGTTCAAGCGATTCTCCTGCGTCAGCCTCCTGAGTAGATGGGATTACAGGCGCCCACCACCACGCCCAGCTAATTTTTGTATTCTTAGTAGAGACAGGGTTTCACCATGTTGGCCAGGCTGGTTTCAAACTCCTGATCTCAAGTGATCCGCCCACCTCAGCCTCTCAGATTGCTAAGATTACAGGTGTGAGCCACGACGCCCAGCCCCCACAACATACCTTTTTAAAAATAAGCTTTTTATTTTAGAATATATTTGTGAAGTTGTAAAGAGAGAACAGAGAAAATAAACCCCATATCCAGTTTCTTCTATTATTAACACCTTATATTAATTTAATAACATTTGTCACTATGCATGAATATTGATACATTATTGCTAACAAATTTAGTCAGATTTCCTTAATTTTTACCTAATGTCCTTTTTCTGTTCCAGGAGTCCATTCAGAACACATTATATTTAGTCATCTTATTTCCTGAGGCTCCTCTTGGCTGCGACAGTTTCTCAGGCCTTCCTTATTTTGTAGAATGTCCATCAATTCAAATTGATCTGATATTCTTCTCATGATTAGACTGGGTTTATAGGTTCCGAAAACACCAGAGAAGTCAAGTGCCACTCTCATCACATCCTATCAGGGGTACATATTATTAACACGACTTATCCCTGTTAATGTCAGTCTTGGTCACCTGGCTGAAGCAGTGTTTGTCAGACTGTTATATCATCAAGTTACTCTTTTTCCTCCTTCTTCTACTGTGCTCTACGGAAGGAAGTCACTATGTGCAACCTACTTAAGGAGTAGGGAGCTATGCTCTTCCTCCTCGAGGACAGAGTATCTCCACAAATCATTGGAATTCTTCTGCACTGGAGATTTGTCTGTTGTCTTACGTTTATTCATTCATTCGACCATTTATTTATATCAGCATGGACTCATGGATATTTATACTTTTGGGGATAGTCCAACACTACTTTATTTTGTGGTTCAAATTGTTCCAGCTTTGGTCACTAGAAGATCTCTCAGTGGCTCCTGTGTCCCTTTGACATAGGCCAATACTGTAGAGTTTTTAAAAGCATTCCTTACTTTCTGGCACTGCAAAATATTTCAGGCTCATCTTATGTATTCTCTGCCCCAGTCCTAGAATCAGCTATTTATCTAGGGAGCACTGATTCCTTTACTAGAGAATGGTATTAGAAACCAAGATCTGGACACTGGATGGTCATGCCTGTTTTATAAGCTCCCCTCCACTCCCCACACCTGCAGCCACCAACCATGGAATAAAGTGGTAGATCTCCACGTGACCACCTGGCTTCCCAATTCTTGAGGGACTCCTAGTGCTCAAGACAACACTATGTGGCAAGTTTCTTAGACCTTTTGGGAAGCATGTTTGTAGCAGCATTCAACAAAAACCACAGTTCCAAGGTAGCCTTGAAGCTGAAAGTTAGATGGTATTGGTTTAACCAGGAAGCCCCTCATAACAAGGGTCCTTTGGGTTATTTGGTGCATAGGGGATCCCATGGGGGAACACTGGTCTCTGCAATCAAGAAACATGTTCACTGGAGTACGGGGAAGACGTGGATATTTAGATTCCCAGCTGTTTAAACAACTACTGATAGATGTCTCTATGTTAGCCAAGAGGTGGTTCCTGGTACATTCCCACAGAGAGATCCAAATGTGCCATCCAATATTTTCATCAACACTTTAGATGGAGTTGGAGAAACATGCTTCCCAAATTTGCAGATATTACAAAGCCGTAAGCTAATATGATAAAGACAGAACAAGATATCCCAATAGGCTGTCATGCAGGCTGGAAACAAGGAGATGAAATGTTAACAGGTTAAAAGTAAAGTTTTGCAATTGGGTTTTTTAAATCCCTTGCATAAATACGGGGTGGGAGTAATAACTTGGCACAGCTCTTGTGAGAAAAATCTGAGGATTTTCATTGCGTGCAGGCTTCAGTGAGCCAGCAGTGTGGCAGGGCTGCCAAAGAAGCGACGCCTGAACAGGCTGGAGTAGGGGGGTGCTGTGCCCAGGTTAAGGGCAGTTACTGTCCCATTATCTGTTCTACTGGCCTGGTGGTGCCAGGAGCATTGTTGTCATTTCTGAGCACCATATTTTAAACATTATACTGACAGACTAGTACGTGCCCAAAGGGAGACAACCAAGATAATGGACAGAACTATGCTATTCCGTGATGAAGGCTAGAGAGAATTAGAGGTGATGGGCCTGAAGAAAAGAAGCCAAGGCAGGTTGGGATGGCCATCTCTAGTTGGGAGAAGGACTGTAAGGGGAAAGAGGCAATTGCAAACTGGTTTGTGCAATTTCGTAAGGACACATAACAATGGGAACAAGTTAAAAGGTGGCAGATTCAACCCCGTCTCTACTAAAAATA
The DNA here is from genome assembly GCF_000001405.40 of Homo sapiens. NCBI lineage: Eukaryota > Metazoa > Chordata > Mammalia > Primates > Hominidae > Homo > Homo sapiens. The sequence goes on along the minus strand of NC_000007.14, from coordinate 108,059,280 downwards.
CAAAAAAATTAGCCAGGCATGGTGGTGGGTGCCTGTAGTCCCAGCTACTCGGGAGGCTGAGGCAGGAGAATGGTGTGAACCCGGGAGGTGGAGCTCGTAGTGAGTGGAGATCACGCCACTGCACTCCAGCTTGGGCGACTGAGCAAGACTCCATCTCAAAAAAAAAAAAAAAAAAAAAAAAAAGTGGCAGATTGTACTTCGGTATAAGAAAGCACTGCCCAACAATTGGGTCAATCAGCAGTACGACAGGCCTCGGGGCAACAAGCACCACCTAACTCCTTATATTTGAGCAGAAGCTGGCAGGAACTGCAAAGATATTGAAACGTGGCAGATCCAGGCCAGGTGTGGGTAATCCCAGCACTTTGGGAGGCTGAGGCAGGTGGGTCGCTTGAGGTCAGGAGTTCGAGACCAGCCTGGCCAACATGGTGAAACCTCATCTGTATTAAAAATACAAAAAATTGCCGGGTGTGGTGGTGCACACCTGTAGTCCCAGCTACTTGGGAGGTTGAGATGGGAGTAATCACTTGAACCTGGGAGGCAGAGGTTGCAGTGAGCTGAGGTTGCACCACTGCCGTACAGCCTGGGCAACAGAGCGAGACTCCGTCTCAAAATAAAAGAAAAGAAAAGGAAAGAAAAGTGGCAGATCCAGTCACTCTAAGAATCTAGCCACTTATTCACAGGAAACTTACGGAGTTGTTGTTTAAGCAGCTAATTTAGGACTACAACAATAGTGATTTGCTTTTATATTTTCTCCTGTTAATTTTCCAACCTCCTCAGTTTTCAGAAAAGCTGGTCAAGAGTTCAGTTGGGAGGGTAAAGAAAAGTTCAGCCCTCTCTGAAAAACACAGTTAAGTAACTCTCATTAAATCATTAAGCCTGAAGTACAAAAAAAAGATGTTTTTTTGAGCAAAACGCTAATCCAGTTGGTGAAAACTACATCATACATTCCATAATGAAAACATTACTTGACACATTAACTGATGAATGTTAGACCAGGTCTTTGGCCTCACTCACTTATGGAGGAACTCCCATAACAGTTGAGGAAAATAATCTGGCCCATTTCCCATTATGTGTTTTGTTTTCATTTACATCTGTGTATGTTTCCCAGTTTGGGCCACCTGTCCCTGAACAGCTGGAAGCAGGCGATATATTCAGGAGCTTTAGGCCAAAGCACATTAACTCCTGATCCTTGGTATTGTCGGGGGTGGCTGCTGGACATGGGAATCATCCTTCCTCCGCCTTTGCACAGCTGTATGTTCTAATTCACTGGAGGGGAAAATATTTCCTATTAAAATGCATTTTTTTTTAGACCATAAAACTTGTCAATTCCTCACCCATGACTGTTCTCACAGCTTACAGGCCAGTGTCCGTGTAAATTAGGTTACGGCGGGAAACGTTGCAGTGAGTGCCAGGAAAATTATTATGGTGATCCACCTGGGCGATGCATTCGTAAGTATTGGGATTTCTAAAAACTCATGCGTACAGTCAGCCTGGCCCTACCATGGACATGCTATGAACCAACTGAATTTTAAATTTCTTTTTTTGGTGCTTTTAATAAGGTGGACTTAGAAAACTCACAAAGTTTAATTCTACATTTTGAAAATAATCTTCCTATAGCCCTGCAAAAAGATTATTTTCCTCCTATGTTAAAAATTTAGCCTATATTAAAATTCGTAGCCTGTCTTAAAATTCCTCAAACTCATTACAAATGGAACAGTCAGCTTCCAAAAGAAGAAAATCCAAAGAAATATCAGGTATCATGGGCTTATCACCATGGTCAGCCATACATAGCCACGCATGGCAACTCTTTCCTCCTCTCCATTCCTTTATAAATGTGCCCTTGTGGCTAAAAAATATTGCTCATTCCCTTGCCCCATTCAAATGCACATTCTGAATGATTTTCTCTGGGCCCCACTTATTCAGTTTTCTAAGTGGAATTGCTGGGTTAAAACCCAGGGTGAAACTTTGGCTCTTGGAAAATCTATCTTAGAGCCTATTTCCCTGTGTCCGTCTACTATTTTGATAATCTTATTTCATAAAAATGCTTTCATCTTTTATAGAGAAGCAGTAGAAGAAACTGCAAATAATCAAGTCAGGCCACAGACCCCACTAAATCTCCTGGGGAAGAGCGGCTAAGGATGGGAAATGGCCTCCAGGTGATGAAGTGACATGACACCACCCCTCTGGACCAAGGCCAATGTGCTGGACAGATGAACTAGCTGAAGAGCCCTAGTGTGTTAACTAGTTTTTATTTGTAATTGGCATTATTTTTACATAAACTGACAAATGCTTTTTTTTTTTTTTTTTTTGAGACAGGGTCTCACTCTGGTTGCCTGTGCTGGAGTGCAGTGGCATGATCACAGCTCACTGCAGCTTCAGCCTCCCTGGGCTCAGGTGATCCTCCCACCTCAGCCTCCAGAGTAGCTGGGAATACATGTGTATGCCACCACACCTGGCTAATTTTTGTATTTTTTGTAGAGATAGGGTTTCACCATGTTGCTCATGCTGGTCTCGAACTCCTGGGCTCAAACAATCCACCTGCCTTAGCCTCCCAAAGTGCTGGGATTACAGGCATGAGCCACTGCACCCAGCCTCAAATGCATTTTTAAATTACTTGTTCCTTGCAGTTGGTCCAAAAACATAGGCTAGTGATTCCCTAACCTTTTGGAAATTGCAGTAAGATCAATAGATCTCCCTATCCTCTATCTTCAGGCTTGGTCAGAAACCTACTCAAAGAAAGTACCGTGTGGAGTCAGTAATTTTTTTAAATTAAGACAAAATGAATTTAATTTCCCCTCCTTTTTGGAAAATGAAATTGTTTTCCTTATGTAATGGAAGACAGCGTGGTCATCACACCCAAGCTGGGCTTTACTCAGAAGAAGTGTGACCATGGGACTTCTTAGAGAGTCTCGACACACCTGAACCACCCTCGGAGGCTGTAACAGCAGAGTTACTATCGTGTGTCCATCATTAAATCATACTTCTTACTCAAATAGATGAGGATCCCACTTGTAGATGCTTGCACTCACACAATAAAAACGTCTGATATTTGCCAAATTGAAATAGTAAACTGATTTCTTAGTGGAATATAGAGAGCCATGCTGTCTTATAATGGCTATTGCACAGATCTCTGAAATTATATTGGCTTTAAATATTCATCTTAGAAGTGTGAGTTGGGAAGATTTTCAGGAGAGAGGAAAAGACCTGATTCTTGAGTTAGTCATCAACAAAAGGCCCAGTGACATTCTCTGCTCCTTCTGTTTTCCTTTTTAGCATGTGATTGTAACAGGGCAGGTACCCAGAAGCCCATCTGTGATCCAGACACAGGCATGTGCCGCTGCCGGGAGGGTGTCAGCGGCCAGAGATGTGATCGCTGTGCCCGGGGACACAGCCAGGAATTCCCTACTTGTCTTCAATGTCACTTGTGCTTTGATCAGTGGGACCACACCATTTCTTCCCTCTCCAAAGCGGTGCAAGGGTTAATGAGACTGGCTGCTAACATGGAAGATAAAAGAGAGACCCTGCCTGTCTGTGAGGCAGACTTCAAAGACCTCAGAGGGAACGTGTCTGAAATAGAAAGGATTTTGAAACATCCTGTTTTCCCATCTGGGAAATTCTTAAAAGTCAAGGATTATCATGACTCTGTTAGGTAAGATTTATGCTCAAGTAACAGACAGCCAAACTCCTGATTTACCTTAACTCCCACCAAGCTTTAACATCGTCAGCCTTCAATTTAGAAATGTACCTATGTTGACTTTAGGGGACTGATAGTTGTTCAGTTAATAACCAGGCTGGGCCGGGCGCCATAGCTCACGCTTGTAATCCCAGCACTTTGGGAGGTTGAGGCGGGTGGATCACTTGAGGTCAGGAGTTCTACACCAGCCTGGCCAACATGGAGAAACCCCCTCTCTACTAAAAATACAAATATTAGCCAGGCATGGTGGCAGGTACCTGTAATCCCCACTACTTGGGAGGCTGAGGCAAGAGAATTGCTTGAACCCAGGAGGCGAAGGTTACAGTGACCCAAGATCATGCCATTGCACTGCAGCCTGGGCGACAAGAGTGAAACTCTGTCTCAAAAAAAAAAAAAAAACAGCTGGAAATCATGTATGTCTACTTTTTTCTCACCTAGTTAGGATTATATGTGATTTTTCCAGATGCCATTGATTGTAACAAAAAGACAGTCATTAATGGGGAAGCCCAAACTCAGTAAAGCTGAAAGATATAAAATTGGAAGTATGGTAGTTTCAAAAACAACATATTTTTTTCAATGATACACCTAGGGAAAATTTACCAAACCTTCCCAAGTTCTTCAGTTGTTTAGAAGCCTATACATTAATATGAAGTCTTATACCAAGTATGGTCATTTCTTGAAAATGCAAGCTCATTTTTACTACATATTACTGAATCTTTTTTTAAAATTTAACCATTTGTTGAGATTATGTTGATAGTTTTGGGCCACGGCTCAGCAAACTACAGCCCACAGGTGGAATCTGACACAGCCTTTGTTTATGTAAATAAAGTTTCCTTGGAGCACAGCCACACCCATTTATTTACCCCTCCTCTGTGGCTGCACTCTCTACAATGGCATAGTTGAGTAGTTATGACAGAGATGCTATGATTCCTAAGGCAAAGTTTGCCAACCTGTTAAGGGCAAAACCAGGATGAATTGGGTATAGTTTCTACCCCCATAGAAGCACACAGTCTGCTAAGGAACTCCAAAAGTGTGCTTATCTAGCAAAATATCCTTCCTCCCCAAGAAAAGGTCCTGGATTAAGGAATAGTTGAAGCTGCAGAGGCTCATGTCATATATAACATGAGTGTAAATATAAGGTAACTCATTATCTATAGGGAAATATCCCAGAAATATATGATAATTGCTTAAAAGGTGCACAAGGAAGAAGGTATCACCCACCTAGGTAGTTCAGGGAAAGGGCCACTGCATCATAAATGCAGTGACAGGGCCCAGGGAGGACAAATGGCCAGCCAGGGTCAAGCTGGCAGGTGACAACAGGCACATCTATACTTCTCTAAAGACTTCTGGGCTGGGCACAGTGGCTTTCCCCTGTAATCCCAGCACTTTGGGAGGCTGAGGCAGTAGGATCACTTGAGGCCAGGAGTTCGAGACCAGCCTGGGCTACATAGCAAAAGGATCATGTGAGCTCAGGAGTTCAAGGCTGCAGTGAACTATGATTGTGCCACTGCACTCCAGTCTGGATGATAGAATGAGACCCTGTCTCTAAAAACAAAAAAGCAATACAACTTCTGCGTTGCAAGATCTAGACCCCTATGTTAACAGATCTCCTCAATTTTCAAGAGATGTCAGACATCCATATTTTTACTGAACTATCCCCACTTCAAAATGTATACAGCTAATCCAATAGCACTTGTAAGAAGCCCTACTGTATAGCCCAAAGAAAACTTGTCTGAGAATGAGCTTTGGCCCATGGACCACAAGCTTGTGGTTAGACACCATTAGGAAAATGTCGGACAAAGCACAAAGAAAGCAGAATGAGCCAATCCACCATGGACGTTCTGGACAGAGACTGCAAGAGCCACAGGCAGAGCCAGAGAGAAAGAGCGAGAAAGAGGAGTGCCCAGCCCAGGTCTGGAGTGAGGAGAAAGCAGTGGCTGCTGAGCTTCTTCAACCAGCAGCCCAGAGGCCTGTTCCCTCCTAGCCCACCTGCCAAACTCCTACTTCTCTTTAACAGCCACACAAACATCACCTCCTCCCTGAAGCCTTTCCTGACTTCCTCACAGAGAAGCCTGTATTTCCTTCTCCATCTTCTCACCTCTTTATGCTCCTTTGCCATTGCCTCGCTGTGGGGCACCCTGGACAGGGCCTGCCTTCTCACGTGCTTGTCTTCTCCAGGCCTCATGTAGTTCTATTAAAAAAAATGTTGCTGGGTAAACTACAGGTGGAAGGGGAACAGGAGGACAAAGAACCCCAGGTGTCATGAGCATAAATTCAGAAGTCAAACTACCCGGTTTAAATCCACTTACTAAATGTGTGGCTTTCGGCAAGCTACTAAACTCCTCCAAGCTTCAATTGCTTCATCAAAAGAGAGAAAGTCTGGATTTCATAGGATTCTTGTGAGAATTACTCAAGACCCATCACTTAGCATAGTGTCCGGCATATGTAAGTGCTTAAGGAGTCCCAATTAGAGTAATTATCATTATTTTTATTGTTATTATTGTTAGCCTGAAGAATTGCAGTTGTGACAATTGGAGCCTGAAGGAAGAGTCTATAGATTAGAGGGGAGAGTTACAAAAGAAAATGGAAGGAAGCATTGCCATTGTGCCAAGATAAATTAGTCCCATAAATTCATTTTATAACTTCCCCCAACTGTACACTTCAAGATTTGCACAGTTTCTCCATCATGAGGAATGTGTTCATTATCCCCTCGAAGTAACAGTAGGTGCTAAACCCAGCAAATTGAAGCACAACAAAGGTGTACCCCATCAAAGAAGAAGGTGATGGAAAAAAACCCAGGGGAACACTCACCAGCAAGAAAACCTCCCTGTCACTAATGGAAAATAAGAGTTGGGACCCTGAACAGAAGTTACACTAAAAAGAACCTTGCTGAATGCAGATTGATTCTAAATGAAGACCTGATTTGACCCCAGGCTAAGTAAACGGTTCTATTTTACCATATGTTGAAAGCCAAAAGCTCCCTTAGATTGATTTAATTGAAGCATGTCTGAATGCATGTTTTGAAACCCAAAACGAAGAAAGACAGAGCATAAACAGTCAAAATGGAATGATTTGAGAGCCTTTATTCTACTAGACCTGGTATGCTGTCCATATTTTAAATGAATGTTGCAATAGTCCAGGAAGGTGAATTAAGATGAAAGAGATGAGACATAAACACAATTATAAACCGTCAAATGAAAAACTCGAGTAGAAGGAATCCCTTCTAATCAAGAATTCCTAACAATGAGGGCAATTTTGGTGGCATTTTTTTCACCAATATATCAAATGTAATACAAGCTTAACTACATTTACCCTTATTTCCTCTATAGAAGACAAATCATGCAGCTAAATGAACAACTGAAAGCAGTGTATGAATTTCAAGATCTGAAAGATACAATAGAAAGAGCAAAGAATGAAGCAGACCTCTTACTTGAAGACCTTCAGGAAGAAATTGATTTGCAATCCAGTGTCCTTAATGCAAGCATTGCGGGTAAGGGAAAAATGTATTTTTGACTGTGTCTGCACAAAGTTTGATGAAATCCACAGTGCATTCCATTAGTGAGTCGTCCCCTGCTTACCACCATAGTGCCTGAGCACTTTAGAACATGCAAACACAACCATTAAAGGTATTATTTGTTCATGGATATTTCAACTTTTTAAACATCACAGAGCCTGGCTAGCATTCACTCAAAAATAACAAGTAAACAATGTCTGATATTAAACAAATGCTAACACCCAAAGTAATCTAGTGCCAAACCCATGTAAGGGGTCTTGAATAATCAACAACTTAGAAATTCTAATATGGCCATAAGCAAATGAGAGAGACATGTTTATATGCCTTTCTCGGTATAGGCCACTCCATTTTCAGTGACCATAAATGCAATGGAATGTGAGGCAAAAAAAACCCCACAATATTTCTCATAAGAGCTTTGTAAGAATGAGAGTCATGCAACATACTACACACCCTTAACTCATATTGCATAGTTCTTAAAACTGAATGTGAGCTATGCCTAAGCCAAGATAATTTGCAAGAGAAATGGAACTCTAAAGCAAAACTTTTGATTAGTTCATCTCCTATTCAAGATCATACCCCTGTTATATTTGGAAATGGACAACCTGTTACTACTGAGAGAAGCATCACTGAGTTTATTCACACCTAAGCCATCCAATTGAGAGACAGATGGAAAATATACATGAATCCATGTCAGGAAAAAACTTTGGCTGCTTTCATTGTCCTATGTATATACTCCTGTGTTTTATCTGATTTTGACCTAGAAGAGAAAAAAAAAATAGAAGGCAGGTAGGAATACCTAATTTCCCTAAAGGGATGCCTAAATTTAGTGAAACAAATTCTAGCAAAGATGTATTGATGATGTTCAATAAATGCCATGTAATGAGTAAGGAATCTACTCTGATTCCTAATCTAGAAGACAGTTCCCACTGAAAGAACTCAAAATCCATCAGAGGTCACCCCACGCCAGGTAAAATAAAGTGAAACTGCCCCCATGCTAATCCTCTCAAATTTGCAGTCCAACAGCAGTTACTGGGCTTTTTTCCAATGCCTGACATTGTGCAGTAGAAACAGGCAGATCATTACAGCAAGTCCCTACCTTTGAGTTATTTCTGTCTAATGGGGGCAGGGGACAAGAATATAAACCACTGCAAACAGCATTAAGACTGTTAGAGCATCTTCAAGCTGCTTCAAAAACAGAGTAGCAAAAACGGAATCCTTCCTGGGTTCATTAGTAAAGTCTTCAGGGAATAGGTGGCAATTGAATTATCTCCACAGGGTAGGAGAAAATCTGCCATAAAAATGAAAGAAGAAACTAATTCCAAGCAATAGGAACACTTTTTTCATGATAAGTGAAAAGCATGATACATTAAGAGTATGGTCTTATAGAACCAGAAAAGTTTGAAAGATAAGGTGTGGTTGTCTCCTGCCTGGATTATGGTTCTATAGGGAGTAAAGATCAGATCAGGACCGTGGGCCTCTGATTCCTAAAATATGGAGTTATGGTTTAAACCCCTAATATACTATAATTTACATTAAAATATACCATACATACCTTATTACTTTCACAAATTTGTATTAATAATGCAAACATAGAAAATGTAGAGAAGTGCTTAAGAACACAGGCTCTGGAGTCAAACACCCTGGATTCACATCCTGGCTTCATCTCTTACTATCAATGAGAACTTAGGCAAATAAGTTTCCTCAATAGAGCCTCAGTTTCCTTATTTGAAAATGAATATGATCATACTAATGTGCATTTCACACTGTTTTGTGAAGATTGAGGAAGAAAATTGATGGGAAGTATAGTACAGGCACCTACAAAGCACCCAACTAGCTGTTAGCTATTGTTAGCAGCCTCAACATCAGGGTTCAGGAAACCGCAGCATCAGGGTGAATCCTGCCCACAGCCTGTCTTTGTAAATACTGCTTCAGTGGAACACAACCTCACCTCTTTATTTACATACTGCCTGTAGCTGCTTTCACTCTACAATGGCAGAGGTGAGTAGTTGGAATAGAAATGCTATGGCCAGCAAAGCCTAAAACGTTAATTATTTGGCCTTTGCAGAAAAAGTTTGTCAACTCCTGCTCTATACGGTTAAGTAAATTTAGTTGGTTTATTATATTTGAGTGTATATAGGTATTCATAGTTAATATCTTATATTTGTGGAAATTATTTACAGAATATATTCATATTATCTCAATTCTCACAAATTATTATCACCAATTTACAGAGGAAGAAATGAAATATAAGAGATGAACTGATTTGCTCAAGGGTATGCCCAGGCAGTAAAGGGTGAAGCCAGGACTCACACCACATCTGTGGACTTAAATCTCAATGCCCTGTATCTATTCTATCCATATTTATTATACTATAGCTAATCCTTCCCCCATCAATTGCAAATTCAAGGAAGATGTTGAAATTTTATGGTGATAGTTGAGACCAAGACAGTAGCCAAATTATAGAATGATTATCTTAATAACTTATATATAATTTCATTTGTTTTCACAAAATTTACCTTACTTCAATTTGCATTGACGTAGACTCCTCAGAAAACATCAAGAAATATTATCACATATCATCATCTGCTGAAAAGAAAATTAATGAAACTAGTTCCACCATTAATACCTCTGCAAATACAAGGAATGACTTACTTACCATCTTAGATACACTAACCTCAAAAGGAAACTTGTCATTGGAAAGATTAAAGCAGATTAAGATACCAGATATCCAAATATTGAATGAAAAGGTAAATATTCATGATGGTAAGGTCAAAGCATTTGTGGTTTTTACTTGGTATATGAACCTCTTCAATGATATTTCCCTAGCTTACATTTTAAATTTCTTTTTCATTATATATTAGAAATATATAAATATATGTAGGTATATAAAATATATATGTTTTATTATATACTATAAAAAGCCTTATTTTTATTTAACTCAAAAATTGATCAAAGAGTAAAGATTGTGGCTTGATTATTTGATATTATTTACTATTTCTAAAACAGTACAGGCTATGAACATTTGCTCCTCTTGCCTCATTACAAGAAAAAGGCTAATTCTCTCAAAAGAATACAAAGTGCAGGCTGGGCACGGTGGCTCACGCCTGTAATTCCAGCACTTTGGGAGGCCAAGGTGGGCAGATTACTTAAGGCCAGGAGTTCGAGACCAGCCTGGCCAACATGGTGAAACCCCGTCTCTACAAAAAACAAAAATTACCTGGGGGTAGTGGCGTGCACCTGTAATCTCAGCTGCTCAGGAGGTTGAGGCAGGAGAATCGCTTGAACCTGGCAGGTGGAGGTTGCAGTGAGCAGAGATGGTGCCTCTGCACTCCAGCCTGGGCGAGAGAGCGAGACTCATCTCAATAAATAAATAAATAATTAAATAAAAAGTGAAACTCACATGTAATTCCTAAAAGTTTGACTGTTTTCTCAGAAAACCATAAATATAAAGGATGACAGACTGACACAATACTGATAAGTAATTTAGATGTTTAGTTACCTAGGAAATGTTTAATGGGTTACCCCCATGTACCAAGGATGAACAACTATTGAAGAAACATATGAATAAAGCAGTGCCTTGACTCAAGGAGCCTGGATGGCATTAGAGTTCTGACAGCCAGGCCACATGCCTGTAATCTCAGCACTTTGGGAGGCCGAGGTGGGCGGATCACCTGAGGTCAGGAGTTTGAGACCAGCCTGACCAAAATGGTGAAACCCTGTCTCTACTAAAAATACAAAAAATTAGCCAGGCGTGGTAGTGGGTGCCTGTAATCCCAGCTACTTGGGAGGCTGAGGCAGGAGAATCTCTTGAACCCAGGAGGAGAACGTTGCAGTGAGCCAAGGTCACGCTATTGCTCTCCAGCCTGGGCAACAAGAGCAAACTCCGTCTCAAAAAAAAAAAAAAAAAAAAAAAAGCTCTGACAACAAGTTGCTATTTAACGTAAATCATTTCTCTTGCAAGGTGTGCGGAGATCCAGGAAATGTGCCATGTGTGCCCTTGCCCTGTGGCGGTGCTCTCTGCACGGGCCGGAAGGGGCACAGGAAGTGTAGGGGTCCCGGCTGTCACGGCTCCCTGACCCTCTCAACGAATGCCCTCCAAAAAGCCCAGGAAGCAAAATCCATTATTCGTAATTTGGACAAACAGGTTCGTGGGTTGAAAAATCAGGTAAATATCTTCTCTTGCTTTATTTGTAAAGTTATAGCAATAAAGAAGCAGACTGCTTAAAATTTATAAAACTGCCATATAACTTCCAAGTGAGAAGATAGATTCTAGATAGTTGGTGTTCTTGTGCCTGGAAATATAGGATAAAATTACAGATGATATGAATGTAGATTTAGAAACAGAGGTTAATATTGATATATTTCCTGTTATATATATGTATACAGTTGACCCTTGAACAACATAGGGGTTAGGGGCACCAAGCCTCCACTCTACAATTGAAAATTTATGTGTAACTTTTGACTCCCCCAAAATTTAACTGCTAATAGCCCACTGTTGACTGGAAGCCTTACCCATAACTTAAACAGTCAATTAACATATATTTATGTATGTATTATATATCATAATATAACCATAAAGTAAGCTAGAAAAAAGAGAATATTATCAGAAAAATCATCAGGAAGAGAAAATATACTTACTATTCATTGAGAGGAAATAGATCATCATTAAGGTCTTCATCGTCATCACATTGAGTAGGCTGAGGAGGAGGAAGAAGAGGGGTTGGTCTTGCTGTCTCAGAGATGGCAGGGGTGGAGGAGGTGGAAGGGGAGGCAGAAGAGGCAGGCACACTCAGTGTAAGTTTTATTGAAAAAAATTTGTATATAAGTGGGCGTGTGCAGTTCCAACCTGTGTCATTCAAAAGTCAAGTGTGTACGTGTGTGTGTAAAGAGAGAGAGAAAGAATTCAAGATACATTATCATAGGTCATAGACTCGTGTGGACATGTTTGTTTACAGCAAAACCTACATAGAAATGTCAAGACTCCAAGCATTAAAAATTTGGAAACAGGCCAGGAGTAGTGGGTCACGCCTATAATCCTAGCACTTTGGGAGGCCAAGGCAGGAGGATCCCTTGAGCCCAGGGGTTCAAGACCTGCCTGGGAAACACAGGGAGGCCGTATCTCTACTTTATTTAAAATAATAATAATAATAATAAAAGAAATATATAAATTAATTTTTAAAAGGGTTGAAAACTATAGATCTCTCAAAGCAAAGAATAATTTTTCATAAATTCATAAATATGTAAGGGTATATTTGAAAACCTACTAAATATACAAATTGTAATGTTAGAATTTAATGTTAGAAAATAGCTTAATAGGAATTAAACCATACCTTGAACTCATTCCCCTGTTGATAGACTGAGAAAGTTGTTTTAACATTTAAGTACCTTATAATTAAATCTATAATGATTTGAAATAATTTCATTTACTTTTCTGGTCATTTATAAATGAGCATCATTTTTAATTACCTAGTTTTCTTTAGACTTTTTTTTTGAGAATGCATTTTATTCTGTGGTTTGAAAACAGGATAGTGGTGTGCTCCCCAATCTGTTTCTTTTTTGACAATACGCAAAGAGCCTCTGACAAAGAAGAAAAAGCTTTTAAAGAGCTGAATTTTTTACCACTATATGTTGAATATTGTATCACTAAGCATTCTTGTTTGCAAGCAAAAAAAGCCCACTCCTGGCCGGGTGCAGTGGCTCACACCTGTAATCCCAGCACTTTGGGAGGCCGATGCAGGTGGATCACCTGAAGTCAGGAGTTCGAGACCAGCCTGGCCAACATGGTGAAACCCCATCTCTACTAAAAAATACAAATACAAAAAAAAAAAAAAAAAAATTTAGCCAGGAGTGGTGGTGCATGCCTGTAATCCCAGCTACTCGGGAGACTGAGGCAGGAGAATTGCTGGGACCCGGGAGGCAGAGGTTGCAGTGAACCGAGATCATGCCATTGCACTCCAGCCTGCACCGACAACAGTGAGACCTCGTTTAAAACAAAACCAAAAACAAAAAGACCCACTCCTGAACAAGAAGGAAATATATGTAAGGACATCTGGGCCTCAAAATCCAGTAAAGGATAGAGGGCCAAGCTTGGGAATGGGGTGAGAACCACAGCCAAGATACACACACACACACATGCACACACACACACCCCCTATATCCTTGAGCAAGCATCTGATTAGCCAATCTGGAACATATCCCTACATAAATATTGAAACTTTACTTACATAGTCACAATTCTGTATTGCCACATCATTTTCCATTCACATGTCGTTCTTCATTGCTTTAACAAATATCCACCTACTGTGTGCCAGGCATCCATCTACAAGTTGAGAATACAGCAGCAAACATAGCAATGTAAATCCTGGTCTTATGTCCCAGTGCTTAAAACACACCTTCATTGTTTAATGTAATTTTAAACTATTATATTGCTCCTTCTCAAAAAAATAGAAACCTCACCCACATTTAAAGGAGTCCTGATTGCCACTTGATCATATCATTAAGTCAATAATATGTTAAGCTATCAGTGTTAAAAAATTATCCTTGAAATCCATATTAGCAGAAGCTAGTTTAATCAGCACATAAATGGAGAACTGGAAAACGATGAGAGGGGATGTCATGTTGATGAAATGGTGTGCTATTTTCCTCTTGATTAGAAGGAGGAAGAGTGCCAGAAGAGATTGTGAGAGAATTCTCAGGAGTCAGTTGTGACAGAAGATGGATTGCAGAGGGATGTTTTAAGAGTGAAGTAATTTCTTGATCTCTTTCTTTCTGAATATGGTATCAACTAATCTAGCCTGAGATTTCCTCTGTATCACTTGGTGCTTTGCTGCCTAGGGTATTTTATTTCTGGAATTCTCATTTTACTGCAATCCATTCTTACTGCTATCCATTTTAAAGCTAAGAAAGTTCTAGAGAATTAAGTAACAACTCTGAAAAAAAAGATACACATTTTTAATCATGTAAATACTTTTTTATTTCATCATTTGCCAGTGACTATAATTTAAATCCTTTTCTTAAAAATCTGTATGGCTCAAATTAAGCAGGCTCCTTTTGTGGGGAAATAAAGGGAATTTTTTTTCTTTTTTTTCTTTTCTTTTCTTTTTTTTTTTTTTTTTTTGAGACAAGAATCTCACTCTGTCTGGCCCAGGCTGGAGTGTAATGGTGCGATCTCAGCTCACTGCAACCTCCGCCTCCTGGATTCAAGCGATTCTCCTGCCTCAGCCTCCCCAGTAGCTGGAATTACAGGCATGCGCCACCATGCCTGGCTAATTTTGGCATTTTTAGTAGAGATGGGGTTTCACCATGTTGGCCAGGCTGGCCTTGAACTCCTAACCTCAAGTGATCTGTCTGCCTTGGCCTCCCAAAGTGCTGGGGATTACAGGCGTGAGCCACCATGCCCAGCGGATTTTATTTTTTCCTAATTATGTTTGATCCTAACTAGCCCTACTTCTGTCACAATTAATTTATTCAATAAAGCTCAGCTTGTTGGCAATATTGTCCTATTGCTTCTGGGTTTTTTCTCTCTCTCTAATTTGTTGGAATCCCAAGAAAAAGTCCATGACCTTTCTCAGATCACACAATTAAGAATTTGCACTTCTAGTTTGCTAGCCTATTATTCCTGTCATTCCTCTACCAAGAGTACAAAGTGTCTGGAATTTATCTTTGTAGCCCACTCTCAGTTCAAGCTCATTTATTAAGAGGAAGAATGCTTTTTTGTTAGTTTTCAAAGAAAGTACATTACTTGAATTTGAGGAATGTTTAGAAGAGTAACATTTTAACTTACATAAAAGAAAATGCTCTCAACCTATTAAACGTGATGACCATGGCAGGTAAGTAGTCCTATGTAATTTATGGGAAAGTTGTTGGTATTAAAGAATGCTAAAGCCCCATTAAAACAAAATTTGTGTTTTAGACTTATATTAGAAAAATTCGTTAGTGCTAAGTCAGTAATGTTCTAAAAGATAAATTAATGATAAATTAAAGAAAACATGATAATGAGAAGAGATAATAATCACCTTGTAAAAGATTCCTTGCAAATGAATCTATGGTTTATCTAGACTTTTATTTAGTTTTTAGTGACAGTTTTATTTGGTCCAGCTAAGTAATTAAACATCAAAGAACATGACTTTGTTGAGTATATTGTCGAGTATTCTTCATTGTGTTTTTCTCATTCCAGATCGAAAGTATAAGTGAACAGGCAGAAGTCTCCAAAAACAATGCCTTACAGCTGAGGGAAAAACTGGGAAATATAAGAAACCAAAGTGACTCTGAAGAAGAAAACATCAATCTTTTCATCAAAAAAGTGAAAAACTTTTTGTTAGGTAATTTAAAAATATATATTAGGACTAGTTTTTGTTTTTTTCCCTTTTTAATGTATAGTCAAACATCATACGTGAACCCAGGAGGCGGAGCTTGCAGTGAGCCGAGATCGCGCCACTGCACTCCAGCCTGGGCGACAGAGCGAGACTCCGTCTCAAAAAAAAAAAAAAAAAAAAAAAAAAAAAAAAAAAAAAAAAAAAAAAAAAAACATCATAGCCAGTTCCAAATTATATTAATTGGAAATGACAAGCCTAAATCAGAAAAATGATATACCCTTTGGTTTTTAATTCCTTAATGAGAATAATCTCAAAATACCAACTCTGTGCCAAAAAATTACAGCTTTCTGTAAAAGATAAATGTGGTAACAAATGCTAGAATTTAGTTAAAATTCCAAACACATGAACTTTGTGTTTAAAGTTATTTTATGTTTTTTTTAAGGAAAGTTCAACATGACAATTCTATCAGATTCCCTAACATCAGGATTCAGTAATTTTCTTTGCTGACAGAAATGATATGAGATCAAGATATGCTGAATTTTAATTAGATATCAAATATCATAGGGAGTTGGCATCTAAAAAAAATTATTAGCTATTATTGACTATTTTCCAAGTCTTCTTTTGTTGGTTCTCTGTGGCTGACCAAAAGTAGCTGATTTATTGTACATTATGCCTTACTTTGGGAGAGGCTCATTTTAAACTCCAGAGAATTAGTAAAGATTAAAAAAATCAAGTACTGAAGCTGGAAATTGACCTGAAACCTTACTCTCTGTACACATACACACACACACACACACACACACACACACACACACACACAGAGATTGAGAGAGAGAGATGATTAATGTGAAGAGGCTTTATTTTCCATAACCATTTTTCAAATTCAATAATTTAACATTTTATACATGAATTGGCAATTGGAGCATCCATTACAATCTCTTCAATCACTTCATTATTCTACTTAATATGTGTGAGAGACCCCTGTGGCCAAGGTTTTTTGGGTTTGTTTTTTTGTTGTTGTTGTTTGTTTTTCCTGTCTCAATATTTCTAGAAATTGAATTGGCAGTTTCTAGCTGTTGTTTTCAAGATAAACAAAAATCAGGTGGAAATTACCTTTGACAAAAATAGTCAGTAAAAACGAATGGGGTAGAATCAGTCTACTGGACATGTTGTTGATTCAAAAGCAAACTTTCAATGAGTAAGCTGGATGAATCTGTATTGACTGGACCCAGGTCTAGGAATAGGCTGAACTAAGAAGGCACCAAAACAAACATCAAAATCAAAGTTGCTAAACTAATTGCATGAACTGGTAGAATAGGGTCTACATGACCTCCTTTCTATCTAGTTTGCTGGGTCATAGAGCCTGTCCTCTTATTACTCTTCATTGCTACTGAATACGTTTCTAATAAATATTTTACTTTAATTAACTTGAGGAATTGAAAGAAATCTATGTCCAGATTATTAAAACTAAAGGCATAAAGAACTATCATTACAACTAGGCATAGAGAAAAATCCTGTTTCTTACAAGAAACTTCTTACTGCTCAGTGTCCCTAGAGCCCTGGTGACCAGGAAGCTTTCATGCCTTGCAATGCCCTCCACCGACCTCTTGCTTCTCTTTGCCTGGCTATAAAGCCCCAATAAAATTATCATTACATTAGATGATGACCACACTATTCAGCTCTTGTTTGACCACCCTAATATTTTTCTTGAAATCTGAATGCCTTATTAACAAAGGGATGTATCACTTCTCCTGAAAGTTCTATATATAAAAATTTGAATCTATAATCTCATAATAAATACAAATAACTATTTGATGAATGAATAAGTGATTGAAGGAACTTCACTTTTCATTCGAACTTTTTTTTTAACTTTTAAGTTCAGAGGTACATGTGCAGGTTTGTAAACTCGAGTCACAGGGGTTTGTTGTACAGATTATTTCATCACCCAAGTATTAAGCTTAGTACTCATTAGTTATTTCTCCTGATCTTCTCCTTCCTCCCACCCTCCACCTTCCAAAAGGCCCCAGTGTGTGTTGTTCCCCTCTATGTGTCCATGTGTTCTCATCATTTAGCTCCCATTTATAAGTGAGAACATGCGGTATTTGGTTTTCTGCTCCTGTGTTAGTTTGCTAAGGATAATGGCCTCCAGCTCTATCCATGTTCTGGCAAAGGATAAGATCTCATTCTTTTTTATGTCTGCATAGTATCCATGGCGTATATGTACAACATTTTCTTTATCCAGTCTATCATTGATGGGCATATAGGTTGATTCCATGTCTTTGCTCCTGTGAATAATGCTGCAATGAACATGCATGTGAGTGTGTCTTTATGATAGAATGATGTCTAACCCTTTGGGTATATACCCAGTAATGAGATTGCTAGGTCAAATTGTAATCTTTTTTTAGGTCTTTGAGGAATCACCACACTGTTTTCCACAATGGTTGAATTAATTTACACCCCCACCAACACTGTATAAGTGTTTCTTTCTCTCTGCAATCTCATCAGCACCTGTTATTTTTTGACTTTTTAATAATCACCATTCAGACTGGTGTGAGATGGTACCTCATTGTGGTTTTGATTTGCATTTCTCTAATGATCAGTGATGTTGAGCTTTTTTTCATATGCTTGTTGGCCCCATGGATGTCTTCTTTTGAAAAGTATCTGTTTATGTCCTTTGCCCACTTTTTAAGGGGGTTGTTTTTTTCTTGTAGATTTAAGTTCCTTATAGATGCTGGATATTAGACCTTTGTCAGATGCATAGTTTGCAAAAATTTTCTCCCATTCTGTAGGTTGTGTTTACTCTGTTGATAGTTTCTTTTGCTGAGCAGAAGCTCTTTAATTAGATTCCATTTCTCAGTTTTTGCTTTTGTTGTAGTCGCTTGTGGTGTCTTTATCATGAAATCTTTGCCCATGCCTGTGTCCTGAATAATATTGTCTAGGTTGCCTTCCAAGGTTTTTATACTTTTGGGTTTTACATTTTAGTCTTTAATCCATCTTGAGTTAATTTTCATATAAGATGTAAGGAGGGGGTCCAGTTTCAGCGTTCTGCATATGGCTAGCCAGTTATCCCACACCATTTATTGAAGAGGGAGTCTTTTCCCCATTTCTTGGTTTTGTTGACTTTGTCAAAGATCAGATAGTTCTAGATGTGTGGCCTTATTTCTGGACTCTCTTTTCAGTTCCATTCATCTATGTGTCTGTTTTTTGTACTAGCACCATGCTGTTTTGGTTACTGTAGCCCTGTATTACAGCTTGAAGTCAGATAGCACGATGTCTCTAGCTGTGTTCATTTTGCTTAGGATTGCCTTGGCTAGTCGGGCTGTTTTTTTGTTCCATATGAACTTTAAAATATATTTTCTAGTTCTGTGAAGAATGTCATTGGTAGTTTGATAAGAATAACCTTGAATCTGCACATTGTTTTGGGCAGTATAGCCATTTTAATGATATTGATTCTTCCTATCTATGAGCATGGAATCTTTTTCCATTTGTTTGAGTCACCTCTGGATTCTTTGCGCAGTGTTTTGTAGTTCTCCCTGTAGAGATCTTTCACCTCCCTGGTTAGCTGTATTCTTAGGTATTTTATTCTTTTTGTGGCAATTGTGAATGAGATTGCCTTCCTGGCTTGGCTCTTGGCTTGACTGTTGCTGATGTATAGGAATGCTAGTGATTTTTGTACATTGATTTTGTATCCTGAGACCTTACTGAAGTCATCAGCTTAAGGAGCTTTTGGGCCAAGGCTACGGGGTTTTCTAGATATAAGATCATGCCATCTGCAAACAGGGATAGTTTGACTTCCTCTCTTCCTATTTGGATACGCTTTGTTCTTTCTTTTGCCTGATTGCTCTGGCCAGGACTTCCAATACTATGTTGAACAGGAGTGGTAAGAGAGGGCATCCTTGTCTTGTGCTGGTTTTCAAGGAGAATGCTTCAGCTTTTGCCCATTCAGTATGATGTACTAGAACTTTTTTAATTAAAAAGCTACTGTTTCTGGCCGGGCATGGAGGCTCACGCCTGTAATCCCAGCACTTTGGGAGGCCGAGGCAGGCGGATCACATGAGTTCAGGAGTGTGAGACCAGCCTGGCCAACGTGGCAAAACCCTGTCTCCACTAAAAATACAAAAATCAGCTGGATGTGGTGGTGCGTGCCTATGATCCCAGCTATTTGGGAGGCTGAGACAGGGGAATCACTTGAACCCAGGAGGCAGAGGTTGCAGTGAGCCGAGATCGCACCACTGCACTCCAGCCTGAGCGATACAGCGAGACACCATCTCAAAAAAAAAAAAAAAAGAAAGAAAGTACTGTTTCTTTAAAGAGCCAACTCCCTGATTCTATTTAAAATGTCATTTTACTTCCCTCACAAAAAAATTCTTGTCACATTGCTTCAAAAATATTACAGAAAGTAAAATATTTCATTTATATTAAGAAAAATAGCTAAAGCAAAATGACTACAAGCAGAATATATATTCATGTCATGTCACTCAAATGCTGAAAATCATTTTTGGCTCCCACTGTTCTCTGAACAGTGTAAGTTCCTTAGCCTCTGACACAGGGACTTGTGCCATCTGCTCCCAGCCCTTCTAAGCACACTACTCTCCTGCCAAGAGTGATCCATGCACTGTTTCTTGTACCACCCTGAGCTTTAGCTCCTGTAATTCTCTCAGTTTAGAATATCTCTTACCCCTCCCCACACCCCACAGTCTCCACAAGTTTAACCTGCTGTCCTCCCAGGTCTAGTTTCAATGCATCTGAAGTCCTTCCTGGAGTATTTTCTCCTTCCTCTGAACCCCATAGCATTTGCCTTATATTGATCACTTCTGTTCCTGTGTGATCAATATTTGTATATAATGACTTATAGGTCCTCACCTGACGGCAAGCCCCCTGAGGATAAGATCCTTGTCTAGTTCATCTCTAGCTTCCCTATGGGAATTGTAGGTGTTCACTAAGTAGCTGGAGAGTGACAAATGGCTTTGCTGTAACACAGGAGTATCCAATCTTTTGGCTTCCCTGGGCCACACTGGAAGAAGAATTGTCTTGAGCCACACATAAAATACACTAACACTAACGATGGCTGATGAGCTAAAAATAAAAATAAAATCACACACAAAAAATCTCACAATGTTTTAAGAAAGGTTACAAATTTGTGTTGGGCCACATTCAAAGCCGTCCTGGGCCACATGTGGCCCCTGGGCTGTGGGTCGAACAAGCTTGCTCTAACAGTTCATCTTACACTTTAGTTCTCAATAGGGGCCAAATTTACTTTTCTGGAAAGTAGAGCATGGATGTATTTGAAAGTTTCTTTGGGGGGCACAGTGGCTCATGCCTGTATCCCCGCACTTTGGGAGGGCAAGGTGGGTGGATCAGGAGGTCAGGAGATCGAGACCATCCTGGCCAACATGGTGAAACCCCATCTCTACTAAAAATACAAAAAAAATTAGCTGGGCATGGTGGTGCATACCTGTAATCCCAGCTACTCAGGAGGCTGAGGCAGGAGAATCGCTTGAACCAGGAAGTCAGAGGTTGCAGTAAGCCGAGATTGTGCCACCACTGCACTCCAGCCTGGTGACAGAGTGAGACTCTGTCTCAAAAAAAAAAAAGTTTCTTTATAACATGCTACTAACATGTTCCTTTACTCTGTATTGTCTCACTCCAATCCCAGAATAGGCCTCTGAGTTGTAGCATCAGGTATAGTTACCCAATTACATAGATGAGCAAAAATTGTGAGACTTTTTAATGTCATGGAGGACCAGAATCCAGTTTTGTTGACTTCAAACGCAGAGCTTCTCCAGTGTCTCATTCATTGTGCTTAAATCTTCATGACAGGTATCTAAACATGTTAATTGCTTTTGAGTATGTACTTATAATAAATCATTCTCAGGACATTTTGTAGAATACACACAATGTTCCAAGTCTTTAGTATTTTGTTTTTCCAACAAGCACTTGTTCAGCAAGTATTCAGCACTCAGTGAGCACTGTTTCTTCCAGAGAGAAGGGACAGCTGAGGATGAAGAAGAATCTATAGGAAGCTACAATCTAATCCCTGTATTCTAGGGGCACATAATCAAGTGCAAGTGCATTTGGCTGAGACATCATTGTGGTTATACTTTTAAGATACAGTGTTTGTTAAGGAGACATGATTACCTAAAACCCTGCTTCTTATTTAAGAGGAAAACGTGCCTCCAGAAGACATCGAGAAGGTTGCGAATGGTGTGCTTGACATTCACCTACCAATTCCATCCCAAAATCTAACCGATGAACTTGTCAAAATACAGAAACATATGCAACTCTGTGAGGATTACAGGACAGATGAAAACAGGTTAAATGAAGAAGCAGATGGAGCCCAAAAGCTTTTGGTGAAGGCCAAAGCAGCTGAGTAAGTACTGTATTAATATTCTTATCTTGCTCTAACAGACCATCTGCTGAAAGGACATCAGGAAAATGTTTGCCTAGGGATCTATAGCATTCAAATGAAATTACCTTCTGATAGTTCAGTGCCCAAGTTGAGGGCTGAGCTCTCTTTGGAGATTCCCCGGGAAGCTGAGTGACTCGGTGACAGGGTTCAGGGTTGTTTTCTTCCTGTTTTCTTAGACTCAAAATGCCTTTCCAGTGGCCTGATACCTTTTTATACCAATGCATACCAATAAATGTGCAATACTCATTATATGCCAATACTTTAACAGGTGGTTGGAATATTGGTATAGTTTTTCCCTTATTTATCTATGTTTGGTATTTTCTAAGTTTACTACACTAAGCAGTACTTTGAAATCAAAATTATTTTTTAAAGTCTGTCTGATATTTCACTTCCTCAGTATATTCTCAGTAAAAAGATATTAGGATGGTGCAAAAGGAATTGCGGTTTTTGCCATTGAAAATAATGGCAAAAACCGCAATTCCTTTTGCACCAACCCAATATAATGATGAGGAACAGAACGGACACTAGAGCTCCAGGAGTACTGCAAGATGAAAATGATATCTATGGTATACAGAGTTAACTAACTCTTGCCTTTTGTCCTGTTGACTTAGCCAACCAAAAAAGAAAAGCCAGGTTGATGTTTTTATGAGCATGGGGTGCTGTGGGTCAGGGTTACAGGATCAGTTAGGTGGTAGTATCATCAACACCCACCATCACTGAGATCTGAGCCATTGTCACTGTCTCATCATCCACGTGTATAAACGAAGTGCACCAGATTCATCCAAAAGTCCAACCCCTTCTAGGTTTAATATTTAAAACGAGGAAGATTAACTGCACAGCAATTACTTAAAAGATTAAGTAGGCCGGGCACGGTGGCTCACGCCTGTAATCCCAGCACTTTAGGAGGCTGAGGCGGGCAGATCACCTGCGGTCAGGAATTCGAGACCAGCCTGACCAACAGGGAGAAACGCTGTCTTTCCTAAAAATACAAAATTTGCCGGGTGTAGTGGTGCATGCCTGTAATCCTAGCTACTTGGGAGGCTGAGGAGGAGAATCACTTGAACTGAGGAGGTGGAGGTTGCAGTGAGCCAAGATTGCGCCGTTGCACTCCAGCCTGGGCAACAAAATCGAAACTCCGTCTCAAAAAAAAAAAATCAAGTAATCACACAGCAATTAAAAGTGATACTGATGGGCTGGGGGAAGCGGCTCACGACTATAATCCCAGTGCTTTGGGAGGCCGAGGCAGGTGGATCACTTGAGGCTAGGAGTTAGAGACCAGCCTGGCCAACATGGTGAAAACCCGTCTCTACTAAAAATACAAAAATTAGCCGGTGTGGTGGCATGCACCTGTAATCCCAGCTACTCGGGAGGCTGAGACAGAGAACTGATTGAACTTGAACCTGGGAGGCAGAGGCTGCAGTGAGCTGAGACTGCACCACTGAACTCTAGCCTGGGCAACAAGAGCGAGACACCATCTAAAAAAAAAAAAAAAAGTTGATAAAAGATGTTTAATAACAGGCAGAGATTCTTATATTGCAATGGTAATGCTTTTTAAAAAGCAGGTAACATCCAAACTGAACAGGAAGTTGAAAATAAAAAGCAGGTAACAATCTATACATGAAAGAGGATCTTAATTATGAAAATAAAAAATTTTGCTACAATATCCTAACATTTTAAAAGATGGCAAGATTACTGGTATTTTTTCCCCTTCTTACGTTTTTTTTTCTTTTTTTTTTTTTTTTTTGGTACTCTCTAAATTTGCTATAATAAGCAGTACATTGAAAATCTTTTTTTTTTTTTTTCTTTTGAGACAGGGTCTCATTCTGTCATCCAGGCTGGAGTGCAGTGGCACGATCTCAGCTCACTGCAACCTCCGCCTCCCAGATTCAAGTGATTCTCATGCCTCAGCCTCCCAAGTAGCTGGGATTATAGGCATGCACCACTACACCCAACTAATTTTTTGCATTTTTAGTAGAGATGGGGTTTCACTATATTGGCCAGGCTGGTCTCGAACTCCTGACCTCAAGTGATCCACCTGCCTCAGCCTCCCAAAGTCCTGAGATTACAGGCATGAGCCACCACGCCTGGCCTGCAGTCGTAAATTAAAAATCTAAAGGAAAAAATAATATAAGAAAAAGATAATGGTGGCAGGGAATAGAAAAAATGGACACTGGTACCCTGGGAATGTTACAGAAATGAAATGGTGGTGGCGGTGGGATGATGAGGAGGGAAGGCTCCTGAAGGTTAGAAAGGGAAACAGAGATTACCATTGGAGGAAAGGATAGGCTGGGTGGTAAAGGGAATATTTTGCAATTTAGCTAACTCTACTGTGGGCACACTCATTTCTAATGATGCTTCTGCAAAGGTCTGTCTGATAGTTCACTCCCTCGGTACATTCTTCTCAAGGTGGTCTTGAGCCCACAGATCTAAGTATTTGGTGATTGTTGACTTGAGGTGAGTTCCTTTCTGCAGAAAGACTGTTATCACTTGGAATGCTTGTGATTTTAACCTTGGGCTTCTTAGTGGCTGGAATGTCAGTGAAGCTTAGCTAACTCTGAATAAACAAGCCTAAAAATGCAGGGCCTGTAGTCCTCTCTTTGCTCTCTGTGGGGCCTCTGGACCCTCCCAACCCCCACTCCAATAGAGATTGAGAAAGTGTAGCTTACATTTGAGACATCAGGGAAACTGGAATTCACGGGATAGTTTTTATGTGCAAAGATTGATAGTTATATCACCCCAAACCTGTATCCTTAATTTCCATATTTAACAAAATATATATCCACTGGCTATGAATATATACGTGTGTGGGGTTTTTTTTATTGGCATTTAAATATACCTATTTCTCAAAATGAAGACTTCAGCACTTTCTCTTGTTTAAGAGTAATTTAAATTTACTTAATAATTCAGTAAAGTATTTGGTTGAGTCAAATGAACTCTCTCAAGGTGAAATAAGTGAATAATTGTGTATTTATCTAATCTGATATGTTAATATCTTACCTTAGGAAAGCAGCAAATATTCTATTAAATCTTGACAAAACATTGAACCAGTTACAACAAGCTCAAATCACTCAAGGACGGGCAAACTCTACCATTACACAGCTGACTGCCAATATAACAAAAATAAAAAAGAATGTGCTGCAGGTATTTGTCTTCTTTGAAACTAACCTGAAATAGGTTTTGAGGGTAAAAACAACACAGTGCTTTTTATGTATGCCAATGCTATGCTTGCTTTACGAGTCTGATGGGATTATTATGAGGATAAATAAGATTTGGGTAGTATTATGCATGTATTTAATGTTCTACAGAGCACGTCTCACCGTCATATTAATTGCGACCAATTCTGGGGTTGCACCAAGGCAGGTACTAACACCAGCTTGGAAATGAGGAAACTATGACTCAGGAAAGTTAGGTGACTGCCTAAGGTCACACAGCTAATTAGTGGTAGATATGAGGCCAGAGCATCTCCCTTCTGATACCAGGGAAAGGAATAGACTTTTTAAAAGCTCACAAAAACCAAAGAAATGAGTTAACTATTGTAACATTCTTATAATTAAATGTGCATGAAATCTCATCAGAGTATCCTAAAACTAAAAAAAAAAAAAAAAAAAAAAAATACTCATCCAAAAGAAATGCTCCATCTGGCCAGGCATGGTTGCTCACACCTGTAATCCCAGCACTTTGGGAGGTCAAGGTGGGTGTATCACCCGAGGTGAGGAGTTCGAGACCAGCTGGGCCAACATGGTGAAACCCCGTCTCTATGAAAAATACAAAAATTAGCCAGGCATGGTGGCAGGCACCTATAATCCCAGCTACTTGGAAGGCTGAGGCAACAGAATCGCTCCTCCAGGGGGCGGAGGTTGCAGTGAGCCGAGATTGTGCCACTGCACTCCAGTCTAGGCAACAGAGCGAGACTGTCTCAAAACAAACAAACAAAGCAGAAAGCAACAGAACAAGAAGTAATACACGAGGAAATAAAGGGGTTGGATAGGAAGAGGTTGCATATATGGGGTAGTAAAAAGGAAGGCCCCAGGATTTCCCCTTCTAGGCATATACTTAGAACAAGGGATGGCAAAACATGACCACAGGCTGTATTGTCTATGGATGCTTTTGCACTACAATGACAGAGAGTTAAATATTTGGGATAGAGACTTTATAGGCCACAAAGTATAAAGTATTTACTAGCTGGCCCTTTACAGAAAAAGTTTGCAGGTTGCTGCTCTAGGCAAACTCCCACATATGCCCAAGGGTACAGGAAGGGACTTCCATTTCTAAAAATATGGTGAACCAATCTCTTAAGGAACCCTGGTAGTTGAAAAAAACACATAAAAATATTAGATTGGATATTTAGATTTTTTAATGCATAGCTGAATTAGTAAGAAACTTTTGATAGTCTCAGAGGCCAAAAATGACAGGAAAGCATGAATTTAGAGGTAATCAAGCACTAACTTGACAGCAGGCAGCAGGCATCTGCCCATCCCTGGAGCATTCAAGCTTTGGGTTTTAATGGTCACCATGCATATAAGACAGAAAGCAAAGGCCACACAGGAGGCAACAAGATTCTTGCATAGAACTGGGACCCCAAATGGCAAAATCCTTAATGAAATGTTAAAATCTCTCTGTCACACACACACACACACACACACACACACACACGCAAACACACAGAGTCAGTAGAAAAACTTGCCCCTGGGTTGGGGAGTAACATCTCCACTAAGATTTGCTAACCGCGATTGTGGCTCTAACACAATTTTGGGGCTAGAATTTATACTACCTGGGTGGCCCTCAAAACCCTGGTATCATTTGAAGTAGCCCTGGGTTGGTAGGGCTCCCAGATGCCTGGCAGAGGCAAACAAAAATCCTCTCCAAAGGAACAACCTTAAAACCTAGCCATCAAGAATTTCCCCCAGACGTGTAAAGAAACAAATTGCCTTTTTAAAGATTTTTTTTTTTTATTTTTTTGGGATGGAGTCTCGCTCTATCACCCAGGCTGGAGTGCAATGGCACAATCTCGGCTCACTGCAACCTCCACCTCCTGGGTTCAATCAAGTCTCCTGCCTCAGCCTCCCGAGTAGCTGGGATTACAGGTGCGTACCACCAAGCCCAGCTAATTTTTGTAATTTTAGAAGAGACGAGGTTTCGCCATGTTGGCCAGACTGGTCTTGAACTCCTGACCTCAGGTGATCTACCCACCTTGGCCTCCCAAAGTCCTGGGATTACAGGCGTAAACCACCGTGCCCAGCCACAAATTGCCTTTAAACAAGAGTCATCAGAAATAATGAACAACAAAATCAGGACACAACAGACAGAGGATATTACCATTATTGGATACAAAATACAAAATAAGATTGTTTACTATGTTTAAGAAAATCTAAGAATGTATGAAAGTATGACCAACAAACAAGAGACAATGTCTAACAACCAGCTATATTTGAAAAATATTTAAATAGGACTTCTAGATATGATCAATATGGTCACTGAAATAAGAAACAAGCATAAAGTGTTATTACTGTTTGTAAGGGGAAAAAATTAGAAGCCACTTGCACCAGCCGGAGAATAGAAAATACATTGTTGTATGTTCAAACAATGGAATGCTTTAAACTGGTAAAAATTAATGAACTAGAGCTATGTAAATTAGCTTAAATGACCTACATAAGCATAATTTTCATAACTTTTCATTTTAGAAAATCAACTTGCAGAAATATACAATATATTTGTATAAGGTGAAAAAAAATTTTAATACTATATATTGTTAGGAATACTGCATAGGTTGTAGAAAAAATGCTATAGAGATACATGGAATGACAGAAGTTAGATTCAAGATAGTGGTTGTCTTTGAGGGGAGAGAGAGAAGATATAATGGGGAGTGGTACGCTGAGGGCCTTAGCTCATTGTTAATGTTTTATTCTTAAACTGGCTGGTGGATACATGGCTATTCGTTATATTTTTTCTTTTTTTCTCTTCGCTCTTTTTTTTTTTTTTCTTTTCCTTTTTCTTTTTTTTCTTTTTTTTTTTTTTTTGTTATTGTTGAGACAAGTTATCTCTTTGTCACCCAGGCCGGAGTGCAGTGGCACAATCACAGCTTACTGCATCCTCAACCTCCTGGGCTCAAGCAATCCTCCTGCCTCAGCCTCCCGAGTACTGGGACTACAGGCATGCACCCCACGCTAGGCTAACGTTATATTTTTCAGACCCTTTTGTATGTCTGAAATATTTTATTATAATATTTTAAATAAATGCAACAGAAAAAGTGGAGGCACTATTTTCTTTTCCTTTACACCCAGCATATTTTTCAAGGGGTTAATATATCGTTTATCTTCTTGTTTGTTTCATAAAGAGATTTTCCCTTTTTGGTCTTTAAATCAACAACAGGCTGAAAATCAAACCAGGGAAATGAAGAGTGAGCTGGAGTTAGCAAAGCAGCGATCAGGGCTGGAGGATGGACTTTCCCTGCTGCAGACCAAGTTGCAAAGGCATCAAGACCACGCTGTCAATGCGAAAGTTCAGGCTGAATCTGCCCAACACCAGGCTGGGAGTCTTGAGAAGGTCATTAGTTCTACCACTGCCACCAAGAGCAGAAAAGCAGGGCTTCTTTGAAAGATAGTTCTTTAACCCCAGATTTTTGTGCCATTTCTCATCATTTCCTTTGTGCTGGTCCATGACTCAATGGTATATCTTTGAGGGGATCCTGATGCACAAAGGATTTTCTATCTGTAGAAGGCAGAAGTCCCTGGCCAAATCATGTTGGAGTGTTTCCTCCCCCATCTCTCTATCCTATTATTCTTAGTAGTATCCTGGTCAATCAGTCCATAAATCAAATTTGCCCCGAACTTCCAAACTTTTCACAATTTATGTTGTTTGTCTGTATTGTATGTTTTTGCCCTCTATTCTCATTCAGTCACACAACATATAAAGAAAACAATAAATGAAAGTCACCTGCCAAAGAAAATACATCAAGTTACAAAAATCAGAATGAGTTAATTAAACAGTTGTGGAAAGTGGGCCATTAATTTAGGTTGCTGAAAGAACCTATCAGCTCATTTTCCTAGCAAGAAACCTTTGGTTGGTTGCATTAATATAGTTGCCTAAACAAAAGAAAAATGTTAGTGTATTTACATTTGGTCTATTCTCCTGCTTTTAATTCCTAATGTGCTGGGTAAATTTTCCACTGACAGGAACTGAGAACATTTTCTGTGGAACAGAGATTGAGAAAAGTTCTTTTTTTTTTTTTTTGTGAGACAGAGTCTCTCTCTGTCACCAGACTGGAATGCAGTGGCTCAGTCTCAGCTCATTGCAACTTCTGACCCCCTGGTTCAAGCAATTCTGCTGCCTTTGCCTCCTGAGTAGCTGGGATTACAGCCACGTGCCACCACGCCCAGCTAATTTTTGTATTTTTAGTAGAGACAGGGTTTCACCATGTTAGCCAGGATGGTCTCAATCTCCTAACCTCATGATCCGCCTGCCTCGGCCTCCTAAAGTGCTGGGATTACAGGCGTGAGCCACCACGCCTGGCCAAGAAAGGTACTTTCTACTCGCCCCGTTCCCACTTCCATATTTCATTTCTGGCTTTGGCCTTTATTCATCTACTTAACCTTCTAGGTTGTCAACACACAAGGTAACCCACAGATTTCCATTCTATTCAAGGGGGATCTCCATACCACACTTCTACTTCCCCACCTGCCTCCCTTCCTACCTCATTTCTCTCTCACCTTTTTGCCAACCAAATAACATATCCTTGATGTTTCTAAATCTTCATCACTCACTCCGTCCTTCATTTTACATATATAACTGATTGACCGAACTGAACCAGAGATTTGTCAAGGATGGGATTGGGTCATTTCTGTCTTCCATATCCTACCTTAACATAGAGCAGAACAACCAATTGGTGCCTCAGACATAGTTGCCTTAACATGCAATAACAATTGCTATTTTGAACAAAGAAGTTTTATTTTTAATAGAAGTTGACATTTTTTTCAATCTGAAAAAACAAACATGCAAATAAAACTCTGCCGGAAATATCAGAGCAACTCAAGTGTATTGACTGGATTAAGGTTTCCTCTGTATTCCTTCTATGAATGGAATTAGGAGAATCATCATGCATATATGTACATGCTTTATACATATTTTCTCATGATGCAAGTGTTGCTTGTTACAGGAATTTGTTGAGCTGAAAAAACAATATGCTATTCTCCAACGTAAGACAAGCACTACAGGACTAACAAAGGAGACATTAGGAAAAGTTAAACAGCTAAAAGATGCGGCAGAAAAATTGGCTGGAGATACAGAGGCCAAGATAAGAAGAATAACAGGTATCTGTTCTTTTATCCATCCTGCCAATTTGATAATAACATCATGGTACTCTACCTTACTAGTAGAATTTATACCAATGTCAGCTTACAGTTTTATCACTTGGGTCCACTGAGGAGAGAGAAGTAGAAATTGGTCTTGTGTTTTGGGGACTGTGAAGTTAACAAGCCTCTTGCATGGATTTGCCTAGAAAGGTTAATGAGCATCTGCCTTGCATTAGTCAAAACAAACTGAGATTTCCTTTGGTCACCTTGAAATGCCCTTTTTTGGCTGGGCACAGTGGCTCACACCTGTAATCCCAGCATTTTGGGAGGCCAAGGCGGGTGGATCACCTGAGGTCAGGAGTTCGAGATCACTCTGGCCAACATGGAGAAACCCCGTTTCTACTAAAAATACAAAAATTAGCCAGGCGTGGTGGTGGGTGCCTGTAATCCCAGCTACTTGGGAGGCTGAGGCAGGAGAATTGCCTGAACCTGGGAGGCAGAGGTTGCAGTGAGCCAAGATCATGCCACTGCACTCCAGCCTGGGTGACAGAGTGAGACTCCATCTCAAAAAAAAAAAAAAAAAAAAAATGCCCTTTTTTTCTAACTCTGTTCTCAACGGGGGGTGAGATGTCTGAAGACATTTCTGCTTGTCATCCTAGAAGGTACTACTAGCATGTACTGGGTAGAGGGCAGGGATGTTGCTAAAAATCCCACAATGCACAAGGCAACTGCCTAAGCAAACAATTGTCCCGCCCAAAATGTCAATAGTGCTGAGATTAAGAAACCCTGTTCTAACCTATGTTGTTTATTTTTCCTCTCATGAAAATAACTCTCCAAAAGAATCAATATAATCTAGGGCACTAGGTCATCTAGCATATATCTTTGGATAGCAACCCAGAAAGAATCATATTCTAGACAAGGATTTTGATCTAAATGGACATTCTGATGCACACAAAGTGTTGCAAACATGGAATACCGGCCAGGCGCGGTGGCTCACACCTGTAATCCCAACACTTTGGGAGGCTGAGGCAGATGGACTGCTTGACCCCAGGAGTTTGAGACCAGCCTGGCCAATATGGCAAAACTCTATCTCTACTAAAAATAAAAAAAATTAGCCAGGCGTGGTGGCACATGCCTGTAATCCCAGCTACTCGGGAGGCTGAGGCAGGAGAATCGCTTGAACCCAGGAGGCGGAGGTTGCGGTGAGCCAAGATCACGCCACTGCACTCCAACCTGGGCAACAGAGAGAGACTCTGTCTCAAAAACAAAACAAAAAACATAAAATACATACAATCAGAAAGCTAATCAGAATCTTTTTTTACACAATTGATATTTATGATTTTTGGGGGCAATCATGTCCTTAACTATCTCTAACCATCAAGAAATATCAGATGGTAATTTTATAGTTTTACCCTTGGTTGTATTTATTATCTTCTAAAACTTTAAAACTAGGAGTGTAAGTAATTCTCAAAATATTAAAGTAACCAAAACTCCTCACTTATAGATGCCTCTTTTTTATTATCAAATGAGTCTTTGGCCTTACAACCACTTATATCATTACTATGACATGAAAAAACTGAAAATGGAACATTAGTATGGGCCAAAGTCAGGAAAAATACATACCAAACTGCTAACATTAGTTATCTCTAGGGAGGCAGTGGGAGTGAAGAAGAAACCACTGCTTCTTGCACTTATATAATTGCTTTAAAAGCAGCAGGCTTGTGGGTAATTTTTTTTCATTTTTAAGTATTTTCGTTAAAATGTTATTTTAACTATGAAATACTAAGAAAGATTCAGAGAAACAGATTTTTTTTTTAATCTTGCATTCAACACCTCCGTGCTGAACTGAGATGGAGACTGCTCACCCTCCCATCCTCTGACCACTTGTCAGACAATACCATGAAAGTCAGTTTCTATTATCCTAGAACTTGGCCCTTACTCTAGGAGTAAAAACATGGGGAGAATATTTCTGTCCTGTTTTTATGTCATATTGTTTATGTCATACACACATTGTTTCCACTGATCCCCATTGACCACAGCTTTTATAGTTCTTGAAATTAGATTGGAAGAGAAGTTGAAGTTAGAGGGCTTCTCAGGGAGGTCTAAAATAAGGCATTCTACTGCCTTTTCTCTTTTCCTTTTGAGGCTGTTTTCAGAACTCAGCAAGATAGAAAAATGAGACATTGATTTGGCTGTCTTCCCCATGCTGCCACTTGAGAAGGGGCGGAACCACAAGGCTGTGCCTGTTCCTCTCTGTTAGGAAGAGGAGCCCCTGGATCCCAGTATGGAGCCCTTGGCAGCAACAATGTTGAGAGAGTGGGGAATGGACTCTAGTCTTCAGCCAGGGTCCTTCCACAGAACTTGGTGTCAGTCGGGGTCCCAGCAAGAAACAGAAAGCATGCGTGGGCATAATTTTGGATAAAGTATTTAGAAGTGGAGTTGTCTCAGTCATTTATTCACTGCATAATAAATTACCCCAAAATGTAATGGCTTAAAATAACCACCATTTCTTACTTTTCTGTGGGTTGCCTGGCTGGTTCTTCGACAGGTCTCACCTGGGTTTCTCAAGCAGCTGCGTTAGGCTGATGGCCTGTTAGGGGCCAGGTGTGGCTGAGATGCTGGCACTCTCTCTACGTGGTCTGTTACCCTGGGCTGCTTTACAGCTTGGTTGTTTCAGGGCACCACAAGAGTGAGAAGAGAGGATGAAAGGTTCTTGAGGTCTTGCAACATCAGTTCTTCCGCTTTTCTATTAGTCAAAACAACTTATAAAGCCAGTCCAGATTCGGGGGCGTGGGGGTAGGAACAGGGTAAGTAGATTCTACTTCTTGATGGGAAGAACTACAAAGAATGCACAAGAATGAAGGGAACCCACTGAGGCTGTGGAGGTACTTGGTGACTAGCAGCAGTGAGAAGGCATTAGCCTCTCTACACCTGAAGGGGCCAGGGAAGCAGGAACGTTACCAGAGCCCTGTGAACACCAGAGTGTTAGGAAAGAGGCCACCCCACAGGAGCCTGAGGGATGGAAGAACTGCATACACCTCCGTGCTGAACTGAGATGGAGACTGCTCATCCTCCTATCCTCTGACCACTTATCAGCACTGTCCATTGGCCATGTGTGAATGAAAGCCAGAGGTCAAGGGAGCCAAGTGCTGTTATCCAGGAAGGGTAGCTTTCCAGAACACAGACGAGGATGGCGAATGGGTCTGGTGTAACCAGCTCAATCATATTAACTTTCCGGGTACAAACAGAGGCCTTTATTATTCCTTTAGTCCAAATATGGTTTCAATGTTGAATCCCCTTTTCAATCCCAAATAACCTACATTTGAAAGTTTCAGCCAGGTGTGGTGGCCCATGCCTGTTATCCCAGCACTTTGAGAGGCTGAGACGGGCAGATCACCTGAGGTTGGGAGTTCAAGACCAGCCTGACCAACATGGAGAAACCCCATCTCTACTAAAAGTACAAAATTAGCCAGACATGGTGGCCTATGCCTGTAATCCCAGCTACTCAGGAGGCTGAGGCAGGAGAATCGCTTGAACCCAGGAGGCGGAGGTTGCAGTGAGCTGAGATCACGCCATTGCACTCCAGCCTGGGCAACAAGAGCAAAACTCTGTCTCAAAAAAAAAAAAAGAAAGAAAGAAAGAAGAAAGAAAGAAAGAAAGAAAGAAAGAAAAGAAAAGAAAAGAAAGAAAGAAAGAATCTAGTGACAGAACACTCACCACCTTCCACATTAGCTCTTTCATCTTTGAGCAGCCATGACTCCTAGAGAGTTTTTTATATTTAGACAAAATCTTCCTTCGTGGAGCTTCACCTGCTAGTTTCCATTTTATTGCCTCAGGATGACAGAGAACACATTTACTCTGCTTTCCTAGGTTGGCCCTTCAGATACTTGAAAACAGCCACGGCACATGCCCTGAATCTGCCTTCCTCATATGAAACATCACCAGTTAATTCAATGTTTGTTTACAGGACAGTTTCAAGTATCTTCAGCAATCTGATTCTTTTTTCTAAACACATGTTAGTTTGACAATTACTCCAAACCAACTCGGTATTCAGGTGTGATCTGACCAAATGAAGTGAGACATTTACCTTCCCTCTTCTAGAAGCTATCTTCCCTCTTTTAGAAGTTTTGCAAAAACTCTAATGTCAGAGTTTCTTTGCAAAATGCTGCCTCACATTATTAACTGTAGCTCTCTATGCCTCTTGTATCCACTTATATAGTCTCCTTGTTAAGGTTTACTAGAATTTCCAGATATTTGTTGAATGAAGACTATATAAATGAATGTATAGATAGATGGATGGATGGACGGATGGACGGACGGATGGATGGATGGATGGATGGATGGATCAATGGATCGATGGATGGGTCAATGGATGGGTCGACGGATCAATGGATTGATGGATGGATAGGAGTGAAGCCAAGGCATCACTTAGCTGTTACTGTTCAGGGACTTCAATATCAGCAGGGAGGAATCAACACATGAAAGTCAGTCTTTTTTTCTGAAAGATTGGAAAACACTAAAGAACATGTTTTAAAATGAAGCTAAAATAATAAGAACAAACCTTTGGAAATATAGCACTTCAGCAAATCCCATCAAGGATGTTATCTGTCTTTTCATTTCTAATGAATTCTAACCAACTATAGCCTCACATTGATAAATGCCTTTAGATATAAAAGTTTTTAGACAAAATTGTCAGTTTGCTCTAATTTATGTGAAAACCTTGAGAAGCCTGATGAAAATAGATGATTTATCCATTGAATCCAAACAGAAAACTAAATATATCTTTGAGAGGCGCATAAATCCCTGTGTTTGGTATAATGTAGGTATCCAGCAGGAATCCATTAAATGGAAATATATCATTTCTTTCATTTTCTTCTTTCAGATTTAGAAAGGAAAATCCAAGATTTGAATCTAAGTAGACAAGCAAAAGCTGATCAACTGAGAATATTGGAAGATCAAGTTGTTGCCATTAAAAATGAAATTGTTGAACAAGAAAAAAAATATGCTAGGTGCTATAGCTAGGCAGAGTTAAAGAGCAAAAGCTTGTGCCTTTGTTTCTGGTTTCTGATGTACAAGCCCCTGGGGCTCTGTTGAACCTGTGAAATACTGACAATGTCTTCTACCTTCCTTCCCCACACCCTGTCCTTATTAGACACCTGCTCAGTGTGGCTGGAGGTTGAAATGCCACCAGGAAAATGCCACTTCATAATTGAAAGGGGAAAGTAATGAAATTGTCTCTGGTTTCAGAAACTTTTCCTCTTACCTTCCTTTCTCTTTCCTAACTTAAAAATAACAGTTTCCATATAACAAGTAGAAATTTAAGTAAGTACTCTACTAACTAATAATCATTTCAGTCAGATAAACCTAAACATTAAATAAATATCTCCAATATTAGGATGGAATACATATGTATGGCATGTACTAGATTGTCCTATATTTTATGTTTATTTGGATTTGCTTTTATTTGTAAAATTATTCTTTTCTGAATAAACTGCATACAATTCAAAATGCAACTTGCTTTTATACCTACGTTCCTACATGGTCATTCTCAGCCAGGGAATTCTGTTTTCCCCAAGTAGAACTGGAACAATATTCAAAAAGATAAATATTGAACTACTTCTCCTCATTTATCAGTGGACATTTTTGCTTTAAAATGTGTTGCTTATTTTTAAAAGACTATCAATCATGTTCTTATTGTTTAGTATAAAAGATAAGATTGTCTCATTTCAAAATGAGTCTGATTTCATACTAACTATTTTTGCACGTATGATTTCTAATAGAGCAAATTGCTTCTGTTTGTGAAAGCGATCCTTCAGAAAGTTTATTTTAAGTGAGTTTGGTTTCACATTTTTGAATAAGAAATAATATACATCAACATTGATAAATGAAAAAGGAAGATCTGCTGGAGCATTTCCATTAAGGACTGACTCATAAAAAATAGATTTAAAGCCAGGCATGGTGACTCATGCCTATAATCCCAGCACTTTGGGATGCCAAGGAAGGCGGATCATCTGAGGTCAGGAGTTCGAGACCAGCCTGGCCAACATGGTGAAACCTTGTCTCTACTAAAAATACAAAAAAATCAGCTGGGCATGGTGGTGCACGCTTGTAATCCCAGCTACTCAGAGGCTGAGGTAGGAGAATAGCTTAAATCCAGGAGGAAGGGGTTGCAGTGAGCCGAGATCAAGCCACTGCACTCTAGCCTGGGTGACAGAGCAAGACCCTGTCTCAAAAAACAAAACAAACAAACAAAAAAGATTTAAAAATTCAACAAAAGGGCTTTAGAATTATACATAAATATGAAAATTCTTAAAATGTAGGCTGTTACAGAAAATTGCAGAATCTATTTCCCTAGAGATCCTGAAGAATAGAAAGAAACTTTTCTACAGGAAGGACCACCCCAGAAAGCTCTCTTGAAGTATATAATTACAATGGTTCACATATCCAGCCTTGAGACTTTAGTTATCTAAAAAAAAATCTATATATGTAAAAAATCTCATTCCTCAGTAATGCCAGATAAATCATTCTAACTTCTATTACTTGCTGTATCAGTTGTTCAAGATGTGACCAATGCAAGATTCAGTGAAACAGTGTCTCTTTACATTTTAAAGTATTAACAATTTGACAGTGTGTATCATGAGCTATTATAAAATTCAGTAATTCCACTGTGGAACCTGTATGTTAAGAAAATAATCTTAAAGATGGAGGGAAAAGCTTTGTGGCTAATTCATTGAAGCACATCTTATATTAAAAATTCAAAGAAGCTAAGTAACTAACAATAAACCAATTAAACGTTAGGATTTTACCAGTCTGAGTTCTTGGATGCAATCACTGAAAACCAGCAGTAGCTTATTAAGCAGGAAAGGAATTTATTCAAAGGATATCTGACAGCATACAAAAAGAAATGGCTGGAGAAAATGTAACTAAGGACAACTATGCATCAGGCGATATTTCCAAGACCACACCTCAGTACACTCAGGTTAGGAGGCCAATGCTGTCCTCCTTGGACACTCACCACCATCCCAGTGACTTGCAGCTGTCTCTCTGTCTTGTATCACTCTCTCAGTACTCAGCAACCCTGGAAGAAGTAATCCAGTTGGCCGGGCCTCTTCATGTGCCCTCGGTACCATATTGACTAAATAGAGAGAATATCTATTCCCTTTGACTTTGGTAGTAGAAGGGGAGTTTTTCCTCTACTTATCTTTGGAATCCTCCAAGATAGGAAGGATTTTGATGCCAGGTATCAAAAAAATTATAAATTTCTATTAAATGTAATCAATATGAATAAAGTTAACCTCTTTGACTTCCAAATATCATAATACATTCTTCATCCCATTTTCCTTTTTTTTTTGAGACAAAGTTTTGCTCTTGTTGCCCAGGCTGGAGTGCAATGGTGTGATCTCGGCTCACCGCAACCTCAGCCTCCCGGCTTCATGCGATTCTCCTGCCTCAGCCTCCCGAGTAGCTGAGATCACAGACATGTGCCACCACGCCCGGCTAATTTTGTATTTTTAGTAGAGACAGAGTTTCTCCATGTTGGTCAGGCTGGTCTCAAACTCCCGAACTCAGGTGATCCACCCGCCTCGGCCTCCCAAAGTGCTGTGATTACAGGCGTGAGCCACCATGCCCGTCCCCCATTTTCCCTTCTAAAGTAAAAATAAGTGCTTCTACCAAACAAAATATAGCACTCAGCCAAATGAAAGCACACCCACATTGTCTTCAAGGGAAACCAACCCACAGTCTCATCACTCACCAAGTGCATCCAGCTCTGAAACCTTGGCCTCCAGCTGAGGTCCACTTCTTCCGCACTTCAGCTAATAATTCCTTCTGGAAATACTGCAACTTATAATCAAAATTGTAAAGTTAACCACCAACAAATACCAAATATAGACTACTGAGGGAGGAAAGGGAGATAAAAATGAAATATATTTTATAATTAAAAATATAAATACACACAAAACATAGCATATTGAGAAACACAGATTGAGGATGTAGACTTTGTCTTTGTAACCACTCAGGAGGCTTTCACTGGGATTTAAGATCTGCTTTCTCTACTGCTCCTTCCATGGTCCCTCTGGTCCTAGTCACATCCATCTGTTGCCACTGTGAACCAGCAGCTCTATTTATCTTTGTCAGGATCAATTACACCAGCCAAAATTATACACCCCCCTTTTTTGCCTGTTTATCCTTTACAGCTTGAAATAGCTGGGTATTGGTACATATTCTAATTCAGTGGAACAACCATTATATTATCGAGTAAAAACACACTTCCTTAGAGATTAGGGCCCAAAGTCACAGGTACAAAAAGGAACCTTTTGCTTGTGAGTCATTCGGATATAATTGTGATCAGTATCATGCATTTCCACTTTTGGTTTCAGATCCATGTATTCTGCCTATAGGAGGTTCCATCAGCTTTCATTGTAGAAGGCACAGCTCTGCCTCCCATCTAAGAGGATTTAATGTGAGTAGCCAAAATAAATAAATAAAAAGAATTAAAGGATGTAAAGAACCTATATGTAGTCAATTGATAATATTTATATGCAACAACAACATGCATACTTTTTCTTTTCTTTTTTTTTTTTTTTTTTTTGAGATGGAGTCTTGCTCTGTCACCTAGGCTGGAGTGCAGTGGCACGATCTCGGCTCACTGCAACCTCTGCTTCCCAGGTTCAAACGATTCTCCTGGCTTACCCTCCCGAGTAGCTGGGATTACAGGCATGTGCCACCATGCCTGTCTAATTTTGTATTTTTAGTAGAGACAGGGTTTCACCATGTTGGCCAGGCTGGTTTTGAACTCCTGACCTTGTGATCTGCCCACCTCAGCCTCCCAAAGTGCTGGGATTACAGCATCAATCTAATCATTTTCTTAATTCGAGTTGACTGAAAATGACATCTCCCCAACACTAGGAGATCTGATAAGGTGTGTGAGGGACCAGCGTGAAGAAGTCGGGATGGAATCTGCACATCCCAGAGTAGGGGATAAGTGAGGGGAGGAGTCAGAGAGCCCACGTTTGAACCCCAGAGGCCAGGTAGAAGTATTTGGAACCCAGCTAGCCACATCAGAAAATCAATATGAAGATCAGAAAGCAAGTTGCCATGAGGTAGCTGGTGTGGCCCATTAAAGGAGACTATCCTGTATCTTCTCCCAGATTAGAAACCAATCACAGATGAAGGACAGCTGAGACCCAACAGGTGAAAACAATTAGGCAGAAGCACTGGCATGGCACAATGAAGGGAAGGAAAGCTGAAAGCAGACCCTGGCAAGAACACATGAGCCTCATGAGGCTCAGGCTGGAAATTGCTGTCTGACATCCATTCTACTCCTTCTTCCTTTTGGTAATAGGACTTCTCCACATTTTAACCAGGCACACAGCTGCCTAGCGAGAGAGACTGTATTTCAACCTCCCTTGCAGTTTGATGTGACCATGTGACTAAATTCTGGCCAACAGATGAGTGTCAATGTTGTGTGCAACTTCCAGGGCACAACCCTAAAAGGAAGTTGTTTGTCGTTTGTGGGAGAGGCAGAATTATGGCCCCCAAAAGACGTCCACATCCTAATCTCAAGAACCTGTGAATATATTACGTTACATGGCAAAGGGAAAGTTGACAGAATGAAGGTCTTCATCAACTGGCTTTGAGATGGGGAGAGGATGCTGGATTTTCCAGGTGGGCCCCGTGTAATCACAAGGGTTCTCTCAAGTGGAAGAGAAGGCAGGAGAGAGTCAGAGGGACAGCAGCACGGGAGGATTGACCTGATGTTGCTGGCTTTGAACATGAAGGAAGGGGCCAATGGCTGAGGAAGGTAAGTTGTCCCTAGAAGCTGGAAAAAGCAAGGAAAGAGATGCTTCCTTAGAGCCTCCTGGAAGGAATACCACTATGCCAACACATTGATTTTAGCCCTGAATTGGACTTTTAACCTACAGAACTATGAGATAAATTTATGTCATTTAAAGCCACTAAGTGTGTGGATATTTGTTACAGCAACAAGAGGAAACAAAAACACCCTCCATTTGTTTCCCCCCTACCTTCAATTGGGTGGGAATATGGAGAGCCGGCTATCCCCATGCACATGAAGATAATACTGTGAAACAAGGTGGAAGAAACAGGTCCCTGGTTGACTGTACAAGTAAGGGTCCTACCAGGAAACACGGGACACACCTGGGGCAGTTCCATAAGGGAGCTATTTACAAAGATATGGGTAGGGTGGATGAAAGCCATAAAAGATAATACAGCATCCCAGAGCCAGCACCAGGCAGGGGACATCCCCACCCTTGGTTTGAGGGGTAAAGCGAGAGGGTGACAACTGAACATTGAAGGCAGACTGTGTAGGAGGGCCTCTTTTTTGTTTTTGTTTTTGAGACGGAGTCTTGCTCTGTTGCCCAGGCTGGAGTGCAGTGGCGCGATCTCAGCTCACTGCAACCTCCGCCTCTTAGGTTCAAGGATACAGGCACGTGCCACCATGCCCAGCTAATTTTTTGTATTTTTAGTAGAGACAGGGTTTCACCTTGTTAGCCAGGATGGTCTTGATCTCCCGACCTCATGATCCACCCACCTCGGCCTCCCAAAGTGCTGGGACTACAGGCATGAGACACCGCGCCTGGCCAGGAGGGCCTCTTAACAGGAGCTGTGATCTTTGGACAAGGGATACAACCAGCCACGACAACCCTGCAGAGGACATTGGGGCATGGATGCCCTGATGGCACGCTCCTCCATGTCCAGTCTCTTACTGGTGGCTCCCATTGGCTAAACCAAGGGCCTGGGGTGATGTTCCCATGTAGATCAGCCTCCACAGGCACAGAGAAGGGGGCAAATAGATGTGGGGAGGCACAATGCCCTTGTGGATTAAAACTGTGTGTGTCTGACTCCTTTGGACTAACAACCAGCTTAAACTTGCACATAAAGAAAAGCACACATCTCCTTAGGTGCCTGTGACTTTGGCCTCTGTTACAGCAGCTGAACCAGCATCCTCATTAGTCTCTTTGCGGGTACCCCAACTCCTTGCCAAACTGCTAAAATTGTCCTCTATGCCCTGCTGCATGGGCACAGTGGACCAAGGATCAGGTGATAAATGCGAAGAGCATGGTTTGTCCCCTGCATGACCTTAGGCGATTCACAGCCTGCCTGAATTTCATGTCCTCATTTCCTTTAGCTGTAAAATGCTAATAAATATACCTGGTCTCCCTCCTAGGGTTACAGAGCTAATTCGAATGAAAGAGCTTTGAGAAGAGTGAGATATTACAGGAATCCTTCAAGACCTCACTATTATTACACTGTGTAAGTTACACCTGCATTCTCCTTCTGAACCATTGCTCCTATGGTCCTGCCTACTTTAAAATTGTCATCTCTCTCCCAAACCTAACCTTTTCCTATAGCCCTAGGGCTCCTTTTCTAGCCTCACTCAAAGCCCTTTTTCTGGAGTTCCTGTATTGTCACTTGGCTGATATGCCTTTTCTAACCAGACATCAAGTTTTATGAGGACTCACAGCATGCATTTGCACACGTTTAAGTCCTTTAGAGAATGTAGCACAGTGTGGAGCACTCTAAATAAATACTTATTCACTTTAAGTATTAGTTCCATAAATTGACTCCAATTTTATGAGAAGACAGTCCCCTGTTTTGTTCTTTCACCTTTCCTGCCCTCCACCCTGTTTCTTCTCTCCCCTTGGAAGAGAGCCAGAAAAAAAGCAATTTATTTTTTCTTCTTGCAACATGAAACAGCCTAGGTAGGATGTCTCTTAACACCTGCTCATCCATCAGCACCTAGCTTTTCTCTTCTGAAGAACTTGAACCTACATATAATCTTTATCTTTACTCATTACATGTTAAAAGTGGCCACTCTAGAAGGCTTCCCCCTCCCTAACAACCTGCCTCTGATTCAGCCTGCCAGCTGAACGAGCTTTCAGTGATACAAAGTAAGCTTGCCACAACATGTATTACACATATTTAATCAGAATGTACAGAGTTTTTGAGCAGAGATACAGTGTTTTCTTCATATTCATAAACTCTGTGACTAACAGTTAAGTGTCTAAGATTCATAGCAGTATCT
Source organism: Homo sapiens (assembly GCF_000001405.40). NCBI lineage: Eukaryota > Metazoa > Chordata > Mammalia > Primates > Hominidae > Homo > Homo sapiens. Next base: position 108,017,014 of record NC_000007.14, on the reverse strand, counting down.
GACATAGTTCCACACACAACCACAGTTCACTTTGATGGCAAACACCAAAACTAGGAGGCAGGAGGTTGGCTGCACTTTATCTCACATTCACTAGGTGGCAACAGATTAAGTGTGCTATATTTCAAAGCTCTCTCCAGTCATCCCAACATGGCACCAAGAACTAAAATCTAATCTTTAGTACTGTTATTTCCTTACAGTGAAGACTTTGAAATATTTAGTCAATAAAACATTCATAGTGAAAAAAACCTTAAAATCTACTAGCTGAAGATATTACCTCTGATGAGGAAAGATATAAAATGACTGTCAGAAAACTACTAACACAGCTAGGTTAATTTTTAGAGACACTAGATGCAGGTATCAGCTCTCACATATGATTTTTCTCACTGATGTTGCCTGTCATTCAGGAAAGAGGTTTAAGAAATTCCAAAATAGGTTGGGCTCAGTGGTTCATGCCTGTGGTCCTAGCACTTTGGGAGGCCGCAGCAGGCGGATCACTTGAGGCCAGGAGTTTGAGACCAACCTGGCCGATATGGTGAAACGCCATCTCTACTAAAAATAGAAAAATTAGCCAGGTGTGATGGAACATGCCTGTAGTCCCAGCTACTTGGGAAGCTGAGGCACAGGAATCATTTGAACCTGGGAGACAGAGGTTGCAGTAAGCTGAGATCGCAGCACTCCACTCCAGCCTGAGCAACAGAGCGAGACTCCATCTCAAAAAAAAAAAAAAAAAAAAAAAAAATTCCAAAATGCAAGAGATTTGAAAAATTCCCTCGTCCTACCCCCTCATTTTCTGAAGAATACTAAGGCTAACCTAGCCAGGGCCACTCTGTTAGTTGGAAGAAATGGCAAGGCAGGTGTGATGGGAAATGTGCCCTGCGACTATACTCAGTTTGTTGCACCCTCTTCCAAGACAACTTCTCTTTTAACTGGTCTTAGGCTGTATTAAATGGACCATCAAATAGTGAATCATTTTCTTAAAATGAATAACTGATTTCTTTACATAAATGACCTAAGCTGTAAGTCAAATATTTGAGACATGTGAAACATTTCACAGGAAGTAATTCTGCTTGAAAGAAAACAAAAGACAAAGCGAACCAAATAGAAATACTTCATCTTTGAAATGTTATTGAACAAAACTGTATAATCTGGGGGGACTAGCATGTTTCTTGAGATTAGCCAACTAAGCAAATATACAGTTGTAGCTATTAAACACATTCAATAGGATTGTTTTAAGAGTCTTAAGTAAAAAAAAAAAAAAAAAAAAAAGTCTTCAAAACTTCCCATGCTGTTTTTAAAAATAGGACTACATATAGAAATAACAAAGTAGGCTAAATTTTAGGTGTTAAGCTTGATGTTACCAAATGTATTTATTCAAAACAATTTATTTGATTATATAGGAAAACAAAAAATAACCTATTAGAATAACTACTTGGTTGGAAACACTAGTTGTATATGATATACAACTAATTTCTAGGAATTTGTCATAACCCAAACAGAAATCCAGATTACTACCTCTGTTAAAGTGAATATCCAATTTAAGTCAAAATTTTCTCTTGAATCTTAGTTTATTGAGCCAATTAAAGGTAGCACCTCACTGCGAACTTTCTAGAAAGGATTAGAAATGAAAGTTAAATAGAGCCTGAATATTTAACAACCAAACCACTGTTTGAGAATTCCTAAGATTCGTACCATGGGAAGAAGCTCAAAGCTTGGGAAAGCTGTATAAACATTCCATATCTAAAGATAAACACTGGGATCTTTATGACATTCAGGTTTAGCTTTGTGTTAGACACACTGCATTGTGACTCATCTAGGGAAGGCAAAATATGAATGGAAAAGATTAAGTATTCAGGATCAAGAGAACAATTACTTTTACTTGGAAACAAGAAATCTAACATTTTTTTACAGATCAGTGTAAAGAAGCCAACCTATTTAGATATGACTGATAGGATGTCTTAAATGAGAATTTTTCCTTTTTAAAATCTCAGTTCTAGGCCGGGCGCAGTGGCTCACATCTGTAATCCTGACACTTTGGGAGCCCAAGACTAGCAGATTGCTTGAGGTCAGGAGTTCGAGACCAGCCTGGCCAACATAGGGAAAACCTGTCTCTACAAAAATACAACAATTAGCCAGGTGTGGTGGCTCACGCCAGTGGTCCCAGCTACTCTGGAGGCTGAGGTAAGAGGATCAGTTCAGCCAGGGAGGCAAAGGTTGTAGTGAGCTGAGATCACACCACTGCACTCCAGCCTTAGTGACAGAACAAGACCCTGTCTCAAAAAAGAAAAAAAAAAAAAACAACAACCAGTTCTAGTCTTCAATCCTTCAGACTGCCATCATACATTCTATACAGCAATCATACATTCCTATACAGCAATCATACATTCCTATACGGCAATCATACATTGTATACAGCAAATAAATAGAAATGTCTATACTAAATTTTCTCCTTAAACTCAATTTTCTTTTAACCCACTTTGGGGAGATGAATAATATGTAGACAATTTGAAAGATTTAAACATTTGTGTAAACATTTCTCTGTAAGGAAAAAAAAACAACTTTCTCAACTCAACACAGCTAAACATATTTTGATTGGAACATATGAGCACAGGAAGTGGCTAACAAAAATTAATCGTGGCTACTGTAACATTGCATCCAAACCCAAACAGACCATAACACTTCCTACTCAACTCAAACGAACTCTAGTTTCTAGAAAGTACCTGCATATTTTACAGAATATCAGCAAGCTTGATTTATTTTTCCCAGTTTTAGCTGGCCAGAAGACACTCTTTTCTTGGGGATGTGAACATTGCCCGACATAAAGGATCACTACTGAAAATACATCCACAAGAAACTATCTTAAAATTTATTTTACACAGAGCTTGGTTGCCTATAATTTTGGAATATTGTATTAGAACAAGGACTATACATGTTCATTATAGAGTAAAATCATAAAAGAAGAAACAGCTATCTTTTAATATTTTGAGCTATAAAAATAATTTCTGGGTGGCCCTTTTTAATTCCTCAAAAATTATATATACATGAGTTACATACTTTTTTGTCATTGGAATCTACTCCCCCTACAGCTCCCCACCTACAACCACACATACCCTTTTAAATCACAGAAATAGGTACTATCTTTGTAAGTAACTGTTTGGTACTCTGTTGCATGGGTCCAGCATAGTAATTTTATCTAGTCTCCTATTGATGGTCATTTGGATTATTTCCACTTTTTCTGCTGGAAACAACATTGTAAACATCTTTCTGTGCATAATTTGGCAAGTTTTCCCAATCAAAATCAAAGTTATGTCTGTTTTAAACGTTAGTACATATTTCAGACTGCCCTCCAGAATGGGGCAATTTTACCTTCCCGATTATAATTTATGCTAATGTCCTCATGAGCCTCATTACGATGAGGTGACTAAGACTTGCAGACTTTGACTTACCATTATATGATCGCCACTTTGAGCCTCTAAAGCCAAAGTGGGCATGATGCTTTCTGCATTACAGTAGAGAGCAGTCACTGAACACATTTATAAGGAATTAATACTTTATGTATTAATATTCATGCATCTAAATCATAGCAAACCGCCCACTTTTCTGTATTTCCCACCAAATAAAGTGAAACATGTGATATGCTCTTTAACATACGAATGCGTATTGGCTGTGGCTCACCGTGACTAGACAATTATCTGTAAATGATTTCTCCCCAGAAAGCACAAGAGGCATAGTCCCAGGCATTTATTCCGTCATTCCTAAATGTGCTTGACAAATATCTGAGCACCTGCCAGGTGCCAGCTCTGTGTTTAGGGCTAAGAAAACTAAGATGCTCTCAAGGCACTTGCAATTTGGCACATAAGAAAATTATATTCATACACTAACCACTTACTTAATGAATACTCTTCACACAGCTACAATGTGCTCTGAGATGTGCTAGTGCTGGGGACACAGCACTGAGTGTGAGAGGTGGGGTGCCTGGCCTTATGGCACATCTGTTCTAGAATAATCTAGAAAGATCCTCTCCAATAAGCATGTGTCCAAATATTGTGCCTGGGCAGTGAGGCTGAAAGGGCTCCACATGTGAAGTGCCATCAGAGCGGGGTGTTGAACATCCATAAACACTGGCTTGGCAGAGAAGGAGAAGGCATTCCAGATAGAAGGAGCTGTAGGAGCCAAAAAATTGGGTTTGGTTTTTGCAAATGGTGAGTATATTGAGGGTGGCAGGGGAGGCTGATAAACTGAGAATGTGGAGACAAAAGAGAGATTATATAAGGGCCAGATTGCTGACTAAGAGCCTATATGCTGACTAAGGCATGTGAACTTTGTACTTGTTTCACAGATAAGGAAGCTGAAGCACACAGATGTGATGTAAGTCACCATGATCCCAATTTAAGAGCTTGCCTTGTCATTCAGTAAATTCATTAGTGACTGAATAAACGGTGAGTTTTAATTCTATAGACCTTTACATTTGTATTTCGAAGAAACAACCCAGACTTAATCAAAACTTATAGTCTACTTTCTTCAAGGTATAACAAACATTTATATTTCAAAACTGATTTTTTGTTAGAATTTTTACGTTTGTGTTTAATTATTACCAGTTATAGACAAATACATTCTCCTTGTTTAAAAAAATACAGGTAAGGCAAGAGTCCCCTTAACCCCCATCCCAAATACAGTCCACGTATCCCATAAAGTACCTCCTGTTATCATTTGCTATGCCTCCTTCTAGAACTTTATTCATATGTTTATAGAAATGTGTTTATATTTTGTTTATAGAAATAGAAAATTAGAAATTGTTATCATTTCTATGTCTCCTTCTAGAACTTTATTCATGTGTTTATATAAATATGTTTATATTTTATTTATAGAAATAGAAAATTAGAAATTATGTTGTTGTTTGCTATGCCTCCTTCTAGAACTTTATTCATATGTGTTTATATAAATATGTTTATATTTTGTTTATAGAAATAGAAAATTAGAAATTATGTTAACATTTGCTATGCTTCCTTCTAGAACTTTATTCATATGGTTTTATATAAATATGTGTTTATATTGTTTATAGAAATAGAAAATTAGAAATTATGTTATTTGCTACATCTCCTTCTAGAACTTTATTCATATGTGTTTATATATATATATATGTTTATATTTTGTTTATGGAAATAGAACATTAGAAATTATGTTTTTCAACCCTTATTTTACCAATAGCATATACATTTAAGATGCAGACAATGATTAGTATACAGCAGTGCTTGGCCCATAATAGGTCTCAAGAATTGCTTGCTAAAGAATGAGAGTGGGCCGAGTGCAGTGGCTCACGCCTGTAATCCATGCACTTTGGGAGGCTGAGGCGGGCTGATCACCTGAGGTCAGGAGTTCAAGACTAGCCTGGCCAACATGGTGAAACCCTGTCTCTACTAAAAATACAAAAATTAGCCAGGCGTGGTGGCAGGTACCTGTAATCCCAGCTATTTGGGAGGCTGAGGCAGGAGAATCGCTTGAACCTGGGAGTTGGAGGTTGCAGTGAGCCAAGATCGTGCCATTGCACTCCAGCCTGGGGGACAAGAGCGAGACTTCGTCTCAAAAAAAAAAAAAAAAAAAAAAAAAGACTGAGAGTTATGTCACTGATAAGGCTTTTAAAAGGTACTAATTAGGAAGATGGGTGGCACTCCCAAAGTCAAAGGTCAACCAAATAATGGTGTCTATCACCAACGGGATTAAAAAGTCCTCTGGATAGATGACTGGATTGTCAGCTCCATAGTTCATGATTTCCAAATAGGATCACTGAGAAATCATTTAGTCCCAGATCCTTACTAGACTGGAGGCTAACACTGGCATTTCATTAGCCATGCTGCAGAGAACAAACACATCCTACAACCTCTTTGCCTGGCAAACAGCCCAATATTTGAAATAGAACCTAATCCTGGAGTGAGACCGAGTGCTGACTTGTTTCTGATGTGATAAAAACACAGCACTCAGCTCTGGGTGGGCTGGCCTTCATAAATCTGATTAGCAGCCTTAGTAGCAACAAGCATAGCAGCTATGATGAAATAAATGCTCTCTTTCCAGAAGAACAGGCTTTTTCTTTTAGAGGAACTGTAACTGTAGAGTTAATTAATGTAGAAGGCCAAGGGCATTATGGTTGGAGAGAGGAGCAAGACCACTTCTATTTGAGAGAGGAGATGGCTTTTACTAGTATTTTTATCACTTCTGAAATGTGCTCATAGCAAAGATCCATCTTACCCATCTTCCCAGGGTAAAAATACTGGATTGAAAATTAGGATTCGCTTTCTGTCCAAGCCATGAATAGTAGTAGAGTGTTTAACTTGCTCATTGAATTGTTTCCTGGATCACCCTAGGTAATAATTAACAACCCAGAACTATGAGATAGTCTACTCTATTGCTACAAACCTATCACTCTGATCCTCTCATACAAAGATATTGCCTGAACCTTACTGGCTTTAAAATAAAGGTGAAATAAGCAGCACTTTTCATTTAGAAAGCATTTCCTGAGTACTGACTATGTGCCAAGCACAGGATTAGGAACTCACAGGGAGGTGTGGTGGGGATTTCAGGGACTCACTGAAAGCAGAACTTGACCTTTCAAAGAGAGAAAGACAGAGCCTAGATAAAAAGCAGAGTAAAGGAAGACTAAAAAATTGAAATATTTGGAAGACAGTCTTTTTTTTTTTCCTCCAGATTTTGCTGAATTTCAGCATCCTTAAAAGCTGGGGAAAGTACCATCAGCTGTAATAAAAACTTCAAAATAATCTTTAAAATACAATTTCAGGTGGATTCCTGTAAGAGATGAACTGAGTTTTAATTAGGAAAAGTTTTTCTGATATGGAATAAGTATTTCCCACTGAGTGTTAGCTGTCTACTCAATTTGACATCAGTGTTTTTCAATAAACGTCGTGATTCACTCATGAACGGATGTAAAAGTTAATGTACCAGAAAAATAAAGCTTGGGTTCATGACTAGTATTCAAGTCTTAAGGCGTTTACTTGACTACATTTAAGTTACTCCTGTTATGGATCTGATAAAACTTTCTTTAAAAGAGATTTCCTCTGGCCCTCTAGCACTAACTCAGACATCAATCTCCCTCCTACTCATTTTTAAGGTGCCAGGTTAGCAACCAGGTGCCAAAATTCATATACAAGAGTGAACTGAGAAAAACTTGCCCCATTTAGGCATTCCTGTTAAATATAGATTCAAACTTTTTTAAAAAGATTTGGAATTTATGGGCATAGATGGGTAGAAATTAAGCGGCACCCTTTCTTCCATTGGATCCTGCCACCTTCTTGGGAGGTGAAATGCAACGGGTATGCAGCCTTGCAGAAAGCCTGTAAAGAGTTTGAATGAGGCTTTCTTGCACCTATTTTAGTGACTGTCTTCAAATGAATGTAGATTTGAGTGCTCTCATTTGTGATCTCTTTGAGATATTTAAGAATAGACAAATGACCATTTATTTTATTTTATTTTACTCTATTTTATTTTATTGAGATGGAGTTTCACTCTGTAGCCCAAGCTGAAGTGCGGTGGTGCGATCTCAGCTCACTGCAATCTCCACCTCCAGGGCTCAAGTGATTCTCCTCGTGCCTCAGCCTCCCGAGTAGCTGTGACTACAGGCGCATGCCACCATGCCCGGCTAATTTTTTGTATTTTAGTAGAGACAGGATTTCACCATGTTGCCCAGGGTGGTCTTGAACTCCTGAGCCCAGGCGATCTGCCTGCCTCAGCCTCCCAAAGTGCTGGGATTATAGGCGTGAGTCACCACGCCTGGCCAACAAATGACCATTTTTAAGACAGTGTTGATAAAGTCCTGCCTGCATCAGTCAATATGCTGCAGTTTTTTTAAAGCCTCCTAAATTTCAGGCTAAAAACAACAAGTTTAGGTCTCTCTCATGCTACATGTCTAGAAAAATGTATTGGCTAAGGTAAAGTGTACTGGCTTCAGGTATAGCTGGATCAAGATACTCCAAAGTGTTCTTCAAGGACCCACCCTCTGGTTCCCTCAGATCTTCTTTCCTTTGTGTTGGCTCCAGTCTCAAGCAGCCTCCACCAGTTCCAGGCTGACATTCACATAACTCCCAAGTCCAGAGGGAAAAAGAGGTGTTTTTTGTTTTTTGGTTGTTTGTTTTTTCCCAGGAATTCCAACAAAAATCCCAGAGTCATCTTATCTAGAATATATGAGTTTCATATCCATCCCTGAACCACTCACTAGAAAGAGGAAGATGGAAATGCACTGAATAGCCTGGAGTTCATGGGGGAATTAGCCCTATTCAAATCAAGTAAGCTGAAAATGGGAGAGGACTAGTCCCTCAAGGAAAATCCAGCCAATGTTACCAGATGAAGGGAGGATGAATGTTAACGCAAGCCCAAACTACTGTTTGCATTATATGGTTCGAGGCTTAAAATGTTGTGACTTCCTGCCTGGTTTCAGGCCCTGATGGTTTTCCTATTACAGAGGGTAGCAATAACGTCCCCTGTGTGTTCCCTTAACAATTATAAAGAAGGTTACTCAATTTTATTCATCCAACAAGCAGATATTGTGTGTCTATAATATACTAGAAACTGCCACCTGACGGGAATCCAAAGTCTAATGAAAGACAGTCTCTGCTTCTGGGAAGAAGGAAACTAAAACAAAACTACAAATTACTGTTGTACGTATTATAAAAGACATATATATATATAAAGTATAGCATGACATTTGACCTGAATCTTACTGGTCATTGAATTTACTTTTCTAGATCAATTCTGAATCTCACAAAATGCACTTAAATCTAATTTTTAAAACAGAAAAATCTAGTATTTTTCATGAGAACAATGTTATATAAATAGCCACATTTCAGGACCCAAAGATTGAAGTCTAGAATGTAGCATCCTTGTTGTTCTACTGTCAATCAGGATTTCAAAGGAGACACACACGGTGTTCTAAGACTGTGTGAAAGTGAAGGTGACCTTGAAAACAGTTCTTGTTTTGTTTTCAAACGAAAATAATAAATGCTGCAGGGAGATAACTGTCACACATTCTTTGAGACAGAACAGCCAACAATTTGCAATCCCATCTGCCATTTAAACTGCTGCAGAATTCTTTGGTAAAGACTGCTTTATGCTAAAGCAGGTAGTGCCAGCTTAGTACAAATGATAGACGAGAGAGGGTTGTGTTGACAGCCAGAGCAAAGCCCTGGACAGGCTTACTAACAGAAGAGATTCATTCCTCCTCAACTTGTCACATCTTCACAAATCAGAGGAAATTGTATGAAATATAATAGACGAGAAGAATTTGTGAGTGAAACTTGGAATTATTCCCAAAATTAAGTCAAGTGGTGGTATTTCTTTTTCTCTTTGGCTAGAAATTCATATTAAGGTAGAAAAAAGTGGACATTTAAGATTTAAGGAAGTTTTTAAAACATGGAGACTAGTCTTCATTTACTTTCATTCGAGACACACTTATTGAGCACATGTAATGTGCCTCATTTTATGCAAGGCAACATTAATGCAAAAACGAATGTTACACAATACTTGTCCTTGTCTCACTGTCTATTGGGGGAGATAAGGGCATAAACAAATAGTTACAGCATTATGTTATATATGCTGTAACAGGCTTTTACAAGGAGGAGGAGAGAGAGGCTCATGGAGAAAGTCATGTTTAAGAGGAGTCTTCAAAGGTGTGCAGTTCACTAAGTTGACAAGGTCAAGGAGGACCCACGTAGTGAAAGGAAAGCCATGAAGGAATAAAGTATGTCATACACAGGGAAGGAGCAGAGGGCAGCCATTGAAGGCTTTTGAATAAGGGAATGACATGATCAAAGTTTTGACTCTGAAAAAATCCTTCTGCGGGTATTAGGAAGGATTAGACTGAAGAGAGGAAGAGTCTGGAAGTAGGAACACTTGTCGGGGGCTCTGGCAGGCATTCAGACTGAAATCTAAGGGAGGGCAATGAGGTTGGAGCAAGGGGACATGCTGGCTAGTTGCTAGGAAAGTAGAAATGACAGGACCTAGTGATGGGGAGGGGAGGGAATGAAGGAACGAGAGGTGCCCAAGATTCCCAGGCTAGGCTGGCTTCATGGGCATGTGATTTGTGCAATTGCACAGCACCCCCTACCCCACTCAGGAGAGTCCCATGCTAGGTTTAATGCTCTTTCACTGTCTTTACATTAATAATAATAGAGGGGCTCCACATTTGTGCCCTGCTAATCATGCAGCCAGTCCTGTTCCCAGATCTCCGTCTTGAGCTAAGGGGTGGATTATGGTGCCAATAATTGAAATGGGAAACAGAAGACAGAACACATTTTGTTGTAGGAGAGGTGGGTGGAGAGATTTCAGTTTTGCCACAGATGAATTTCATTTACCTATGGGTCATCAAAGTAGAGATATTCAATGGCCTGTTGGAAATGGTATGTAAATTCCAAGTGAGGTACAAGCTAGAGATATGGGAATTAGAGGTTGAGGAGAGTCCAAGTGATGCACCCCTGGATATGGATGAGTAAAGGGAGCAGAAAAGAGAGACAGAACCTTTGGTAGCACCAATGTTTAAGGGATCAGAGAAGGGCAAGATAAATGGGAGAGGAGGGGTCAAAGTCTTGTGGGAAAATTCTGGAATTATGTCCTGGAAGCTAAGGAGAAAGGAGTCTCAAGAAGGAGGGTGTGATCATCTGAAGCATAAGCCACAAAGAGATCAAATAAGATCACAATGGGAAAACGTCCATTGCATTCAGATTAGAAAGTCAAGGGCACTTACCAAGAATAAATGTGTGCGCAAAGAATTGCAGGGTGCACAGAGCTTCCCCTCCTTCCTAGGAAGACATTGTAGATGCCACGCCCATTCCAAGCTCTTGGATACGAGGGGCGGAGAGGACGTGTCACTTTCTAAAGAACAAACACAACAGGTGGACCCTGTTTCTAAAGGGTTAACCCGCCTTCCCCGAGTGCAGGGCATGAGAGTTTTAGCCGTGGGCACCGTTTGGTGATTCTCCAAAGGAAGGAGAGGGAGTATAGAGTCTTTATCCTTCATTCCAGCCACATTGCCTAGAGCAGGAGTATGGAACAAAGCTCAAGCTTTGATTGAGCAAACCCTAGAATTTGCTCAATCCTTCCTTTGGCTTCATAGCTCAGGTTCTTGAAAGTATAGTTTGCTCTTATGCTCTGCTTTCCCCAAGTTCCTCCTCCATTCCATGGCAGTGTGGCTTCCATCTCCACCACGGTTCTTGGTAACTGACCTTGACTTTTTTTTTTTTTTTTTTTTTTTTTTTGAGACGAAGTCTTGCTCTTTTTGGCCAGGCTGGAGTGCAATGGCTCAATCTTGGCTCACTGCAATCTCCACCTCCCGGTTTCAAGCAATTCTCCTGCCTCAGCCTCCCAAGTAGCTGAGATTACAGGCGCCTGCCACCACACCTAATTTTTGTATTTTTAGTAGAGACGGGTTTCACCATATTGGACAGACTGGTCTCGAGCTCCTGACCTCGTGATCCACCCGCCTCACACCCCTTACAGGCATGAGCCACCATGCCTGGCCACCCTTGGCTTTCTAATTGCTGAATGCAATGGACATTTTCCCATTGTGATCTTATTTGATCTCTGTGGCTTATGCTTCAAGATCTCCCTCTTGAAACTCTTTTCTCCTTAGCTCAATCTTTGATTCCATGAGCAAATCTCCAGAGCTCAAGCTTTGATTCCATACAATGTAGAGTTTGTGTTGTTTTTACTTAAAACAGGAGGAGGCTGAGCAAGTATATGAGAGCACTGAACTTAGTAGATGAGAGGAGGGCACACTTCTAGGAGAGAAGCACAAAAGATACAGGTGGGAAGGGAGGTAGGCAAATTCATAGATGAAGTGGTCAGAAGGTGAGTGTTACACACACTCCTCCCCCTGCACATATACAGGCAAATTTTTAAAAACCTAATTTTCTCAGTAGTGTTCAATTTACTACTGCAAGTGAGGTGATCAGGAGAGCAGGTAGGCTTCTGAACAGTGCTGAAAGTAAATGACCTTTTGCAAGGGGAGAGGACGCTGAGCAGGGACAGGTAGCAAGGAGGGCTCAGCTGCTGTGAGAGCAGAGGTTAGGCTCAAGAAAGAAAAGGAGCTGAAAGATGCTTGCAGTGTGTGCACATGAAAATACGAAACTCTGGCCCAGGGTATTAAAAGCTCAACAGGAAGAAAAGACATTTGCCTTTTAATATTTTTCTTTTAATTAAGCCCTGAAGACCCTCCATTGCAATTCTACAGCCTCCCAACAGCAAGGACTTTCTCAGCGCTTTCAGGCTACCCAGCCGGCGCAGAGGATCCTAAGCCTCAGCAGAGGCAAAACCTCCCCAGGCTGTAGCAGGGCAAGTGCTGATTTGGTGAATAATTAATGCCTCACTCACCTAGACCCCAAGGCTCCCGCCTGCCTCAGACTCGTGCAGGCTTACGAACTCGTAAAGCAGCTGACTCTATGGTCTAATGATTAAACTTCTCTGGGCCTTATTTCGTTACAGCTAAGTTAAAAACTGACCAGCTAGCCGCTTAAACTCTTCTCCCGGAAATGACTGGAAAACAAGCCAAGTCTCCTGACTGGACTGACAACTAACTATACTCCCTGAATTCCAGCCACATTTGCCCAGAGCAGGACTCCAAGCTTTGACTCTGTCCATTGCTAAGGGTAGCAGAATGGGTGGTGGGGTCCCGTCACCAACCTCTTTTCCCTCTCCAACCCCTAGAAGGTGGTGAGTTTCTATGTACCCCTAATTTCACCAGGCAGGTTACACTGTGTTGTTAGAGACCCTTCATTAGAGGCCCTCTCCCCACCTCAGCATTTGCACACCATGGAGAATCGTCGAGATGAGCGTTGTGGGGAAGTGCCTCTCATGAGAGATTTCCACTTCCTGGCTGTGTCAACTCTTCCACGGCGAGATGGGAAACGGAGTCAGTAACAATAATAGTGTCATTTGAGGAATTACCTGAGCTAAAGCCATCATCTGGATATAGGTAGGAAGATTTTTTTTTTTTTTTGAGACGTAGTTTTGCTCTTGTTGCCCAGGCTGGAGTGCAATGGCACGATCCCGGTTCACGGCAACCTCCTTCTCCCAGGTTCAAGCGATTTTCGTGCCTCGGCCTCCCGAGTAGCTGGGATTACAGGCGCCCGCCACCACGCCCAGCTAATTTTTGTATTTTTAGTAGAGATGGAGTTGCACCATGTTGGAAGTAGATTTTTTAAAAACAGAACTGGACGTTCAATTCAATGCCGTGACCACCTGGGTAACAGGGATTACAGATAGGTCCTGAATAAATGTGTGCGCAAAGAATTGCAGGGCGCACAGAGCTTCTCCTCCTTCCTAGGAAGACACTGTAGATGTCGCGCCCATCCCAAGCTCTTGGATACTAGGGGCGGAGAGGAAGTGTCACTTTCTAAAGAACAAACACGACAGGTCGACCCTGTTTCTAAAGGGTTAACCCGCCTTCCCCGAGCGCACCGCACGAGAGTTTTAGCCGTGGGCACGTTTGGTGATTCACTTCTTGCGAACGTAAATGCGCGAGTCCGCGGTAGGTCCCGCCGGCCCCCTGGCTGGGCAACCTGAAAACCCACCTCGGAGACGCCCCCACGCATCCGCCCCCCTCGCTGGACGGCCCCGCCGCGCGCCGTTCTGGGACGCGCACCCCGGGGCGGACCCGCCCTGGGACCTGGAAGCGCCCCAGCCCCGCAGCGATCGCAGATTCGGCTTTCAAACAAAAGAGGCGCCCCGGGGGGTGGGACCGGGACCTCACCCGGTCCTCGCAGAGTTGCGGCCGCCCGCCCCTTCAGCCCCGGCTCTCCGTATGCGCATGAGCAGAGGCGCCTCCCTCTGTTCCTCCCAAGGCTAAACTTTCTAATTCCCTTCTTTGGGCTCGGGGGCTCCCGGAGCAGGGCGAGAGCTCGCGTCGCCGGGTGAGGAGAACAAAGTGGCTGCACGATTTTCCCCACTTTCCAGCCCACCCCCCGCTTCCGTGGGAGCGACAGGAAATGGAAGGGCGCCTCTTCTCTCTTTGAACATTTGCCTTTTTTCCCCTCCTTTCCACCTCTCCAGAAAGGAAGACGGGAAGAAAGGGCAGGCGGCTCGGCGGGCGTCTTCTCCACTCCTCTGCCGCGTCCCCGTGGCTGCAGGGAGCCGGCATGGGGCTTCTCCAGTTGCTAGCTTTCAGTTTCTTAGGTAATTCCGTGGAAACGGTGCGGGGAGGCGGACGGACTTGGGCATGGGGAAGGAAAACCCAAAAGCTGCTTGCTCACCTTCGTGGGATCCTGGGGGCTTGGGAGAGGGACTGGATGGAAATGACGCCCCTGGGATTAAACGCCACCGCCCTTGCTTCGGTGGTGGCTGGAGACAGCGCACGCGGAGCGCCGCGGACCCTCATCCCCCGGGCTCTGCGCCCAAGCCCCGGCCCCTGCGGCCTCCCGCGGCCCCCGCTCAGGGTTTTGCACCCTCGGCCGGTTCACCCTGGGTTTCCCCACCGCAGAGGGCAGGTTCCCTGGGGTTGGCGGTGCTGACCGAGGAGGGCTCTCCAAAAATCCATTGCCCAGGAGAGTGCCTGAGCTGAGCGGAGGCTTCATTCTGGGAACAGATGGGGGCCATGTGGCTTTAATTAACCATCTCTGTTTGTCTCCGGATGGCACCAGAAACAGCAGGACCTGGCGCTTCCCTGGAATGGAGAAGCCTTGAAACCACTCCAGAGCCCCAGGGACTGTCCATGGGCTCCCCTAGCTCCGGAAAGCGGCGTCCACCGCGAGCCCCGGCGCCTCGTCCCCAGCGAAGCGCCGGTGACCCTCGCGCGTGCACGCACACGCACTCTCGCTTCCCAAGCTCACAGATCTCCACGCGCACACTCACACCGAGGATGCGCGGGCTGCCGCGTGCACGCGGGTTCACGTGCGTGGGTGTGTGGCCCTTTGGGGGTCAGCCTCCCTGCGCCGGGCTCCGGACACGTCGAAGTGGAGGGTCTACACATCCACCCTTTGTTGGGGGAGCTGCTCCCCGGGGCTGATCAGGGTGGGCGCGAGCGTCGGTGGGTTTCCCGGGAGGGAGGCTCTCGCTGCTGGACAGACCTGATGACGTGTGTGGGTTTCTTTCCGTGTCCTTCTCCTTTCGGAGTCCCTGCCTTCCCAGCCTCTCCTGCGCTCATCTCTCCATTGTCTTTTCTGTGCATTTTGCTTTCTTCCGAATGGACTGTCCTCTCTCCGCACCCACTCCCCCGCCCCCGCTTGTTCGTTTTTTTCGGGCTCCACTCCCTGCTTGTGTCCCCCCAACTCTGTTGCCTGTCCTTCCCGCAGCCCTGTGCAGAGCCCGAGTGCGCGCTCAGGAACCCGAGTTCAGCTACGGCTGCGCAGAAGGCAGCTGCTATCCCGCCACGGGCGACCTTCTCATCGGCCGAGCACAGAAGCTTTCGGTGACCTCGACGTGCGGGCTGCACAAGCCCGAACCCTACTGTATCGTCAGCCACTTGCAGGTGAGGGCTGAGAGCGGGGTTCGAGGCTCTGCTAGCGCCTCCTCCCGTCCAGACCTAAGGGGCAGGCCCTGGGGACTCCGCATCCTTCCAGCAATCCAGATAGGAAGCGCAGCCAGCCGGGGAGTCCCGGGATTAGGCTTGTAGCTCAACCTTTCGCCCCATCTCAGTTTGCACAGTTGCATCCGCCACACATTTCCTGCCGGCGCGGTGAGTATGGAAAGGCAGGACTGCCGACAGCCCTGGCTGCCCTGACCCAGAGCCTCCAAAAGGCCTGATTGTGTGTGTGTTTTTTAAAACTTTAGTTTTGGAAGTGTGCATTAAAGGTGATTTATCCTCTTTTTAAAACCCTTGGGTTTCCCCACCCCCCTCTACCGCATCTTCACTTGGGTAAAGAGGATTCCAGCAATGACAGGCGTCTTGCAAGGTGATTCCAATCACTGAACGAACCCGTTTTCCTCTCCTCATTTGGTGCTGTTCCCAACTAGATATCAGGATCAGATGCTTGCTTTTACGAAATGCCCTGGTTGCCATGGTACCCTGATACAGGAAGACCACAGTGAAATTTCAGGGTGTTACCTGTTTCTAAAAGAGGGCCCAAATTTTAGATTTCAGGGGTCATATTTATACAAAGTCAAAAGTAATTTTAAAAGAAGACACAAAGTGTAAAATATTCAGAATCAGAATACTTTTCCTTCATTTTTAAAAAGGAGGCTGGCCGGGAGCAAAATGGCTCCATGCCTGTAATCCCAGCACTTAGGGAGGCTGAGGTGGGAGGATCACTGGAGCCCAAGTGTTCAAGACCAGCCTGGACAACATAGACTCAGTCTCTACAAAAAATTTTTAAAACTTAGCTGGGCGTGGTGGTCCACACCTGTGGTCCCAGCTGTCTGGGAGGCTGAGGTGGGAGGATCACTTGAGCCCAGTAGGTCGAGGCTGCAGTAAGCGATAATCAGTCCACTGCATTCCAGCTTGATCAACAAAGGGAGACCCTGTCTCAAAAAATTTTTTTAAATAAAGGCTGATATTTCTGGCCTCTAACAAAAGCAGAAAGTATCAGTTTCACATTCGGGGCAAGTTCCAAGCTAATTGCTCAGAACATGGTCAGCCCACCCACCTGTACAATTGCCCTTCAGAAGGAGGACAGAGTATTGTGTGTGGTTTGCACAGCAGATCCCTTAAAATGGAGTCACTTTTACAAAGCAGAAAGCCCATTCTGGAGACCTGATCAATTAGACCAAAGGAATGTGGTAAAGTGGATTCCGTTCATTTGCTTCCAGGTTTATACAGAGATGTCTAGACTGCTTCCTCCTGATTAGAAGGGAGGCTGTAATTAAACTTTTTTAAACTTTTTTTTTTTTTGAGTTCTGGTGATTGTTCTCCAGTACTAGTTTCCTTGACTACAAGTT
Organism: Homo sapiens; assembly: GCF_000001405.40. Classification (NCBI taxonomy): domain Eukaryota; kingdom Metazoa; phylum Chordata; class Mammalia; order Primates; family Hominidae; genus Homo; species Homo sapiens. Next base: position 108,000,151 of record NC_000007.14, on the reverse strand, counting down.
ATTGAAGGCAGTTGATGTTACTTTTCTAATATTAGCATTTAAATTTTACCTACAATATTATGCTAACACTTACTTGAGAGGCCAGGACATCCTGTAAATGAATCACCAGATTCTGAAATCAGCTTTGACCAAAATGAGAATCACACTGTTTGTATTAAAAGCAACTGGAAAGACTATCCTCTCAGTGATGATTTCTATAGTTCGTTACTAGAGAAGTTTCTCTAAACATGTAGAGAGCATCAGAAACCACAAAAAAGAGGTGCAGCGGTCTCTCCTGAGTGTGAAGCTGGCTCTTGGTATTGCTTCTTGGTTCTTCTCTTCCTTTGGGAGAGTAAGAGGAAGAGGATGCAGTCTTAGTAGTTTCCCTTAAAAAAAAAAAAAAAAAAAAGCAACTGGAGCCAGGCTCTCTGGTATATATGATTAGCCATGCATTTGTGAAGTGCTTTTCACAGATAGGGCCTAAAGAAAGGGACTGGACATATGCTTTTCTCAAACATCTAGTGGGCATCAAGATTGAGACAGGAAGCTTGTTTTATCCAGGCTCCTAATGCATCCCTGGCTTTGGGTCTCTGTTTTTTAGACAGTACATCTTGCCAGTCTCCAAATCCTTTTGAGAAGAAGGTAATAACTAAATAAATACGATGTGAAATACAACGTAAAAGTACGGTCAGTTAATTGTGTCCTTATAAGAATATTACCCTTAAATGCTGTTTGTAACATACATGTGGGTCTCTATGTATTTCAGTCTTAGCCTCATTTTCAGACTTAAGAATAGTCTGCATTTCAGAAAATGTAGGTACAGAGCAAAGCTCCTTGTGGAAAGAGAACTATTAAGCTCTGTTGTTTATGATTTGCCTTGATGGAATGCACAGGAAGTAGATAACTCTCCTAACCCAACTGCCCAGGTGGCTCTGGCTCCCATTTTAGGAGAAAGAAAGTAAGAGAAATTCAAAGCTAACCTAAAACTTACAGTCTATCTTCATCCTAGTTCATGCCCATGTTGGGGTTCTTTGAACTGGCCCCAGATTATAGTGGGCCCAACATGGCGTGGTCCTCCCAACAGCCTGGTCCTCCCTTCCCCAGATATTCTGAGCAATTTGCAGGTTAGCCTGCATGCCACCACCATTGATTCACTGCTCGGGCAGGGTGGAAACGAAGAAATCTTGTTCTGTGGTTCCCAAAGCTTCTCTAAATACTTCTGCCTAATACTTGGTTTCTGCTTCATTTAGGTTTTAGAAAATCAGGCCAAGTGAACTGTATTTTTTTCTTTCATTTTTAGTTTGCTTTATGTCAGCAAAAATTCTCTAATATCTCCTCTGCATTTTACTGTAGAGTAAGCTTCTCTAGCTGTTTATTGAGATTAAGGTTTAAGCCTAGAAATTTGATTTTGGTTAAATTAATAGCTTGTGGAAACAATGCCCTCTTTTACTTTAGATCTTGAATTTGCAAGGAAGGAGGAAATTATTTTCAAGACTATTTTAGACTCAGCAAGTTAAAAGTGAAAGATGTGATACAAATCTCCTAAGCAATTTTCACACAATTATTTTTCTTGAAGCTAATAGGTTGATTTTTGTATTAGGAGCTTCATGGGGTTTTTTTAATTAAAAATGTTTTTAATGAGATTGCTTTCTAGACTGATGAACTCAACTTTGTTTGTAGGAGGACAAAAAATGCTTCATATGCAATTCCCAAGATCCTTATCATGAGACCCTGAATCCTGACAGCCATCTCATTGAAAATGTGGTCACTACATTTGCTCCAAACCGCCTTAAGATTTGGTGGCAATCTGAAAATGGTATGTGGTTGGTGTGGGGACAAGTTCCGTTGAGTGTGATTGATAACTTGGGTGGAGCTTACAGGTTCCTGGGTGTTTGTAATTATGATTCACTTCTCTGTCCTGTAATTATGGCCTCTGACAGATTGACTGCCTGGAGCACTAACTTCTCTTGGTAAAATCTTATCCTTCTTCCTGAAGCATGTATTTCCTATAAGAAAGCAGTCTGTCATGCTAGACCAAAGGAGCATTTCATAGTCCTTATTCTGAGGGGCTTTTGGAGAGAATACTTGTGTGCCGGGGGCTGTCTGGGGAGGGTATGGGTACTATCTCAGGCCCTTATTCTTCCACAAAATGTAACATCTTTCATTTTGATCAATCCCAAAGGAAGGGGCAGAATCATAGCCCCCACTCCTCCCCCCACTGCCTTCCTTCATCTACAGAAAGTGTCTTGATAGTAATAGTAACACTATGAATAAGCAGCAAGATGTAATTTTTTCAAAGACTCTGTCAACATGGATATGACCCCAAGTCAAATGGTTCCTCCAGTGATTGCATGAATTACACCCTTTTTCCTGTCTTTGCTATTTGGGATTTGGTGTAATACATTCATCAAATATGATTTTACTATTGCTGTGACATGAAGCCCAGATGAGTTTCACATTTGTTTCAAACTCGAATGCTGAAATTTGGGGAATAAAGGTAGAGTTATTGTGTTCGTTAATTAACAATGTACTGTTAGATCTTTAAAATAAATAAATAAATAAGTATCCTCAAAGAAGTGAACCTAACCCTGGCCGTTAAAAAGCCTGGAGACTACTAGATTTCTTTATTCTATGCAGTACACCTGGGCAGGCTTTGGATGCCGCTGCAGCCATCTATCATTCTGTAAAGACAAACGCCCTTAATAGATTTCTTTGTCATTGACTGTTTGTTTGTTTGTTTGTTTATTTTTGAGGCAGAGTCTCCCTCTTTCACCTAGGCTGGAATGCAATGGCGCAATCTCAGCTTACTGCAACCTCCACGTCCTGGGTTCAAGTGATTCTCCTGCCTCAGCCTCCTGAGTAGCTGGGATTACAGGCACATGTCACCACGCCCAGCTAATTTTTTGTATTTTTAGTAGAGGTGGGGTTTCACGGTGTTAGCCAGGGTGGTCTCAATCTCCTGACCTCGTGATCCACCCGCCTTGGCCTCCCAAAGTGCTGGGATTACAGGTGTGAACCACCACGCCCAGCCATCGACTGTTAAATTGCAATATTTTCTAGACTATTGGTTTCTAAGGAGAGTTGGTTTGTTCATTGGTTGGCCTTGGCAATTCATTGGTTACAAACTTCATTGGGTCATCAGAAAGCATTTATCATTTAGAGCCATGTTCATTCTTACGGGGGCATATTTTGGTTGATACTTCAGTGTGAAAGAGAAGTTTCTGTAAATCTGCAGTGTACCCCGAGGACTTCTGAAACAGCAGCAAGCTTATTATGAACAAAGACTAGGAACATTTCCTGATCTCCCACATTCTTCTAGTGAAAGACCGTTTGAAGAAGATGCCTCAACATTAGGATGGAGACTGTCCCCATTTTAGTCAGCAGACAGTGAAACAGTTTATCATGTGCTGTAGTTCTAGAGGAAGGTTTTTCTTAGTTATGTCGAGTTAATCAACTTCTACAACTTTGAATCTCTGGGACAAAAGAGACCAGATGCCAGAAAGAAGAGATTTTCCAGTAGAGGGGCTTGAGTTCTCTGTCACTCTGTCACAAGAGATTAGATGAGATTAGACTGATGGAACTTAGTCTTTAGAAAGTCAGACTGATTGTTACTATACCCTATCATCTCTCTGTTGTCTGATCACAGTTTAAGAGTTTATGAATGTGATTTTATCTATTTTCTGTGTGTTGTGCACAAGTTGTGCTTATACGTGGCGGGGCTAAATTATCAGTGTCCAGGCACAGAAACGAGCTTGGAATGTACGACTATTTTTACCCATCGTGATGATCTCTTCCTAGGTCTGACAGAAATCAAATACACTATAGAAGAATGACCTTGTTTCTTTTCTCTGTGGATTTTTCTTCCCATATAAAAAAAAGCCTGTAGTGCTTTATCAGGTTATAAATCTAAATGGAATGTGCTTTTGGTGCACACATTGCAGCATATGTTCTTAGGTTACAGAAATGGCACTAGTCTTGCTTTGCACTTTACATTATTTTGTTATCTCTTAATTTTGAACAAATATTGTAGGTTTTTAAAAGCCTGGAAGAGGAGAGATGTACAGTTGCCTAACATTTCACTCAAAAATAAATGCCCAGTGTAGTTCTGTAATATGGTTCTTTTTGATAAGTTAGGTAAGATTAGTTAGTGTGAATATAATGTTTTTCTTTTAACATTCCAGCTAACTCATATCCGTTCCAATGACCACTTTCCTCACCCCCCGCCCCCTCAATTGACTTGGCAATTTTCCAGCAAGAGTTTATTTCAAAAGGTCCTCCTGATTTCCTGAAAATACACCAGTCTGTGACATGATTCATTCTGACACATTCCTGTCTTTCCGCATTTAAGACTTCTTTTGCTCTCAAGATGGACCCCAAAAGCTCTCTCAAACACAAGAAGCGTGGCAAGCCTCCCTTGCTGAACAGGCAGGCTTGAGAGCTCTAGGGACTGGGGAGGAGGTGCTTTCCATCTCTGGAATTCCAGTGGCCTTTTTAACGTGTTTAAGTGAGACTGACTGACCCTCAGGGCAAGGGTGCAAAGGCTCATTTGTTTGTTCAGGCTTTCCCCTGAAAGAGAAGATGTTAGTATTTGTTCTGAGCCAGTTTATTTGACAGATTCTTTTTTTCTCTGGCGTTGTTTTTCATTGTGGAAATGCATCCAAAGGTTTCCCCATCAGGGATAGGTTTTTCTAAGTTGTGGTATAACTAACATATGTGGTAGACTCTTATTTATTTTCTTTGCTGCTGCATAGAGAAAAAGGAATATTTGTGTTTCTACTGGAGGAGGATTGTGTCCTTGTGCATCAGACTGCAAGCTGACCCCCTACTGTGCACAGGAAGTGCCCCTCCCTTTTTTCCTTTGAGAGCAGCTTGGCTTAGAGGGTTGGGAAGATGTTTCACTTCTGGCTAGGCAAAGGATGTCTTTCTTGACAGCAGCTAGAGGCACTCTGCCAGATGTCTTGTTCCAGTGAGCAGATTCAATCTGTTGAACTCCAGAATGATTTGTGGAAAACTAAAGAATCATTCAACTTGTGCTTTACCACCTAAATAAGCCCATGGGATTATTATTTAGTTTCAGCTTCAGCTTAAGGTAGAATGCGAGGATAATTTCTATGGGGAACATAAAAGTAATTTAAAAAATAGTCTCAACTATTCACAGATGTTTCTATTTACAGTTTCATTTATTGTTTTATTTTTTTTAAATCTCCTGTAGGTGTGGAAAATGTAACTATCCAACTGGATTTGGAAGCAGAATTCCATTTTACTCATCTCATAATGACTTTCAAGGTAAGAAATCCATGACTTTCTCACAAATGACACATGAGAGCACTGTGTAATGTCCCCTTTCAAAATGGATGTCAGATGTGAGTTGACCTAAATGGGAACTTAAATATTATTGTTGCCATAAATTGGGGTAATTGAGCAGTTTTTAAAACGAGCATGAATAACTGCATTTAACAAATACTCTATCTTCATGACAATAAGTAGAAAGAGCCTCTATTCTAAGGTAATTCAACTGTAAACTTTTAATTAGGTATCTTTTTATTTCCCCATAGAGTAAGGCAGTGTTGACCCTTTTCCAAACCGCAATAAAACATCTGGAGAGTAAATCCCTGGTCCCTTGTGTTTCTGTTTTAATACTGACTTTGGTAACTGGAAAGGAAGTGTGTTCTCTTTGGTTTTCAGAGTTTTGCACAATTTGTGAGCAGATTCAATCTGTTGAACTCCAGAATGATTTGTGGAAAACTAAAGAATCATTCGACTTGTGCTTTACCACCTAAATAAGCCCATGGGATTATTATTTAGTTTCAGCTAAATAATAGCTTAAGGAACAGTTTTACAGTTCCTTAAGAAATGTGTAATGCCTTCTTAAATGTGGATTTTCTCATCATTTTTCTTTGAGAGATGTAAAATGACTCCAGAACTAGGGAATGTCTCTGTACAAAGTCCCTTTGTTTCTTCTTAAGCAGCTGCCTGGAAATGACAGGCTTCACATGGCTTAAAGTACACATTGGCTCACAGAAAACCCATAATTTAGTTATTGCTTCTCAGATTAAAAATCACTTTTGAATAGCTTTCAGTTGGAGTTGGGAACCTTATCTACACCCTCTCAGGATAGGAAAAGGTGCCAAGGATAGATTTACCATGTGGGCGGGTAGCCATGAAAGTCTCACTGTCTCTGCCACCAAAGTGGGAGGCCAAGGAGCTAGGGTGGGTGTGGGAGTCAGAATGCAACTAGGAGGGATGCTGGGCTGTGCCTCTGAGCCTTTATCCCCTTGCCCACTCCCCAGCAGCCTGCTGTTCCTGCTGGAGCAGGAAGGTGGGCACTGTGACTGTGACACCTGGTATTGAGAGTGGTGGGGAAGGTTTCACTAAATAAATTGTCAACTACTCCTTGTCACCAACCGCTTGTCCCTTCATTGACCACACAATCTGGTGATTAAACTGATGCTCATCGGCCTACAAGGATGTTACCTTTATGTTATGTGACACCTGAGAATACTCAAAATCATCTTTATTAATGTTTATGATCCTATTTTTTCCTTTGCAGAGGGCATCTGTTCATATACATGGATAGTTCTGAGTTCATCTAGATCCAAAATCCTTTAGGCACATGTTTTGTAGTTGAATACTCATTCAGGTGAATACAGTGGGAGAAAGATGAACTTACTTGTGTAGGCGCAGAAGGTAAAACGGGGGTGATGATTGAACTGAGACATGCAGAATGGCTACAAGTTGGGGCCAGGCGTGGTGGCTCACACCTGTAATCCCAGCACTTTGGGAGGCCAAGGCGGGCAGATCACTTGAGGTCAGGAGTTCAAGACCAGCCTGGCCAATACGGTGAAACCCCGGCTCTACTGAAAATACAAAAATTAGCCAGGCGTGGTGGCACGCGCCTGTAGTCCCAGCTACTTGGGAGGCCGAGGCAGGAGAATCGTTTGAACCCTGCAGGCGAAGGTTGCAGTGAGCCGAGATCATGCCACTGCACTCCAGCCTGGGTGACAGGGTGAGACCCTGTCTCGAGAAAAAGAATAGGTACAAGTTATCACACTGGTTTATGAGAAAACAACTCATCCTTCGGGTCCTAGCTCCAGTGAGAAAAGCAACATCTATGGGGTTGGGTACATTGGGTGTGAATCCCTGCCTGCTCCTTCTTGGCATGTGTGGCCAGAGCTGTGACTTCCTCATTGGTAAATGGGAAGAGGAATAATACCTACATCATAGGACATAGGACAGAATGGTGATGTTCTCCTGTTCCCCTCTGTTTTTTGTTTTTTAAATACTGAGTCTTGCTCTATTGCCCAGGCTGGAGTGCAGTGGTGCAATCTTGGCTCACTACACCCTCCGCCTCCTGGGTTTAAGCAATTCTCCTGCCTCAGCCTCCTGAGTAGCTGGAACTATAGGCACATGCCACCACACCTGGCTAATTTTTGTATTTTTGGTAGAGGCAGGTTTCACCATGTTGGCCAGGCTGGTCTCGAACTCCTAACCGCAAGTGATCCTCCCACCTTGGCCTCCCAAAGTGCTGGGATTACAGGCGTGCCTACCGCGCCTGGCCTGTTCCCTTCTGTTCTGGGAACTGGGATAATCTTGTTGCCCTGGCGGATAGTGGGAACCTGAAAGTCTTTATAAATGCAGATGCTTGGCATATAGTAATTGCTCTACAAATGTTTACTGAATGAAAGAATAAGTGGATAAATGAATTCAACCATCTTCTGTTTGTAAGAAACTACCCTACTTTAAGCCTTATGGGAAATTGTAAAGATAGCACAGTGACTGCCCTCCAGGAGCTTCCAGTCTTCCAGAGGAGAAAGATATACTTGCAAATAACTTACAGTATGTGACAGAATGTGCTAATGACTACAACAGAAGTTCAGACAATCTTTGTTAGCCTGGAGGAGGGTGAGATTAATTTTAGCCTGGAATAAAGAAGAAACCTAGGACTGGGACTGCACTTGACCTGGGCCAGGAAGGGAGAGCAGGGATGTCAGTGGGAGGAGATGGAAGAAAGGCCATTCATGGCCGGAGGGAAACAGTCTGAGAGCAAGGCACTGGTGGTGGGACAGTGGGTCAGGATTTGCTCAGCAAGTGCTATGTAGATTTGCCTCGAGTTTGGGGTAGTGAGAGAAGGAAAGGAAAGGAAAGTAGAAAAGCAGATTAGATGCAAAGGACATTGACTCCTTGCTAGGGAGTGTGAACTTTATAAGAAATAGGGAGCCATTACAACTGATGAATCTTAGAAATTCTTTTTTTTTTTTTTTTTTTTTGAGACGAAGTCTCGCTCTCTCCCAGGCTGGAGTGCAGTGGCGCGATCTCAGCTCACTGCAAGCTCCACCTCCCGGGTTCAAGCGATTCTTCTGCCTTAGCCTCCCGAGTAGCTAGGATTACGGGCATGTGCCACCATGCCCAGCTAATTTTGTATTTTTAGTAGAGACAGGGTTTCACCATATTGGCCAGGCTGGTCTTGAACTCCTGACCTCATGATCTGCCCGCCTCGGCGTCACAAAGTGCTGGGATTACAGACGTGAGCTACCGCGCCCAGCCTAATCTTAGAAATTCTTTTAGTAATTTTTTTTTTTTTTTTGAGGATGGAGTTTCACTCTTGTTGCCCAGGATGGAGTGCAGTGGCACGATCTTGGCTCACTGCAGCCTCTGCCTCCTGGGTTCAAGCAGTTCTCCTGCCTCAGCCCCCCAAGTAGCTGGGATTACACGCATGTACCACCACACCCGGCTACTTTTGTATTTTTAGTAGAGACGGGGCTTCACCATGTTAGTCAGGCTGGTCTCAAACTCCTGACCTCAAGTGATCCACCTGCCTCTGCCTCCCAAAGTGCAGGGATACAAAAGAGGCATGAGCCACTGTGCTCAGCCTCTTTTTTGTATTTTTAATAAGAAATGAATGATCATTTCTTGCCAAAATTTGCCACTATGAGGTGATTGCAATAATTCTGTTGCAAAAACATTAACATTTAGTATGAGTCTTTTTTACTGTATTCTTGCAGTTAATAACTGCTGCTATCATGTTATTTTGTGCTTTATTTTTGTTTATGCCAGTCTTAAAGATCCAGATTTCTGAATCTTTTAAAAAAAATTAATACCAAAAAAAAATTGGGAACCATTGACAAGAAAATGAGACCTGTGTTTCAGGAAGGTAGCCCAAGAGGAAATACAAAGCAAGGACTGGGATGGCGAGAATAAAGGGCATGTTGGGAGGCTCTGTTGATGTCAGCATTGATGAAGCATTAATGGAGGGTTACTGCTAATGCAAAAACTGGCTGTGATTCTTAAGTAGGAGGGAGCCTTTTCCTGCAACCCAGGAGTCCTGTAAGAATATCTTAGAAAGCTTTTTCAAATCCCATGTGTCCACTCACTGCCATACTCTGATACTCTCTGCTGTTAACTGCCTTTGAGGATCATTGCCAAGATGAGGTGCCCCTGTTTTCTAAGGGCAGTCATTTGGATACTTTAAAATCAAAAGCTGAACCATGAAATGGAGAAAGATTAGAAGCAGAACAGTGGAAGGAAAGGGCTGAATCAAAAATTACTTAGGGCTGCTCTGCTTATGGAGTAGCCATTCTTTTCTTCCTTTACTTTCTTAATAAACTTGCTTTCACTTAAAAAAAAATTAGTTAGTCAAGTGAAATAACTAGGAAGATGGTGAAGCCACTGACAGTAGTGAAATCAGGAAGAGAACTGAGGTTGTTGATTTTTTTCCCCCAAGTTCGCCATAGAGATGGCTAATTGCTAAGTGGATTTAGACTAGCAAAAGCTCATTTAGCATGTACACAGTATGTTTTTCTATATTACTAGATGTTTCAAAACTCATAACTCTTGGCCAGGCATAGTGGCTCATGCCTGTAATCCCAACACTTGGGGGTGCTGAGGTGGGGGGATCGCTTGAGCTTCAGGAGTTCAAGACCAGCCTGGACAGCATAGCAAGACCCTGTCTCTACAAAAAATTAAAAAATTAGCCAGGCATGGTGGCACACGCCTGTAGTCCCAGCTACTCAGGAGGCTGAGGTTGGAGGATTGCTTGAGCCCGGGAGGTCAAGGCTGCAGTGAACTATGATTGTACTAGTGCACTCCAGCCTGGGCAACAGAGCAAGACTCTATCTCAAAAAACAAAACAAACAAACAAAAAAAAACACAAAAAACTCATAGGTCTTTTGTTTATTATAAATTTGGAGGCAACTGTGCAGCAATGGCAGGCCTGGGAAGGTTGATGACTAAGCAGAGAGTATGGAAAGGATTCTATTCGTTAGGTAAAATGTGTTGTTCTGGTTTCCAGCAGCTTCTTAACTCCACGGGAAATTGGATGACTCGTCAATGGTCCTTTGGGACTTAAAAGTTTCCAAAAGAGAGGGAGAAGGAAGCACAGCCAGAAATGGCTTTCACAGAGCCATTGGCACAGAGAAGTCCGATTAGACCTTCCCCTCTCTTCCTCTCCCCAAGCCTCCCAGCCAGGCTCTCACGGGGAGTTTGCCATGGTACGTGGCACACATGGTTCAGTTAGTCCTTAGGGATTTTTCTCTCTTACTTTAAAATTCTTAGGCTGATATTCTCTTGAGTTGAATACGGTATCATTTTCTTATATTCCTGGGTAGGTGAAAAATAAACCTAAGCAGCTAGTGAGTGAATAAGTCAAAGAATCTGTCAAAATGTAATTGTCCATGTTCTTATCCTTGACATCTTTTATCAGAGAAAAAGCTCAGCAGGATTATTAAGGAGGGCTAAAGGAAGCCTAAGCATGTTTCTAGTTTTCACCATTAACCCTCACCCAAATTTCTGTCAAGCGTTGGTTTTAATTCGGAAGTAAGTGTCTTTATTTAGGTTCTGTTTTCTAGGTCAGCTGAAATTTCCTTTGATCTTTTTCCCTTGTAATCTGACTTCCAATTCCCCAAAATGCATCACTGTGTTGGTTAGTGTCAAAACCTTTGCCTGTTTGCCTATTTTTCAGCGCTCTTTCTGCTTCATCTTTTACTTCCAGTTGACCCTGTTCACTACACCCTCCTAAATCTCCCTCCTGCCTTGGTTTCAGAAGACTGCCTTTTTTTCTCTTTTCCCTCTGACACTCATTTTTCAGTCTTCTGTGCCTTCAGCCAGTGAGGGAGAAAGATAGGAATGGATTTGAATCTAAGCTCTGCCTGTAACTAGCAAGTCAGTGTCTCCGAGCCTCAATTTTCTCATTTGTCAGACAAATGTGTTGTGAGGGTGCCTTGGTTTCCTAGGGATGCCATAACAAAGTGTCACGGACTGGGTGGCTTAAACAACAGAAATGTGTCTTCTCACAGTTCCATAGGCTAGGAATCTCAGGGTAAGGTGTTGGCAGGGTTGGTTTCTGCTGAGGCCTCTCTCCTTGGTTCGGGATGGCTGTCTTCTCCCTGTGTCTTCACATGGTCTTCCCTCTGTGCATGTGTGTGTCCTCATCTGTTCTTATAAGGACACCAGACATATGATTACAGCCCACCCTCATGACCTCATTTAACCTTAATCACCTCTTTAAAGAGCCCATCTCCACATCTAGTGACCTGAAGTATGGAGTTAGGTCTTCAGCATATGAAACTTGCAGACACACAAATCAGCCCAAATTATAGAGAGTTAAAGTAAAGAATGTAATGAGGGGTACTGGCACCACTCTGTTTTCCTTGTCTAGCCCCTGGTTGATACGTTTTTCTAGAGCACAGACTTAGGCTCTCTTTATCTTACCCATTCCTTTTTTCTTTTTTTTTGTTTGAGACATCATATACTTGGAGGTTTCAAATATGTGTGTGCAGTGACTCCCAAATTCATGTTTCAAGCTCCATTCTTGCAGCTGAGTGCCAGACCACTTTTTCCAAGTGTCTGATGGGTGTCTCCAAGTGGACATCACACATGTGACTAATTAGCCTACAACCAAATGCTTTCACGCCTCTTCCACGTTGTCGTCATTGGCAACACAGCTACCTGGCTACCCAAGTTCAGGTGCCTGTATTTCTTTCCTCACCCTGCCTTTTCCACTACAATCTAATTGATCACCAAGTGTAATTCAATAGAGTCTTCTGTCACTAAATTTTCAGAGTGGTCAGTTCCATCCCTTTCTATCTACATTGTAATTTCTCAGGTTAAAACCGTCATCTTTTTTCTTTCACTTGGTTTTCCTGTGTTTTGTATCATCCATGTCCAGTAACTACCACAAGAGTTATTTTTCTAAAGTGCAATCTGATCATTTCATTTGTCCACTTAAATTTTTTAGTGTTCTCTTTTCCTTGCAAAAACGTAAGTCCCTTAGCATGGCAACTTCTTACCTGCCCCGACCAACCTCTTCTGCCACGTGCAGCCGCCTCCACCCACTGCCTGGAAAACACCTTGTTGCCCTTTTAAGATCCAGTTTGGCCCAGGCGCGGGGGCTCACACTTGTAATCCCCTCACTTTGGGAGGCCAAGGCAGGTGGATCACCTGAGGTCAGGAGTTCTAAACCAGCCTGGCCAACATGGTGAAACCCCATCTCTACTAAAAAATAGAAAAATTAGCCAGGCGTGGTGGTGCGTGTTTGTAATCCCAGCTACTCGGGAGGCTGAGACAGAAGAATTGTTTGAACCCAGGAGGCGGAGGATGCATTGAACTGAGATCGTGCCACTGCACTCCAGCCTGGGCCACAGCGAGACTCTGCCTCAAAAAAAGATCCAATTTGATGCCTTCTTCTCTGTGAAGTATTCCTAGCTTTTTTTTTCTTGGCAGTAAAATATCCATAACAGAAAGTTTACCATTTTAACCATTTTTAAGTGTATAAATCAATGGTGTTAGGTATAGTCACAATGTTGAGCAACCACTAAGACTGTCTATTTCCAGAACTTTTTCATCACCCCAAACAGAAATTCTGTGGCCACTGTCCCTCTGCCCAGCCCCTGGTAACTGCTAATCAACTTTGTGTCTCTGTCTACTTAACCAATTCTAGGTATTTCATACAAGTGGAATCACACAATATTTGTCCTTTTGTGTGGCTTATTTCTCTTAGCATAATGCTTTCAAGGTTCATCCATGTTGTAGCATGTATTGGCATTTCATTCCTCTTTATGGCTGAGTAATATTTCACAGCATGTATATATCATATTTTGTTTATCTTCATCAGTTGATGGGTACATGGGTTGTTCCCGCCTTCTGGCTATTGTGAATAATACTGCTGTGGTGAACATTCATGTACAAGTGTCTGTTTGAGTTCCTGTTTTCAATTCTTCCGGGTGTATACCTAATAATGTGGAATTGCTCGATTTTCCAGCTTCTTGAGTTATTAATTTCTTCCTCTTGCTTTTCCAAAGCACATTGCATGCAACCCTACTATGGTGTTTGACATAGCATATTGCAAATTATTGACACCCATATCTGCACCTCATTGGACTGTGTATAACATATACAACATATAGTCCACTGGCTGATACTAAGGAGGTAGTCATACCTTTATTGAATGATTAAATGAACGAATGAAGGAACGAGCACTCAAACTTGCCACTCATATTACAGTGGACATGGTGACTAAATATACGAAAGTGTGTTTGCTATTTAGGCCTGTTTATAATCAGCTTCTAAAGAGAAACAGTTTACTTATCCAGTAGGGTGGGGAAAAGTATACATTTTAGAGGTTAGACATTTTCCTTGCAAGAAGAGTCTCTGTGGAACAGCTTGAATTATTTGAAATCCAGCCACAGTCTGAAATACAAACCATATGCAGTTCAAGTTTGTGGCATGCAGTTGAGTGACATTTTTACCTGAGATTAAAAAAAGTAGAGACTACCAATAAAAAACATCAAATGAGATTTTTGCTCCTGCCTTTAGACATTCCGTCCAGCTGCTATGCTGATAGAACGATCGTCCGACTTTGGGAAAACCTGGGGTGTGTATAGATACTTCGCCTATGACTGTGAGGCCTCGTTTCCAGGCATTTCAACTGGCCCCATGAAAAAAGTCGATGACATAATTTGTGATTCTCGATATTCTGACATTGAACCCTCAACTGAAGGAGAGGTTTGTTTGCTTCTGTGTTTTACATTCTACTTGCAAATCTACTTTTTGATTATTGCAGAAGTACCAATTACTCTTGTTTCCATTTTTAGGTGATATTTCGTGCTTTAGATCCTGCTTTCAAAATAGAAGATCCTTATAGCCCAAGGATACAGAGTAAGTTCATTTTCAAACAAAAGTGTTTTTTGTTAGTTTGTTTGTTTGTTTTGTTTTGTTTTTTGAGACAGAGTTCCGCTCTTGTTGCCCAGGCTGGAGTGCAATGGTGCGATCTCTGCTCATTGCAACCTCCGCCTCCCGGGTTCAAGTGATTCTCCTGCCTCAGCCTCCTAAGTAGCTGGAATTACAGGCATGTGCCACCACGCCCAGCTAATTTTGTATTTTTAGTAGAGACGGGGTTTCTCCATGTTGGTCAGGCTAGTCTTGAACTCCCAACCTCGGGTGATCTGCTCACCTCAGCCTCCCAAAGTGCTGGGATTACAGGCATGAGCCACCACGCCTGACCCAAATAAAATTTTTTGTTTGTTTGTTTTGTTTTGTTTTGTTTTTTTGAGATGGAGTTTCACTCTTATTGCCCAGGCTGGAGTGCAGTGGCGCGATCTAGGCTCACTGCAACCTCTGCCTCCCAGGTTCAAGTGATTCTCCTGCCTCAGCCTCCCGAGTAGCTGGGATTACAGGTGCCCGCCACCATGCCCAGCTAGTTTATTTTTGTATTTTTAGTAGAGACGGGTTTTCACCATGTTGGCCAGGCTGGGTCTCGAACTCCTGACCTCAGGTGATCCACCCGCCTCAGCCTCCCAAAGTGCTGGGATTACAGGCGTGAACCAGCGCGCCTGGCCCAAATAAAAGTTTTGATGGTAAACAGCAGCCATGGAATAAGTCTTACTCAGAATCTAAATATTCAGTGCTAAATCTACCTTTTTCATTTTCCTTCTTTCTCTGTGTTACCTGACCAGAGGGTCTTGAAATTAGCAATAATTACTCTCCACTGATAGGGAATACATTTACATCTGATATAAGATGTAAATACAATACATCCGATATAAGATTGATAGGTTATCAAGTAATTGTGTTGATCATAATACCTTATTTTATTGCTCAGTATATTAGGGTATATATTGGGCTTTTGTATCAAAGAGTCTCCCCAAATCTAGTTGTTCAAATAAGGTGAAAGTTTCTTTCTCTCTTACAAAACCCACCAAAGAGTTTTCTAGAGAAGAAGTGTAGCTCAATTGCCATAATTAAGCTTACCAGATAAAATACAGGATGATGCCCAGTTACATTTGCAAATAAATAATTCTTTTTTTTAGCATAACTATATCCCATATATCCCATATAATATTTGTGACTAGTACAAGTGTGTCTCATGCAATATTTGTGGTTGGTATAACCATGTCCTATGTGATATTTGAGACATACTTTATCCTAAAAAATAGTTGTTTATCTGCAATTCAAATTTAACTGAGTGTCATTTATATTTACTTGTTAAATCTGGCAACCCTAGTTATAAGGCCATCCATGTTTCCAGGTTTATTCACATGGTTAGAGTTAGACCACCACCACTATGTCCTCACCTCAACTCGGGAGAAGAGGGAAGACGAGGCAAGCAAATTCCATTTAAAGATGAGACATGGGCCAGGCGTGGAGGCTCACTCCGTAATCCCCAGCACTTTGGGAGGCCAAGGCAGGCGGATCACTTGAGGTCAGGAATTCGAGACTAGCCTGGCCAACATGGTAAAACCGTGTCTCTACTAAAAATATAAAAATTAGCTGACATGGTGGCATATGCCTGTAATCCCAGCTACTCAGGAGGCTGAGGCAGGAGAATCGCTTGAACCCAGGAGGTGGAGGTTGCAGGGAGCCAAGATCGTGCCACTGCACTCCAGCCTGGGTGACAGAGCAAGACTCTGTCTCAAAAAAACAAAAAAATGAGATGTGGAAGTTGCACACGTCACTTCTGCTCACATCTCATTGGCCAGAATTAGTCACGTGGCTATACTGCAGGAGACACTGGGAAACATCTCTAGGTGTTTCATGTGCTCTACTAACACTCTTGGCGAGGGCTCTTACTGTCAAAGGAACAAGGGAAGAAAGAATACTGAAGAGAAATCAGAAGTCTCTGCCATTCTCAATATACTCAATAAAATGAGGGTTGCATTTCCGTTTAATAGAAAAATAAGCTGAAGCTTATAGAGTTGGATGTTATTACGTAAAGTGATATGGCTATTAAATGGCAGTCAGATCTTGAATCCATATGTTACGGTGCTCAGTTCAGAGCTCTTTACCACATTCAACAACTGCTCTTATTACACAATTACATTTTAATCTTCTTGGGAGGCATGTATGGTAATTAAAAGAATGGGCTCACTGGGCGCGGTGGCTCACACCTGTAATCCCAGCACTTTGAGAGGCCTAGGCGGGTGGATCACGAGGTCAGGAGTTTGAGACCATCCTGACCAACATGGTGAAACCCCGTCTCTACTAAAAATAGAAAAGTTAGCCAGGTATGGTGGTGCGTGCCTGTCGCTTGAACCCGGGAGGCAGAGGTTGCAGTGAGCTGAGATCACACCATTGCACTCCAGTCTGGGTGACAGAGCAAGACTCTGTCTCAAAAAAAAAAAAAAAAAAAAAAAGGGCTTTGGAGTCACAAAGTCCTGGATTTAAATGTGTTCATAAATCATAAATGTGTTCAGTACATCAAAGCTGTTGCTACATTTGTTGCTGTTGATGTTGCTGTGACTATCAGCTTTGGTTTGGGTTTTGCACAGGACTAGTTCCAAATGTTGGAATGAAAGGTGAGCCTGCCTCTCCTGCTACTAAGGTGCAACCAGTTGAGTAGAGGCGGGGCTGATTCTTGCTGATCTTTCCCAGCTGCACAAGGCCCTATTTTTAACCAAGGCCCCAAAAAACTTCCAAGCTTGAAGCAAGGAAGAGTGGAGTGGAAGAAGTCCAGGGAATATTGCCAGAAAAATGCTGCTTCCCCATTTAAATTAATTTTACATGTGGCCCAGCCTGTCTCTGGTCTGTAATTTACTCATTCATTCTCTTGTAAAACAAATATTTAATAGATGTGTCCAGCTCTGTGCCAATTTCTGAGTGAGCCATGAGGCCTTTCCTGCATGTCTCAAAATGCAGTTATGAAAAACGTCCACAAGGGCTCTGGGACAGACACCCCCTAAGTCCCTAAAAGGACTCAACCATCTGCTCCCTTTAAGGTGAAATTTGTGGGACTTGGAGGATGTGTTGTCTTTATAATTTTGATTCTTTTGTCTTTTGTGGTTAAATGACATCGGAGAATCTTTTTCTATGTTACGGAAGCATGCATGTTAGCTGATCATGCATTTGATTTACTTTGTAATCAAGGGAGCAATATCTCTTTAGTTGTCTATTGTTGAGACCTGAGACTCACTTCAAAAGTGATTTGCCACTTAGAATAGCAGTCAAGATGAGGCTCGCTTTTTAAATATGGCAGGAGAGAGTGGGGGGAGCATATTTGCTCTACTGAGGGGTTTCCACAAAGGTCAGTTCAAGGGTTTCTAAATACTCCAGCTGCTCTTCAAGTTTGTTGTTTGGCCTCTTGTCAATAGGCGCTTGTGCTCATTTTGTGCAGGAGGATTTGTGCAGGAGAAAATGTTGGCGTTCATAACTGCCATTCAGTTGGGGAGTACCACGGTTTCTCTGTTTAGTTTTTGATTTTACAAAGAACCTAAGTTTAACACATGGACTTTTCCTTTCTACCCGCAGCCATTTCTATAGCTTCATTGTAAGCTATGCATGTATTAAAAGCATTTGAAATTGTATTTGGGCTGTGAAAATATCTGATGTACTGGGCCACTACCCTGTTGTCTTATGTTGTAATTTATAAGAATGCACAGACATAAATGACAGTAAAGAACCGTTTCAGGCTACAGAGCTTGAGAGTGCAGACAGATGAATCAATCTCTGGGGATCCAGTTCAGCATGAAGAACTTAGTAACTCACGAAAACCCCGTGGAGAAGGTTGAATGGCTCTTCGTTTGTCTAGTTACTATAGAATGAATTGGTAGCCCAGCATTTACAATAAGCAGAAGTCTGCAGACCTAGGAAGAAGAGGGAAAGATAAAATTGATTTAGAGGTAACTTGTATTTGAGAAAAAATAATTTGCCCCACATCCTAATACTAAGCTTATTTATGCTTATGTCACTATATAATATTGAGAAACGTGGAAACGTTTTGTAAAACTGGGACAAAAAAGTTGTGGACCAAAATGTTGCTTAAAAACTTGAAATGTTCTCTCCTTAGGTTGTAGTTATTCTATAGCGTTAACACTATTTTGGTAACTTGGATGTCATTTAAGCGGTGGGAAATTTCAAATTTTCCCTTCCAAAAATAGAGACAAAAATGTTTCTAACTATCTTATAATAACAATGAGAACTGGAGTGCTTTGATAAATCTTTTCCTACCTGAATGGAATTTTCTCATGTTGAAACTGACATTAATTGCTGTGGGAAGCAGATGGCATTGTGCTACTTCAAATTACTGTCTGCCCGCAGGTTCCAGCAGTCATGCAGCTGCGTTCTTATAATTTCTCCACTTTCACACTTCTTCCTAAATAGCTGTTCTGCAAACAGACCCATCACAGAATAGCTACTCTTTTTTGTTGTCGTTCAGGCAACTCTCCTGCCTCAACCTCCAGAGTAACTGGGATTACAGATGCCTGCCACCACACCTGGCTAATTTTTTTTTTTTTTTTTTAAACAGTTTTGCTCTTGTCGTTCAGGCTGGAGTGCAATGGCACAATCTCGGCTCACTGCAACCTCCACCTCCCAGGTTCAAGCGATTCTCCTGCCTCAGTCTCCCTAGTAGCTGGGATTACAGGCGGATGCCATGATGCCCAGCTACTTTTTGTATTTTTAGTAGAGATGGGGTTTCACCATGTTGGTCAAG
Organism: Homo sapiens; assembly: GCF_000001405.40. NCBI lineage: Eukaryota > Metazoa > Chordata > Mammalia > Primates > Hominidae > Homo > Homo sapiens. Next base: position 107,981,253 of record NC_000007.14, on the reverse strand, counting down.
GCTGGTTTTGAACTCCTGACCTCAGGTGATCCGCCCACCTCGGCCTCCCAAAATGCTGGGAATACAGGTGTGAGCCACCGCGCCCGGTCTAATTTTTGTATTTTTTTAGAGATGGGGTTTTGCCATGTTGGCCAGGCAGGTCTCGAACTCCTGACCTCAAGTGATCCACCTGCCTTGGCCTCCCAAAGTGCTGGAATTACAGGTGTGAGCTACCACGCCCGGCCGACATTCTTATGAAACTGATGAGAGGGCAGTAACCTTTCCTCTTTGCAGTCATGTTATGTTAGGCTTCACTATTGGAGTCATCTAGATCATACAAGAGGAGGAACTTAAGCTATTTTCATGTGTCATGCCTTTCTCTAAAAAGAAATGATGCAAGGAAAAAAAAAAAAACTTCTTGCTTGTCTGATCAGACTTTTCATCTTCTTGATGACCTTCCTAGATTTATTAAAAATTACCAACTTGAGAATCAAGTTTGTGAAACTGCATACTTTGGGAGATAACCTTCTGGATTCCAGGATGGAAATCAGAGAAAAGTATTATTATGCAGTTTATGATATGGTGGTTCGAGGAAATTGCTTCTGCTATGGTCATGCCAGCGAATGTGCCCCTGTGGATGGATTCAATGAAGAAGTGGAAGGAATGGTAAGTAAGCCCTCTGTGCACCTTTCTCCTTTATGTGGCTGGTAATAAAATGCAAAGTGAAGCTAGTCTTACCTTAAGCCTTTTACATTTTCTGGGGGTTTTAGTTTTACAGAGTTACATTTAGCCCTTTGCACCATACAGGTAGCTGATTGTTGATTTTCTCTTTGAAGAGTTTCTTGGACACGGAGAATGTACAGACTACTCATTTCATAGACGATGAATTTTTGGAATTTGTTGCTTCAGGCTATTGCTAAAGTAGATATTTTAGTCAACAAGGATTAAAAAGTTGTCTAAATAACAATTGAGTCTGCCTTTACATAGGGAAGATTAAAAACCGCAGTTATGCTAGAAGGCATAAATTGATCTCAACCCAAAGAAATGGATTTTTTTTTTTTTTTCTTGAGACAGAGTCTTGCTGTGTTGCCCAGACTGGAGTGCAGTGGTGCAATTTCAGCTCACTGCACCATCCGCATCCTGGGTTCAAGCAATTCTTGTGCCTCAGCCTCCCAAATACCTGGGATTATAGGCCCACACCACCATGTCTGGCTAATTTTTGTGTTTTTAGTAGAGGTGGGGTTTCATCATGTTGGCTAGGCTGATCTCAAACTCCTGACCTCAAGTGATCCACACACCTCAGCCTCCCAAGTAGCTGGGATTACAGGCATGTGCCACCGTATCTGGCTAATTTTGTATTTTTAGTAGAGACAGGGCTTCTCCATATTGGTCAGGCTGATCTCAAACTCCTGACCTCAAGTGATCCGCACACCTCTGCCTCCCAAAGTGCTGGAATTACAGGCGTGAGCCAATGCGCCCTGCCCACGGCTGGAAAATTTTAACCCACACCCATGGGATATCATTTTAGGGATCAAATGGAGTTGGTTTCTTTCTATCTTTTCCTCCTAATTCCATTCTTTTCCCCACTTTTATGCCACATTTGCAACTTATGTACATTTTGAAATTTGGGATTTGGGTGATTTGCCAAATGGATAGATGAGTTTATTCTATTAGTATCTAGGAGAATTCTTACAGACCTAGAGGATTTTAAGGCCAGATAGGACTTATGAGATCACCTAGACCAACTATTGGTGATAGAGCCCAAGGATTAAGTAATTTACTAGAGAGCCCTAAGTAAATGAGCAGCAGGTGGAAGCTCAAGCCTCTCCTCACTCAGCCCCAGGGTTCCTTCCCCTAAGCTGTGGCCTCCCCTCATGAAGGCTGTGCTTATGTGCTGTTGCCTTTTCAAAGATTGTTAGTCCTTAGAAGGTACAGGATTGAGTGTATTCAGCCCTTTAAAAACTTCTGCCTTCCCTTTACTCCAGTTAGAACTTTTGTTGCACAACAGAAGTTGAATTTTTGACGGAGCCTGAAGGGGAGGGAGGTATTTCTCTAATCTTATTGGTCCATCTTTCAGAATGCTAGGTAGATTATGTTCCCTTTACGGCATAACAAATCAGCTGTGTAGCTAATGTCCTGTTACTATCACGGGTCTCACAGCATGTGCTGTTGATTCAGGCCCAGTAGGGTCTTATGGTATGTGCTTTGGAACTGGTTTTCAGTTTATGTAAAACCACCTGGTAATAACAGGACTTTAGTCTTCTGCTAACTGCATTCCCACCAAGGTGGGTCCAGGAGGGACCTGTCTGTCCTGTTCCTGAATTCCATTCTGTAGAAACTCTTGTTAAGGTGAGATGCCCATATACATGCATATTTAGTGGACCAAAAGGCCGTAATTCATTTATCATTTATATGCCTCAAGGGTCGTAAGTGTGCCTTACAGTGACACAAGGCAAAATCATATATCATGGGCCTTTCATCAGGCAAATTAATATATTTCTTTTACGAGATCTTATATTTCCTTACATAAAAGGAAAACATAAATGTAAATGTGATAAATGATTAATTTTTAAAATTTTACTGTCATTGAAAGAAAAATTTAAGTGCTATGCCTGAAGTAAAAAAAACTAAAATAAGCTAGCTAACAAAAACCTTTTTAAAAAAATGGTGATTTGGCTAAGTGGTAAATCGTGCAGTAATATAAATTGGTTTCCAGGTGGTATGTATGCATTTAGTTCTACATTATAACTTTTGTAGATTTCTATTACAATAGGTTTTCTTAAAAAAATCTTAAGTAACTAGTTTTTTTTTTTTTTTTTAATTTTAAGTAATTTTCTTCATCTGGGTTCTTTTCATAGATACTCAGTAAAATATTTCTTGTGCATCCACTATGTAATAGGAACATTCTAGAGATGAGGCATGTAGCCATCAACAAGACAGACAACTCACTGCAGGCAGGGAGAAAATAAAAACAACCAAACAACCCTTTTCTGTGGTGAGCTAGAGATTAGTATGAAAAAGGGTTTTAAACTTTCAATTGATTATGGAGAAACGTGGCTATTCATACATCTCTTCCTTTGTTCTCTCCTGTTTTTATAACTTTCAAGGTTCACGGACACTGCATGTGCAGGCATAACACCAAGGGCTTAAACTGTGAACTCTGCATGGATTTCTACCATGATTTACCTTGGAGACCTGCTGAAGGCCGAAACAGCAACGCCTGTAAAAGTAAGTCTGTGTTGAAGGGACATTTTAAATCCATTCAGGCTCTAGTATCCATTTCCTAATTAGAGGTACTGTAACAGTGTACTGTTTTGCAGAGGGTAGAAAAGTTACTGTCTTTTTTCCAGCTTCACCCTGATACTCCTAGACAACCAACAATCTGCATTCAGTTAATTAATATTCACTGAACAGCCTCTGTGTGTTTGACACTGAGCTGAGTAGTTTGGCAGCTACAGTAGAAAACTAAGGTGCTGTCCTTGACATTGTATCTGTTTTGTTTTTTGGTTTTTTTTTGTCGCCTAGGCTGTAGTGCAGTGGCACAGGCGGCTCACTGCAACCTCTGCCTCCCAGGTTCAAGCGATTCTCCTGGAGTAGCTGAGATTACAGGCACGCGCCACCATGCCCTGCTAATTTTTTTTGTAATTTTAGTAGAGGAGAGGTTTCATCGTGTTAGTCAGGCTGGTCTTGAACTCCTGACCTCAAGTGATCTACCCACCTTGGCCTCCCAAAGTGCTGGGAGTTTACAGATGTGAGCCACCGCGCCAGGGCTGTTTTTAAGGCAAGATGACCGTGAGAGAAAAATGAAAGAACTATATGGCAGGGTAGCTGATGAAGGTCTAAGAGATATGGAGTAGCATTTTTGGCCTTGTTTCTGTGCCAGTCCAGCTGCGGCCTCTGGCATACCTCCCTCCATCCATCTCAGGGGTTTTCTCCGGGTGGAGATGTAGCCGGCAACACCACTGCCCCTCCCCACTCCACAAACAGTGATTCTGATGCATGTCCTCCCCTTGAAGAGCAGCTCCGCCTCTGCCCCCACTGAGAAGGACTATTATAGAAGTTCAGCAGCCAGTGAGAGCTGGAGTGGTCAAGGCTTGCTTTGTAGGTAAAAACCAGATGGCCCTTGATGGATACTTAACATGGAGAAGGAAGGGAGGGAGGGAGGAAGGGAAGGGGAGGAAAGGAAGGAAGGAGAGAGAGGAAAGGAAGGAAGGAGGGAGAGGAAAGGAAGGAAGGAGGGAGAGGAAAGGAAGGAAGGAGAGAGAGGAAAGGAAGGAAGGAGGAAGAGGAAAGGAAGGAAGGAGGGAGAGGAAAGGAAGGAAGGAGGGAGAGGAAAGGAAGGAAGGAGAGAGAGGAAAGGAAGGAAGGAGCAAGAGGAAAGGAAGGAAGGAGCAAGAGGAAAGGAAGGAAGGAAGGAGAGGAAAGGAAGGAAGGAGAGAGAGGAAAGAAAAGGAAAAGAGAGGAAGGAAGATGGGAGGGAGTTCAGGTAAGAACAACAATGTGAAGCACAAGGCCGCAAGGATGTTCTTGAAACCATCACAGAGTCCATGCTGGGAAGGATTACTCCAAGGTTCACTTCAACCAGTGTATTGAGAGCAGTACTCTGTTGGGCACCAAGGATGTGAGTAGATAAGACACAGTCCCTCTTCTGCAGGCTGTTGTGTTGCAGGGGGAGACAGGCAAGGTGGGAGGCTGGAGTGCAGAGGCTCAGGAGGGCCAGGCTGAGTCAAGCTTCCCTGTGCAAAGACAAGAATGGGATTGTTAAGCCCGAGAGCGAGATGATTAAAGCTGGGTGGCACCAAGATGACCGCCGAATGGGCTCGCAGAAGGAAGCGCTGCACCCAAGGGGGTCAGCTAGCTGGCTGTTAAACAGACCTACCTTCCTTACTATGGCCTGGCCTGGTGTGGTGGTGGGAATATGGGAATACGGAGAAGGGAATCCATCCTTCAGGCCTCACGGTCCTTGAAGCAGGGAGCCCGTGGACAGGCTTTCCTAGCAGCACATCATCTGGAAGGTCCCTCGCTACAGTGTTCTTCCATCCAGTCCCACCTCGAGTGGACCAGAAAGCGCCCTCAGTGGGATGGCAGCCATCCTCTGTCATACACTTCCAAAGGGACTTTCCCTTAGAGTTTTCCATTTTTCATAGCCCATTCTCTTCCACAGAGGTCAGATAACTGTTTATTTTATAAAGTTCACATTTTTGAGATTTCTCATCTACTTTAGGGTTTAAACAGTGTCATCGGTGGATGCGTCCTTTTTCCCCAGGAGTCCTGCTTGTTGACTGCCATTTTGTCTGAACTTAGTCCCTGGTTTCCTAAAGGATCTTCCTGCCACCCCCATCCTCCATTGGTCCATAGATTTAAAAAGCTTTTCTTGACGTTGCTCTTGTCACGCAGAATGTAACTGCAATGAACATTCCATCTCTTGTCACTTTGACATGGCTGTTTACCTGGCCACGGGGAACGTCAGCGGAGGCGTGTGTGATGACTGTCAGCACAACACCATGGGGCGCAACTGTGAGCAGTGCAAGCCGTTTTACTACCAGCACCCAGAGAGGGACATCCGAGATCCTAATTTCTGTGAACGTATGTTGAGAAATGTCACTCACTGTGTGGGACCTACTTCAGATTGCCTTCCAAACTGAATAGTCAGTAGTCTCAGAGCTCATAGTATGAGCAGTAAAGCCAGCATTGTTATTGTAATTGCAGTTGAAGACGCTGGGAGTGGAATTTACTTGGTAGTTGTGCTGCTTTTAGTCGACTTTTGTGAGATTTAGAGGGAGGAAGGGAATATATGTATTTATACAAAGATACATTGAGTTTCCTCCTGATTTTAACCTGGTGCTTTGCATTCTTCTCAGGATGTACGTGTGACCCAGCTGGCTCTCAAAATGAGGGAATTTGTGACAGCTATACTGATTTTTCTACTGGTCTCATTGCTGGCCAGTGTCGGTGTAAATTAAATGTGGAAGGAGAACATTGTGATGTTTGCAAAGAAGGCTTCTATGATTTAAGCAGTGAAGATCCATTTGGTTGTAAATGTAGGTCTGTTTGCTAAAAAGTTTGGGAGTTTTCTTGTGTTTGAAATTCCCATTTTACTTTGTAATTCCAAAGCCAGATTATTATTTGAAACTCACGTGGTCTGTGTTTCTCCACTTCATTTTGTTTTAATACAGCTTGTGCTTGCAATCCTCTGGGAACAATTCCTGGAGGGAATCCTTGTGATTCCGAGACAGGTCACTGCTACTGCAAGCGTCTGGTGACAGGACAGCATTGTGACCAGTGCCTGGTAAGTAAATCCTCATTACGTGGGATGGGTGGTTGGTGAGGATGACATGTTTTAATAGAGAAGCCTTTTCGCCATTGTAGAGTCTGCGATCACCCTCACGTGTACGTGTTAAAAGACATGAGTAGACAATGCACACAATAGGAATTACTAATGGATGATTTCACAAGATGTTCACCATCCCTGTTAGAAGTGTAAAGGAAAGCCACAATAAAATACCACTTTTATAGACACAATTAACACAAGTTTTTAAAAATGGGAATGTTTACTATTAGGATATCATGAGGTACTGCTACTTCTTGGCTGCTGGTGGGCATCCATATTGGTTTGTACTTTTGTGAAAAGCATTTTGGAGATACATATCAGTAGCTTGTAGAAATGGGCATACCCTTTGACCCAGTAACCCCACCTCTGGGAATCTATTCTAATGAAATAATCAGAAAATTGGACAAAGATTTATTCTCCAGAAGACTCATTGCATCTTTTATTAATCATAGCAGAAGACTTGGAAACAACAGTGGAAAAATAGTTAAGTGTGGGGACTTCTATACAATGTAATATTTGGTTGCCACTGAAAATGACAATAACATCAGGAAATGCTCATGCTGCTTGCTATATTTAAAAAAAAAAACACACACAGGATATGAATAGTATCTTGATTAAGTAGGAAATAAAATTCATCAAGGAAAACAAAATCTGGAAGGAAATACACCAAAAAGTTCACTGTAATAATTCCAAGTAGGATAATTATGAGATAAGTTTTTAAAAATCTGTATTTTTAATAACATTGTTATACTTTCTAATTTAGGGAGGATTCACTACCCCCAAATTATTACCATTAAATATGTATATTTATATATAATCTTAATATATTCTTAAAGGAGATTTCTGGAAGTCTAAATTGATGAGCCTGGTCAGGTGTGATGACTCATACTTGTAATCTCAGTGCTTTGGGTGGCCAAGGCAGGAGGAATGCTTGAGATCATGAGTTTGAGACCAGCAAGACCCCATCTCTAAAATTTTTTAAAATCATAAATAAAATAGGCTGGGCACAATGGCTCACACCTGTAATCCCACCACTTTGGGAGGCTGAGGCAGGTGGATCACTTGTCAGGAGTTCAAGACTAGCCTGGCCAACATGATGAAACGCCATCTCTACTAAAAATAATAGAAAAATTAGCTGGGTGTGGTGGCACATGCCTGTAATCCCAGCTACTCGGGAGGCTAAGGCAGGAAAATTGCTTGAAACCAGGAGGCGGAGGTTGTAGTGAGCTGGGATCACACCACTGCACTCCAGCCTGGGCAACAGAGCAAGACTTCATCTCAAAAAAATAAATAAAATAAATTGGTGAACCTGTTTTTATATACTCATTTTTGAAGTGCACAGAGCTCCTCTTCCCTACTGTTCCATTTCTCTTTATTTCCATCTCTGGTGCTCTAAAGATCTGATTTCCTCGTGGCTCAGTGGTGAGAATAGTCGTAGCTGTATGCTACATTTCCACATAAATTCTTGGAGGGCTTTCTGTATGGGATTGATGACAGACTGAACTGAGGGCAGATTTAAAGGCCTGCCAAATCCTTGCCATAATTCTCTTACAGCCAGAGTAATTATAATGAGGAAAATTGGTATCTTTACTGCTTGCTCTTCTTAGTTGTTGGATGGAGGTTATCTATAGGGCAGAGCAGCTAGTCTTTGACCTGGCACGATCCTGTGATTGTGAACGGCTCTCTTACGCCAGTGCCTACAGCTCAGGTTTCTTGATTTCAGAATACTCCTTCCTTTTGTTGGCTTTCTGCTTTAATGATGAAAATGAGCATTTGGTGGAACAGCCGAAACAAGCTTTAACTTGCTTGTTGCTGAGTCTGTTGCATAATTACAGAAACCTACCGTTACATGTTTCACGTTTTGTTCTGCAGCCAGAGCACTGGGGCTTAAGCAATGATTTGGATGGATGTCGACCATGTGACTGTGACCTTGGGGGAGCCTTAAACAACAGGTAAATGGAGCTCTACGTATGCTCTTGTCCTCAGTCTTCCAGGAAAGTCATGACTTACAGGAATGGGTGACATTCAGTTGTTTCTCAAAAAGACATGCAAAATATTTTTTGTATGTCTTGATAAATGTGTGTAGGTACCTCTATGGACTAGATTCCCAGTGATGGAACTGCTAAGTCAAAGTACATATGTATTTTTAATTTTAATAGAGAATGTTAGGTTGTTCCAGACATATTGAACTAGTTTATTTTCCTATCAGTTACAAAAGTACCTTTTCCCCCATCCCCAGCAACAGTTGGTATCATCAACCATTTTATTTTTCAACAATCTAAGCACATGGAAAATGGACTCCTGTTTTGATTTGTGTAGAGAATCTTTTCATTTTCTTTTTTTCTTTTTTTTTTTTGTGACTTCCAAGTCCATTAATGAAAATCACATGAGATAATGTTGAGCTACTTAAATATGCTAGTATTCCTTGAATAAATGAAGCATAAAGCTCCACCAGAAGCTATCAGAACACACATTTGGCAAGATGTTAAATCTGTGGGAGTTTAACCACCTTCGAGTCAAAGAGAATGTTGGTCTCTGTTCCTGGCTCAGAGTCAGAACATCTGGAACAGATAGTGTAAGTGACTGCTGAGAGAATAGACAGATGTTTCCCTGTGGCCTTGAGTCTTCCCAGAGAGAACACTCTGAATTCATTGAGCAAGCTTCATGTACTCAAAAATGGACTTTCTTTCCCAATTATTTCCCAACACCATAGTAGTCTGCTGGGAAGGAATGAGGTATTCAGCAGCAAGAACATGTTGTGTTTGTCCTCTTTATTTGGGTTTGTTCTGTTCGAGGTCGTGCCATAGACCCAGTACAGCATGTAGCCTCTGAAATCCGGTGTGAATATCTGTTCTTAGAAAACCTCCAGAGAGGAGGAAGCTAGGATAATTCCATAAAAGCAGGGAAGAAAGACAGAATGCTGTCTGCTTGTGGAATCACTTTTCTGACTTTTCCTTTGTGACTCCCAGAACACATGTTGAATCCTTTAGTAAATGACTCCTCAGTTCAAAGCTGTCATCACTCCTAAAGTCCTTCTTGATGAGATAAAAGTGGCATATGCAATTCCCCAAATTATGTCATAAACTCAGGAATGTCCTATGATTCTTAACCCTAAGTAAGTTTTGTTCCTACACTCCCTTCCTCTTTTTCTCTATTCCATACACACTTCCTGTCTGTCTCCACCCACGCACAGGCCCTAGCCTGCCCTCTAATCTCTTGTGCAAAAATTTATAAAAACCAGAATGTATTCACCAAGAGAGTTTGGGAAGCAAAATTGTCTAGTAAAGATTTTTAAAGCAGGTAATCATCTGATCTTTCTAGCATGATTGATGGGATGCCCTATCTTTGAGAATCATTGGTGGAGGGGAAAAAAAGAACATTTAAAGATGCCTTGTAGTCTGGTGACTCTAGAGTGTTTTATGGTGAGCCTTTTCAAAGTTGTTGTCCCTCAAGAGGAATTTCCCCAGGAGCCCCTTAGGCAGGGTCAACTGAAGCACTGATTCTACTGGGAGATGTGCACAGATGCCGCTTGGGAAATGTTTACTGGATGATTGGTTTGTTGCAATCACTCATCAAAACCTTTTACCTGATATTTCTTTTTACGTAGTAAAAGAAATACGTTGTAGGTACTGAATAAATGCTGATTGAGTAGAATTTAAAAATAAAAGATTTCTAAGATGTTAAAAACTAGATATGTACTCCTTAGAGAGGCAATCTCTAAATGTGATCCCAGACACTCCTTAGTTACTTTGTTGAGGGACAGAATTAACCATAAAAATCACTGGAAGTGGTAAAAGCTTTAAGATGTTTTGTATAGTGAGCTAAATGGATTTTTGGTAGTACAACAAAAGTTTAATAATCCATGTCTATTATATTGACAACTAACCTGAACTTTGGAATAATTAAAGAAGTGGCCAGGCGCGTTGGCTCATGCCTGTAATCCTAGCACTTTGGGAGGCCGGCGCGCCAGATCACCTGAGGTCAGGAGTTCAAGACCAACCAGGCCAACATGGTGAAACCCTGTCTCTACTAAAAATACAAAAATTAGCCAGGCGTGGTGGCACCTACCTGTAATCTCAGCTACTTGGGAGGCTGAGGCAGGGAGAATCGCTTGAACCTAGAAAACAGAGGTTGCAGTGAACCAAGATCACGCCATTGCACTCCAGCCTAGGCAACAGAGCAAGACTCTGTCTCAAAGAAAAAAAAAAAATAATAAGACCTAATTAATTTAAATAATCTAACTGAAGCCAAGTTAATGAAGTTTTGCCTAGTAGATTACCTGTTTTAATGAAAAAGAATTGGCATTGGTTGCTAGGTAAATGCTACTTGTAAATGTTTAATAACATTGAAAAATATAAACATTTTTACAGCATCCTTCAAGATTATTTTAACAATGAAATGTAGAGTTTTCATATCTGGCTTGAAGCCCACCCCCCCCTTTTTTTTTTTTTTTTTGAGACAGAGTTTCGCTTTGTCACCTAGACTGGAGTGCAGTGGCATTGATCTTGGCTCACTGCAACCTCCGCCTCCTGGGTTCAAGCGATTCTCCCACCTCAGCCTCCCGAGTAGTTGGGACTACAGGCACCAGCTACCACACTCAGCTAATTTTTGTATTTTTAGTAGAGACGGGGTTTCACCATGTTGGTCAGGCTGGTCTTGAACTTCTGACCCTCAAGTGATCTGTCTGCCTCAGGCTCCCAATGTGCTGGGATTATAGGCATGAGCCACCATGCCTGGCCCCACCTCTTTTTTGAACTCACCGTGGTGAAGCCCCGAACCCTCCCTTGATGCATTGCTTCTGCATCTCTTTTAGCATTTATTTTGCTCTTATAGTTGTGTTAAAAAGGTCTCTTTGGACAGAGATTATGTCATCTTTGTTTTTGCATCTCACTTGGCACCCAGCACGGTGGACCTGGCAGGTACTCAATAAATGAGGGACTAAAATTTATTGTACTTCGAATCCAGAACGGAAGTTAGTAGATATTTTTATCATTGTATTGAATGACTATGGTGTAGCTAACCCTTTGTTAATTATAATCATGTACTGCATAATAACATTTCAGTCAAGGATGGACCACACATACAACGGTGGTCCCATAAGATACTGTATTTTTACTGTAGCTTTTCTACATTTTGATATGGTTGAATACACAAGTTCTTGTCATTGTGTTACAATTGCCTATGGTATTCAATACAGTAATATGCTGTACAGGTTTGTAGCTTAGGAGCAATAGGCTATACTCTACAGCCTGGGTGTGTAGTAAGCTATACCATCTAGGTTTGTGTAAGTACACTATGATGGTCACACAACAACAAAATTGGCGAACAACACATTTCTCAGAACATATCCCAGTCATTAAGTGACACATGACTATACTGTGATAGAACAGGATTATAGGACGTAGGTCTTACCAAAAAGAAAGTGTCCTAGTTGGGGGTGGGGAGGAATGCCACCCTGAGAAAATGAATGGTGCTGACGGAACACTGTGGTTGGTTATTATGAATGATGTTTTTTATGCTTTAATATTTTTCTGCCTAATTCCTTAGTAATAGGGAAATGTTAAAATTCCATTTTCTTTATTCACCACCATTTAAATGAAATGGAATTTTTAAATGTTGCCAATTTCTATATTTATGATTTTTTTTTTTTTTTTTTGAGACGGAGTCTCGCTCTGTCGCCCAGGCTGGAGTGCAGTGGCGCGATCTTGGCTCACTGCAAGCTCCGCATCCCAGGTTCATGCCATTCTCCCGCCTCAGCCTCCCAAGTAGCTGGGACTACAGGCACCTGCCACCATGCCCGGCTAATTTTTTGTATTTTTAGTGGAGATGGGGTTTCACCGTGTTAGCCAGGATGGTCTCAATCTCCTGACCTCTTGATCCGCTCGCCTCGGACTCCCAAAGTGCTGGGATTACAGGCGTGAGCCACCACACCCAGCCATAAATGTATTTTTTTAAGAAATAATCTTGGCCTTCACCCACTGAGAAAACATAGAGCCTGTATCAGTTTTCTATTGCTGCCATAACAAATTACCACAATTTGGTTGTTTAAAACAATATAAGTTTATTATTTTCCAGTTCTATGTGTCAAATACAGTCTCAGTGGACCAAAATCACGATGTTGGTAGGGCTGCATTGTTTTCTAAGGCTCTAAAGGAGAATCTGTTTCCAGCTAATTTGGGTTGTTGGCAGGATTCTGCTCCTTGCAGTCGTAGGCTGAGGTTCCCCTTCTTTTGCTGGCTGTCATCTAAGGGCTATTCTTGTCCTCTAGAGCTGCCCACATTCCTTGACTCATGGTCCCCTCTCTCCATCTTCAAAGGTACCACTGGGTCAAATCCTTCTTATGTCACAGCTCTCTGACCTACTTACTTCCCTGCCTGCCTCTCCCACTTTTAAGAATTTATGTGATTAGATTGGACCCACCCAGATCATCCAATAATCGCTCCATCTTGATGTCCTTACCCTTAATCACATCTGCAAAGTTCCTTTTGCCATATGAGGTAACATCCCACAGATAACAGGGATGAGGATGTGGACATCTTTGGGGGCCATTATTCTGCCTCACACAGGCCTTATTTATTTTATGTCCTTATTCTCCCTTACTGATTTAATGAAATTGAATCTCTAGTTTACAGAGAAATTTGTAGAGAATACATAAGAATCTAAGATGTGCCATTTCTATCAGATTTGATTTTTACTTGAACACAGGAGAGAGTAATTACATGTAATAAATCATTGGTATCACTGTGAAGAAGCCAGGATTTGTGCTTGAGTTTTGAAAGCTGAGATTTGAAAGGTGCGATTAGTGAGCAGGGGAGGGCCTCCGAGCTGGGAGGGAAAAGATGGGTAAAGGCACAGAGATGGGAATGACTGTAGCAAGGTCGAGATCTGGTCTGATCTTGACCATCTCTGCCCACATTCCCCCATCACCCTCTTTGCTCCTGTTATTCCTGTCCTCTCTCTGCCTGTCAAGTCCTCTCCAGGCTTTAAGGACACCTCTTTCATGACGCCTCCCTCAGTCTTCTCAATCAGATGAATCATATCTTCTTCTCCCTTAGTGCTTTGCTTGTAACTCTATCAATGCATAGGTTCTTACTGCATTTTGATTTGTTGCATTGGTTAATTTCTTTATTGTTTATCCCCAATTAGACTGTAAGTTCTTGAAGACAGGGACTATTTTTTTTTCTATTTCTCTTTCTGTATATCATTTAGCCAGAAATAATAGACTTAGTGAGGAAGTAAGGATTCATTCAGAACAAAGTTCACAATGGACTAAAATGTGAGAATACCTGCACTGGGAAGCAAGGCTGCTAGGGCCAATATTTGATCAGTAAATATTTGCTGAAGAGTATGAGGAGTGTGGCTCATTGGAAAGCAAAGAGTCGGCACCAGAAAGAGAAGCCGTTTTCAGAGGATGGGTTATGGAGGCTGCAGAAAGCCAGGCAGAGGCATCATGGCTTGATATCATAAGAAACAATTGTGGGTTTTCGTGAAACAATGAAAGCAGCACTGTAGGAAGATCGGTTGGCCCGTGGTAGACAGGATGGACTAGGCAGAAGAGGAAGAAGAATTTGAGAGGTCAGTTTAGGAGATTGTTAGAGTAACAGGTATGGGGTGATGCCATCCTGGACTGACGCAGTGGCAGTGGCAGTGACAATGAGAGGAAGCTGCTAAGTTGAGAAACATTTTGAAGTAAAAGCTGAGTATTGGGATAAAGGAAAGAGAAGGTGATGTCTCACCTATACCATGAGAAGAATTTTAAATCTACTGGCAGAAACAGCAGAGCTGAGGATAAGAAGTCAGTGTGGGTGGTGATGATCTGTTTGGGACAAGATGAATTAGAGATGACAGCTGGCCAGTCCATGGAAATGTCCCATTGATGGCTGGAAATAGAGAAGCAGAGCCCAGCCACCTGCTGGGTGCTGAGAGCTGTAGGGTGAGGGCCATCTGCATAGGAAAGCCACAAGAATGAGTTCACTGAAGGAGCCAGTGTTGAATCAGAGCCATGCCTATCTGTGATGACAATTCAAGCCTGTGGACACAGACTTGTGATTGGCAGGGCCGCTGTTAAGGGAATTCCTTTCACATGATCAGCTCTCATGGAGCCATTCCTTGTTTAGAATTGTGCTGCAGATAGAGGCAGCACCGGGAGCCTGCTGGCGCCTTTGTCCTCACCTTCATTTGCTCGTTCTCTAATGGTTGCATGTGAAGGTCTAGTTGTTTTCTTCTTTGGTGGTTCATGTTTTGGATATTTGTTGTCTCAGTAAACATCTGGGGAGGAAAGAATTTTCTTTTGTCCATATGATGTAATGTCTGATGCCTGAATTTCTGAAAATAGCTTTTGTTCATGGACTGTGCCAAAAGAAGGCTAGGTCCTAATTGGAACAAGCTTTCCTTTCTTGGGAATTGGCTATGGGACGTTAAGAATTCCTATTCCTGGCTGGGCGTGGTGGCTTACACCTGTAATCCCAGCACTTTGGGAGACCGAAGCAGATGGATCACGAGGTCAGGAGATTGAGACCAGCCTGGCCAATATGGTGAAACCCTGTCTCTACTAAAAATACAAAAATTAGCCAGGCATGGTGGCAGTCGCCTATAGTCCCAGCTACTCAGGAGGCTGAGGTGGGAGAATCGCTTGAACCCAAGAGGCGGAGGTTGCAGTGAACCGAGATCGTTCCACTGTACTCCAGCGTGGGCGACAGTGCGAGACTCCATCTCAAAAATAAAAAAATAATAATAATAAAAAGAGTTCCTATTCCTGTAGGATAACAACATGATACACAAAAAGAGGACTTCAGCTATGCTGCGGCAGGGTCGTTTAGGATTTTATTTATTTATTTATTTATTTTGAGATGAAGTCTCACTCTGTCACCCAGGCTGGAGTGCAATGGCATGATCTCGGCTCACTGCAACTTCCACCTCCTGGTTTCAAGTGATTCTCCTGTCTCAGCCTCCCGAGTAGCTGAGATTACAGGTGTGTGCCCCTACACCTGGCTAATTTTTTGTATTTTCAGTAGAGACGGGGTTTCACCATGTTGGCCAGGCTGGTCTCAAACTCCTGCAAGTGATCCACCTGCCTTGGCCTCCCAAAGTGTGGGATTATAGACGTGAGCCACTGCGCACCCGGCCTTGGGACATTTTTAATAAGCCTGTGAGTGCAAAGTGTTCCTGTGAGTTGCAACTTGCCTTAGGTACCTTGTTTAAAACTTTGGGATGAGAAAAAAAGAAAGAACAAACCTTGAGAATGAGTTGAAAGTAACAATTCCAAACCACAGCTCTTCTTTAAGTGAAGTAAAAATGGATACATGTAATTTGAGTTTTGTATTGTATACAAAATTATGATACTAATAAAAGGGACATAAGCTGAGAACAGAAGTTTCACTCTTGTTGCCCAGGCTGGAGTGCAATGGCGTGATCTCAGCTCACCTCAACCTCTGCCTCCCGGGTTCAAGCGATTCTCGTGCCTCAGCCTCCCAAGTATCTGGGATTACAGGCCTGCGCCACCACGCCCAGCTAATTTTGTATTTTTAGTAGAGATGGGGTTTCTCCATGTTGGTGAGGCTGGTCTCGAACTCCCAACCTCAGGTGATCCGCCTGTCTCGGCCTCCCAAAGTGCTGAGATTACAGGCGTGAGCCACCGTGCCCAGCCGCATTTCTTATATTTAGCATAGCATAGCCAATGGAAAGGGGGAAGAGAGACACAAGATGCAGAAGTAAAAATCACAGAATTTGGTTCCTGATGGAGTGTGAAGAAAGAATCTGGAGAAGAACGGGGACTAAATTTCTGACTTGGTTGACTCAGCAGGTGGTAGTGCCTTCACCCTGATAGAGACCATCCGAGGGATTGAGGGCTTCTGTCTTAGATCCGTTGGTTTGGGATGCTCTGGGACAGCCAAGCTGGAGATGTTCTTCAGGGAGCTGGATATTTGAGCCTAAATCTCAGGAAATAAGCAAAAGATGTAACATGCCAAAGCAAGAAGGTTTGGGATGTGGAAAACCTTCATGTGATGCGGACGGCGTGTTAGTCAAGAGAGGGCAAGGGAGGTAAAACCGAGAAGACCAGGTTCTCAGCCACGCTTCTGGAGTTTGGGATTAATCCATAGGCACTACTTTTTTCCACATATGTATTTTCTGAAGAAAACAAGAACATGCTATGTATTTGGTCCTGTGTACTGAGTAATGGCAGCTGTAGAGCTGCTTCTGGCGGGTTGACTCGCGTGACCATGAACTCAGCTGATGTGGCTCCTCCTCCCTTCCAGTTGCTTTGCGGAGTCAGGCCAGTGCTCATGCCGGCCTCACATGATTGGACGTCAGTGCAACGAAGTGGAACCTGGTTACTACTTTGCCACCCTGGATCACTACCTCTATGAAGCGGAGGAAGCCAACTTGGGGCCTGTGAGTAGGGGAGTGTGTGGCAGGTCGGTAAAGCAGTGTTTTGGGGTGTAGTGGAACATACATGCTTTGTAAAGACCCCATTTCAGAAGCATTTTTATAGCTTTGTCAGTGAGCACAAAATAAGGATCAGGACCATGCCTTCCTGAGAAGAGTCATATTTAAAGCTAAGTAATTCTATAACTCACAAATTGGCTTTGGAGCATTCACTGATAAGGCTTTTGGTTGGTTTAAGAAATGTGTCTTTACAAGAAACTTTTCTTCTCTCTACTTATGCTCCAAAGTTATCAACCTAGCATGGTAAATACTGAGGCAAGGATATTTTTTCATCTATTCATCCCCAAATTTAGTGACTTTAAATGTATGCCTGGCTCTTGAGCTGGGGTGGCTGAAACAGCTGGAGGCTGGCTGGGCATTTCTCTCCACACGAACACGACCTTTCTTTTTTCTTTTTTTCGAGACTGAGTTTCGCTCTTATTGCCCAGGCTGGAGTGCAGTGGCACTATCTCAGCTCACCACAACCTCCGCCTGCTGGGTTGAAGCGATTCTCCTGCTTCAGCTTCCCGAGTAGCTCGATTATAGGCATGTGCCACCACGCCTGGCTAATTTTGTATTTTTAGTAGGGATGGGGTTTCATCATGTTGGTCAGGCTGGTCTCGAACTCCCGACCTCAGGTGATCCGCCCGCCTTGGCCTCCCAAAGTGTTGGGATTACAGGCGTGAGCCACTGTGCCTGGCGATAGTGAGATTTCTTAGATGGCTTCCAGCTTCCAAAAAGAGGAAACAAGCTGCCAGCTCTCTGAAAGCTTGGACTCAGAAGTCCTAGAAAGTTCCTCAGGTTCTGTTGGTCACAAGTCACAAGGATTCATGGAAAGGATAACATAGTTTGCACCTCTTGATGGGTAAGGCCACACACGGGTACATACAGATACATACAGGGAATGAAAGAGTTGATCCCAGCCATTTTTGGATATGACCAACCACAGGTATTAAAAAATAACCCTGTAAACAATTAATCAGAATTAACTCATCAGTTGTGAACATTCATTATATCAAGTTTCTTCACTTGAAAATGGAGCCTGAAACTAATGCCAGTATGAGAGACAGAAATCCACTAGATACTGGACTAACCTTATGGAGAATCTGGGAAGCACCTTATGATTCCTAGACTTGCTTATAACGGCATGTGGGATGTTCTCTTTTTTCTTTTATGCTTACTCTCCTGGTCATATCAAATAAGGTATATCCCAAGCCTTTGAGTGCTATATCCAGTGTCCCAAGACTGCTCCAACCACAAAACTAAAAAGAAACCAGTTTCCTGTTTGGATATCAGAAACTTTTTACAATCTATTAGGGGAGATTTGACTATAAAAAATAGACATAAGGTAGCCACCCTTTTTGAATCTTTGGGTGACTTCGGATTACTTTGACTATTGAAAATTATTGAATTCCATTTCAAATACAGAATAACCATTGTTTGCCATGCCCTCAGGGGGTTAGCATAGTGGAGCGGCAATATATCCAGGACCGGATTCCCTCCTGGACTGGAGCCGGCTTCGTCCGAGTGCCTGAAGGGGCTTATTTGGAGTTTTTCATTGACAACATACCATATTCCATGGAGTACGACATCCTAATTCGCTACGAGCCACAGGTAAAGAAACCACTTAGTGGACTGGTGGAGGAGGGAGGGGAGAATCAGTAGAAAAATAGTACTTCTAATGGGTATTATATATAGTTATGAAATATGGAGGTTGCATTAGAACAGATCAGATTCCTATAGTCTCACCTCCTCCATGGAAGTTAAAATAAATGTACCATTTTCTTTCTTTCTTTTTTTTTTTTTTTTTTGAGTCTCGCTCTGTTGTCCAGGCTGGAGTGCAGTGGTGCCATCTCGGCTCACTGCAATCTCCGCCTCCCGGGTTCAAGCGATTCTCCTGCCTCAGCCTCCTGAGTAGCTGGGATTACAGGCATGCGCCACCATGCCCAGCTAATTTTTGTATTTTTAATAGAGACGGGGTTTCGCCATGTTGGCCAGGCTGATCTTGAACTCCTGACCTCAGGTGATTCGCCCGCCTCAGCCTCCCAAAGTGCTGGGATTACAGGCGTGAGCCACCACACCCAGTCAAAACGTACCATTTTCTTGAATCCAGTTTCTCAAACGTAGTGATCTTTTGTGAGGCACTCAACCTTGCTGACGACTGAGGTGGTGATGAGGATGTATGAGATCCTCTCCTTCCCTCACAACCTGGCTGTGCAGTGACAGACTGAAGCCCCGAACTGTAACGAAAGACTGAAGGTGACGGTGTAACAGCAGAGAGATGCATGATCCTAGAAGATGGGCATGCACCAGCCAGCCCGAGCCAGGGCTACCAAAACGTTTTCCTAGAGAATCAGAGCTAGGCCTTAAAGTGTGAATGGAATTGTGGAAAGTTGGCACAAAAGTAAGAAATAGTGTGAGTGGAAGAGAGAAGAGAGGGTTTTGTTTTTATTGAGAATCATTCCACATAGCTTGATGAGAGATATGGTTGGAGATGCTGTTGGCAAAAATACTAGGATTAGTAAAGGAATTTGGACTATAATATTCACAGGAAGCTATTGAAGCATTTCAAGCAGGGGATTGTCATTATCTGAGCTGCTTTAAAGTGGACTGAAAGGGACATTGGGAAGAGGCAGAAAACAGTTGAGAGGTGTTTCAGCATCCAGGGCAGAAGGGATTTGGGCTGGAACCAGGGGAGTAGCAGAGGTAGTAGTAAAGAGAAAAGTGAAGAGCAACTGTTTGTTTTCCATTTCAACTTGGCAATTGATTGATTCAGAGAGGTCTTTTTATAAACAGGCAGTGGTGGGCTAACTATCTTTTCATTGTTTGTTTCTTATTCTAGCTACCCGACCACTGGGAAAAAGCTGTCATCACAGTGCAGCGACCTGGAAGGATTCCAACCAGCAGCCGATGTGGTAATACCATCCCCGATGATGACAACCAGGTGGTGTCATTATCACCAGGCTCAAGGTCAGTGTGACGGTGGTTTGGCAGCTCAACGGGCTTCATATGCAAATTAGTATTTTTCTAATATTTTGCGAGTTTTCAAGTCACCATTTCAGAGCCAGACGTTGACTGCTGACTTTTTTCCTTTGGAATTATCGATGCAGAGCTTTGTTTTTAATTTTTATTTTTTGGATGCATGAAGGTTGACTTTCGTTGTTGTCTTTCTTTTTTGTTTGGGGGCAGATATGTCGTCCTTCCTCGGCCGGTGTGCTTTGAGAAGGGAACAAACTACACGGTGAGGTTGGAGCTGCCTCAGTACACCTCCTCTGATAGCGACGTGGAGAGCCCCTACACGCTGATCGATTCTGTAAGTGCGAGATTGCTTCTGGCATATGCAGGAAAGCCTGGGCGGAAAGTGCCCAGCTGCTCTCAGGGTGTTTTGTTGAGGGGTAATGCTGAGGCCAGCGTAAGCAGAATCATTCTTTCTTGCCTCCACGGTTACTTTGCTTATACTCCACCCCATGGAAAGGATTTATTCCTTCTAAAAATATAAAATGTCTTTTAAAAAAAACAGCATTTCACTAGGCGTAGTGACTCACACCTGTAATCCCAACACTTTGGGATGCTGAGGCAGGAGGATCATTTGAGGCCAGGAGTTCAAGACCAGCCTGGGCGACAAAGCAAGACCCCATCTCTAAAATAAAAATAAATAGCATTTAAAAGCCATCAAGCTGTGTAAAACATATCTAAAATTTCCTGCCAAGAGTATTTAGGAATAGGGAGGTTTATACTTTATTTAATGAGTCTAATGATTTCTGTTCAAGGGTCAAAGAAGCATTTGGGTTTTCTACACGTTTGCTTGCTTAAACCCATGCCATGGGGCACCACTGTAAGGATGTTTGGCCGTTCTCATTTCTTCACAGCTTGTTCTCATGCCATACTGTAAATCACTGGACATCTTCACCGTGGGAGGTTCAGGAGATGGGGTGGTCACCAACAGTGCCTGGGAAACCTTTCAGAGATACCGATGTCTAGAGAACAGCAGAAGCGTTGTGAAAACACCGATGACAGATGTTTGCAGAAACATCATCTTTAGCATTTCTGCCCTGTTACACCAGACAGGCCTGGGTAGGTATTGCTGGGCAGCTGCAGCAGCTGCTGTTTCTGGCTCTGAGTATATCTGGCACATGAAGTACAGTGGAGTGCCCACCCCCTAGCCCTGTGTTAGGCAGCACAAGGGAAATAGTGTCTCAGTTACAGTTTGTCTTTATCTTTTTAAGTAATATTTCAGTGAAAGAGCACCACTGAAGATGGAATTGATATTCAAGAAATATGCAAATAACAGGTGACCAGGGGAAAAGTCCATGAGGATAAAGCATTTCCATAAGCAGGGTAGGGAGAGGGGAATGGAATCAGAGAAGCATCAAATACCTGAAATGTATGTTTTTCTCTTTGAAACGTCAGACCATCCTCTGAAGGTCACTGGGCTTTGGTCTAATGTCCTGTGATATTTGAGCTTTGAAGGCAAGGGGAGAAAACATTAATGACCTCCTGCCTAGAAAAACTGTTTTGATCTGCCAACTCTGCCTCCCCTTTCTTCCCTTCCGCTCATCATAGGGATGATACTGTTTTAAACCAGAACTCTGAATAATCCAAAGTAGTTAAAGGAGAAAGGATCAGGGAGAGCCCGATGATGTGCTGCTCCGTGTCATGGGTTCTGGCCTCTCTTTACCCACAGCTTGTGAATGCGACCCTCAGGGTTCGTTAAGTTCCGTGTGTGATCCCAACGGAGGCCAGTGCCAGTGCCGGCCCAACGTGGTTGGAAGAACCTGCAACAGATGTGCACCTGGAACTTTTGGCTTTGGCCCCAGTGGATGCAAACGTAGGTTCCTCAAAAGCATTGTTATGCATTCATTCAGATTAACTCAGCCATTGTGGCAGGGTTCCATTGCTGCAGAGCCGATGCTTCCCTCCTGAAGTTGATCACACCAACCCATGAGCATTCTGAATTGGGGACAGGGTGCTTATAAAAGGAGCATGTTTCCATTGAATGAGTTTCTCAAGGCAGTTCCTTGTTTGCCTGTTTCTTTAGCTTGTGAGTGCCATCTGCAAGGATCTGTCAATGCCTTCTGCAATCCCGTCACTGGCCAGTGCCACTGTTTCCAGGGAGTGTATGCTCGGCAGTGTGATCGGTGCTTACCTGGGCACTGGGGCTTTCCAAGTTGCCAGCCCTGCCAGTGCAATGGCCACGCCGATGACTGCGACCCAGTGACTGGGGAGTGCTTGAACTGCCAGGACTACACCATGGGTCATAACTGTGAAAGGTATGCAGATGCTGAAAGTAAGGAGAATGTAGTGATCTCTGGCTGAGCAGACAGCATCTTAGACCAACCACAGAATTCATCTCCACCAGGCTTCAGCTCGCTCATTCATTTCTGACCACCTCACTATTTTCTAGGATCTTGTTTGTTTATCCAGTACATATTGAGTTGACATCCTCTATGTGCCAGGCACCGTTCTGGTGCTGGAGATACCGCAGAGAACAAAACTGACATGAATCCGTCCTCTTGGCGAGTCACCCTAGAGCTTACCATAGGGCTGTATAGAAATTCTGTCTGTCTCAGCAGATTCTGGCGGAGGATAAGAGTTGTGAAATGCTCCTGCCTAATTTAGGCGAAAGGAGAAACTAATCCAAATGGGATTAGTCATTTTAAATAGCTTTGTTTTTCAGAACGTTTTATGCAACTACAGTTTCCAGGAGACTCTATAAAACATGCCTAAGTAGATCTGTTCTCCAGTTAGCAAATGTCAGTTGAATAATCATTATGGATGTGCTAGATGTAGAGTAAGAATAGGAGAGAGAATATACCTCCATAACATTAATAGGATAGCTCAATAGATAAAAAATACTCCGTATGAAAAAGTTACCTGCTGACTTACACTGTTTATTACTAATTAAGAAATGCAGACAGTACTGTTAGAACTGGCTTTTTGGGCGTAATAGTCTCCACCTTTTCACTGTGATAATTTTTCTCTCTTCCAACATCCATTCGCCCTATCGAAGATATTTGTTTTTAAAAGTCACTTGTGAAACATTGCAGCAAGTGCTTCAGTCAGTGGTGAAGTTACTCATCAGGTGAAAGAGAAATTGTTAGTGAAAAACTGAGTATGTGATTAACTTTTGGCATGAAGATGTTCATGGAGGCAAACACGTGGCTCTCGGCTCAATGCTAGAACGGTACTCAAGAATTTGGAGGTCCCACGGACTACCCTTTGAATAAAAATTATCCCTTCCAACCTTAAAATTGTGTTGTAGAAAGATAGCAAGGACACAGTTATACAACAGTGAAAGGAGGAAATTAATATTTTGGGGTCATCTTTTTCTTTTCAGCCGTTTTCCATTATTGTTTTTTCAAAGAGAGATGGAGAATAAGTACGAGAGAAAGATATGAGAAAACAGAGAAAGACATGAGAAAAAGATTAACAGGGAGCAGAGAGAGGAGGGGGAACAGAAGCAAACAGCAAAGGGAGCTGCCACAATGCTGATTCAGAATCAGCACTCACACTGTAGAATGCATTTGAACGAACATCATGTCAGAATGGCATAGTTGATATCTGTGACCAGCTTTGGATTTTATTTGTAAAGGGTTTTGAGAATGAGAAAGGGTATGGGAGAAGGAAGATTTTTAACAATAGGTTTGGGTGGCAAACACTTGATTTTAAGTATTTGGAATTCTACTATCTAGTTTGAGCCAGTTTCTCATCATTCTTTTTTCTCATTCCAAGATAACCAGAGTTTCAATCCTGTGAATTTACAAAAAAACTCTACACTTAGATTGTCCCCAAGGGGAGGCAAGAAATGAACACTCAGTTTCTATCATGATGTATTTGGATTGCCTCCAAAAGACTTGAGAAACAAATTGAATTGGAAATCCTTGGACCTCAGTTCCTGGCCCAATTCTGCTTCTAACTTGCTTTCTAACCTTGGGTGAGTTAGGATATCCAGCTTCTAGAAAATTTTTTTGAGACGGAGTTTTGCTCTTGTTGCCCAGGCTGAAGTACAGTGGTGCAATCTCAGCTCACTGCAACCTCTGACTCGCAGGTTCAAGCAATTCTCCTGCCTCAGCCTCCCAAGTAGCTGGGATTACAGGCTTTTTGTTGTTGTTGTTGTTTGTTTGTTTTGAGATGGAGTCTCATTCTGTTGCTCAGGCTGGAGTGCAATGGTGCGATCTTGGCTCACTGCAACCTCTGCCTCCTGGGTTCAGGTGATTCTCCTGTCTCAGCCTCCCAAGTAGCTGGGATTACAGGCACAGGCCACCATGCCTGGCTAATCTTTTGTATTTTTAAGGGAGATGGGGTTTCACCATGTTGGCCAGGCTGGTCTCAAACTCCCAACCTCAGGTGATCCACCCGCTGCAGCCTCCCAAAATGCTGGGATTACAGGGGTGAGCCACCGCACCTGGCCGGAATATCCAGCTTTTCATAAGTAGAATAACTAGGTTGGATGAGATTGTCTCCAAAGTTCCTTCAAGATGTTATGTTGTAGGACATAAAAAAGTAACATAATTACCATTCACCTTGACAAGCAGGCTAACATAGTAAAAGAATGTATTGCTTTAAGGACCCCAAATTCAAATTCTGGCTCATTATTTAACTAGTTGTATAAACTTTGAGAATCCTTTGACCTCCCTGTATTTGTTATCTTTAAAGAGTGGGATTGACATGTTGGATATGGGAATTAATAAGTAACATGACCCATCCCTGCCTGAGTTTGGAACCACCTGAGAGACAAACACAGGGGCTACACAGCTGGAGAGCACCCCTGTCACCCCCTCAGCTCCAGTACTGGGAAAAGCTGGGTTATAGCACATGGCTTTAGACCTGTGGCCACCGTGGGCTTGCCAACACATCACCCCTCTCAGGCATAGGCAGAGGCTGACAGGTATAAGCCCCGCCTAGGAGGACAGACTCTGTAATACAAGGAGGGAGCAGAACTGAATGGTCAGGACAGGCAGGCAGCTGATAGAACAATCAAGTGCACATGGGGAGAGGTGGCTCTTCCTCTGGGGAGCAGTGAGTGAGGGGCCAGATGAAGCCATGGGTGTCACTCGAACGCAGTGGTCCTGCAAGTAGGATCCCTAGATCAGCAGCATCAATATTATCGGGGACCTACTGAATCAGAAACTCGGTGGGAGGAGCCCAGTCATCTGTTTCAGGTGATTGTGATTGAAGCTAAAGTTTGAGAACCACTGTTCCCATAGTAAATCTTCCACATGAAAACATAAAGAGAGGTGGGCAGATCACCTGAGGTCAGGAGTTTGAGACCAGCTTGACCAACATGGTGAAACCCCATCTCTACTAAAAATATAAAAATTAGGCTGGGTATGGTGGCTCACACCTGTAATCCCAGCACTTTGGGAGGCTGAGGTGGGTGGATCACCTGAGATCAGGAGTTCAAGACCAGCCTGGCCAACATGGTGAAACCCTGTCTCTACTAAAAATACAAAAATTAGCCGGGCATGGTGGTGCATGCCTATAATCCCAGCTACCTGGGAGGCTGAGGCAGGAGAATTGTTTGAACCAGGAGGTGGAGGTTGCAGCGTGCTGAGATCGTGCCACTGCACTCCAGCCTGCGCAACAGAGCGCGACTCCATCTCAAAAACAAACAAAAAAACAGCCAGGTGTGGTGGTGTGTGCCTGTAGTCCCAGCTACTTGGGAGGCTGAGGCAGGAGAATCACTTGAACCCAAAAAACAGAGGTTACAGTGAGCTGAGATAGTGCCACTGCACTCCAGCCTGGGTGACAGAGCAAGATTCTGTCTCAAAGAAAACATGAGGAGTGGAGAAGAGTGTGCCCAAACAGAACAGTTTTCAAGACTTTCCTTGGAACAGGTTTCTTAGAACTGTGGGGTCATGGCCTGTTCTCTTCTGTGACTGATGCAGGTGCTTGGCTGGTTACTATGGCGACCCCATCATTGGGTCAGGAGATCACTGCCGCCCTTGCCCTTGCCCAGATGGTCCCGACAGTGGACGCCAGTTTGCCAGGAGCTGCTACCAAGATCCTGTTACTTTACAGCTTGCCTGTGTTTGTGATCCTGGATACATTGGTAAGTCGTGTGCATACTTTGGGAGGCAAAGAGAGAGAAAAAGATGTCTTTATGAGTTCATTGTTAATGAGAAAAAAAGATGCAAAGTGAACCAATTAAGTCTACTTTTATAATTTTTAATTAAAAATTAGAAAAGATGCTCTTTTCCTATTTGGCACATGGAGTGGAGTCAATTCATATTGAGTCTCTGATAAGAACGTTATAACACAAAGCAGGAAAGTAAGCTCGTGGAAATCTAGAAACCCTGTGGAACACTTTTCTGTTATTAAACATTAGAAAGATTAACTTAAGTTTTACTCCTGCCTTTCTTTATCCAACTCCTAGCAAAAGTATCTCAAAGCTGTGAGGTTACCAAATAGTAGTCAGAAGAAAGAAATAATATCATCCAGGGAATCACAAGATGGCCGAATATATTCTTCACTGTTAATGATACTCACATTATCTATCAAGATTCAATTAATCTAGCTGGGTTGTTAAAAACTCCCTCTTATTTCATCCTTGAAGCCACTGTTACAAATACTGATTATGTTTATATGTAACTCAGTAAAATTTTTTTGCATATAATTTCA
This sequence comes from Homo sapiens, assembly GCF_000001405.40. Classification (NCBI taxonomy): domain Eukaryota; kingdom Metazoa; phylum Chordata; class Mammalia; order Primates; family Hominidae; genus Homo; species Homo sapiens. Next base: position 107,954,897 of record NC_000007.14, on the reverse strand, counting down.
GAATTTCTTAGGGAAATTGGTCATCATTAAAGATCCCATTTTTCAGGTTGCTCACAGAGGAGTGGTAACTTTTCAGTTTCTGTAATTCTTTGTTTTGTTTTGTTTTTGAGACGGGGTCTCACTCTGTCACCCAGGCTGGAGTGCAGTGGCACAATCTGGGCTCACTGCAAGCTCCGCCTCCCAGGTTCACGCCATTCTCCAGCCTCAGCCTCCCGAGTAGCTGGGGCTACAGGCACCTGCCACCATGCCCCACCACCACGCCTGGCTAATTTTGTTTTTGTATTTTTGGTAGAGATGGGGTTTCACCATGTTAGCCAGGATGGTCTCGATCTCCTGACTTCGTGATCCACCCACCTCGGCCTCCCAAAGTGCTGGGATTACAGGCGTGAGCCACTGCGCCCAGCCCACTTTCTGTAATTCTTGAATTAGGCTGGGTGTGGTGGCTCATGCTTGTAGTTCCAGCACTTTGGGAGGCTGAGGCAGGAGGATTGCTTGAGCCCAGGAGTAAGAGACCAGCGTGGGCAAGATGGCGAGACACCATCTCTCCAAAAAAAAAAAAAAAAAAATTTTACAAAATTAGTCAGGTGTAGTGCCGCAAACCTGTAGTCCCAGCTGCTGGGAAAGCTGAAGTGGGAGAATTCCTTGAGCCCGGAAATTCAGGGCTGCAGTGAGCTATTATCATGTCACTGCATTCCAACCTGGGTGATAAAGCAAGGCCCCATGTCTTAAAAAAATGTAATCCTTGGATTAGGATTTCTACATGAAGCTATGCTTTACATTGTTAGTTTGCTCCCAACATGCTCCACCCCCATGTGCTCAGAAGCTAAAGTCTCATGTGCTAGGACCTAACTGTCCACAGCCGCTGTGGCCTCTGGGGCAGTTGCAACACTGTTAGAGACTACAAAACATTAGATTGGTGCAAAAAGTTACTATGGTTTTTGCCACTGAAAGTAATACTGCCTTCCTCTCACAACTCAAAGCCTATTCTTTCCCCTTCAGATGTGATCACCCTGGGCTCTTTAAACAGTGCAGTGAAGATGAAGCACCGCCACGATCAGCTCTCTCTAGGCATGAGTGTCGGTGCACTGGTGAGCTTTCAGTCAATAAGCTAAACATCTTGTGTTTGGTTTTATCGGGTGACAGGTTCCAGATGTGACGACTGTGCCTCAGGATACTTTGGCAATCCATCAGAAGTTGGGGGGTCGTGTCAGCCTTGCCAGTGTCACAACAACATTGACACGACAGACCCAGAAGCCTGTGACAAGGAGACTGGGAGGTGTCTCAAGTGCCTGTACCACACGGAAGGGGAACACTGTCAGTTCTGCCGGTTTGGATACTATGGTGATGCCCTCCAGCAGGACTGTCGAAGTAAGATGCACATTTATTCTGCCCACTTCTTAGAATGACTTCCACCTTTTTTTCATTATCAGCAGATTTTATTCTTCCTGTATTTATTTCACTTGGGAAAACACTTGTTCAGAGAGGTAAAATTTCACTTTCAACTAAGGAAAGATGAGACCAATTTTTTTTTTTTTTTTAATGAGACAGAGTCTCACTCTATCACCCAGGCTGGAGTGCAGTGGCATGATCTCAGCTCACTATAACCTCTGCCTCCAGAGTTCAAGTGATTCTCATGCCTCAGCCTCCCGAGTAGGTGGGATTGCAGGCACCCCCCACCATGCCCAGGTAATTTTTGTATTTTTAATAGAGACGGGGTTTCACCATGTTGGTCAGGTTGGTCTCGAACTCCTGACCTCAGGTGATCCACCCGCCTCGGCCTTCCAAAGTGCTGGGATTACAGGCGTGAGCCGTTGCACCTGGTCATTTTTATTTTTTTCTTTACATCCACATTTTCTGGCAGGAGTGAGGTCTCAAGATGTGACTCAGTGCCTGGGAGAGATAACAGGAAAGAAAAACCATGTAGCTGTCCCCATGATAAATGGCATCCAGTAGAGGGTACTGATGGTATGCTCTGCCCATGAACTTGCTGGTTGGATGGACTTCGAAATCCTAAATACCCACTGTGGTCCCACCTTTTCTAGTGGCATTGATGGAATAGAGCCTTCCAGCTTAAGGAAGAGAAAGAAGTAGCATCTCTAACATCTCTCTTTTGGACCTCTTTATTTCTCTCTTACCGAGATCAACTAGCATTTCCTCTTGCTGCAGCTGCACAGCCCCCAGGCTCCTGGCTTTGTTTATACAAACATGTGTGGAATGCTAGGGACCAGCAGGACTGGATTCCTTAAAAGCCTTAGTAGCTTAAAGGGCTTTTACCTGCTATGTCCAACACGTTTATTACGGCTGTTCTCTGCCAAGAGTTTGAAATTATTAGATATCTCAATTCCCACTGGCATTTTTTAAAATTATTTCCAGTTAAGCCTTCAATTTTAAAATGACTCACCAGCATCTTGTCAAATCTGTGTATTTTGAACATACTTTTAGGTGAAATGTGTCATTGTGTGTATCTGGGAAATGTCAGAACTGTGTAAGAAATCACGAGAACTTCTAAACAGTAATTTTAGCTTTATTTTTGAATCACCTCCATTTCTTTCCTTCTTTGCATTTCAAGGTCAAGATGTGAAGTGGGAACATCTTAGCATTTAGATGTGGCTAACATCCGCATGCCTGTGTATTTGGGAGTGTGACAATAAGTAAATGTGATGTTCTTTTGCAGAGTGTGTCTGTAATTACCTGGGCACCGTGCAAGAGCACTGTAACGGCTCTGACTGCCAGTGCGACAAAGCCACTGGTCAGTGCTTGTGTCTTCCTAATGTGATCGGGCAGAACTGTGACCGCTGTGCGCCCAATACCTGGCAGCTGGCCAGTGGCACTGGCTGTGACCCATGCAACTGCAATGCTGCTCATTCCTTCGGGCCATCTTGCAATGAGGTGAGGGGCTGCTGCTGGGGATGATGCCTTTATGAGCTCAGGTGTCAGCCCATGGTGACTTTGCCCCAGTTAGAGCAAGGCACCAGGGCACACAGCTTGAAACACAGCGTGGCCTGGATCTTAGCCCTCATTTGTACCCCTTGGCTGGGTCTACATAACTGTGCACAGAGTCCCCATCAGACACATCCATAGCATTTCAGTAGAGGGTCCCAGCTGCAGATGCAGACTCACTTAACAATAGACAAGGGTGTGCTATTTCTCTTCAGTACCTGGGCGCTGAAGCAGACTCTTTTCTTAGCTTCTCGAAAGGAACCAATTAGCCATACCCAGCATTGTAAAAAGTGCTGTTGTTTCCTGACACATGCTAAGGAGGGCATACTCCCTAAGTCAGGCGAGTCAAAGGTGGCCCAGGATTGTGGCTGATCTGTGAGGATAAAAGTGAGGAAATATGTAAATAAATAATAACATGCCACAGACCTTTCCAAGCCCTGTTGCAAAAGAGCACTTAGATGCTGGCATGGGGCTCTCGACACCTACGATTGAAGTGGGAGTCCCTTTTCCTAGTCAATGGAGACCTTCTCAGGTAAACAGTTCATTCCTACTTCTAAGTGGCAGCTAGAAAAAAAAGATGACAACTGGCTTCTGGCCTGAAGCCTGCTTGACCAAGGTCTGTGTTCTGGCCGCAGTTCACGGGGCAGTGCCAGTGCATGCCTGGGTTTGGAGGCCGCACCTGCAGCGAGTGCCAGGAACTCTTCTGGGGAGACCCCGACGTGGAGTGCCGAGGTGAGTTGTGGGCGTTCTCGCATTGACTTGATCAGAGAGTGGAGGGAACTGGGGTTCTACAAGAGCCTTCTGTAAATTATAAAACACAGTACAAATTAACGTGTCTATAAGAACCTGTATTTAATTGCAAAATAAATTAACACTGATTGTTTAAAAAACAATCTAACAAATCTAGCCCTGCCCATAAGTATAGGTAGTCAAGAGTGGATGTGCATACTCTCCCGGCCTCACACCCTGGGGTAAAGTTTGTTTCTGTGTGTAAGCACACACACACACACACACACACACACACACACACACACCACAAATACACACAGAGCTGCTTTTTAAAATACTTTTAACCAAGGTGGGACCATGTGAACCCTATGTTTGGCAAAGTGACTTTTTATCCCCTCTGAACAGTATTTTGTGGCCAACTTCCTTGATGGCACAAGAAGAGGTAAATGGTTATCCTAGTAAGATCACTGGATTCAGTGGATCAACTAGACTCTGTTGACAGTTTAAGCTCTTGGCGTATGTGTGTAAGATAACATCCCCACCAGTGAAAACTGGAGGGCAATGTCATGGAGACTTCGTGCACAACAAAGGGCTCCAAGGTCAGGGGCTCCAAGTCAGTTTAATGTGAATAAAACCCAGATTTTCACCTAAGCTTATGATTAAACAAACAAACAAAAAAAGATGGAAATGACATTTTCTTACAAACAAAAACTTGTTAAAATTATGTGAATCATCAGGATTGCTTGATTTTTATGGTATTGCAGTTTTTTTGACCTGGAAAATTATTTTTCAGATCTTAAAGTCAAAATATGGAAAAGACTGAATAGGCTGTTGCAACTCTGTTTTTATATTCTTTCTTTCCTACTTGATTTTCTTCCCTGTTTTTAATTGATCATTATGGATAAAAATTTTCTGTAGTTTCTTAAGTGCTCTTTCGTATATTTGTTGCACATCTGAAATTATAGGTCTCTGTTGGACTCTTGAATTTTTTTTTTTTTTGAGACGGAGTCTCGCTCTGTCACCTAGGCCGGAATGCAGTGGCATAATCTCGGCTTACTGCAACCTCCACCTCCTGGGTTCAAGCGATTCTCCTGCCTCAGCCTCCCAAATAACTGGAGTTACAGGCAAGCGCCACCACGCCCGGCTAATTTTTGTATTTTTAGTAGAGATGGGGTTTCACCATATTGGTCAGGCTGGTCTCAAACTCCTGACCTCATGATTCACCCGCCTCGGCCTCCCAAAGTTCTAGAATTACAGGTGTGAGCCACTGTGCCTGGCCAGGACTCTTAAATTTTTAAAATGACCGTTTTCTTTTTTTGGACACAACTACAGCAAGAAATAATACAGATCTTCAAGTTGGCAACTCATTCAATATCTCCTACAGAAGGTCAGGAACCTAGAAACTGTGTTCCTTCAGGGTGCAAACCCATGTGTTCCTTAACAGCAGAAAAAGGTCAGTGGGCAAGACCAGAACAAATTAGATATGATTTGTTTTTTAAGTTGAGGCTTAGCCAGAAGGGTTTGTATGGACCTCTTAGATTAAGGTTTGTTTCACAGTGGGGATAATGTTTGCTATGTCAATAAACAGGTACTTTTCTTTCATCATTCTCCAAATTTGGTTCTTAATGAGATCTGACATCCCCTCTTCCATTAGAAGGTATTGAAATCCAGTGGACCAGTTTCTCCAAGATGTCTCTTGAAAGTAAAACTCTGCTTAAAATCTGTTTTTTCCAGGGCTCTAATCACTACTCTGTTAAATTCCTCAAACTTGTAATGCCCCAAGGCTTGATTTTTTCCAGATAATGGCTCTATCGTTGCACATACCCTGATTCTGTCAGCATGTGTCATTGGCAAAATAGCTTTCTCTGCCAAAGCTTTCTGACCTTTGGCTCCATCTTAGCTTTGTTAGCAGGAAAGGCCTGCTACCCAGAGTCAGAGTCAATCAGAGAATTGTTCATGTGGTCCTTAGAACTTTACTCCTTACCCTTTTATCTTTTCTTTAAACTTTCGCCTCTAAATCTGCCAGGGAAATTGTGACTTATAGAAACCTTGTCAACTTGTTTGGGTCAAAAGTTAGATCCTGTTTTAGAAACTCTGCAAAGAGTGAGATTCATGGCATCATTGTTCGCCAACTTCTTTGTTCCTTTCATCCAGAAGAAAGGTCAGCTCATTACGTAAGAAACTTTTCATCAGGAAAAGCAAACAACCGATAAAAAACAGAAACTAAGTATTCTGCAAGGAAACCTGGTTTAAGGAGAATGTATTGAAACTGGATATGTCTGTTCCTTTTTACTCCTCCCTTTGGCATTTCCTTTTTTTTTCTGTAAGATAATCATAGAAATTTAGTTAATGGAGGAACTACAAAGATCACATGGCTTTATGGTTTGCCTATTATGCTGGCCAATCCCGGTGGCACGAGGGCAGCAGGGATGCAGACAGATGAAGAGGTCCCATAGCCAAGAGTGTAGGTCCTGGAGCCAGACTGCCCACATTCACTTCAAGCAATTGGTACTCCTGTATTAGAAGAAAACAAAGTCCCTTCTCATCTCCTCACCCAGTATACTCCTCTTTTTACTCAGCTTGATAGGAATCTTTCCAGTCCTCTCTGCATTTATATGTATACATCATTCGTATTCGTGACCCTAATAATGATACCCAGTCAGCTCACACCAGCAAGAAAAAGTATTTTTCAAGCCCTCTGGAAGCATTGGAAGCTCCAAGTGAGCATAAGTGAAAATACCCTAAGAGATACTTCCAGGTTCTAGATCCAGGTGTTTCATTTTCCCCTTGTTTTCCCACTACATTGTCATCTCTCCAACCTTATCTTTAGTTTTGTTTTTTTCATGGAAGACCAGAAAGCCCCTTTCCCCAAAGTGTTAAAATCTGGGGTGAAGGCAACTGACCTCATTGCATACTTTGGCAATTCAAAGTTATAAAATGTTAGCCGGGCACGGTGGTTCACGCCTGTAATCCCAACACTTTGGGAGGCCAAGGCGGGCGGATCACTTGAGGTCAGGAGTCCGACACCAGCCGGACCAACATGGTGAAACCCCATCTCTACTAAAAATACGAAAATTAATCAGGTGAGATGGCGCACACCTATAATCCCAGCTACTTGGGAGGCTGAGGCATGAGAATCGCTTGAACCCAGGAGGCAGAGGTTGCAGTGAGTGAGCAGAGATCGTGCCACTGCCCTCCAGCCTGGGTGACAGAGCAAGACTGTCTCAAAAAAAAAAAAAAAAAAAGAAGAAGAAGATATAAAATGTTGGGGCATCTTTATTTGGGGTGTTAAAGTAGATACTGTCTCTCCTTTGTGCCCACAGTGGCTGAGCTGGGGTGGGGACATTTGGAAATTTGGGAGGAGGGGAGTATTTTGGGTCATCACCATAATGGGGTCATTGCTATAGGCACTTGGTATGCAGGAGCCAATAATAATAAATGTCCCACAGTGCTTAAGGCAGTCTGTCAAACAGAGAATGTGTCGGATCCTCAATGCTTTTAGCACTCTTTGGAGAAAGCTCATAACCTACAAAGCACCCAGAGAGAGTGAGAATTGATTTGAGTGGACAATGGGGGATTGATTCATGGCCAGCTATGGGGTCTGGTGCAGACAGGGTGGCAACAGGAGTAGGACCAGTGTGGCCTGTGAAGGCAGGGGCCAAGATGCAGAGGCAGACAAGGCTCTTGGTTATGTTTGTGCTGGAATGCATTCACGATTAGAAACAGGAGCACAGGGGCTTTCTGAAGGGATGGGCCCAGAGATCAGCAGGGACAAGAAGAGGTGTCATTCAAAATTAGATGGAACTATGCAAAAAGAACATCAGCTCTTTTCTCCAGTTATGTAATTGCTTGACAAATATGTTTTCAGTTGAATTGGTTGTTAGAGGGCATAAATTTAGACTTTCTGATGCCAACTAGCTAACAATATGCTTATAGAAAGATTTAAGTCCTAGCTAAGTATTCTCCTTATGGAAAAAAAGAATGTAGTTATGTAAAAGACAAATGAGTTGAGCCTCCAACTTACAGATTGTTGAATGTTCCTATTGTCCAGGCGGGTTGGGGCTGTTGGTCGATGGTGCCAAGCCTGAACAAGCCCACCACTGTGCTGGGATGGAGAGGGAATCTCATCCACCCACCATGAACGTGCTGGAGAAAACAGCCTGGAGCGCTGCATTGTCCTCCTCAGGAGTCAAAGAGTCACAGGAGGAATCTTTCTGTTGATTCATAGATAGCAAAAAGGAAGGGTAAAGTTTCCATTTGGGGCCTCTGGCTCTTGGAAAAGGGCAGTGTCTCTAAACCCAGGCAAACGGTAAATGTGGGGCATAGGCAAGAGGGTCCGGGTAGTGGCCACTTCCCCATCATGCTCGTTTCTCATTTTGTGTTTTTTAGTAGAAAAACACAGTGTGTTCTTTTGCCCAGACATTAATCTTTAGAATGCCTGTATTTTCTAATGTTGGGATTTCTTTCACAACCACCCACCTTAATATTTCCATTGTGACTCAGAAAATCAGACTTCATTCGATTCTTTAGAGAACTATAAATACTGTTGTCAGTAGAGTGAAGTCTTGTCTTATGTAATCCTAATTACAGAATGTGTTCTCAGAAGAGGTAGGCTAGACCAGAGCTGGGCAGACCACAGGCAGAGGCCAAATCCAGCCCCCTGCCGATAGTAGCTAATATAAGTTTTACACCCACTTGTTCATGTATTTTCCCTGGCTACTTGTGGGCAGCAATGCCAGAGTCAAGTCATCATAACAGAGACAGAATGGCCTGAAAGCTGGATTTACTATTTCAACTTTTACATTAAAACTTGATGACCCCTGTGCTAGACAGGCAGCTCATTTCTGCAGGTAAAATTATATTCATCTCCCAACTTTCATTCCAAAATTGAACCTATATTACTGAGGCCAAAAAGGGAAAAGGATAAAAGAGAATGTCAGAAAAAAGAAAATCCCATGTAAGAAATAAAAATTATTTAAATTGCCCTTGCTTTTAGTAAATAGAAATGCCTAAGTAAAGTATCAGTAAAATTCTTGGCATTGCAGCAGATCCTGGAGTCCCACGTTGCTTTGAGGCAAGGTCCACGGCAGAAGAAAACCCCATTACCTGAATCTTAGGGTGTAGCAGTTTCTCTGTCCCAAGGCAAATTTAAGTTTCCAACAAAAAGGAGGATAATCAGCCCAGTACTGAGTGACCAATGGTATAGAGTGGGGAGTGGACACAGAGAGAACAGCTGATACTGTTCTGCCACTTGCAGGCTATTTGGGGACATGGGGTACATAAAATGAAGTAACAAGATAGCAGAAAGTAAGTGGCACAAACTTTTCAGTTGTCAGAAGAGGGCAAGATCAGTAGGAAATGGAGTCATTAGGGAAGGGTTTGCAGAAAAGATTAGCTCTAGTGGCCATCTACAGAGAACGTGCTGAGTGCCAAGCACTTTTAGGCATATTATATAAGTATTCTTAATTTTATCCTTGCAACAAAGAACCTATGGGGGTAAGTATCATCTCCATTTCACACTTGACTAATCTCAGACTCAGAGAGGTTAAGGGACTTGCCCAAAGTGAGGAAAGAACTGGGATCTGAAGCCAGGCCTATGTGGCCCTGTGTCCCAGCTGTTTCCACAAGCCTGGGGGCTCCTCATTGACAGCTGGTATTTAGAGAGGAAATTATCATCCAAGCTAAAGGACAACACAGACAACATGAAGCAGCATGGCTCTGGGAGGTGCCCTCGGGAAACAGTCTCAGCTGGAGAGTCATGGAGAGATTTGGTTTCACCAGATTGTGTGAAGCCTTCGGTGCTGGGCCATTAAGGGTAGACTTTGTTCAGTGGGCACAGGAAGGTCTGGAGGAGGAGAGGGAAGGATGTAAAGGAAGCAGGCAAGTTAGGTCTATGTGATAAATGGGTACATAGACTATTTCCCATTGTGGCATTGACTTGCTAGTGTTTTCCTCTGGACCTTAGTATCTTTAAAATCGGTACAATAGCTTTCATTTACCTACTTCTTAACAATTATGTTTGAAATGATAAGAAAACTTAGTAAAAATAGAGGAAGCCTACTGGCCACAGAACAGAGAGTGTGTTTACAGATGAAAGTCAAATTATTATGGCTTGTTAAAATGAGTATCTCATTTAAAAAATACTATTCTTCATCTTCATGATTTGTTCATCTTAAAGATTAGGCAACAACTTTTGCTATGTATGCTCTCCTTTCCAAGAGAAAGTTTCTGATTCTCTGCCAAGTAATCCCATTTCTTAAAATAAGACTGCTTTATCTAGGTCATTTGGATTCTGATTCCTTTCTCTTAAGAGAGAAGGAGCCCACTGGACCTCATCAGCTGCAGCCTGAATAGTCAGTTCACAGTTTTTCAGATCCTGGTGGGTGTGTGAGATGATGGGAGAATCTCCTCCATACATTAGTGTCCATGAAGTTTTACTAACTTGTCAAGTGTGAACTGACCTTTCTGCTTCAGCCACGTGAGTGTGGGAGTTTCACTGAAAATATTCTTGAAGTGGAGGGGGTCTTTTTACAAGGTTGTAAAATGTGGGCCTTCTGGTGCCTGCCTCTTAGGTGACTCCAAGAGAAGCAATTCTGGAAATTCAATAGCCAGGGAAGGAAGCACATGACCAGGGGCTTCAGCTTGAAATCAAAACCTGGTACATTTGAGACTAGTTATTTGGTGCCCTCCCGGAGAGTCAGGCCCAACTTTTTCAATAATGACACTGCAATCCGGTCATCTGTGAGATTTGATGGTTTACTTTTCAGGTGGGAGAAAGGAATGTTGGTCAGTTTGGCTGAACTGGTTGTTGACTTCTGGAGAGAGCCGAAGCTCTGCTAGCTCATTGGAACTCTTACCCAGGCTAATTTCCCTCGGCCAGATAAAGAGGGAAGCCTTATCTGCCTTTTAAGTCTTTCAGGGTTGGGCTGTTTTCCCCTTAAAGATGCCTATGACAGAATGGGAGCAAGACATGTCTTTGGCAACGAAATAAATGAAAAATGATCACAGAAATTAAAAATAAATCAACGTATGCATGCATCCCTTGCCCCAAGCATGAATCCAGCAAAAACCTAATGTTTAGGACTGAACAAAGGTATACCTTTGCATCATCTATGGGAAAGAAATAATTGTCTAAGCAAACTATAAGCATATGCAACTCTGCCTCAGTTGTGTCAAGTCTAAGGGAGATGGGTGAGTAGGCCCCAGAGGGCTGCCTCACCCTGACCACTGGCTGGTAGACAAGGTAAGTTTTATTACAAATGGCATCACTTCTTCCTCTGTTACGTAAGTCCTGAGATTTGTGCATCAGCCTACATTGCTGAACTTCCGAAGTCGTGATTCTGCTCCAGCTCCACCTTTTGAAGGGTATCTCTTTCTCCATCTCTCACACAGACACACAGATACACACACACGCACATGCTCTCTTTTTTTCTCTAATATACAGAAGGCGGGCAGAAACAGCTGGGAAAGTAACAGTCAGTGCTCCACAAAACGGGGTCGCGTGACTGTGAACATCAGTATCTCCTGGGAACGTGATAGAAATAAAAATAGTTCTGGGCCCCACCCAGACCTACTGAATCAGAATCTGGGGATGGGAGGAGAGTAGAGAAGCAATCTGTTTTTTATGAACCTTCCAGGTGATTCTGATACCTACCCAAGTTTGAGAGGTGAGGACCCAGGTGACTCGGGGGTAACTTTTAGCTTTCTGGAAGATGACTAAATTTTACCAAATGATAATGGAAATGTATTCCTAAAATCTAAACAACATAAACTCTTAAGGTACTAAGTTATTTAAGTTATTTGTAAGTTATCTAAGTTCTTCCTAATCTCAGAAATCGATTAATGTAGTGGTTTTCCCAAGCCTTTCTCATTATTTCTCTTGGGTGTCACTGGCATTGACTTCCACTAAAAAAAGATCCCATGGTCAAATGACTTTGGCATACATACAACTGGATAAAAACAATATAAAACAGTTTTTCCTGCAGAACTCTTCTGAGTCTGTAATATGCTGACACTTGTTTTTAATCTTCAAGATAAGGATACAGAACTTTTCATCATGGGATAGTTTTTTCAAGGAACACATCATAGAACGTATGGTCTACGGATCACCATTAAAGTTATCCATGGTTTGCCTAAACAGCTTCCTGATTCATTACGAGAATATTCCCCAAACAAGAAAAATGAAACATACTTTAAGTACCTGGAAAGGATCTGTTTTTTGAAAAGCATACACCCAAGTTTTACTTTTGAAATCCTAAGGTCTTGGTTTTGAAAACCCCAGGCGCTAAGGAAATTACATGTTTTAAAATCCTAAAGGTTGAGGAATTAATATTCTAAACTTCAAATTTTTGAATAATCATGACGTTATTGGCAAATACATATAAATAAACATATAACCGGAACACGTTTTTCCCCTTTATCCAATGGAAATACGATCAAGCATCACTCTTAGCAGAAGACTACCAGACACTTGTAGGGACACGAAAAGTGATAATAAAAACAATTTATTTATTGAATGCTTGCTATAGACCAGATGCTCTTCTAAGCACTTTGTAATTATTTTATCTTGAAAGCAGTCCTGTATTTATAATCATTACCTCTTCTTACAGATGTGGAAGACGTGACTCAGTTTCCTGATTACCCAGGGTCACATAACATGTGTGGAGAAGGCAGGATTTACCACCTCAGTCCGCAGTTCATGCTCTTAACCATAATGCTGTACTCCTCAAACCTGCCACTCGAGAGCTTGGAATGTAGGGGGAGAACAAAGACAATAAAAAGATAAACTAGCAATACAAGGCAGGATGTGGTGAGGGCCAAATGAATGGGCCACAAACACACACCTCTGGGTTGAAAGGATGGTGATGTTATAGCAGATCTCAGGACCCTCAGTATAACTGGTTCTGGGAGATGTTCCATTAGAAAGTTTTTCAGAGGAAGGCCGGGCGCGGTGGCTCACGCCTGTAATCCCAGCACTTCGGGAGGCCAAGGTGGGCGGATCACAAGGTGAAGAGATGGAGACCATGCTGGCCAACATGGTGAAACCCCGTCTCTACTAAAAATACAAAAATTAGCTGGGCATGGTGGTGCATGCCTGTAGTCCCAGCTATTTAGGAGGCAGAGGCAGAATAGCTTGAACCCGGGAAGTGGAGGTTGCAGTGAGCCGAGATCATGCCACTGCACTCCAGCCTGGGAGACAGAGTGAGACTCTTCCAAAAAAAAAAAAAGTTTTTCAGAGGCAAATCACAGCTATTGACCCAAGAGTGGCTCACACCTGTAATCTCAGCACTTTGGGAGGCCAAGGCAGGCAGATCACCTGAGGTCGGGAGTTCCAGACCAGCCTGACCAACATGGAGAAACACCGTCTCTTAAAAAAAAAAAAAAAAAAAAAAAAAAAAAAAAAAAAGCCGGGTGTGGTGGCGCATGCCTGTAATCCCAGCTACTCGGGAGGCTGAGGCAGGGGAATTGCTTGAACCCAGCCAGGAGGCAGAGGTTGCAGTGAGCCGAGATCGCGCCATTGTACTCCAGCCTGAGCAACAAGAGCAAAACCTCCGTCTCAAAAAAAAAAAAAAATCCGAGAAAGCATGAATCTGTTGTGCTTTGCCACAGTTGACATTGCACTTCAGGAGGATTATTTTCTTTTATGAAGGTATGTAAGTGTCCTTGCATGCCTAGACTAAAATGAGGTTAGGGCTTCATTTGGCAAAGACGTTTGGATTCTGATTGCAAGTTAACCCTGAGTCCGATGCTGAAAAACGAAAAATGGTTTAAGATGTGCCCCTGCCCTTGGAGTCCACAATCCAGTTAGGGAAATAAGATAGTATATTCTTTATTTATTCCTGTCTTTCCTCAGAATGGGTGGAAGCCCAGCGATAAGATGTTAGCATAAGGCCTTTCGTAATTCAAACCCTGTATAAATACTTTCAAATGTCAGATGTTGATATAAAAATGATTTGGTCACCTGAAATTTGGGAATCTAAGCCAGGGTTCAAGGGCACAGCCACTGTGCTAAGTAATCTCAGCCACAGCTACTGGCCAAGAACACATTTTGTCCTGTACGGCACGTGATTTTCCTGTGCCATTTGGCTTTGCATGAGGTGCCAACCCTATTGGGCCTGTGAGACGCTGAGACTGAATGGCTCCCAAGATCCCTGCTTGTAGTACTGGCAGTGGTCATCACAATGGCAGACACCCCCAAGTTAGATTATACTTAGTTGAAAGCCTTTAAACTGGATACTTAGAATTCCTTTGGGTTTTGTTTTGTTTTGATCATGTTTATTGCATTTCATCAAGTATGTTTTGTTGTGAGATAGAGTCAGGTACGTAAAGAGCTTCTCATTTGTGATGTATCCGATGCCAGGTGGCACATTATCAGGATGTAACCTGGATTGTTTGTACAGACATGGTCTGTGGGGAAATCCTAAGTAAGGGGGAGGCAAAGGCAGGACGGAGGTGAAGAGTATAGACTCCGGAGTTGCAAAGAACTGAATCAGAATTCTGGCGTGGCCTTTTCCTTGCAGTGAGACTTGGGGCATGTTACATAATCTCTCTGATCTCTGAGTTCCCACATCTGTGAAATAGTGATTATTATAACACGTATCCCATAGGGTTATTGTGAGAGTTAAATGGGATCATTCATATAAAACATTTCTGTTTAAAGTATTATTACTGCTAAGAAGGGGTTAGCAACCACTGAAGTCACGCATGTGCTAGAGGAAGCTGCTACAGTCTCTACCTGAGCCATTGGTCAATTGTTGTCGATGGTTGACACCTTCCCATTTTCACAGTGAAGTGAGTATTCTAAATGCCACATCTTGTCACTGAGGTTCATGATTAAGTAGATCAGCTAGCATTGCTTATTCCCTTCTAGCCTGTGACTGTGACCCCAGGGGCATTGAGACGCCACAGTGTGACCAGTCCACGGGCCAGTGTGTCTGCGTTGAGGGTGTTGAGGGTCCACGCTGTGACAAGTGCACGCGAGGGTACTCGGGGGTCTTCCCTGACTGCACACCCTGCCACCAGTGCTTTGCTCTCTGGGATGTGATCATTGCCGAGCTGACCAACAGGACACACAGATTCCTGGAGAAAGCCAAGGCCTTGAAGATCAGTGGTGTGATCGGGCCTTACCGTGAGACTGTGGACTCGGTGGAGAGGAAAGTCAGCGAGATAAAAGACATCCTGGCGCAGAGCCCCGCAGCAGAGCCACTGAAAAACATTGGGAATCTCTTTGAGGAAGCAGAGTAAGTAGTTAATGAGCCAGAGGAATTACTCATAAAGCTGAAAAAATATTGTGAGTTAACAGCAAAGATTTCCTGGCATGGTGCTTCCATCAGGAGGTTTTGTTAGTCCTGTGGGTGAGAACAGATTCTGAGCCATTTATTTTCCAGCAGTCTTGACTGGGCATTTGGGTGAGTGAACGTTGGCACATCAGTGGGGACCAGCCTTCTGGAGGCTGCAGTACAGAATATGCAAGCATTATATTCAGTGCTCCTCCTTGCAAATCATGTTCTAAGTCAGTAAAATGGGAGGAATGCTGGATTTAGAAGACAAAGATCCATAATTGAGTCTTGGCTCTGATGCTAGGCTTGTGAACTTGGATGACTCAATTCCTGAGCCTGTATTTTCTCTCCTGTGGAGAAGGGGTAGGATAATATATGCCATTACCTTATGAAGTAATGAAAGGATTTATATATAAAATAACAACAGGATTGCAGAAAATTATAAATTAAGTATTGCTACTATGGGGGAAATTCCATTACCTCAAAATAAGACTGCTTACTTCAAGTTTTTTCTGCTTCTCCGCCATTAGTCCACCAGACCAGTGCTTCATTCATCTAGTTATAACAGCTGCTCTATGCTGAAAAGTCCTCATCCCACCCCTTCTCTAGGTAATCTTCCCTCTGATTGGACAGTGTTTGTTAGTGGAAGCCTAGAGAATTGACCTTCTCAAGGATCATTTATCTACCCTTTCTCCTACCTCCCCTCTCTTGCCCCTAAACTTCCCAACTCCTTTTGCCAAAAAGGAACCCCCAAAACAGCACAATAAGACCTAAGTGCTAAAGGACAAAAATAGAAAAGGGTATGAGGCATCTGTGCTTCCCTAGATGCTATGGTTTTTTCACTGCAGACTCACCATCTAGGCCTGAGGGGACTGCTTCACAGTTAAATCCTGCACACTGAGGTGTTTATATGACGAAATGACAGTAACATTTTTTGTGTGTGATGAGACTTTAATCAGCACCTTTAAGAAGCCAGAGGGACTTTTCATCTCATACCAGGCATGAGTAGCAGAGGACAGCTGACATTAGCTCAAGCGACTTGAAGGAGGTCCTTCCTAGACCTAGATTTAAAGTAACTGGACCTTGATGTCAAGCCTTGGGTTTTATGCCCAAGACCATGTAGCTGGCCAGAGTGTTAGGAAACGTCTGATGTAGAGTGACAATGCATTTAGTGAGGCATTTTACCTCACTGAAAAGACTAAGCCTCCTAATGTGCAGAGATCACAGTTTTGGCAGGCCGTGGTCCGAATGCAAGCCCATTTAGGAAATGATCCTTGGCCTGGGTCTTAGGCATCTCTGGGAGGAAGAAAAAAATCTGGTGTCCTTTGAGAGCCTGCCAGAAGAGAGATTACATTCCCAAAACAGCTCTGTTTCTACCGTCACTATTCATTTAACTAGACAGATTGTAATAATCACAGGAAAACTAGTTCCATTACTCTTTTTTTTCAACATACTATCCAAGGATACATGTTTTAGGAACCAAAGTGGCCTTATTTTAAAATACGATGTTAGATTTGCTTGTTTTAAAAAAAATTGTATCATTTTATGAGACCTGAGAAGAAATGAAAGCCTTCTGTGAGTCATATAATTAATAAAAGCAAAGCACTGAAAAAAGAAACTATGTATATTAGCCTCAGGAAAAAAAGGCACTGAAATGTAATTTAATCTACCATTTTAAACCATCCCTTTAAGTACTTTTTCTTTGAGTTGGGTTATAGTTTTATCTCAGCCTTACATATCATTTTTCTAATGGCTCCCAACCTTTCAGCATCTTTACATTTTCCTGGTTTTTTATACTATTATATCGCCAAGAAGACAATTACATTCAATTAGGTGAACCAGTAATACCCAGAGGTAAAATCTGCTCAAATATTACTTTCTTTACAATACACATACAACCCTACCCACACCCACCTGGAGCACACTCGCATGTGCACACACACACCCATATCCACACTATGTACACAATAATATACAAATAGATGTCAAAAGTACGGCTTTGTAGGTTTGAAAGTACAGAACAAAATGCAGTTTAGATTCCAAATTAAATACTGTGAAAGCTAAATCTTCTTATTTCATTCTTAGTAGATGCTATTTTCTTATAAAAAATAAAAAGGCTGTTGGTAGAAGGAGGCCCCTCTGACGGAAGAGAGGAGTGTATGAAAGCTGATACTGGTGGCTCCTGTTGTCTTTGTGGCAGGCTATAGGGCTTCCCCTCTGCATGTTCCATCTTGAAGGAGATCCCTGAGGCTTAGGGAAGAATGTTTTGGGCTTGTGGCTGGGAGGCCTAATTGTATAACTGGAGTCATTTATGTCTTCAGTTTTCACAATTGTAAGGGCTTGAAGCTGCCTGTGAATAGAGCCAGAACTCCACACTCTGACCTGTGCTCATCTTACAGCAGAAATTTGGAATCCCTTAAATGGCTTGTCTGCCACAACTCAGCTGAGTGGTACTTCTGTGTTTCTCTCAAAAGTCATTGAACAAAGAAAAATTGTTAGATTTAATACTATCTGTTATAAGGAAAATAAAACTAGCACTTAGGGATGAAATGTTACAAATTACTGAATTGGTTTGAAATTAGTAATGGATACAGTACTAGTAGAAAATATGAAACGTGAAAGTTCTCCCTTGGGTTTATTTTATGTAAGTAAGCTTAACTTTCTCTTTACAGGAAACTGATTAAAGATGTTACAGAAATGATGGCTCAAGTAGAAGTGAAATTATCTGACACAACTTCCCAAAGCAACAGCACAGCCAAAGAACTGGATTCTCTACAGACAGAAGCCGAAAGCCTAGACAACACTGTGAAAGAACTTGCTGAACAACTGGAATTTATCAAAAACTCAGATATTCGGGGTGAGCATTTTTTGGTGCAAATAGTCCCAGACAATGGATTTAACGATATGTCTAACGTTTTAATATAGCACTTTTGGGGAAAAAAAAAAGTTTTCTAATAAATTTTAAAACTTTTGCTCATCCAGTTTCTGGCACAAATGAGGATCAAAGTCCCCATTTTACAAATGTGGGACTTGGGCACAGAGAACCTAAGAGACATAGCAAAGGTCCCACAGAGTGAATGGCAGTAGTTGTATCAGAATGGTATCCATTTCCTGATTTTTTTTTTTTCCCTCCAGTTAGTAGTTTAATCCCCTGGCCTTTTCTTGGAAGGGGGTTCTTTTGAATAGTTAAGGTATTAATACTTCTGCAAATCCTTTCACATTCAAGAATGCTGCTTGGTCAGAAAAAAACTTTTGCAAATCATTATTTATATCATAGACTGTAAAGGATCCTCAGCAAAAAGTGAATGTAGAAATATGTTACATCATACTGTCCAACTATCCATACTGTTTTATGCATGATTGCTTTTGGACTAAAGCTAAAAACATGTCATGCTGTTATATATAATACCGTCATCCCTTGGTATCCATGGGGGATTGGTTCCAGGACCCACTGCAGAAACCAAAATCCACAGGTGGTCAAGTCCGTTATATAAAATGGCACTTGCATATAACCTATGCATATCCTCCTATATACTTCTTTCTTTTTCTCTCTCTCTCTTTCTTTCTTTCTTTAAGAGATGGGCTCTTGCTATGCTGCTCAGGCTGGTCTTGAACTCCTGGACTCAAGTGATCCTCCCGTCTCAGACTTCTGAATAGCTGAGATTATAGAGGTGAACCACCACACCCAGCTTTACTTTTTTCTTTTTTTCCCTTCAGTATATTTAAAAGTAATCTGTAGATTACTTACAATACCTAATACAATGTAAATGCTATGTAAATAGTTGTTATACTTTATTGTTTAGGAAATAATGGCAAGAAAAAAGTCTGTACACATTCAGTACAGATACAACCATTTTTTCCAAATGCTTTCCATCCACAGTTGGTTGAATCCACATATGTGGAACCTACAAATATGGAGGGCTACTATATTAGTCATTTGAGTGGATCCGAATAAAGGATTGAGAAAAGTCATCTAGTCATATAATCTTCAGGCTGCCTGAAACCAGCTATTTATAAAGAACTGGATGTTTGCTTGTGTATAGAAACAAGATTGCATGATTTTCTTAATTTTTCATTTTTCACCCAGATGTTTGCCATACTCGAGCTGGAGTAGGTGCTAATGGGACAAAACATATTCATTGCTCATGAAAACTGTACTTCATAAATATTTTTTCTTGAATTTTAAAACTTTACAGTAAATTTAGGACCCGAAGACACCAAATATAGACACTGCTTGGGGAGGAAGCCTAGTATGATGAGGTTAACTGTGGGCAATTTCATTTCCTACCCTAGGTGCCTTGGATAGCATTACCAAGTATTTCCAGATGTCTCTTGAGGCAGAGGAGAGGGTGAATGCCTCCACCACAGAACCCAACAGCACTGTGGAGCAGTCAGCCCTCATGAGAGACAGAGTAGAAGACGTGATGATGGAGCGAGAATCCCAGTTCAAGGAAAAACAAGAGGAGCAGGCTCGCCTCCTTGATGAACTGGCAGGCAAGCTACAAAGCCTAGACCTTTCAGCCGCTGCCGAAATGGTAAGGTTTGGGGATGTGGCCTTACTGCTATGGTGCCAAGCAAAAAAAAAAAAAAAAAAAAAAAAAACAAAGAAAAACAAACCATCTTTTGTCATTATTACAATAATTTGCAAATGAATCAGCAGGACTGAAACTCCTAGGCTGAGGTCTCTGGATCCTGGAATGGGGTATCTGTAACCAAGACAGATTAAAAGCAGCAGCATATGGGTTTCCAGCCTTCCCCTCTTCTGTTTCTCTGTGGTCCTCAACTAAAGAATGAATCATGACTATTCTCCCATACTGTTTTAGCTACTCAGTGACACCGCACTGAAACTTGATCCTTTTTACACTGTGGACATTTCTTTAATATTTTTTTTCCTAAGTAGAGACAGGGTCTCACTACATTGCTCAGGCTAGTCTTGAACTCCGGGTCTCCAGCAATCCTCCTCTCACCTCAGCCTCCTCCCAAAGTGCTGGGATTACAGGCTAACACCCCAGCCCACCCCCACCCCCGCTTTTTTTTTTTTTTTTTTAAAGAGATGGAGTCTCACTACGTTGCCCAGGCTGACCTCAAACTCCTAGGCTGAAGCGATCTTCCCACCTCACCCTCCTGAGTAGCTGAGATGACAGGCATGTGCCACCACACCCAGCTTGGACATTCCTTTTTTAGTTTGTTCTGATTTGAATTATAAAACCCATCTCAGTGTAGGAATTCAGAGTCATTCTAGAAGGGGCTTCCATTAAAAATTAAAGGGAGCAAAAGAATTTTTTCACGGGTATTAGCTATTATGTTCCTTTGTTCCAGTAACTTTACCTGGTGAAGATTAACCCTGAAACCAGCCTAGAAAGTAGATTCATTTCCCAGAAGCTTTTAAAAAGGAACTCTGGAGCCAAATGAAATTGGGTTGTGAGTTTAATGAAAATCAGGCAGAAGGCCCCAAAAAAGCCTAACTGAGCCTGTTTCTTCCTCTTCCTTCCTGTGTTTTCAAGGAAGGATACCTATGTGAAATAATTTGGAGGGTATTTTTTATAGACTAAGGTTTGTGTTCTCTTAGCCCAGAGACACAGAGAAAGTTAAAGATGGAAGGTACATAGGCGCAGAAGAGTTCAAACTTCATTACAGCTTTGTCTTAGTGATGCTTCCTCCCTCCTCTCATCACTTTCTCTGAAATAGACAAAATTGGTCACAATATAAGACAGTGTTTATTGATGCCTGCTAGGTTTCATACTCATTATCTTCTGAAACTTTATAGCAAATAGGGAGCAAATAATCTGTCATTTATTAAATGGAAAAATAAAAGATGAAGAAAAAAGAAAAATGAAGGCTTAGAGCAATGTGTAAATTGCAGCTAACAGGAGACAAAGTTATGAAGCATGAAATGCCAATTCTCTCCATCTTTCCCTTCAGCATTGATTCCTTCCTTACATATTGTAGTTAAAAAAAAAAAATCAGTTATCACAAACAAGTTCTGTGTGACCTACAAGAAACAGCTAAGCATGCTAAAGGATTTTTGTCTTGAACCGGAGGCATCTCCGTGGGCGGCAGGGAGATGCATGGGCGGTGGGTGGGGTTCGGGGTTCCTCTGGCCTTTCAAATGTGTGCCCTTCCCTGTGCTTGCTTTTCCACCTGGTAAACTACCTAGGGATTAGCAGCTGCTTCAGTTCTCTTACTGTGTTTTTGTCTTTGTTAATGATCCTGTGAGAATTCTTTCTGTAAGTTCTTTACTGCCATTTCCTTGTGTAGAGAGAGTTTTGTCCTTTTGTTTTTCAGGTACTTCTAGTTCTGTATCTTTGTGGATGTTTAGCTAGAGCCATACTGTGTTTTTTTTTTTCCATGTCTGCCCCATCTGTTGAAACAAAACAGATCTTCTATGTGTGCTGTCAGATTGTTTTTAGAAAGCAACCGAGGTTTTACACTTATGTTCTTAAGACTCATGTTTTACAGCATGCAGAATACACTTTATTTTCTGAAGCTTTTTGTTTTTGTAAGCCAGATAAATGACTTATTTAGTTGTAATTTGAGATATAATGGAATTATAATTATCTTAAAATTATTAGGCTAAATAGTTGATTGTATTTATTTAAAAACTACTTTTTTGTACTTTTTAATAACAATACTTGTTTGGGAATATTCTGTTAACTCCTTTTCACTGCAGTAAATCTTTGTCTTCTTTTCAGTATGAGAATTTCCACAAACAGCTCTAAATGCAATTTTCTCCCTGCTCAGCCTTTTCTATCATATAGCACACTTGTATTATAATTTATCAATTTGCATTTGTATGCCATGACCAAGTGGTGATCTTTGAGAGGTTTTGGTAGGTAAGAAAGGAGGACTCTATGCATGTGTGATGGCAGTCGGGGGTGGTAATTTGGGAACACTTCATCTACCTTTGTTCCTTTGTTTGTACTGTTTTCTTTAACCTGTGGAATGTTTTCCCACTTCCCCTGCTCAAATCCCACCAGCCAACAGCTTCTTCAGCTACAACTGTAGCATTCCTCTGCAGTCTCTCCTTTGTCTACTTTCTTTCATAGTGACTGCATCTGACCTATTCTTGGCTATTTTATGTGGAATGATCCAGTCCTAACTAGATGGGAAGTTACTAAAACGCTAGGTAATAGATCTTTTATGTCACCATATTTACTGGAGGAGTTAACATGGTGCTGGTGCTGGTCCCAAAGATGGTTCACAATAGGTTTTTTTTTTAAACTCTAACTGGTTAGAAAAAAAGGAAGGCATTCCTTGGCCCTTGCACTGGCAGAATTCAACTTGATATAGCAGATGTTTGCATCCTGGGCAGAGCTCATATAGTATTTTAACTCATTTGGGCAGAAGATATTGATGAGTTGTAAACTTCCATTGTTTCCTTGGAAATAAGCAGGTTAGTTTACTCCTAAACTCTCTGCTCCTCTCTCCATTCTGTCTCCCAAACACTGTTTTCAAGCACCCTTGCTGAGGACCACCTACACATTCTCTGGGGCCACCCAGGCCCTGCACAGCTGTTTTGCTGCAGCAGATTCACTATCCGAAGTATTGTGCCTGATCCTTGGCTTGTTGCAGACCTGTGGAACACCCCCAGGGGCCTCCTGTTCCGAGACTGAATGTGGCGGGCCAAACTGCAGAACTGACGAAGGAGAGAGGAAGTGTGGGGGGCCTGGCTGTGGTGGTCTGGTTACTGTTGCACACAACGCCTGGCAGAAAGCCATGGACTTGGACCAAGATGTCCTGAGTGCCCTGGCTGAAGTGGAACAGCTCTCCAAGATGGTAACTCAGTGGATGGCCTCAGTTTTTGTTATGTATGTTTGCTTTCAGCTGTGGACTAAAGGATCTGAAAGGGAGAAATCAATTCTAAATGCTAACTGAAATGAAAAGGGCATATCACAATCAAATATGAAAGTTCATGTTTCTGTGAGGTCAGAGAAAGAGATGGGGAGATTTTCTTCACAGATAAAGAATTTGCTTTCTCCTCACTCAACACATGCTTTAGAGCAAGATGTTTAAATCTTATACTGGATAATTTGAGATAGCCATCTTACTTTTCTGACTCCAGGGTTATAAATACATCCAGCTGTATGACAAAAACTCTATACTAAGCAATTGAGCATTTATTCTTCTAAAGTGACACACACTTTTTAAGTATTTATGTGGGCACCTGAGAAAAAGACTCAGGACTATTTTATAGGCCAGGAGTTAAAAAACAACTTGAAAAATTTTAAATGCTAGTTCTATTTATATCAGAATACTGTTTAGGAATCTCTATACTGAATACTTGCAGTCTGTAAGATACAATACTTTGTTGAATGGGAGAAAGTTGTTTCCCAGACATATGATTCCAAGTACATAGTTTTTCAACATCATTTTTGAGCCATTTCCAATATTCTGGTCTCCTTTAGAAAGAATGAAAGTCTTCCCTGGGTAATTTATTCTTCATATTTAGGTCTCTGAAGCAAAACTGAGGGCAGATGAGGCAAAACAAAGTGCTGAAGACATTCTGTTGAAGACAAATGCTACCAAAGAAAAAATGGACAAGAGCAATGAGGAGCTGAGAAATCTAATCAAGCAAATCAGAAACTTTTTGACCCGTAAGAAATTTTTTCATTTTACTTTTAGACATTTGTTTCTGTGTGATTCTCTGTTTACATTTTAGATAAAATCCATTTCTGTCAGGGTACTAAGTGACATTTCCAAATAAGAAAAACGTCCGTATATTAAATGTTTCCACTTCTTAAACTTATATATGTGTATCAAATAACTTTCTCCAATGTTACGCAGATACAGACACACCTGATGGGATACTCAGGTAGCCAATCAAAAGTCAAATATTTACATTGAAAATTGAACGTGGAATTTGTTAGAAATTACGTATAGTAATTTCTAACCTTAAAGAAGTGGAGTTTGTTATTTTGGCATTGCCCCCAAAGCTTTGTAATTCTATTATTTACAGGATATTATACCTATAGTTAGTTAAGAGTGTTGCTAGTCACAGTTCAAGTGTTACCAGTAAAGATGGTTTTGGCTGCAAATTACAGAAAACTCTCAAGTGAAAGGGACTTAATCAAAAAGGATGTTTATTATCTCACATCTTAATAAGATATCCAGTAGCAGGATAGCTTCCTGGGTCTGCGACCCACATACTTTTCATCTTTCTACTCTACCATCTTAAGCATATCAGCTTTGTCCTCTAGCTCCTCATGGTTACAAGGTAGCTGCCAAAGTTCCAGACATCATATAAAGATTAATAATGGAAGAAGAGACCACCTATTCCTTGCATCTTTTTAAAAAGGAGGAAGTCTTCCCTAGAAGCCTTTAAGCAGTCATCCTTATAAACCTCACTGGCCAGCAATAAGTCACATGCCAATGCATAAATGTCACTGGAAAATGGAAATGCGATTACAGTAATTCACAAACTAATATTTAATGCTGGGTTGATAATTTTACCTGACTTAGAGGCAGGTACCTGAAAAAAAATCAGTATTCTGTTAGCAAGAAAAAAGGCATGGCTAATAAGGAGTCAACAGTATTTGCTAAGGATATCTTAGGTAATATTTTATGGAAGCCATCATTCAAGTACATATTTTATTTGAATAAATCCTCTGGGGTCCATTTTTATGTTCAATAGTTTAAAACATAAGCAAAGCTTGAAAGTAAATGAGGATCTGACGTATTTGAAGCTTAACTTCATAAACTTTTTTTTTCACCATCTTCCACATTTTACATTTGAAACTCCTTGGCTTTGTTGACAACCCATTATTCCGGTTCTCCTGCTTCTATAATTTTCTCCCTTTCTATAATTTCCTGAATCTAGATCATTTGTAGGAAATATCAAATCTCCATATCTGCATTCACAAGTTTCTGAGCTATTCGTCCAACCTCAATTAAAAGATTTCATTGCCTTTAAGTCTCAGCTTTAAGCTCTGGCCCTCTATGGTTTTCCACAATGTTCAGATTCACTCTGCTATACTTTCCCGTAACATACTCTGCCGTTCCTGTCTCCCCATCTGGAATTGTCCTTTCTTCTTTCAAATTCTATTATCCCTTAAAATCTGATCAGCTCCTCATCTTCCACGAAGGTTTCCCTCACTACCCAGCCTAAAACAAATTCTAGTAGTACTCAATTGTCTGCAGTTACTTTTTTGTGTGTGTAGGTCTCATCTCCCCTCAAAATCCCAGATAGATTATAAACTCTTAAACAGGAAGTTAGTGTCTCTTGGTGTGTAACCCCACCATGCTAGTCCATAGTAGATGACCAGTAAGTGGTTGAATGAATGAACCATCTATTCTTTTCACCTCTTTTTGGGGACATCTTTGCTTTTCACAGAGGATAGTGCTGATTTGGACAGCATTGAAGCAGTTGCTAATGAAGTATTGAAAATGGAGATGCCTAGCACCCCACAGCAGTTACAGAACTTGACAGAAGATATACGTGAACGAGTTGAAAGCCTTTCTCAAGTAGAGGTTATTCTTCAGCATAGTGCTGCTGACATTGCCAGAGCTGAGATGTTGTTAGAAGAAGCTAAAAGAGCAAGGTATCTAAAGACATGGCATCTAAGGGGCTTATTTTGTGTATCTATCATGGAGTAAAAAGTATCTCTTTAACCAATGAAACTTCTAAGAAGGACCTATGCGAGTCTCTCTGGGTCATTTCAGGAAGGCTATTCTTTAAAGAAAAGAACACTGAGAGTACTTTTTTCATGTTCAGCAACAATATACTGTCTCATTATTTTTTACTCAGCAAAAGTGCAACAGATGTTAAAGTCACTGCAGATATGGTAAAGGAAGCTCTGGAAGAAGCAGAAAAGGCCCAGGTCGCAGCAGAGAAGGCAATTAAACAAGCAGATGAAGACATTCAAGGAACCCAGAACCTGTTAACTTCGGTAGGCATACACAATCATTACATGAATGGGAACACACCTACATATACACTTACCAGAAAAGTACATTTGTTATCTATGAACAGAAATTCTTACAACTCAACATTAAAGGATTCCTTTAATAAATCTAAACTACTCCGTTAGCATGGATGCTAAAAATAAGTGGAGATAGGTTTTCAAGGAATAAAAGGACTCTGATTCAGACACTGGACCATTACGTCCCATCTCATTTTCTCCCCCACAAAGTCTGAGAAAGATAAAAACTTCTATTCTTGGGCGGGCATGGTGGCTCACGCCTGTAATTCCAGCATTTTGGGAGGCCGAGGTGGGTGGGTCATTTGAGGTCAGTAGTTCAAGACCAGCGTGGCCAACATGGCAAAACCCCTTCTCTACTAAAGATACAAAAGTTAGCTGGGCATAGTGGTGTGTGCCTGTAGTCCCAGCTACCTGGGAGGCTAAGGCAGGAGAATTGCTTGAACCGGGGAGGTCGAGGTTGCAATGAGCTGAGATCACACCACTGTACTCCAGTCTGGGCAACAGAGACTCCATCTCAAAAAAAAAAAAAGCACTCCTATTCATTGAGGAAACAGCATATACTCTGTTCAGTAGTATGAAGTATAATAATTTTAGAAAACTGTCCTGATGTTATAAAGCAGCTTATCTGGTTAAGAAGGCCAATGTCTCAAGATTTTGGTCATCAAACATTTTACTATATAGTAGTTTTGGAAACTATGGGAGAACAGTCAGTCTGCTTTCAATACCCAATTCTAGAGAAACCTAATAGAGCACTTATAGCTAAACAATCTGTTCTGTTTAGAATGCATGGAAAACTTAATGTTTTTTATAAGAAATATACTGTGACTACCAGATATTAAAAGTACTCATTACGAATTTTTCATAGGGATCTAGCACCTTGCTCTAAAAATCCTCTTTATCTCTTAAAAGAAGTAATGCAAACATAATTCCATTAAATTCTTTTGTTTCTCAGAAAGTTAATGTTTTCGTTCCAATTTTACGAGTTTTTAAAAAATGAAGAAAATTGATGAGTTATCTAATCCCTATACAGGTTCTCAGAATATACTTTGAAATTAAATGCTCCCATACCCAGCATTGTCAGCCTTCTCAGGCCAATCCTCCATGTGTTTAAAACCTGGGAAGATGAATTTTCAACATGCTTTTCTTACCATTAGTTGGTAAAAACCTGTGTTCCCCTATTCTATTGCTGTCAGTTAAATGAAGGCCAATAATTCTGTCCATTTTCCTCCTTAAATTTCGAGTATCAATAAGACTTTTTCTTCAGGCTATTTGTTCAAGTTTAGAAAAATTATGTTTTCCCACCAGACTATAAATATTTTGATGTTTCGATCTCTAGGTTTTTCCATTTTCTCAGTTTGCTGTTAATATTTTAGTGAATATTATGTCAGTGACTGTAGAAATTATTGTTTTGAAAGCCAGGTGCAGCAGTGTGTGCCTGTAGTCCCAGCCACTTGGGAGGTGGAGGTGAGAGGATCACTTAAGGCCAAGAGTTTGAGACTATAGTGCACTATGATCATGCCTGTAAACAAACAGTCACTGCACTCCAGCCTGGGAAATATAGCAAGACCCTGTTTCTTGAAAAAAATTGTTCTGAAAAGCAAATTAGAAAATACTGAATTATAGGTGAGATGTGGCTTGATGATGCAAGTTAATAATTGGGGTTCTGTTTTTCAGGGGCCCTAGGGGGCAGGAAGTGTTTTAGGTTAGTAACAATAAGAAACAAAGAGAACCTCTAACTAAACTGTGTTCATGAAAGCTTATCAGAAACAATTCACTCAAACTTTATCTTCTAAGAATTATAATTTCTAAGAATTTTATTCTAATTAAAGGGTCCTTAGGTTTGAAATATTTACAAATTTTAGCCTATGTCTTATACTGACCCTTATTAACTTCATTATAGCAGTACTGTTATTCAGTTAATTCTATGTAATTAGACCCATCCTTGAAGATCATTTTAAAGAAAAATTGAGTGCTCAGTGAAATTGATTCTTTTGTCATGGGCTCAACTGCTTACTTTGGCTAGCTTTTAAAAGTCAATGTTTATTGATTCTACTTTGAAAGGAGATCAGATGTGGATCCTCACCAGTTGCCCAGATATTTTTTTTTCCCTAAATAACTTTGTGTATTTAGAGTTTACAGCTGTAACGTTCCCAGACCATACATCATCTCACAATTCTATAGAAATTCAAAGAACATCCCTAGTCTCCATGTCTTCAGTAATTAGCTGAAATCTCCACTACTAGAGTTTAACATTTATTTTCCCACTCACATTAAGTTGGAAATTTATGTGGAAATCCCTCTTCGCACAGCTGCTTATTTGTGAATGTTCTTTAGCCAAAGTTTGCAGGTGTCCTTAAAATGCTTTCTCAACACATCATGCTCCTTGGGGAGGTGGGGTTTTTTGTTTTTTTTTACTGTCAGAAAAAATTTTACATCAATCTCAGCTTAGATCATCAGAAGTACTGAAAGAATGAAGTGAATATATGAAATGTAGCAAAGACTAAAGTTAGATACTTCATGTAACTTTTCCTGAAATATTCTTTTTAGTAATTACTTCTTTTGGTCTAGAGCAAAATGGCACAGCAGACTTTTAAATCTTCCTCCAAACTTGTACTCATAGTAATTCCATTTCTTAAACTAATGTCTTGCTGGAAAATTGACATGCTTTTAGATTGAGTCTGAAACAGCAGCTTCTGAGGAAACCTTGTTCAACGCGTCCCAGCGCATCAGCGAGTTAGAGAGGAATGTGGAAGAACTTAAGCGGAAAGCTGCCCAAAACTCCGGGGAGGCAGAATATATTGAAAAAGTAGTATATACTGTGAAGCAAAGTGCAGAAGATGTTAAGAAGGTACGTAAATCTTTGTAATTTCAGAGCTATGTTGTTAAAGGAGCCACCAGTCTCCTCCTTGCCTGCCTTAGAGTAAGGGACATGGACCTAACAGAAACAGAATTCATCAGAAATATCAAATGACCTGTTTTGCAACAGCCGTCTTTAGAAGTGTGGATGGGAAAGAATATGGAAATATCTAATAAGTATGACCTATGTCCTCAAATCCAAATTTGGACAAGAGTTTAGAAGAACGGAATTAACTTAGGGGTAGAAGTCTCAAAACAGGCTTTTTTTTTTTTTTTAAACCAACTATATTGACAAAAACCAGTCATATTGAACTTTTATTTCTGTGCGGTAGTCAGTTAAATTCTTCATGGCATATAGTAATTATCAGGCCATTTGAGAATATTTTACAAGCAGGTTGGAACAGAGAACAGGTAGTAGGAAACCAAATCTTATCTCTTTGAGACTCATTTTGAATTAACTACCCCTCACCTCTCATTCGAAGGCACTATATTTTGCAGAGAAAAACTCACACAACCCAAATGTTTAATCAGAAGCCATGTAATAACTGAAACACATGTTCAGTTTCTCAATAATGCTTATTTCTAAAGAGAACATTAAAAACTTGGTGGCGCCGGGGTGGGGCTTAAAACCATTGAATCACTGGTCCCCAACTTTTTTGGCACCAAGGACCAGTTTCCTGGAAGACAATTTTTCCAGACTCGGGGGTGGGGATGGTTTCAGGATGAAACTGTTCCAGCTCAGATCAGGCATTAGATTCCATAAGGAGTGCACAACCTAGATCCCTTGCATGCACAGTTCCCAATAGGATTCGTGCTCCTATGAGAATCTAATGTCACCACTGATCTGACAGAAGGTGGAGCTCAGGCAATAATACTTGCCTGCCCACCCAGTTCCTAACTGGTCCGTAGGCCTGGGGGCACCTGCATTTACTGACCTAATTTCAGTATTTAACTCCCTACTATTCAAAAATTTTCTGGAAGTTACTGTAGCTTTTCGGGCATTACGTAAGAGTAACTTTCCCTACCTCTCTCTAGGTTGGGAAAGAGAACAAAACAATGAGAAAAGTTCACTGCCACAATATCAGACAGCTGTCTTTTCTGTTTTGGTTTGTGTGGTTTCCTGCAGTACTGAGGACACAAATTTCTCAAGTACTCTGCTTCAGGGCATTTTGCATAATGACATTTTATCACAAGAGAAAGGAACAAAATCTCTTGAAATGAAATTTCCATAAATGGCTATTTGAACAGTTTCTAAAAAGAATCATTTGCATTCCAACCCCACACCCCATTTCTCTTCTCCTCACTCACTTCTTGCATATGCTACAATCTCACCTTTCCTTCCTGTATCTTTTGTTTAATCTTTTTCCTCTGATTTCCTTATAAGCAAGTCTTCACAAATCCTAATTTAGTCAAGATCCAAAGAGCCTCCACTTCTTCAATATGGGCTTCTCTAATGTCTAATCTACTTTTGAAAAATCTGCGCTTCTCTATGTAATTTGCAATACAATTATGCTACAACTTTTCTATAGAAAAGTAATAATCAGGAGAATGAGGACTTAGCCCTAAGGATTTGCTGCAACTCCAGAATTTTTTGAAATGTTCTTTAAAATCATGTCAATTTTGCATTCAATTCCACTGTTTGAAGATAAAATTTTAAATTACTTACCAGTGAATATCCTTGGTGGCCCTTAATCCAGAATGCATGCCATGATTACACTATTGCTCTTAAATGTAATTACTGACACTAACATTACCACTTCTTTCTGTCTAAATGTGGAACTATAGACTTTAGATGGTGAACTTGATGAAAAGTATAAAAAAGTAGAAAATTTAATTGCCAAAAAAACTGAAGAGTCAGCTGATGCCAGAAGGAAAGCCGAAATGCTACAAAATGAAGCAAAAACTCTTTTAGCTCAAGCAAATAGCAAGCTGCAACTGCTCAAAGGTGGGTCTTTTCACACAGGCTTATTTTTTAAATTACTTTAAGGCATCCATAGTTTATTTAAAAGTGAAAAATATATTCACTTTGTCTTGAGATCATCATAGTATAAATTGCTCAGACTTTATATATATATATCTCCCCACAGATTTAGAAAGAAAATATGAAGACAATCAAAGATACTTAGAAGATAAAGCTCAAGAATTAGCAAGACTGGAAGGAGAAGTCCGTTCACTCCTAAAGGATATAAGCCAGAAAGTTGCTGTGTATAGCACATGCTTGTAACAGAGGAGAATAAAAAATGGCTGAGGTGAACAAGGTAAAACAACTACATTTTAAAAACTGACTTAATGCTCTTCAAAATAAAACATCACCTATTTAATGTTTTTAATCACATTTTGTATGGAGTTAAATAAAGTACAGTGCTTTTGTATATATTTTGGTGTACTTGTTACTTTCACTGATTGTTGATGAATCCCTTTTTTCACTGTAAACGTGGATTTATAAACAAGTTTACTGCGTCCATGAAGACCCTAATTTATGTTGTCTATAAACAAGCTATTATATTTATTTGACAGGTAAACATCCTCCAAAACTCCACACCCTTGACTCCCCTCCTCCCAATCACCTCCCAGTGGGATTCCCAGGTTGAGGTTAAGGAGGACAAATATAGTCTATGCTACCATCACTATTTCAATGGTTGCTGAGTTGCTCCAGCCATCAAAACTCCTGTAAGTAAGTATTCCTTGCTCTAGGAATGAGAAAAAGCAACATTTTAGAAAATCAGCAGGATGTACTAGGGTTTGTAGTCATTACCACCTAGAAAAGGACTAGGGTTACTGAGGGGAAGGTTTCAGTTAAATCAGGCCAGAGTTTATGGATACTGCTCCTGCCAATTGAGCAATGCTACTACAGAGCACGGAATGATGCTCTAATTTCTCAGCTTTTGTATTGTATTTTATACTACAGAGCACAGAATGATGCTCTAATTTCTCAGCTTTTGTATTGTATTTTATGTGATTTTGCAACTAATCTAACGAAAGTAATTGCCAGGCCCATGTCAACTTTATTGCCTAACTAGCTGTATAAAAGGCTAGCCCCTATGTGTTTTTTTCACACATTCTTAGAGCAAGACTATTCTGTGGACTGCTTAACAACCACCCACACATCCAACACAGCTGCATCTGAAGCTGGGCCTGGACAACAGTTATGTAAACAGCTGTAAGTTAATAACTTTCCTCTGGCCCAAAGCAATAATTTGTCACTTTTATGGTACTGTTACCAAAACAGATATATAGACCAATGGAACAGAACAGAGGTCTCAGAAATAACACCACACATCTACAACAATCTGATCTTTGACAAACCTGACACAAGCAGTAGGGAAAGGATTCCCTATTTAATAAATGGTGTTGGGAAAACTGGCTAGCCATATGCAGAAAGCTGAAACTGGATCCCTTCCTTACACCTTATACAAACATTAACTCAAGATGGATTGAAGACTTAAACGTAAGACCTAAAACCATAAAAACCCTAGGCAATTACCATTCAGGACATAGGCATGGGCAAAGACTTCATGACTGAAACACCAAAAGCAATGGCAACAAAAGCCAAAATTGACAAACGGGATCTAATTAAAGAGCTTCTGCACAGCAAAAGAAACTATCATCAGAGTGAACAGGCAACCTAGAGAATGGGAGAAAATTTTTGCAAAGAACTTCAAACCCATCAAAAAGTTGGTGAAGGATATGAACAGACACTTCTCAAAAGAAGACATGCATGCAGCCAACAAACATGAAAAAAAGCTCATCATCACTGTTCAATAGAGAAATGCAAATCAAAACCACAATGAGATACCATCTCATGCCAGTTAGAATGACAATCATTAAAAAGTCAGCAAACAACAGATGCTGGAGAGGCTGTGGAGAAATAGGAACACTTTTACACTGTTAGTGGGAGTGTAAATTAGTTCAACCATTGTGGAAGACAGTGTGGCAATTCCTCAAGGATCTAGAACTAGAAATACCATTTGACCCAGCAATGCTATTACTGGGTATATACCCGAAGGATTATAAATCATTCTACTATAAAGACACATGCACATGTATGTTTATTGAGGCACTGTTCACAATAGCAAAGACTTGGAACCAACCCAAATGCCCATCTATGACAGAATGGATAAAGAAAATGTGGCACATATACACCATGGAATACTATGCAGCCATAATAAAGGATGAGTTCACATCCTTTGCAGGGACATGGATGAAGCTGGAAACCATCGTTCTCAGCAAACTAACACAAAAATAGAAAACCAAACACCACATGTTCTCACTTGTAAGTGGGAGGTGAACAATGAAAACACATGGACAAGGGGATGGGGGTGGGGGAGGGATAGCATTAAGAGAAATACCTAATGTAGATGATGGGTTGATGGGTGCAGCAAACCACCATGGCACATGTATACCTATGTAACAAACCTGCATGTTCTGCACATGTACCCCAGAACTTAATTAAAAAAAAAAATCCCAATAACTAGCAAAAATGGTCATACCCCATCATCTACTAGAGCAATTATGTAGTATTTTACTTAGAACAGTAGAAACACTCTCCATTCCTTTTCAGCTAAACAACTAAAGATCTCACTTTGAAATTACTTTTTTTTTTTTTTTGAGACGGAGTTTCGCTCTGTCGCCAGGCTAGAATGCAGTGGCATGATCTCAGCTCACCGCCTCCTGGGTTCAAGTGATTCTGCCTCAGCCTCCTGAGTAGTTGGGATTACAGGGGCCTGCCACCACACCTGGCTAATTTTTATATTTTTAGTAGAGATGGGGTTTTACCACATTGGTCAGGTTGGTCTCAAACTCCTGACCGCAGGTGATCTGCCCGCCCCGGCCTCCCAAAGTGCTGGGATTACAGGAGTGAGCCACCGCTCCCAGCCAGTTGAAATTACTAATTTTAATCAGTTCAATGAAGTGGACAATTAATTTCACTCTTCACAAGCCACAAAAATATTGACAGCTTAGTAGATAACAGTAAGTGAACACTTAAAACTTGTTTTATTCCTAGGACTTTATTCCCCATACAGATAAATTTGCATTCTCATACTGAATGTAAACACTTAAAGATGGATTTAACTCTACAGCTAGAATTCCATATTAAATTATATTTCACTATTCCCTAACTAAAAACTTTTTTTTCCCTGAGTAAGGGATATGTTGAGATTTACATAAACAGCACTTCACATGATACCGGGATTTCAAATTTTTAAAAAGATGCAGAGTTCACTTCCAATAATGGCAAAGTAGCACACAGATATCAGACCAACCCTCCTGCTGATAGCAACTGCAAACTCTGAACAAATATATTTTAGAAAAAACTAAAGGCACTGGAAACAACTATAAACAAGTGGAAAGTAGAGGGAAGTTGGCACTTAAAAAGTGAACAGCACTGGCTCAATGTCTCATTTTTAACGGGTTCTCACTTGAGGGGGAAACAAAAGCCAAGTTTTATTGGTTAAGGATCAGAAGGCAGAATATGGGGCAACCACAACAGCTGGAACATAAAGGGGAAACCCCCAAAAAACAGGAGGCACAGAAGGGGCAGACTTCCTTCTGCCCAAACTCTGGTTGACCCCTGAACTACACACTTGCATGGGAAAGACTTCCAGCAGCATAGCTAAAGCTAAAACAACTGAGAAGAGATTTCAGCTGCTGCCACCTACAAACAAGACAGAGTGTGGAGTTGGTGTTCAGCCAAGTTAACTGCCTCCTAAGACAACAATCAATTTTCTTTAGAAGTATGTAACAGAATCCAGGGTCATTATGTCACTCATGAGCATGAGACAATCTATGCTATCTATACCAAATTTCAGAACTACTTAATCTGAATTATTCTTAAATTTAGTTACAATATGCAAAAGCCTACTTAGCATTTAGTACTTTGTTACTTAAGTTTCCTCAGGACATGGCCATTTTAAACACCACACATCCAATTTTACAACACTCTTTAAATAAACAGTCATTAACCCAGCCAAGGAAAACACAGATTAAAGACTCCCTTATGTTGTACTTCTCCAAAAGTATATATTAAACATTTAGTAGGTGTATCTAAAATAGATGAAAGGATGATGACCTTTAAAATGCCTTAATATTGTCCTATAACATGAAAATAAAGATACATTCAGGCCTAGAAAAGAAATTAGAATATACACTAGAAGTAGTCATAAAAAAAACTATGACCATCTCAACACGTACTCATGATAACCAGTAAATGAATATTTAAGACGTTTATTTCAGTATCTTCATTCCCCACTGTAATACATTTGAATGCCCACGTATTTGAGTTCCGTAAATAGACTCTCTTAATTTGGGTAACTATATAATTACCCTTCAGAGTTGCAGACAACAATGGAAGCTTTAAAACCTCTTCAACACAAATGCTACCCCTAAAATGAAAGAATTTAGAGGTTAAATAAAACAAGTGAGAGACCGTTTACTTACATCAGTTCGGTTTATAGACATTTGAATCATATCTGAATGACTGACTTGTTTCCAATGTGAAAACCAAATTAAAAATAACTTGATCACTGTGCTTCAAACACAACTGTTCACATATCAAATTCTAGCTCCAGCCATGTAAAATTCAACTTTTCTGTATCAGAGAAAAAAGCTATTTAAATTCAGGGGCATTGAATCTTTCATGAACAGCATGAAAATATGAGTTGACGGAGATATTCCAGGATGCTACAATAAGTAGCTTTTTGTCTTACACATTAGTGCACTGAAACAAAATACTAAATTTATGTAAAATATAGATATAAGAGTATTCCATTTTGTCCAAACCTATTAAATACCTTCCAAAAGTTTCATAATTCAGTCCTAGAAATTCTTGGAGCTGTGAGAATATCCTGTTCAGGAATGTGACTTCTACAAAAGCTCCCAGGAAATTTCAGAAAAAAATATATATAATCTTCTAATTCAAAAGTTGATTGATTTGCCAAATGACGCAGCAAGATTTGCTTCTCTAAAAGCTTCTGATAAGGTCTGCAAGGGAAGAAATTTAAAATTAAAATCCAAATATTTGTGGGTCAGAAGAAAATTTAGGCAACCATCAATTCTATATGTTGTTAATAATTACCGGATGTGCATGACAGACTCTAGCTATATCTTCACAGGATGCTCCATATTCCAAAGCAAGAGCAGCTTCATTTACCATTTCTCCAGCACCCTTTAAAATAACAAGCCAAGTAAATTTGCTTCCAAGGCAAAAACTACATGCTAATAGGATAGCAATTGTTGAGGGGAAGCTTTTAGATCTTAAAAACGCCTTAAATCTGTTTCTTTATCAGTTGAAGAAAAGTCAGGAAAAGCTTAATAGAAAAGGTGACACAGAAGAGCTTGGGCTCTGGAGCCAAAGGGCCTTCAATTCATATCTACCACTTACTACCTTAACCATTCATTGGTTCTTTGTGCTTCATTCAGTTTCTTCACCTCAAAAATAACAGCACCTATTTCAAAAAGCTGATGTAAAAATAACAAAATGTATACTAAAGTGACACAGCACTCAAATATTCTATTCTCATTATTGTTACATCAGATACAAGAGATATCTACAAGAAAGATACATACTTTAGGCTCAGTGGTAGGAAAGGCTTCCCTTAGGAGGTAACATTTGAGCTGAGACCTGAATAATAAGGAGCCAGCCATTCAAAGATCTGGAGGCAGAACAGTCTAAGCAGAGGGTATCTTAAGCACAAAGGCCCTAAAATGCAAATATTTGGTCTGTTGTGAAAATGAGAGAAGGCCCATGTGACATGGCATTAATGAGTAAAAGAGAGCAGAAAAAGAAGAGGTCAGAGAAGTAGGCACAAACAGATTCAGTGAGGCCTTGGATGTAACAATCTGAAGTTGAAAAGCACCACTGGAGGATTTTAAGGGGCATAATCTGGTGTATGTTTTAAAGAGAGAATCTTGGCTGCAGGACAAAGTAGATGATACAGTGGGCAAGACTGTGAGAGTGCTGCTGGTATCCTTCTAGAAATGATGCACAGAGAGCCATATTCAAAGTTTTGCTGGAAATGAGCAACCTCAGACTAACACCAGGTGGTTTATAATTAATAAACAGCAATGCTTTCTAGAAATCTTAATGGGATTTCTCTGGTTTTACAATACTCACTGGTCCAAGAATATGTGCTCCCAGTACTCTGTCTGTCGATTTCTGCCCAAGGATCTTCACCATGCCATCTGTGTCAGCATTTGTCTTAGCTCTGCTGTTAGCAGCAAATGGGAATTTCCCAACTTTGTACTCAATACCCTGTGACAGTCAGAAAAAAAGAATCTACGTAACTGCCAGAAAAGTTCTTTCCAATTTGTAAAATCATCTACCATTTGTTCAGAAAATAAATCCCAAGAAGGGAATTGTTCGCAAAGCACATAGAAGGAAAGGAAAGACCAGAAGACTGGTTAATGAACTATATCTCAGGCACGAATACAAGCAAATACAAATGTCTGTCCATCTGGTTATATTTCAAAGCCAAATATAAAAGATCTGGAATTACTAGTTTTTTAATATAGGCAACTTCTCTTCCTCTCAATTACTGCTGATAAATCTGTGAATGATCTCTTTATAATGCTAACAAGGGAAAAATATATAAGCTAAACAATATTTCACAGCTGTTAAATATATTAGCATAATGATAAAATGCTGTTTCTCAACCACCAATGTCATTGGCACAACTCACACATTGGCTTAAAACCACCCATGTTCAGACTTACCTCTTCTTTCAACTGCTCTTCTGATTTGCCAACCCAAGCAACTTCAGGGTGTGTGTAAATCACTGATGGCACACAATTGTAGTCAATGTGCACAGCACCACCAGCCATTCCTTCAACACAGATAATGCCTTCATCCTCTGCTTTGTGAGCCAGCATTGGACCAGCAACTACATCACCAATGGCATAGATACTACCACAGAAATCAAAAGAAACACAATGAATTTCTGAAATCACAGCTACTTACCTTCAGTTACATTATGGTAACAAAAGTTTCCAGTAAACAAGTCACCAAAAAATACATCAAATGCAGCTCTTCAAAAATCTATGAATTCAGCTTATCTTTGAGTAAAATTCAGTTATTTTTTATTTTACATTTTGTAAGTTTACTATTCTTCCCCAAAGCCAATACATATTTTAAGCATAAAAATCTTACTTTTCAAAATACTGTTTGAAATCAATTTTAAAATTACTGAAAATGCAGACAATTATCCAACTTACTTTGGAATTTTAGTTTGAAATCTGGTATTGACTGGAATTCTACCTCTGGGATCTAGTTCAATTCCCAGCTCTTCTAGTCCCAAATTCTTAGTAAAGGGTCGTCGGCCAATGCAAACCAAGAGTACATCACAAGTGATAACTTCAGCTTTACCACCAGAAGCAGCTTCAATACTAGATAACAAACAGTGTATAAATGTTAAATACACACCTACATAAATTGATAGGCTTAGAAATTTAAGGCCAGCAATTTCTCAAGTGTTGATGACATTTTCATTTTTGTTTTGTTTTGTTTTTGAGACAGAGTCTTGCTCTGTCGCCAGACTGGAGTACAGTGGTGCAATCTCGGCTCACTGCAACCTCCACCTCCCAGGTTCCAGAGATTCTCCTGCCTCAGCCTCCCTAGTAGCTGGGACTACAGGCACGCGCCACCACGCCCAGCTAATTTTTGTATTTTTAGTAGAGACGGGGTTTCACCATGTTGCCAGGCTGGTCTTGATCTCTTGACTTCATGATCTGCCCATCTCAGCCTCCCAAAATGCTGGGATTACAGGTGTGAGCCACCATGCCCAGCCGGCACTGATGACATTTTTAACAATATAAGTTTATTTGAATATAAACATAAGAGTCAGACAATGAAAGAGATCTATCATTAAAATCTAGAGGTCTGTTATTAAAATCTCACAAAAACCACAGTATAATAAAACAGCAGTTAAGAATACAGGTCTTTGAGTCACAGAAATCCAAATTCAACTACTGACTGCCACCCACTAGCTGTGTGACAAGTTAGTCATTAATTAGTCAATGAATTCAGCTTCTTATCTTTGAGTAAAAGTCATTAAACTATTTAAATACTATTAACTATTTAATTTAAATATTTATTTAAAAACTAATTCAATAAGTTAAATGCCATTAAAGTATTTAATCAGTAGAGTACCAGACATATAGTAAGCAATCTTTTATTATTGATTTCCCCATGTATCTGCCTAAAAATATTGATTCAATTTTACTTATTATTGGGAATTTAAATTTTTCTGAATGTACTATAAGAAGGCACAACAATGAGAATATTGGATTCTCTTTCTAGCATTAACCTAATCATAAATTTCAATGTGCTAATGCAATAATTTGATAAGCAACTGAGTTATATTAAGTAATAAAATGACCTTAAGTTAGAAAAAACCCTATATTTGCTAAACTGATTTTGAAACTTGAGTGTTTTGCTTAAAGAGACAGGGATGATACATCAAAAACAAATGATGTATACTTACGAAACATCAATTTTTCCATCTGACTTCTTGGTAGCACCAGTAACCTTTGTATTCAATTTAAATTTAAACCCCTGTTTTTGAAGGATGCGTTGAAAGTTTTTAGATATCTCCATATCAATTCCAACTCCACCTACATGACCTAAAAATTCAACTGCTGTCACATCTGCACCAAGTCTTTGCCAAACTGAACCCTGCAAATAAATTAAAAAAACCCAATAATCATAAAAGTTTCTATAGCAAATGTTTACGAAATCATCTTAATAATTTATTGTAAAACATTTTCTTCTTTCGCTAGTATGTTCCTATGAGAAGCTCCGAGGTTTAAAATTGACCCTGTGTTAAATATGTATAACTTCATACATTTATTAACTTACTCATTCAACATTTGTTGAACATC
This sequence comes from Homo sapiens, assembly GCF_000001405.40. NCBI lineage: Eukaryota > Metazoa > Chordata > Mammalia > Primates > Hominidae > Homo > Homo sapiens. The sequence continues at coordinate 107,915,299 of NC_000007.14, read as the reverse complement.
TACTACATGGTAGGCAATATTTTAGCTTCTAGGCATACATTAGTAAACAAAGCAAAAATCTCTGTTCTCAGGGATCTTATATTCTGGCAGGGGACATAGACAAATATGTAAAATTCATAACAGAGAATAAAGTGCTACAGGAAAAATAAAACAGGAAGTAGAACTAGGACCACTGATTACTGGGATTACAATTTTAAATAGCACGTTTGGGGAAAGCCTCACTGGGAGTGACATTTGCACAAAACTTGAAGGAGTGAGGCAATGAACTACCCAGTTAACTGGGGCAAGAGTGTTGCTCTAGGCAGAGGGAAACAGCAAGTACAAAAGTCTTGAGGAAAAGGAAACAGGTTACTAAATCACTGATGTTTGCAGAATATTAAACTGGCTTCCTATTTTCTTTTCTCAACAAAGGACAAATGTTTACTTTTTCATTCAAATTATAATTTAAACTGAATGCTAGTTTATTTTAACATTTTGACAATTAGTATAACTTCTAAATAATTATATATTAAACAATACATAACTGGCAAGATGAACATAATTTCACAGCATTAAATATGAAAAACCATGAACATATCCTTTGCAAGAATGTATATTAAAATCATCTGGTAATTCAAATGAACTATAAAAGTTTACCTTCCCTAAATTAGGTGTGGGCGTTCATTTAAAAAATCTCATTAATTTCTAGTATGAAGACTGAGTTAACTAGAGGCAATATAGTGACACTAAAAATCTAACAATACGTATATATAAAAGTTAACTCAAAATGGATCATGGACCTAAATGTAAAATCCAATACTATGAAACTTCCAGAAGAACACCTAGGAGAAGAAATCCTAGAAGTGACCTTGAGTTAGGCGAAGATTTCTTTGATGTAACACCAACAGCACAATCCATAAAAGAAAAATGATAAATTGGACTTTGTCAAAATTAGAAAGTCTTAGATAACATTGAGAACACAAAAACAGAAGCCACAGACTGGGGAAAAAAATTACAAAACTTCTATCTGATAAGGGATTTATATCCAGAATATATAAAGAATTCTCCAAATTCAATAAGAAAAATTCAATAAAAAATGGACAAATGTCTGAAGAGGGAAGATATAGAGATGGCACGTAAGTACATTAAAAAATGCTCAACCCCGTAAGTCATTAGAGAAATCTAAGTTAAAACCACAATGAATTGAATTCAACAACACATAAAAAGATCATTCACCATGATCAAGCAGGATTCATCCCAGAGATGCAAGGATGATTCAACATATGTAAATCAATAAACATGATTCATCACATTAACAGAACCAAGAACAAAAACCATATGATCACTTCAACAGATGCTGAAAAAGCCTTTAATAAAAATTCAATATCCCTTCATGATAAAAACCCTCAAAAAACTGGATATAGGAGGGACACACCTCAAAATAATAAGACAAACTCATGGCCAACATCATACTGAATGGGAAAAAATTGAAAGCCTTTCCTCTAATATCTGGAACAATACAAGAATGCCCATTTTTCACCACTTTTATTCAACATAGTACTGGAAGTCCTGGCCTCAGCAATTGTAGAGGAGAAAGAAACAAAGGGCATTCGAATTGAAAAGGAAGAAGTCAAATTAATCTTTTGTGCAGACTACATGATCTTATATTTAGAAAAACCTAAAGACTCCACCAAAAAACTATTAAACTTACAAACTAATTCAGTAAAGTTGCAGGATACAAAATCAACATACAAAAATCAGTAGCATTTATATACACCAACAGTGGACAATCTAAAAAAGAAAAAAAAAAAGCAATCCCATTTGCAATAGCTATAATGAATATAAAATACCTAAGAATCAATTTAGCCAAAGATGTGAAAGATCTATACAATAAAAAACTAAAAAACACTGATGAAACAAATTGAAGAGGACACAAAAAATAGTTCATGTTCATGGACTGGAAAAATTAATATCGTTAAAATGACAATACTACCCAAGGTAATTTACAGATTCAATGCAATCCCTACTAAACTACCAATGATATTCAACTGCCAAAGTAATCCTGAATAAAAAGAAGAAAGCTGGAAACATCATATTAACCGGCTTCAAAATTTACTAAAAAGCTATAGTAACCAAAATAGCATAGTACTGGCATAAAAAGACACACAGACCAATGGAACAAAATAAAAAACCCAAATATAAATCCACACATTTTCGGCTAACTCATTTTCAACAAAGGTACCACAAACACAGTGAGGAAAAGGCAGTCTCATCGATAAATGGTGCTGGGAAAACTGGATAACCGTATGCGGAAGAATGAAACTAGACCCCTATCTCTTACCATATACAAAAGTCAAATCAAAATGGATTAAAGACTTAAATCTAAAATCTGAAACTATGAAATTACTGTAAGAAAACATTGGAGAAATGCTCCAGGACACTGGTCTGGGCAAAGACTTACTGTGTAAGACCTCAAAAGCATAGGCAACTAAAGCAAAAACAGACAAATGGGATTACATTAAGTTAAAAAACTTTTGCACAGCCAAGGAAACAGTCCACAAAGAGACAACCCACAGAAAGGAAGAAAATATTTGCAAACTATCCGACAAAGGATTAATAATCAGAATACATAAGGAGCTCAAAAAAATTCAATTTTAAAATGAGCACCAGATCCGAATAGACATTTCTCAAAAGAAAACATTCAAATAGCCAATACATGTATGAAAAAATGTTCAACATTATTAATCACCAGAGAAATGCAAGTCAAAATCACAATGAGCTATCATCTCACCCCAGTTAAAATGGCTTTTATCAAAAAGATCGCAATAACAAATGCTGACAAGGATGTGGAGAAAGGAGAACCCTCATACACTGTTAGTGGGAATGTAAGTTAGTACAGCCACTGTGGAAAACAGTATGAAGGTTCCTCAAAAAACTAAAAATAAAACTACAATATGAGCCAGCAATTCCACTACTGGGTATATATCCAAAAGAAAGGAAATCAATATATTGAAGAGGTATCTGCGCTTTATGTTTACTGCAGCACTATTCACAATAGCCAAGACACAGAATTAACTCAAGTGTCCATCAGCAGACAAACAAAGAAAATGTGGTACATATACACAATGGAATATTATTCAGCCATAAAAAAGAATGAAATTCTGTCATTTGCAACAGAACAGATGGAACTGGAAGACAGCATGTTAAGCAAAATAAGCTAAGCACAGGAAGACAAATATCGCATGTTCTAACATGTGGGAGCTAAAAAAAAAAACAAACAAACTGAACTCATGGAGATAGAGAGCAAAATGATGGTTACCAGAGGCTGGGAAGGCTAGGGGGAGAAGAGGAATGAAGAGAGGTTGATTCATCAGTACAAATATACAATTAGACAGAATAAATAAGAGCTGGTGTTAATGCAGGGTTGACTATAGGTAACAATCAATTACACATTTCAAAATAGCTAGAAGAGAATAATTCAATATTCCTAGCATTTAAAAAAATGTTCGAGGTGATGGATAGCCTAATTACCCTGATTTAATTATATGAATATATCAAATTATCACATGTACCTTGAAAAAAGTACATCTATTACATAGCAATTTAAAAAATAAAAATAGAAAAAAAAACCCCACAGTGAGTTACTACTACACAACCACTAGAATAGCTCAATTTTTAAAAAAAAATGACAATACCAAGTGTCAGTGGAAAAGCAGAGCAACAAAAATTTACGTTGCTGGTGGGATTGTATGGAAAAGTGTAACGGTGTTCCTTGAGAAGTTAAAATAATTACCATATGACCCAACAATTACACATCCAGTTATATACCCAAGAGAAATGAAAACAGATAACCACACAAAAACTTGTACACAAATAGACATAGCAGTGTCATTCATAATAGTCTGAAAGTAGAAACAACCCAAATGTCCACCCATGATGAATGGATAAACAAAATGTGCCATATCCATAGAATGAGATATTTAGCCAGATAAAGAAATGAAGTATAGATACATGCTACAACTTGGATGAACCATAAGAACATTATGCTATGTAAAGAGAGCACACACAAAATAATATTGTATGATTTCATTTATATGAAATGTCCACAATATGCAAATTCATAGACACAGTAGAATTAGTGGTTTCCAGGGGCTGAGCAAAGGGAGAAATGGAGAATGACTGCTAATGGGTAGCAAGTTTCTTTTAGGGTGATGAAAATGTTCTAGAGTTAGACAATGGTAACAGCTCTACAACTCTATGAATATACTAAAAACCTTTGAATTGTACATTTTAAATGGGTGAACTGATATGTGAACTATATCTCAATAAAGCTGTTTAAAAAGCAAACAAGACAAAAGAAAGGACCATTCTTGGAAACTGGGATAGAAGTAAATAGAGGGGAAATAATGGGAGTGTGGAAATAAGAAACATCATCTTGGAGTCTAATTCAAAGTAGGGAGTGATGAGCATAGACAAGTGCCCTACTCTTTAGGAAAACTGATTTCAAAATACTTATAGATAGGAAAACTCAATAGCATCTACCACTTACTTAGAGCTTACTAAATGCCAGGCACTGCATTAAGTGTTTTAAATGTATTAAATCCCAGCAATACTCCTGTAAGTTAGTTATTTTTATCCCCTTTTTGATGACAAACCAACTGGTTCAGAGTGGCTCATTAACAAGAACATAAGTCAGTAAGAGGCAGAGTTGAAATTCAAATTTAAATCTGTTCAATTCCAAAAAAGATGTTTTTTAACACTACACTAAACTGGAATGGAAGAAAGGCAAAATATAAAAAATGAAAATACAGTTATGTGAATAATCTTTACAAGAAAATAAATAGATATCATGACTACACAGTAAATTCTCTAATAAGTTTTTAAAAAGACATGTAAAAACTAATTCAATACAGTAACAGGTATCTAAATCATTGTGTCAAAAGACTCAAGGCTTATAAAAAACCTAAAGCAAAACTGCTGAGATGAAGAAATAGAATTATTGCTTCGAGATATTATAATGACCAACAAAAGAAAGTAAATGTTATTCCTTTTTTCTTGTTTTATCCAACTATGAGAACAAAGTAGAATGAACAGAAGAAATATTATTAACCAAGAGGCAACGCCCAAGATTAAGAACAACTGGTCATTTTTAAAGAGTTAATTCCCGGCTGGGTGTGGTGGCTCATGCCTGTAATCCCAGCACTTTGGGAGGCCGAGGCAGACGGATCATGAGGTCAGGAGTTCAAGACCAGCCTGGCCAACATGGTGAAACCCCGTCCCTACTAAAAATACAAAGAAAAATTATCTGGGTATGGTGGTGCGTGCCTGTAATCCCAGCTACTCAGGAGGCTGAGGCAGGAGAATTGCTTGAACTGGGACCTGGGAGGTGGAGGCTGCAGTGAGCCGAGATCATGCCACTGTATTCCAGCCGGGGCTACAGAGCGAGACTCCATCTCAAAAAAAAAAAAAAAAAAAAAAAAAGTTAATTCTCCCATCAACCCAATTAGAGTATGACAAAACAGGCACTCTCAGTGAACTCTGGGAACTTACTTAGCACAAGGGAACTGCCAAAAGGTGGCAGACAGGCAAATATGCCTAAATTTTCAAAAATGGAAAAGAAGAGATTCTGCTAAATACTAGAAGACATTATTAATCAGCTGGTTTCACAATCAGTAGACACTACCACAAGTGTTCCAAACAGGTCACATAAACCACTCTTACTTTCTGAAGGGTTTCTGGACTGGTGAATGTAGTATATTTTGATATCAGCAAGGTGTTAAAAAAAATTTTAAGAAAATCTCATGATATCCTTGTAGATGAGATGGAGAAACGAAGATGAATAAACATCAAAGGTGTTTATAACTGGTGAAAGACTGTACTGTCAGATGGCTTTCGATGTTTCATCCTGGTCAAAAATTTGTACTAATGACGTGAATGACAACAGAAGTTTGCTTAACCAAGATCAGATCAGATGATGGGACTGCATGCCTTAATTGTCATACTTCCAAAATTTACGAACTATGAAAAGTAAAAGCAGTTAAGTATAAGAGTGACAGAATCAAGACTAAGATATAGATTGGAATAATGAGTATGAGTGAACAAGATTAAATTAAAGCAAGAATAAAGGTTCAAAGTCACTTAGGTTTAAAAAATCAGAATTCCAAATGCGAAAAAAATGTGGTTTTTATCTGAACATAAGCTCAATGTCTGCTTTATAAAAACAACTAAACTGATTTCAAAGCATTACATTACAAGAAGTATACTATGCATATCAAAAGAAGTACTCTCTACAACCCAGAACATTATGTTTAGATTACAAGTTTTCTTAACGGACTAGACAGGATCCAAAGGTTGATGACAAAATAACAGACCTGCTGTCTAGGAGACCTAAGTACTAAACATTAAGAAAAACAATGGAGATTCAAATAGGAATTAAAAATTCGGTCCTGCCTTCAAGGAGCTTTGGTCTTATAGGAAAGTCAGCCATAGACAAACAAATGCAATGTATTATTATTAGTGGGTACTATGGAAATGTAGATATATTATACTAAGGACTCAAAAAATGAAAGACTTGAGCTTTCTTAGAAGAAAGAATTATTCACTAAAAAGATAACTTAAAAGCTGATTTTTGTTTTGGGGTTTTTTTTTTTTTTTGAGACAGGGTCTCACTCTTTTGCCCAGGATGGAGTGCACTGGCATGACCCAGCTCACTACAGCCTCAAACTCCCAGGCTCAGGTGATTCTCCCATCTCAACCTCCTGAGTAGCTGGGACTACAGGCACACACCACCATGCCCAACTAATTTTTTACATTTTTTTAGAGATAAGTTCTCACATTGTTGCCCAGGCTAGTCTCAAACTCTTGGGCTTAAGCAATCTGCCTGCCTCAGCCTCCCAAAGTGCTGGGATTATAGACATGAACCATCATGCGCATCACAAGGTCAGGAGTTCGAGACCAGCCTGACCAATATGGTGAAACCCCGTCTCTACTAAAAATACAAAAATTAGCCGGGCGTGCTGGCGGGCGCCTGTAGTCTCAGCTACTTGGGAGGCTGAGGCAGGAGAATCACTTGAACCCGGGAGGCAGAAGTTGCAGTGAGCCGAGATCGCGCCACTGCACTCCAGCCTGGGCGACACAGCAAGACTCGGACTCAAAAAAAAAAAAAAAGAAAAACAAAAATACTAACAATTAAAGGGAAGCCTAAGAAAGGGGAACTTGCATAATATGGAGAATTCAGCCCAAAGAGCAGATGTAAAAATGGAAGAATATGAAATCACAGAAGTTAGGCAAAGTGTTTCAAAGGCAAGAAAATCAGCAATGCTAATTACTGCCAAATAAAGCAGTGAAGAAATTAGTCCAACAGATTGAGCAATAAATAGATTCATGCCCTAAGAGCAATTTATTGGCACAAGCCATAGACTGAGTGAGTGGAAGTTGATGAAATAAAGCATGGACAACTCTTTTGAGAAGCTGGGTTTTGAAGGAAAAGTGCGAACAAAATTGGTAACTCAAGAAGGACATGGGACCAAGATAAGGAGCATTTATGTGCACACAAACCTGTGTTAATGAGTGCAAATGCATCACAGGTACACACATAGAAGCACATGAAATTGTAAATAAAAGGAAGGAGTTTGAAGACTGAAAAATACAAGAATAAAAATCACAAAACCAAGTCTCTGAAAAGGCAGATGATGTGCTACCAAGCACAAGTAAAGGGATTAGTCTTAGGGAAAATGGCATTTCCACAGTAATAGGAGAGGTAATCAAAAGGATAGGTGTAACAACAGGTAAAAGCATTATCAAATTTAGGACATCAACTTGAGGGAGTTCTCATCTGATTTCTCTTTTATGTAATATTTAAAAGACAAGGTCATCCACAGGCAGAGCAGACAGTATACAAGCAGAGATTTGAGAAGAGTAGAAAATGAAAATGGCCATTGCAGAGACCAGGGCAGTGTACCATCTTAGGAAATAATAAACTGTCAGCAAGGCTGAGGTTCTTGTTAAGGTTTGTGCCAAGAATTAATACAAGTACCAATGAGTAGGGTGTGTTTTTCTCCAGGTGTAGTCAACAGCCTGGAAATAGCATAAAAAAGGCAGACTGCTGCATTCAAACCGAACTAGAGTTTTGCCAAGCAGATATGACAGAACAGTGAGACAAGCAACTCAAGGACATCTGTAAGAGTGTGGTTAAAGTGATGGACTATGGCATCTAAGCTGATCAGGAACGCAGTCAAGATTGGAAAGGGAAGATTGCAAAAAAGTAGATCTATGGACTAGAAAACCTAAAAAAGGGTACAAAGTACACTATGAATAACTGAGTAAAAGAGGAAAGGAGGTCATGGTTACATAATAAAATATCTGAATTTATTATTTCAGAAGTAGAGCAATTCCTGGTGTTTACAAGGCACAGTGACTCTAAAATGGAGGGAGGTCATTGGAAATGTGTGGAAAGCTGCCAGATGGACAAGAAGGGAGAACAAGGCAGACAGAAGGTCTAAAATAACATGGTGTTCAAAGAAATGCAAGTAGTTTGACATTTCTAAAACCTAAGTTAAGAGGCATCAAGATGAGGATAGAGAAGGGAAGAGCCAAATCATGTATGTGATGGTAAAGAGAATAATCTTTATTTGGAATGCAATTTGCCCAGGATAAAAGCTGTCCTCAAATATCTGAATGGCTGTCATATTAAAAAAGAATTCGACCAGTTCTAGGAAATGGAAGGGTGGAAGGTACAAGGAAACAGACTAAAATAAAGGAGAACATTCTAAATGAGTAAATACATAAATAGGTTGTCTTGAAAAAAACAAAAGTAAACTCTTTATTACTAGAAGTGTTTAAGCAAAACTCAATGCTGATCAGCCTGTAATGTTATACAAAAAATCAAAAAGGGGACCTTTAAGTCCCTTCCAACTCCAAGGAGGTAATAAGAGGCAGAAAGACAACACTTACCAATTCTACACCTATTACTCCTGCACCAATAACAACCATCTTTTCTGGAACTTTTTTTAAAGATAAAGCACCTGTAGATGACACTATTGTATCTTCATCTATCTGTAAGAAAAACAAAAGATATAATCAAAATAATTTGAAAAAACCTAGTACAGTCGACCCTCCATATCCATGGGTTCCAAATTTGCAGATTTAACCAACCATTAATTGAAAATATTCAGGAAAAAAATTGATGGTTGCATCTGTACTGAACATGTACACATGGTTTTTTTGTCATTATTCCCTAAACAATACAGCATAGGAACTACTTGCATAGCATTTACAGTGTATTAGGTATTATAAGTAATCCAGAGATGACTTAAAGTATACAGGAGGAAGTATGCAGATTATATGCAAATACTATGTCATTTTATGTAAGGCACTTGAGCATCTGTGGGTTTTGGTATCCAAGGGGGGTCCTGGAACCAATCCTCCAAGGATATGAAGAGATAAATGTATTTATAAACTGTGATCTCAGTAGAATCACTAAAAATACTAAGTCATTTATTTGTTTTGAGGTATCTATATACCTAATTTCATCAAATCCCATTAAAAACACTGACTTTAAATTTTATCCACCAATATTCCAAACGCAATGGTCAATTTTAACTTCATACTGTATTCAAACATATCTTAATATAAAGTGTTCTATAGCTGGTCAGAATCACTGCAGAATAAAGACAGGTAACTTCCCAAAGCTGAATGACCATCAAAATATAGTATTTCAGTCAGAAATCTCTCAAAGTTCACAAATAGCATAAATAACTTATAAAACGTATTTCTAAAGAAAAGTTGTAATGGTTGTAAATTATGAAGCATAAATACCGTGATTCCAGGAAAAGGAGTAACTTCTGAACCCGTGGCTATAAGAATGTTCTTTGTATCAATAACCTGAGTGCCGCCATCAGCTTTCGTAGCAGTGACTTGATTTTTGCCAGTTATCTTTCCATATCCATTGACATGAACAACCTTTACAAAATAATCTTTATAAATTCACAAAGTTTAAAGTAATTTGTTTGATAAATCATTCAAAGGAAAAATTACTCTGTAAATAATTTATCTAAAACAAAATGCTTCCTTACTTAGTAATGCTACACCATGGTGCAGCAAAAAAATCTGTGATATATGTCAGGGAAATCTATTTCAGGTTAGCAAGCTATTTTAAATTAAATAAATATTCCCCTGTAACCAAGTTCAAATATCATCACTCTATAATGCAAAGTTTAATTTGTATTCAAAGTAAAGCAGAAATCTGAATATTAAACACTGACCTTATTCTGTTTGAATAAGTGGGCAATTCCACCTGTTAAAGCTTTTACTGCAGTACTCTTCTGCTCCATCATCTTGTCTAAATTCAAGCGAACTTCGGACACTGTAATTTGTTCAATTAATCTTTAGTTCTTAGCTAAATTCTTGAAGCAATATGCAGTGTTTTTCACTCACCAACTGGAAAATTTCAACCTAATGCTTATAAAAGGCAGTATTAAAGTTTCAAAATGTAATAACTTATAATTATAGTTGACAAAAGGCCAACATCATTGTATCACAGAAACAGAACCTATCAAACACTATAAAATGTCTACCTTGGGTAAAAAGGCAGTCCAAAATAAAACATTATATCCCACTGTGATAACATATCCTCTGAACACTTTACGATGGTTATAAGTCTGGAAGATATGTAAGTAGAAATGACAAAGTAAAACATCATCTGAAATTTTAAATAAAGGAAAATGCTAGATTTCATGAAACAAAACAAATAAAAAATACACGTTTAAAAATTTCAAATACAGAAGCTTAACATTAAAAAGTTTAATCACCTAGGTTTTAATCACTCATTCAACTCAGAAGAGAACTCTGAAGCAACAGTATTAGATAAAAATGCTCAACTCAATTAAACTTTAGAGGTAAGAAGGGTATCTTAGAAAGTACCTCATATAACCAACACATATATTAGAGATAAGGAAAAAGAGACTCTGAGAGATTTCTGATTTACCCAAGGTCACAGAGCTAGGATGTAAAAGCCTTGCCTACAATGCAGGTCTCCTGACTACCCCTAGCTCTTCTTTCTTTACGTCATTCCATTTTTCAACTAGTATGATATTCTATTTGCTTTAGTGCATATACATCATCTCTATACCCAATGGATTGCCTTAAGTAGCCCCTCAAACCTACCTCTGTAAAGAAACAAATGAAGGAAAAGTAACAACCCAAGGTTATGACTAGGTCCTGCCCAGAAGAGACTACCTTTCTGGAAGTATCTAACAACAACAATAATTGGAGACAAAAGATTAAAACAGCTCAAAAAGTATGTCAGGAGACAAGATACGTTATGAAATGTCCTCTTCCTTTTCCGCTATGCCTCACTCTTTCTCTCCTCTAATTTTTCTACTATCAACAGCTTAAGTGGGCCTTCCTTCCTTCCTCTATCTCCCCATAGTACTCAGGAATCCAGCCTTCTCAGTGATTTCCAGATTTTAGGAAATGAAAACTGACTCTTCAAAAACACATAAAGGCAAACCTCAGGAAAAAGTTGGCAAAGGAACAGAAGATATAATGGTAGAAATCTGGATTTGCAGGGTTAGGCTTGGTTATACTTGGCTGGGAGAAATCTGGATTTAGGCCTTCTTTTTTAAGTAAATCTCTCCACATTTTTTAGATTATTTATTTTACTCTTCCTTCACTAAACATCTATTATGCGTACGTTAGACACATTTAAGTCTTTAGACAGAAGAGCCAAGTCAAGCAGTCTGGTAATATCATTAAGCATGAAAAGTATACTTACTTTCAATTCCTCTAGATGCAAAATCTTTTCCATGGGCCATATGGTAATAATGAGAGTTGTTCAATAAAGCCTAAAGGAAATTAAAAAGATCAAATTATCAAATATTCATAAACAGACTTCAAATAATCAAAAAGCACTTATGAAATGATAGTCTTTCTTTTCATTTTTTGAGACGGAGTTTCGTTCTTATTGCCCAAGCTGGAGTGCAATGGCGCCATCTCAGCTCACCGCAACCTCCGCCTCCCGGGCTCAAGCAATTGTCCCTGGGATTACAGGCATGCATCACCACGCCTGGCTAATTTTGTATTTTTAGTAGAGATGGGGTTTCTCCATGTTGGTCAGGCTGGTCCCAAACTCCCAGCCTCAGGTGATCCACCCGCCTCGGCCTCCCAAAGTGCTGGGATTACAGACGTGAGCCACCGCGCCCGGCCGATATTCTCTTTCAAATGTTCTCATCACAAAAATGATAAGTACTGTGGTAATGAATATGTTAATTAACTTGACTAAATTATTCCACATTATAGTCATAAATCATAACACCACTTTGTATGCCATAAATATATACAATTGTAATTTGTCAATTTACAATAAAAATTTAAAAAGAAGTTAAAAAAAAGACATGGCATTCTCTACATGGAATAGTATATGGCACTACACCAATTCAGTTTCTCTTATTAATCAAAGACAAACAATAATGATGTGAAAAACATTCAACAAACAAGAATGAAAAAGACATTTTTACTTTCTTTAAAAGTAAAGGCATAAGTACACACTTCAGGGTGGCAGGTGAAAAAGGCAGTCATGTTTACATACAAAAAGGACCTAAAAGAACAATTTACTATCTATTATCTGTTACACTGGTGAAGGAAAGATAAAGAGAAAAAACTAGAACATCAGAGTCTGTTTGAATGGAAAGCTAGGCATTCTGAGACAAGGAAGTTATTTCAGGAATGTGTGGCAGACTAGTGACAGCACTCTTTAAGTTTTACAAAAGAGAAGTGTGTTTTTTATCATTCTTTTTTTTCTCTGTGTGAAATGTGCCACAACTTGGATTGTTTTTTAACAAGTGTATTTGTCTAATCTAGTCTCAATCCATCCTTCTAGTTGGTTGCTAGCCAAAAACAATCTCTGTGCTGTACAAAACACATGCTCACCTTAGAAGGAATACAACCAACATTCAAGCATGTTCCACCAAGTGTTTCATTTTTCTCAATGCAGACTGTCTACAACCAAAGAAAACATTATTTAACTGCACATAACCTCAATGTTTCAGATCACTAAAATTCCAAATATATGTCTTAATTCTTCTACAAAACAAGCTATTCGGGCTATGTTTTCACAGACTAAAATATATAGTCCTTTATAATTTATCATTTGAATAATAATAAACACTTTTGGGCTGACCCAAAAGTGAATTATTCTAAAAGATATTTTTGTGTGCTTAACATTACCAAATATATGCTTTTAGTTCTATCACTGTATCTTCCAAAGTGTGATTAGATGCCAAAATGAAAAGTACTGGGAAGAGAAGAAAACTAATAGATTTCACTTTCCATTCCAAGAGAATACTACAACCAAATGAACCTAATCTTTATTAGTCTCAGGCTTACAAGTAATTTATAGAGTTAAGGAAGTATTTACCATGTTTTTGCCTGCAAAGTACTTTATAAATATGATCAACCCTTCCCAAATTAAAATAAATCAATACTTAGTTTGAGTTCAAACCTTACCTTGAAGCCTAACTGGGCAGCTTTAATAGCAGCAACATATCCTCCAGGACCAGAACCTATAACTGTTACATCAGCATCAACTACGATAAAAGCAAATTGATATAAAATAGTAAATTGCTTAATATTTACCAAAAAGAGCTCTTTGGAAGAGCAAACAAATAACCCGATACTTAAACCTCTTACAGTACAAATCAGCATTTTCTACATAGTTTCTGCACTATTTTATTACTACTACTTGATGCTCTTTGATGCTACTGAAAAATGGCATAAATACTCAAATTTCATTTTCTATTATTTTCTATTCATTACAACATACAGAAACACAACTGAGTTCTGTAACACTCACATTGTATTCACTGACCTTCCTAAATTCTATTGATTTAATAACTGACGGAATTTAGTGATACTGGAAGACAAGTATGTATGAAGCAAAGAGCCTGAGCTTTGGAATCTGACATTCTGGGCTTCATATCTCAGCACGGCCAATGAGTAGTTGTATGAACTTGACCCAATGACTTAACCTTTCTGTAATATGGGGATGAAAACACTGCCTTCAATGATTGATGTTAGAATTAAATAAGATAATTTTATATAATGCTTTAGTATTTCCAATAAATTTAAGACCTATTACCTTTTTCAGGTCCTTAACTTCTGAAATATGAGGGAAAAAACAGCTTCTATGTAATATTTAACAAATATGTTTTGTACTTGCATATTGATAATTTTTACATACCTTAAGATAATAGGCTAACCAGAATATTCAATTAACTATTGTGGCCATTTTTCAAATAAAGATAAAAAATTGAAAATTAATTTTGATCAGTATCCTTAGGAGTTTAACAATTGTAATACAAATGTGCAAGTAAGTCCAATTACTCCCATTCTTCTCAATCCAACTTCAAATAAAGTAACAGTGACTGTTAAGAGTTAGGAAACAGTCTCCCTTTTCTTCCCCTTCCACTGTCCTGACAACCCCAACTAGTCTAGCATTTAGCAATTCATAACACATATTCACATATATTATCATGTTTGAGTCTCAGAATTTCCTATGAGGAAGATAAAGATGTCATAAATAAGACATTTCACAGAATAAACAAGAAGTTCAGAGAGGTCAATTAACTTGTCTAAGGTTAACCAGCAAGTGAGTTGCAGAGACAAACTAAGCTTTTTGACTCTACTTCCGGTGGTCTTTCCATTATTCAATACTATTCCATTCCTCAGTTTTAACCATCATAAACTAAAATTCCAGAGAGCAATAATCAAGCTTTATAATCACTACCTATGTGACCTTAGGTGAGTAATTTAACCTGCTTCATCTTTGTTTCCATACCTGGCAAAAGAAAGACCACAAAAAAAACCTACTTCATAGGGTGATAACAGAATAAAATAATGTATGTAAATAATTTAGCATAGTACCTATAGCATACATAATAAGTATTCTATACATAGTAGCTATATTCTGACCTACAAAGAAGACTATTTTAATTTGCATCACCCCCTCTCCCCAAAAACACACATCCCTAGAGTAGGATCATTCAAAAAACCTTTGCTGGCCTGAACAGAATCACAGAACCTCTGTGTTGGTGGATAACTAAGTTACTCAGCCCAATTATCCACAAAATCTAAGAATCCCTCCTGTTGAATAAATGAAAATACTAGATTCTCTTTGGTTATAGCAGATGATAATTGAGATAATACATGAAAAAATATGTATAGTCATTTCAATACATGAAAAATTGCTTCAATTTTTACTGATCCATCTGTGCTTTTTAGCCACCCTGCTTGGTTCACTGATTTCGGTTCAGAATTAAGTATCTAATAAAATGTATTTTTATTTTCAAATCTTGAACCAAATGACGATCTACACAACATCCCTTAAATGGGTTCTAATTTTTAATTTCAGAGTAATGTAAATACAAGCTACAAAACAGGTTTCTTTGCTGAATTTTTAATGTCTTTTCTGATTAAAAATTTAGGTTTACTGAATAAATTTAAATACACTAAAGCAAAATTAAAAAAAAAACAACCCATCCACATTGCCATACAGCCCAGAGAGAACTGTTTATAGGTCCTCCCAATCCTTCTTCTAGGAAAGTTTTTATAAAATTCAATTTTTGCCATATTTTATATTCTTTTCTCACTCTTACATGAGCATATATATTTATAACATATATTACTGCTATAATTCTCCAAAAACCCTTTTAATGACAATAAAACTGAATTAAATATTTTAGATTTTAAGTATATGTATTTTTGAGCATATACTTTTAATCACTGATATGTAACAATTCTTATAGTAGGTCCATGGTACTAAAATGATAAATAAATTTGGTTTGGAAAAGAACTTGTTTTAGTAAGGTCAGGAGAAGTAAACAAGAGATAAAAGATAATAGCCAAAAACCTTGGGTTTTACTTCCCTATTCACTATGTAATCTTAGGTGTTTTTTTTTAAACTTCAGAAAATACCAAAAATTCAAGAGCTCCTCTCTCACTGTACATACTAGATGTAATATTCCATTACAATACCACTAAAGTGCTAAGATGCACAAAAATGAGAAAAAAGCAGACTCTTTATGTAAAGATCTGTCAACTGAGAATACAGGAGGGTATAAGCCAGGAACAAACTTTCAAAAACAAACCAGTATTTAGGGGAAGTATACACACGTCTGCACTGATGGATAAACGAATGAGCACATATGTGGTACTGTAAGCACAGAAAATGTTAATGGAAGAAAACTATGGGTGTTCAATGTAAAATTCTTATAATTTTCTAAATGCTTATAATTTTTCATAATAAAATGTCAGAAAAACAAATCATCTACCTCTCACCTGTACCAAAGGATGCATATAAATGAAAGCTGATAACACATGATTCTGACTCACCCTCTCCTTGTCAAGAATAATTTCACAGGTTGAGTCCCATACATAAAGTTAAAAAATCAGGGCCGGGTGTGGTGGCTCACACCTGTAATCCTCAGCACTTTGGGAGGCCGAGGCAGGCGGATCACGAGGTCAGGAGATCAAGACCAAACCCCGTCTCTACTAAAAATACAAAAAAAATTAGCCGGGCGTGGTGGCAGGCACCTGTAGTCCCAGCTGCTGGGGAGGCTGAGGCAGGAGAATGGCGTGAACCCAGGAGGCAGAGCTTGCAGTGAGCCGAGATCACGCCACTGCACTCCAGCCTGGGCGACAGTGCAAGACTCTGTCTCAAAAAAAAAGTTAAAAAATCAGGATACAGGCCAGGTGTGGTGGCTCCCACCTGTAATTCCAGCACTTTGGGAGGCCGAGGCAGGTGGATCACCTGAGGTCAGGAGTTTGAGACCAGCCTGACTAACATGGTGAAACCCTGTCTCTACTAAAAATACAAAATATTGCCAGGCGTGGTGGCAAGCACCTGTAACCCCAGCTACTCGGGAGGCTGAGGCAGGAGAATCGCTTGAACCCAGGAGGGGGACGTCGCAGTGAACTGAAATCGTGTCACTGAACTACTCCAGCCTGGGCAACAAGAGCTAAACTCTGTCTCAAAAAAAAAAAAAAAAAAAAAAAAGGATACAGAAAAGTAGTTAAATGAAATACATTTATTTAAGGCAAACCTGATGGAAAAGTGGCAAATGACAGGTGAATAGCAATCTGTGTTTCAGTGAAGTGATTCAAACAAGGTCCTTTAGATTCTGAAATGTGTGCTCCTACCAGGTTTAAAGTATCAGGTTGATACTTTAAAAATACTGGAGTACAATAAGAGGTGACTGACTTAAACAAGGCAATTAATGTTATTAAAATTAACTCAAAGAAAAAAGTCAAGAAAAGTACTCTACAAATTCCTACAAGTGTTACATATTAGATCATTATAAGGAAAATAAGGCACCTGGTTATCCAGGCTACCACTGAAATAAAGGTATTGTGTTACAAATCAATTGTAATCATCAATATAATTACAAGATGTATCTCAAGAAGTCAGTCTGTGTAATCCCAGCACTTTGGGAGGCCAATGCGGGTGGATCACTTGAGGTCAGGAGTTCAAGACCAGCCAGGCCAACATGGTGAAACCCTATCTCTACTAAAAATACAAAAATTAGCTGGGCATAGTGGTGCGTGCCTGTAGTCCCAGCTACTCAGGAGGCTGAGGCATGAGAATCTCCTGAACCCGGGAGGTGGAAGTTGCAGTGAACCAAGATCGCACCATTGCACCCCAGCTTGCATGATAGAGTGAGACCAAGTTTCAAAAAAAAAAAAAAAAAAAAAAGTCAGTCTACAATAATACCTACCACTTGGGTAGCTTAAAATGTGCCAGTTAGTGAGCCAGTCACGTGTACTGTCTTATGTAAGCCTCATTACATTTCTATGACATAGTTTAATACTACCATTAACAGAGGAAGAAAAGGTTGAAAACAACTAAATAATTTGCATAAGGCTACACAACTAGTAAGTAATCTAGCCAGGATTCAAACAAGGTCCTCTAGATTCTGAAATGTGTGCTCCTATATACCATTATGTTCTATTGCCTTCCAAAACACTCAGATGATCCCATAATCTCCAGGACAATCAAGAACTTCAACTAAAATGACAAGAATATGCTTTACAGAATGAAATCAAATATTTATGACTCATCAGTACCTTCAATAACCTTAAAACACAGTGAGAAAAAAGAGGCACATGTCAAAATAAAGGTAAAATCAGATTTTTGGCCAGGCGCGGTGGCTCATGCCTGTAATTCCAACACTTTGGGAGGCCGAGGTGGGTGGATCCCCTGAGGTCAGGAGTTCGAGACCAGCATGGCCAACATGGTGAAACCCCATCTCTACTAAAAATACAAAAATTAGCCGGGCTGGTGGCAGGCACCTGTAATCCCAGCTACTCGGGAGGCTGAGGCAGGAGAATCACTTGAACCCGGGAGGTGGAGTTGCAGTGAGCCAAGATCACGCCACTGCACTCCAGCCTAGGGGACAAGAGCGAGACTTTGTCTCAAAAAAAAAAACAAACAAAAACAAAACCAGATTTTTAAAAAGAAAAAACGAACAGGAAAAGAGATGTCATAAGGCAATAATCATTAATTACCAAATTTACTGAATGTAAGAACTACTTGATAAGGTTTATTTGTTGACATTTTGTTGAGGGGTAAGGGAAGTTGTTTTTACATTGTCAATGGCCTTAATATCCAGTCTTTTTCAGTAACCTCCTCCCATAGTTAACACTCTATACTTGTTATCACCCAAAACTGTTCAGCCTCTGAAATCAATACTCTACTTTCTAGTCATAACCTCCTGGTCCCTAAAGAAGAAATATAGTAAAATAAGAAATGATCTGAAGTAAAACAGACCTGGGTTCCAAACTCTAACCCCGTTAAGTTCTTGGGCAAATTACTCAATCTCTCTGGGCTTTGATACAACATGGGGGTAATAGTAAGGATGACACCTGCAGCCTAGGGTTGTGAGGATCAGAGAGTACGCATGTTAAGATCCTAAGGAGGTGCTAGGTGCATACTAGCAACTCAGTGTCACTCCCCTTCTCAGATCCACCTCCAAACTTCAGTCCAGCAGCCTCTAGCCTCATTCACATCCTCCATTTTAGCCTACCCAGTGCTACCGCAAAGCTAAAACCCAACTCAGATGTTATTCTCTCTGTTGTTACGCTCTGTTGGTTCTCCAGTGTCTTGTTAGATAAAGCCCATGTTCCTAAGTACAGCATCCAAATTCCTTCAGTAACTATTTCTCCAGCCTCATCTCCTACCACGTTCTGTTTACTCACCAATACCATGCAGTTTAAGCTTCAGTAACGGTGAATTACTACTCTTAGCCTACATGCATAGAATTATGCTGGTCTACCTATGTACGATCTGTTCCATCTACCTAGAAATAAACACTAACAGCAGGCATTTCACATTACAAACACTACTTTAGGCTCTTGGAGGGGTGTGTCTGCACATGCTGTGTCTGTGTGTGTGTATATATAAATGACATAGCCCTATTTCTTACAGTCTAAATAAAAAAAAGAATTACAGTAAAAGGTCCAACCTGTAACGAGAGTTACTCTCAACCTTTTTAGCTATCAACATAATTCCTTAGGAAAGAATTATGTGACCATTCCCAATCCATATATAGATGTCATTACTCCCTATGCTTAAGTCTATGGACCCCTGTCACAATTATATGTTGGATGTTTGTCTCCCTCAACTGAATTGTAAGCTCTATAAAAGCTGGGTCTTGTCCGTCTTGCTCACTGCGGTACTCCAGTAGTTAGCCCAATGACTAACACATAGTAGATATTAGTATTTGTCGAAATAATAAAAGAATGAATGAATGTAGTGAATGTGAGTGATATAAGTGCTGTAAGTTTAAGTGTTACAAGTTTGATTAAGTGCTGTCATGAAATAAAACGTCACATCAACAGTAACACACACAACTTTGCAAATTCTGATGAACCTGGTTCATAAGGCTATTCAGACATCTCTCAGATGTTGTAACCAAGACTATATCATAATAAGATTTGAACTCCTCAGGAGAGTCAATCAATACTCATGTAAGGAAGAAAACTCAATAAAACATTAACAGTGTAGGCTCTGAAGTCAAAAGGATTCTCCCAGCTCTGTCATTTCCTAGTTAAAAAACCTAACTCTTCCATCTATAAAATGGGGAGAACAGCAGCACACAGGTAGTAGAAAGGCCATGAGGATTAAATCTGTGCCTGAGACAGAGTGAAGCCCTCAATGCATCAGTTAATATTATTGCTGTTGTAGCTGGTTACTTACTTTGTACAAGACACCATACTGGATGCTTTGCCACAGAGCAGTAATTAAAACAGACCAGGCCCCAGTGTTCATTCATTCAATAAATATGTACTGATTACCTACTGTATCACTTTAGATACTAAACAAAACAGTCACACACAGTCCCTGTCCTGATGAAGTTTGCATTCCTGAGGAAAAGACAGTAAGCATGTACCTCAGATAAAATACAAGTATGTGTGTAAAATGCTTGTTACTGCATCCACTCAAAGCTTTTACACACTTTACACACATGGGTACTAAGTGATTTATGATTTACTCAATGTCAAGGGATCACCAAACTGATTATGGAACACTCAGCCTCATTCCACTAAAATCTAAGTTCTGGCTCAGGGTCTGCCTGGCAAATAGAAGGCACTGAATAATCTCTGCTGAGTGATGCCAAAGGTATAGAGTTAGCCATGAAAAATATCCTTTAGAAATGAAAATCTAACATTTCTCCTGTTATATGAGTTGAGAAGAATGAGATTCCTATTTAACAAGAGACAAAGTGTATAAGAGGTCCAACTTTTCCCTTCATCATCATATTAGCATTTTTTTAAAAGGATTTCTTGACCTGTTCAAAGCTAGAATAAATCACTCACTCACTGTTAGTCATGGGTTACTAGAATCCTCCCCCTACCCTTCCTCTAGAAATAAAATATCCAAAATGATAATGGTTGGATAACAGTTGAGGATACAGGATTAAATTACTTCACAGAATGCAGGGAGACTGATAGTCACAGTTTGCCCAGATAATGATTTCTATAACTGAAGCTTTAAGACATCCAATGTTACTTATAATCCATATGGGTGAATTCAGTAAATGTCAAAACAGTACATTGCAAATAATCAATATCCTTGGTACTGACAGGTCAAAATACTTCAATATAATCCTATTAACTTTCTGTTTTAAATACTTAAAAAAATAAAATGCATATCCTTTATGGGAACTTCAAAAATATAAAAAAAGTACACAGGAGAAAATTCCATGACCCATAGCTTCCTTTTAGATCCTGCTAATCTTTAAAACATGCTTTTGATAAACCCATGAAGACTTTCATTCAGGATGTCAAGAAAGTCATCTCATCATTCTAAACAGTGTTAAAATAACCAATACAACCTTACTCAACGGACAAAATTAACTTTTTAAATGTAAACATATGAAATTGCTGCCCTGCTCAAAACCTTTGTTTCCCATCATACTTGGAGTATAATCCAAACTACTAGACCTGCCTTACAAGGCACTCCATGATCTGTCTCCTGCCTACCTCTCCGACTTTACATTGCATGGGTTTCTGCTCCAGTCATACCAGCCTTCTTATTACTCCTTAAACTTCACAAGCTAAGTCCCACCTCAGGCCTTTCTCAGTGTTGTTTCCCTCTGCCTGAAGTAACCTCACTCCCCCACTTCACTCAGGACCCTGCCCAGACATCATCTCCTCAGAAAGGCCTTTCCTGACACTGTATCTAAAATTATCTCTCTTCCTCCCTATTACCTGCTTTAATTTTCAGTTACTTCCCAAAATATTTATCCATTACTTATATATTGTTTGTCTTTTATCACCAAATTACAAGTTTCATAAGAGCAGGGTTTTTTTACCTTGTTCACCGCCTGGAACACACTAGCTCAATATACATTCAAACGAATAAATACATGAACAAATGAACTATAAGACACTTAACATAAGTTATTCCAATATTCACTTGCTTTTACATTGAAATAGAAAGGAACTGTCAGCTAATGTGATGAAAAAAATGTTTTACTTAAGTACTTACTCGGCTGATCTGCGTAAGTTCTCAGAGGCACTGCAGAAAGTCCCTGTAGGCCATGAGATATTCGATTGAAATGGCCTCTCTAGAAAAAGAAAATGTCCCTATTATGTAAGATATGAATTCAAAACATAGAACTACTGAAGGTTGATGATAACAGAACAATTTTGGGCAAACGTATCAAGCGAGGATTATTAGTGTATCTTCTTCCATTGCCACACAGAAGCTACAGATCAATATCCCCTCTTTGACAATAACTAATCATTTAAATTTTTCAGCCTCAGCTTGCCACACCCATCTTTTTATTATCAATAGTCAACAAATCATCTCATATTTAACTTAATTTTAAAAACGTATTCAATGGTATTTTTATTCAATTTTCAGAAAACATGGCTAATTATTAGTGCCAGGGATCATTTTAATGTCATAAAGCTCTGAGCCGGCCGTGGTGGCTCACGCCTGTAATGCCAACACTTTGGGAGGCTGAGGTGGGCGGATCACCTGAGGTCAGGAGTTCGAGACCAGCCTGGCCAACATAGTGAAGCCCCGACTCTACTAAAAATACAAGAAAATTAGCCGGGTGTAGTGGTGGGTGCCTGTAATCCCAGCTACTCGGGAGGCCAAGGCAGGAGAATCACTTGAACCCGGGAGGCGGAAGTTGCAGTCAGCTGAGATAGTGCCATTGCACTCTAGCCTGGATGTCAGAGTGAGACTCCGTCTCAAAATAAATAAATAAATAAATAAATAAATAAAGCTCTGAAAGTTCTAACTTAAATACTTGAATAATCTATACATGATAATCTTTTTACCTGTAATTTTTGTTTCCTAACTCTAAGCTAGCGTGTATATACAGTCCGTATTTACTTAGAACAATCTATGAAGATGTTCCTGAGACATCAACTAGGAATAGCAAATTAGACAAGGTAACTTAGGAAAATGCACCAAGTAATGTACTTACGTTCTGGTGCTACTACAGTTTGACAAATTGCATCATAATCTCCCTAATCTCTATATGTGGACGGCTACCATTTCCTAAGGGCAATGAGGCAGAAAGCAAGCAAGCAAATAACCCCTGCTCACAGCAGGAAAATGGGCGGCAGTGACAAAACCTACACTGATGTTTCCTATTCCAAGGCAACTCTTAACATTTGAGGTCAGGACAGCAAACCCAAAAAGCAGCAGATTGACAATCCTGAGTTTCAGTCCCACCTCCGCCGCTCCCTAAAAGCATGACTTGCAGAATGTTACATTAACTTTTGAGAACTCAGGTTCCTCATCTCTGAAACAAAAGGGTTTGATCGCTATATTATTTTTAAGGTCTCCACTAACATAGTACCCAGCCACGGTGCCACATACACACAATTTGGCTGTATCTGGTAAGCAGATTAAAAAGGAGAGTTGTTCTGATAACCTGCTGCAATTAAAGATTTAAGCCTCCAGGAAGTCGTGAGAGATGGCAATGAACACCAGTTGAAAGCTGCCAACACTGACAAGACCTTAGGGGAATTCCGAGGGCTATCTGTTGGAGCTGACTGGATCTAAACCATTCAAGAAGTGACCCCAGGGTTACCTGCCCACTGCATAAACTTAGGCCACTCAGGGATCAGAATTAGGATGAGAAAAAGGCAAATGGTATAAAAAGCCAGACTATACGGGACATGGGTGGCTTACACTTCCTCCAAGGTAGAGGCCTATGTGTGACCGGGATGGCCCTCGGCCCAGGCTTGGGGGTGTGGCATGTGTGACCGCCGGCCGTCACACAACCCGAAAGGACTCGCCACAGCCTGGGCCCAGCCCCGTCCCTCGCCTGCTGCAGGATGAGCGGCCACCTCGGAGCCCAGGGCCGGGCTGAGCCAGTGCAGAGGCGGGGCCAGGGGTGGTGCGGCCCAGGCGCCCGCCTCCGCCAGCCCAACACGGTTAAGCCGCGTACCGGACCCACTGAGCGGGACCTTCCGTGCCTCTGGCTCAACACGACCTCACCTACTCGGCCCTCACCTTGGCCAAGGAGCAGTACACACGACTCCAGCTCTGCATTTTTCCGCTGTATTTTCCTTTCCGCCAATACTTTCACCTCCGCTGGGCGCCTCCGCCGCTCCGCCAAGGTCTCCCCTCCCTGCGCATGCACAGGCGCAGCCTACGTCATCACCCGGGAGCAGCGCGATTGGCCCGCGCGGTTCTACCGCACGAGGCGTTCCTGTCAGGCTCGGCGTCGTACGCTGTCGTAAGGAGCGCAGGGCTTTGTCGCAGCGGGGGTGGTGGTGGGAATGCTTTAGGGGCTGGTGCCAAAATGTCGAGCTACAATGTATTCTTATACTTAGAAGATGAAATAAACAAATAAAACTAGCGTTTGCTTAATGCACATTATCGACAGTAAAGCGTGACAAGTTCAACAAGCTCTTGGTTGTGCTAGGCATTCCTCGGCACTTCCTACAGACATCTCATTTCATCCTTGCAACAACCATATGGAGTATTATTAGTATTTCCATTTCTTGGATGAGACCCAGAGAGGTTAAACAGTGCCCCCAAGGTCTCACAAAGGAGAGATAACTGCGGCCCTGAGGCCAAAACCTTTGGTATTATCTACTGCTTTATACTCGCTCCTCTCAAATGCCATATAAGGGATGGGGCTACAGATTTTGGCATCACCAGCATTCTGCTCTAATTAGCTAACTGACAATACGTAGAGAACACACTTTCTTCTATTTCTTTAGTTGAGAAACACATCTCCCTGGTAAAAAGAGAGTGGGATGGTGGATGAGATTTTAGGTTTTGAGAGAGAATCTGTTGAAAAGGGTTGAAAAACATTGTCTTCAAGATTGAGCACGAAAGTCTAAGGTCTCATTCTTGCCTTGCAATAAGTCTATATAGTGTGAATAAACTTAATTCTACATTTATTGGAAGTCTACCACCCAGGCCTTGTGCTGGGCTAAACACTGGTTAGAAATTACTGCCTATGTTCAGATTTAGATATGAATAATTAAATTTAGTGTTTGTTATAGAGACGGTATTGCTGGCAGCTCTGTCCTGTGACAGGGTCCCAGGCTCCTTTTATCTCGTGACTCTGCCATCATCAGAGCTTGCCTTGCATCTTTCATTCAAGATGGCTGCTCCAGTTTCTACAATCATATCCCCTCATTCCATCTGATTACAAAGCCACACCTAGCTGCAAGGGGATCTGTGAAACATAGTCCTGTCAGCTGAGTGCCTAACTGAAATTGTATTAATAAGCAAGATGAGATGAAGCGAAATTGGGGGACATTGAGCAGCCTCCACCACACAGATGGGGAGAATTGTCTCCTCTCCAGCTTCATGGCAGTCTTTGACATCTGGTCTAGGAGTTACTGCTCCATATGCACAAAATCTCACAATTCTTTCCTGAACTTTCTTGGGCTTTGTTCCCTACTCCTTTGTCCAAAATTACAATATCATATTTTTATTTTTAAAAAATGAAACACTTCCATCCTTTCCAGCTGTCATTCACAAAGCCTAGGGGCTCAACCCAGTATGAGAAGTGAGGCAGGAAATAGATTCCTTACTGCACTCACCATATTTCTCCACATTCCTCCTCATCTCTTGTACCAACTATACCTCTTCTCCTCTCAGCTAGAACAAAAGCCACAACGCATATAAATTAATGCGAACACACGGGAGGTGGAGGGAGCGATGTCAACAATGGACAGCCCACACTAGCAGTGTTTATATTCCAGCTAAGGAATATAACCAGAAATTGGACCACACTTATTTTGCTAACTTGATTTTTTTCACTTAAAACTATCTCATGAGCAACTTTCCATATTCATATTGTGTCCAGAATTGGTGGGTTCTTGGTCTCACTGACTTCAAGAATGAAGCTGCGGACCCTCGCAGTGAGTGTTACAGTTCTTAAAGGCGGCGTGTCCGGAGTTTGTTCCTTCTGACGTTTGGATGTGTTCGGACTTTCTTCCTTCTGGTGGGTTCGTGGTCTCGCTAGATCAGGAGTGAAGCTGCAGACCTTTGCGGTGAGCGTTACAGCTCTTAAGGCAGCGCGTCTGGAGTTGTTCATTCCTCCTGGTGGGTTTGTGGTCTCACTGGCTTCAGGAGTGAAGCTGCAAACCTTCGCTGTGTTACAGCTCATAAAGGCAGTGTGGACCCAAAGAGTGAGCAGCAGCAAGATTTATTGCAAAGAGTGAAAGAACAAAGCTTCCACGCTGTGGAACGGGACCCAAGCGGGTTGCCACTGCTGGCTCAGGCAGCCTGCTTTTATTATCTGGCCCCACCCACATTCTGCTGATTGGTCCATTTTACAGAGAGCTGATTGGTCTGTTTTACAGAGAGCTGATTGGTCCATTTTGACAGGGTGCTGATTGGTGCGTTTACAATGGCTGAGCTAGACACAAAAGTTCTCCAAGTCCCCGCTAGATTAGCTAGATACAGAGTGTCGATTGGTGTATTTTCAAACTCTGAGCTAGACACAGAGTGCTGATTGGTGCATTTACAAACCTTGAGCTAGATACAGAGTGACGATTGGTGCATTCACAATCCCTTAGCTAGACGTAAAGATTCTCCAATTCCCCACCAGATTAGCTAGACACAGAGTGCTAATTGGTGCATTTACAAACCTTGAGCTAGACACAGAGTGCCGATTGGTGCATTCACAATCCCTTAGCTAGACATAAAGATTCTCCAAGTCCCCACCAGATTAGCTAGATAAAGAGTGCCGATTGGTGCATCCACAAACCCTGAGCTACACACAGGGTGCTGATTGGTGTGTTTACAAACCTTGAGCTAGATACAGAGTGCCGATTGGTGTATTCACAATCCCTTAGCTAGACATAAAGATTCCCCAAGTCCCCGCCACATTAGCTAGATACAGAGTGCCAATTGGTGCATCCACAAACCCTGAGCTAGACACAGGGTGCTGATTGGTGTGTTCACAAGCCTTGAGCAAGACACAGAGTGCTGATTGGTGCACTCACAATCCCTTAGCTAGACACAAAGGTTCTCCAAGTCCCCACTAGACTCAGGAGCCCAGCTGGCTTCACCCAGTGGATCCTGCGCTGGGGCGGCAGGCGGAGCTGCCCGCCAGTCCCGCTGTGTGCCCGCACTCCTCAGCCCTTGGGCGCCAGTGGGCCAGCACTGCTGGGGGACCTGGCGCACCCTCTGCAGCTGCTGGCCTGGGTGCTAAGCCCCTCACTGCCCGGGGCAAGTGGGGCCGGCCAGCCGCTGCGAGTGCAGGGCCCACCAAGCCCACGCCCACCCGGAACTCTAGCTGGCCCGCAAGCGCTGCACGAAGCCCCAGTTCCCACCCGCGCCTCTCCCTCCACACCTCCCCGCAAGCAGAGGGAGCCGGCTCCAGCCTTGGCCAGCCCAGAAAGGGACTCCCACAGTGCAGCAGCAGGCTGAAGGGCTCCTCAAGCGTGGCCAGAGTGGGCACCAAGGCCGAGGGGGCGCCGAGAGGGAGCCAGGGCTGCAAGGGCTGCCAGCACGCTGTCACCTCTCAATATTAGCCTACTTCTAATGACTACTGAGTATTTTGGGACATACCCTAATTTATTCAACTATATTTTATTATTAGATATGTAAGCCATTACCAATTTTTCAATATCGTGATTAGCTTATCACTAAGTCTTTGCACACATTCTTTATCATTTCCTTGCAGTAAATTCCCAGAAGTGGAATTGCTAGGTCAAAGACAAAGCATATTTTAAAGATTTATATTGTCTCTCACTTATTTTATTTTATTTTATTTTTTGACGGAACCTTGCTCTGTCACCAAGCTGGAGTGCAGTGGCTCGATCTCAGCTCACTGCAACCTCTGCCTCCCAGGTTCAAGTGATTCACCTGCCTCAGCCTCCCAAGTAGCTGGGATTACAGGTGCCCGCCACCACGCCTGGCTAATTTTTGTATTTTAGTAGAGACAGGGTTTCACCATGTTGGCCAGGATGGTCTCCATCTCCTGACCTCGTGATCCACCCGCCTCGGCCTCCGAAAGTGCTGGGATTACAGGTGTGAGCCACCGCACCCAGCCCACTTATTTTAATTCTTAACAGTGGTTACCTTAAATGAATCAGAAGTTCTAACTGGCAGTTTAAGGGGTTCATTAAACCCCTTAATTTAAGTGGGTTAATGGAGATGAGTTATTCATTATACATGCAATAAGTCAGGCAATCAAAATATTTGAAAAGCATGGTTTTTCAAAACACTTCTTTTGCTGGTTTAAGAAAAAGGAAATATTAAATACAATAGGCTACATTTCATCGAGTTTTTTGGTACAGTTGATAATATAATGACAAGAGCATGAGTTTTGGAGTTGAAAAGGTTTATGAATTCTTGCTCCTCAATGTAATAAATAAATGTGGAAACTTGTAAACATTTCTTAACTTTTCTAATCTTCACTTTCTTTAAAGGTAACACAAGGTGCTAGCTCCCACACGACAGGTTGTTGTAATTATTCAGTAGATGATATATGTACAAGGTCTAGCCCATGGTAAGCATTTAACCAACATCAGTTCCTTTCTCAAGCCCTTTCCTCCTCATATCAAACTATATCTTAATTCCTTGTTGAGCCAGTGTAACAGACTCAGTAAGTCTTAGAAGAAAATGTACCTTCATAATGCAAATGGACTAGAAATTTAAATAATCAACAAAGTGCCCACAATTAAGTGTTCCATCCAAGGACAGAGCCAAATGGGGATTCTATCCTTTTCAGTCTCCTTCATTGGTTCTTCTTCATCTAACCTCTTAAATGTTAATGTTTCATAAAAACCTATCCTTGGCCGGGTGCGGTGGCTCACACCTGTAATCCCAGCACTTTAGGAGGCTGAGGTGGGTGCATCACCTGAGGTCAGGAGTTCGAGACCAGTTTGGCCAACATGGCAAAACCCCATCTTTACTAAAAATACAAAAATTAGCTGGGCGTGGTGGCGTGTGCCTGAAATCCCAGCTACCTAAGAGGCTGAGACAGGAGAATTGCTGGAACCCGGGAGGCAGAGGCTGCAGTGAGCCGAGATTGCACCACTGCACTCCGGCCTGGGCAACAGAGCAAGACTCTGTCTCAGAAAAAACCTATCCTTAACTTTCTGGTCTTTTCATCGTACATTTGCATTTTGGCCATCTTATCCATTTCCATGGCTTTGGCACCTGCCTATATACACTAATAACACTAATAACTTCTAAATCCTTATCTCCAGTCTTTCTAGAATTTGTTTTTTTTTTGTTTTTTTTGTTTTGTAGAAACAGGGTCTCGTTTTGTTGTCCAGGCTGCTCTCAAACTCCTGGCCTCAAGCGATCTTCCTGCCTCCGTTTCCCAAAGTGCTGGGATTACAGGCATGAGGCACTGCACCTAGCCCTTATCTTCAGTCTTTACTTCTCTCCTGATGTCCAATTGCATGTTTTCTCTCTTTTTCTTTTCTTCTTCTTTTTTTTGTTTTTGTTTATGACATGGTCTCACTCTGTTTTCCAATCTGGAGTGCAGTGGAATGACCTCAGCTCCCTGCAGCGTCAACCTCCTGGGTTCAAGTAGTCCTCCTGATTCAGCCTCCCATGTAGCTGGGACTAGAAGTGTACACGCCACACCCAGCAAATTTTTAAATTTATTTTGGTAGAGACAAGGTCGCACTATGTTGCCTAGGTTGGTCTTGAACTCCTGAGCTCAAGCAATCCTTTCACCTTGTCCTCCCAATGTGGTAGGATTACAGATGTAAGCCACTGCACCTGGTCTCAATTGCATATTTTCAACTGTCTGCTGAATATGTCTAACAGTTATCTCAGTTTCAGTTATCTAACATCTTAATATAAAATACATACTTTTTTCATTATGATTAATGTTAATAACACCTCTAAAAAGCCTATATGAAAGATTTTGTAGCCATTCTCAACTCCTCTCTTTATCCCATGTCTAACTGTCCACTGCTTTAGTTAGATTCTCTAGAAGCATAACCAGAAACAAGAATTTGAATGTAAGAAGTTTATTTGATGAATGATGCAAGGAAGCACTAGTAACTAGGAGATGGAAAAGGGATGGAAACTATTTCAGATACATTAATTAGTAGATTATCACTTGTTGGGAACAAGCCCCCCAAAATCTGGTCATAAACTGGCCCCAAAACTGGCCATAAACAAAATCTCTGCAGCACTGGGACATGTTCATGATGGCCATAACGCCCATGCTGGAAGGTTGTGGGTTTACCGGAATGAGGGCAAGGAACACCTAGCCCGCCCAGGGCGGAAAACCACTTAAAGGCATTCTTAAGCCACAAACAATATCGATCTGTGACTTAAGGACATGCTCCTGCTACAGTTAACTGGCCCAACCTATTCCTTTAATTTGGCCCATACCTTCGTTTCCCATAAGGGATACTTTTAGTTAATTTAACATCTATAGAAACAATGCTAATGACTGGCTTGCTGCTAATAAATACGTGGGTAAATCTCTGTTTGGGGCTCTCAGCTCTGAAGGCTGTGAGACCCCTGATTTTCCACTTCACACTTCTATATTTCTGTGTGTGTGTCTTTAATTCCTCTAGCGCCAGCAGGTTAGGGTCTCCCCGACTGAGCTGGTCTCAGCAATCACTGTGGGCAACTGGGGCTCAGACTCACTGGAGGCATCTGGGAGACAGCATAGAGCATGCTTCAGAGTTGCCCTACCCAATCTATATCCATCAGCTTCCATCAGTCATTGAATGAGAACTGATTCCAGGGACTTAACTCTCTACACTCCTCACCTGCCCCATAAGTGCACAGAGTGAGTATCAGCAGCCAGAGAAATCTCCCAGGAAGAGTTTCTGATGCTTGCAGTAGAAATGCTTTGAGTGAACATGCAGAGGAGAACTGAATGCTAAGAGGATACAGGGGAGACACTCACAAGATCTGTGATAATCACCAAGTCCTATAAATTCTGAATGTGAGAATGAGAGTGAAGGAAACATTGAGATGGCTCCAGAGTTGCTAGCTTAGACAGCTGGTAGAGAGTGAAACCAATGCAGAAATAGGCAACAGAGGAGAAAGAGCAGCCTTGGAAAAAGATAATGAGTTATGTTTTTTTTTTAATTTGAGATGCCAGCTGGACAACTGAGTGGAGAAAAGTTATTGGAGCACAATTCTAGAGCTTACAAGCTCCAGACGTGGACTCGGAAATTTGCTGGCATGTCGACACATATGGGAATAGATGAATTCAATAAGGATAGCATGTTTTTAAAAAAACGTTATGAGGGAGCATGAACAGGAGCTGAAAATGGAATGTCTGATACAGTGTTGGGCGTGGGGCAAGTCCAGGCTGGAGCGCAGTGGCATGAGTATAGGCTTCTCACTCACATGGTGTTTGGTAGTTTCTTCTTGAGCCAATGCATGTATT
The DNA here is from genome assembly GCF_000001405.40 of Homo sapiens. Classification (NCBI taxonomy): domain Eukaryota; kingdom Metazoa; phylum Chordata; class Mammalia; order Primates; family Hominidae; genus Homo; species Homo sapiens. The sequence continues at coordinate 107,883,953 of NC_000007.14, read as the reverse complement.
ATAGTAGCAGGCTTCCTTGTGCTTTCTCATCATAGTAATGTACTACTTGTAAATATATTTTTCCATTTTCTGTTTTTTTGTGTTTTTGATATTTTGTTTTATTGGTGTGCTGTATGTTTTCCATGCCCTCACTCCTTTTTTTTTTTTTTTTTTTTTTTTTTTTTTGAGACGGAGTCTCGCTCTGTCGCCCAGGCCGGACTGCGGACTGCAGTGGCGCAATCTCGGCTCACTGCAAGCTCCGCTTCCCGGGTTCACGCCATTCTCCTGCCTCAGCCTCCCAAGTAGCTGGGACTACAGGCGCCCGCCACCGCGCCCGGCTAATTTTTTGTATTTTTAGTAGAGACGGGGTTTCACCTTGTTAGCCAGGATGGTCTCGATCTCCTGACCTCATGATCCACCCGCCTCGGCCTCCCAAAGTGCTGGGATTACAGGCGTGAGCCACCGCGCCCGGCCCGCCCTCACTCCTTTAAGAAAAAAACTAAAAAAGGAAAAAAGCAACATACACCCACACAAAATCACTATTTGTTATATTATTTTTAACTGGGCTCTGTGGTCTTCTAGAAGAGGCAGTTGCACAGAAGAATCCCTCATATAGTGCCACTCTCCTCCAAATTGCCTCAGACAAGAACAAAATTGGTGAAACCCACACAGTGGGACCTGAGGGGTCATTAATTGGCCCCCGCTGTCCCCCAAATTGTTCTATTCCACCTAACCACTGCCCTAACTCCTGGCCTGAAAGTTTTCTATTAAGAAATTTATTCTTATTGCTCCATCTCCAAACATTTTCTATTCCAACAAGCTAACAGTTGCTGGATTTAAATACGATTCTTCCCTTAGGGAAAAGAGGGTAAGAGGATTATTCTAAACTCTGTGTGAAGCTTTACATCATTTGTCCATTTAATCATCACTCCAGCCCTGTGAAGTGGTTTGCCAGTAGATTTTCTTGGATGGTTAGCCAAGGAACTAAGACTGTCAAGTGGATGAAGTAATTGTCATGGAGGGTAACATCCTTTCCCAGTTGGACAGACTTAGGGCAGGGGGAGGGGAGCAGAGTGAGTGGCAAGTAGATAGCAGGTGAAGGGCAGAGGCTGAAAGAAAAGAGGAGCAAACATTGATGAGAAGTCAAAGACACCAGGCTTAGTAAAAGTGCTGTATTGTCTCGAGTATGAGTACTAACCACTGCAGTAATAGTGTTAACAACTTTAATAATCTGAATTTTCTTTATAGCTTGTAAGATCTCTTCATCCATTCACTCCCTCACAGGTCCAGTAATCACTGAGGGCCCACTATGTGCTTGACATTGTGCTAAAAGCCAGGAAAGCAACAGAGAGCGAAACCAGAGCCAGTCCCTGACCACATGGAGTTTACATCCAGACGGTGTAACTAGGTTAACCAACTACTGCCATATAAAATAGAAGAGTGCAATTACGATAAGCGCTGTGAAAGAGCACGGAGATCCAGAAAGGATTTGAACAAGTTGGGCAAGACAAAAGAGCAGAAAAGGCTCTTCTGAGGGAGTGATGCTTGAGCTAATATCCAAACAATGACAAATTATCTGAGCAGGGAGGATGGAATGAGTGTTCTAGGCAATAAACATTATCAACATACTCATTTTACAAATAGGAAAGAATGTTATAGGGAGAACTGGACTGACAATCAGGAGACTCAAGTTCTAGATCTAACTGCTCCTTTACTTTCAGTGCGTGTAATCTAGCACAAGTCATCTCTTCTTTTTATTTATTTTATTTATTACCTGCACTACACAGATATAGCATATGTCATCTCTTGGCTTCCCAAACCTTAAATTGAAGGGCTCCAACGTCCCTTCTAGCTATAAAGCCTACAGTCCTATTTAACTGAGCTGCAAAGAGCTGGCTTATGAAGAACTACATAATGGTCATAGTAGCCTCACACCTGTTAGGATGGCTAATTATCAAAAAGACAAGAGATAACAAGTGTTGGCAAGGTTATGGAGAAGAAGGAACTCTTGCACAATGGAAATGAAAATCGGTATAGCCATTAAGGAAAACAGTATAGAGCTTTCTCAAAACATTAAAAATAGAGCGACCATGTGACCCAGCAATACTTCTTCTGGGTATATACCTAAAGGAAATGAAATAAGTATCTTAAGAGATAGCTGCACTCCCATATCACAACCTTATTCACAGTAGTCAATATATAAACAATTAAGTGTCCACGAATAGATGAAAGGATAATATTCTATTTTATATATGTACATATGTGTTAAATTATATATTATATTATCTTTAATAATATTAATAAATAATAATAACAATAATTTAAAAAGGAGGAAATCCTGTCATTTGTAACAACATGAATGAACCTGGATGACATTATGCTAAGTGAAATAAGACAGACACAGAAAGCTAAATAGTATATGATCTTACTTATATGTGGAATCTAAACAAGTCAAATTCATAGAAGCAGAGAGGAGAATGGTGGTTGCCAGGGGCCAGAGGGTGGGTTGGGGGGAATGGTGAGATGTTGGTCAGAAGGAACAAACTTTTAGTTATAGGATGAATAAGTTCTGGGGATCTAATGTTCAGCAGGGTGGCTATAATTAATAATACTGTATTGTATACTAAGAGAGTAAATCTTTTTTTTTTTTTTTGAGACGGAGTCTTGCTCTGTCGCCCAGGCTGGAGTGCAGTGGTGCGATCTCGGCTCACTGCAAGCTCGCCTCGCGGGTTCACGCCATTCTCCTGCCTCAGCCTCCTGAGTAGCTGGGACTACAGGAGCCCGCCACGCCTGGCTAATCTTTTTATTTTTAGTAGAGACGAGGTTTCACCATGTTAGCCAGGATGGTCTCGATCTCCTTACCTCGTGATCCGCCCGCCTCGGCCTCCCAAAGTGCTAGGATTACAGGAGTGAGCCACCGCGCCCGGCCGAGAGTAAATCTTAAGTGTTCTTCACACACACACACGCGCACACACACACACACCGGTACTGGTCCTTGGCCTGTTAGGAACTGGGCGGCACACAGGAAGTGAGTGGAGGGCGAGTGAACGTTACTGCCTGAGCTCTGCCTCCTGTCACATCAGCCAAGGCATTAGATTCTCATAGGAGCGTGAACCCTACTGTGAACTGCGCATGCGAGGGATCTAGGTTGCCTGTTCCTTATGAGAATCTAGCTAAATGCCTGATAATCTGAGGTAGAAGTTTCATCCCGAAACCATCCCCCTTTTCTACGAAACCAGTCCCTGGTGCTGAAAAGTTTGGGCGGGGGGGACCGCTGCTTTATGGGAACTCCCATTCCATGTTTGAGGAATCCACTACAGTTTGAGACCAGACTCCATTAGCAAGCCCAACTGGCCACCCCTGGCTCTCCCGGCCTCTAGCAGCTAGAGCAGGCACGGAACCTAAGCTCTGCCAATCAGATGTATTCACCAGGACCCGAATCAAAATGGGCGGCACAAAGAAACCATGACAACTTAGAATGCACCCTACTGGCAGCAGCAGTGACTCTAGTGTCACTGGCCAGTGGTGGCAAGGTAGTGTCCTACTCATACCCTTCCTGTGGAAAATCTCAGCCGGGGCCATTTAGCTTTCTGCCAATTTGCCAAGCTCATTTCTCAAAACTTCATGTTAATTCTGTTGCTATTGGATAGCCTGCCAATAAGTTCCTTTTCTGCATAAGCGAACAAGAGATTTTTCTCAGGCTATTTGCAACCCAGAATTCTGACTGGTACACTACCATTTATTGAAAAGCCACCACATACCAGACACTTTAAGTGAAGTATTATTAGAAGTCTCATTTTCCTATTTTTTATTAGAAAGTCCTATTTTATTATTAGAATTATTAGTCCTATTTTATTATTAGAAGTCTCATTTGCCTATTTTATAGGCAAGGAAACAGAAGCCCAGAGAATTTAAATAGCATATCTAAGGTCACGTAGCCAGAAGTCCACTTAATCTGCCCCAATCTTTCCTCAGTTATATACTACATCACCAGACACAGTACTAATTGGCAGAGAATAGTGTCCCTGACTCTTCCTTTTTACTACCTCATATTCTTATTGTGGAAGACTTCATCCCTGGCATTCCCCTGTCCTGATTATGTAACCCAGGTTTCCTGGAATTGAATTCTCCCCTTCATTATGGAAAAAATCAGCCCAAATGGATTTCAGAGTTATTGCCATACAACTCACAGCTCTGGGTTTTGTTTAGGGAATAACTGTAATTCACTTCCTAATCATCTTTTTCCTGAGAAATTTCATTTTCTTAGATGGTGCTTAAACAACAACAAAATTGTGTCAAAATGCTAATCTAATTAATTGTGGTTGATTGAGTAGATAATAATGAGTCATAGTGTTAACAGTATCTAAGTGAGCAGAGTTTTAGAATCAAAAGGCACCAGCACCTTCTGCCCAGAAGAGGGCAACGTTCTCTCATTATGCTATCTGCAAAAGCTGGGAACTCCAAAAAGGAAATGTATATACTGTGGTAGGAACCGAAGGATTTACCATTAACGCTTCAAAATGATTCTAAATACAAAGTTATTAGGCCATGATGTGCCATACTCAATAATCAACAATTACCAAGTGTTTGTTGAGTGTTTGTTGGATATAAAATATTGCACAGGACACTGAAGGAAACACAAAAAAGTTATCAGCACATCTCCCTGATTTTATAAAGCTCATGATTTAGTTGAGGATATCAGGCATCTATGCAAGCAGTAAAGAAATATCGGCCAGGCATGGTGGCTCACATCTGTAATCCCAGCACTTTGGGAGGCCAAGGCGGGTGGATCACGATGTCAGGGGTTCAAGACCAGCCTGACCAACATGGTGAAACCCCATCTCTATTAAAAATACAAAAATTAGCTGGGCATGGTGGCATGCACCTGTAATCCCACCTACTCAGGAGGCTGAGGTAGGAGAATCGCTTGAACCCAGGAAGCAGAGGTTGCAGTGAACCAAGATCATGCCACTGCACTCCAGTGTGGGTGACAGAGCAAGACTTGGTCTCAAAAAAAAAAAAAAAAGAAAAGAAAAGAAAAGAAATATCAGACAACATGCCATCCTGGGCTGGATTTCCGTTCACACACGCCCCTTTCCACCTTTCTCCTCAAACCAGCAGTAGACATATGACTCACTCCTTTGCCTCCTTGAAGTCCTTATTCAAAAGTTACTTTCTCAGTGAAATCTGTCCTTACCACTCTAATGAAAATCGCAACACAACCCATTTCTGCCCTGCACTGTCATTCTCCTTGACCTGGCTTTTTTTTTTCCACAGCATTTATCATCTTCTAACATTCTATATAATTACTTTGTTGTGTTTGTTTTATAACATTTTCTCCTGCCAGTAGAATCTAAGCTACACAAGTACTAAGATTTCCATCTGTTTTGTTCAGATACATCCCCGGAGCCTGGAACAATGCCTTGCATGTAATAGGGACTCAAAAAAAATTGTTCAATGAATGAAAGTCAGTAGGAAAGATAAGTGCTGCAGGAATTTGGAGGTGGGGAGATGGTAAGTAAGGGGCCAGGGACCTGGGGGATGTCTTTGTGCAAGACGTAATTACTGAAATTGGATTTTGAAAGGTGGGTAGGATTTTGATAGAGGGAGATGAAAAGTCAGGGAGAATGTGACTCCTGAGGCCTAGAGACATCTGGGCAAAGAGGAATAAAGGACAAAGGCATAATAATTTACCAAGTAGTACAGGGAAAAGGGTATGGGCTTTAGGGTAATGCCTAGGGGTTTGAATCTCATTGTGCAATTCCTTTGTGCCCTTGGACAAATTTGCTGACCTCTCAATTATTTCCTCCCCTGTGAAATTGAGATAATACTTTCATCGAAGACTGTTGGGACAATTAGAGAAAACTTGTAAATAATCCACCTGGTTCACAGTATGTCCTTAAAAAGGTAAATTATTATACTGCTATAACCCACTGAACACTTATCAAGCAGGTTTGTTGAATTAACTTTTTTTTTTTAGCCCGGTCTCATGCCCATTGCCCAGGCTGAAGTACAGTGGTGTAATCACAGCTCACTGCAGCCTTGACATCCCAGGCCCACGTGATTCTCCCACCTCAGCCTCTCGAGTAGCTGGTAGCTGAGACTACAGGTATGCACCAATGTGCCCAGCTAATTTTTTGTATTTTTAGTAGAGACTGGGTTTCACCATGTTGCCCGGATTGGTCTCAAACTCCTGGGCTCAAGCTATCTGCCTGCTTCAGCCTCCCAAAAGAATTCACTTTCAGAGTACATTTTGAGTCACTTGAGTCTCTACAGGTATTCTATAGTGAATCTTCCATAAAATGGATTAAAGTAGTTGCCATGAAATATGAGTCTTTAATGAGCTCTAAGAGCAAGTATTAATTGCACTTTACATTTTATAGAATTCTGTCACAGACATTACCAGTACTGGTCTACATAGTAGTAATCCTGACATCGATATTATTATTATCATTACTTCTGATAATAAAGCATGAAACTACTGCTTTAATATGATTGAGTTGCTGGTCGAAGCTTACAAGTCTGACAAGTGATTAAGACAGAACTCATATTCAGAATTTCTGATCCCAAGTCCCTCACTCTTTTTATAAAATGACTCTCTGCCTCTAACCATTTTTACGGGACTTGAACCAACACAATTATACTGTTGATCTGTTCAATCAATTGAAAAAAATCTAAATGCCTCTGAAACCCATAGATGCCTTCTCGCTTCCTTTCTCTCTCTAACTGAGACTGAGATAAGAGGAACGGGAGAACTGGAGTGTATCTCTTAAAGGCCACTTTCTGCCAGCTTATGAAGGATTTCCTCTCCATGGTCTTTGTTCTCACAGAATTTAAACCCCTTCAGGTGGAAATGGTACTTGAGGGAAAATACTTATCTCTTTCAACACATTTCATTTAATATTTCAAGTTAAGAAAGAATTAAGAAACAAAACAAGAAGTGAAATGACCCAAACACTCAAGATCTGTGAATAAATCCACATTGAAGTGGAAAAGTTATTGCTATATCCAAGGATTAAAAGAGCATGAAATAATGTAGGAGAAAATTGTGGTAGGGCATTAGAAAATCTATTAGGCAGAGAGGAACTGGAGTTTGCTCTTCACATGACAGGGTATAAAGAGGTACATACGGGCGGGTTTAAGAATGAACTAGATGTGGCCAGGCACGGTGGCTCACGCTTGTAATTCCAGTACTTTGGGAAGCTGAGGGGGGTGGATCACGAGGTCAGGAGTTCAAGACCAGCCAGGCCAACATAGTGAAACCCCGTCTCTACTAAAAATACAAAGATTAGCTGGGTGTGGTGGTATGCACCTGTAATCCCAGCTACTCGGGAGGCTGAGACAGGAGAATTGCTTGAATCCGGGAGGCAGAGGTTACAGTGAGCTGAGATTGCACCACTGCACTCCAGCCTGGGTGACAGAGCAAGACTCCATCTCAAAAAAAAAAAAAAAAAAAAAAAAAAGAATCAACTAGATGTAATGGGATTAGATGAAGTTTGAATGCAAGAGCTGTAACTACCATACAAATATAGCTATCCCTACCAATACTATTACGGATGGGTTCTCTGATATGCTATAACAAAGAACATAATTATTATCTGCCACAGATGGGATATTTCTTTGATTCCTATCCACAAACGAAGTAGGTATTTCTTATTTATTTACTTAAGTCAAGAAGATAGATGCTGAAAGACATAATCTCTACAATTCTTCCTTTCTGCATCTCTTAGAGAATTGCCAATTTTTGCTATGCCAACAGTGATACACTTCATCATGATTTTTCTGACAAAATCACCTTTAGCATGTTAAGCTAAAACGTGTTCCCATCTAATTTTTTTCTGGAGGCATGTGAAGTCAATTCTTTTAAGTTCATCTTTTAAGTTGTTCTCCCCAAGATGACAAAATTCTATCCCATGGTAGCAATTAATCAACAAATCAACATGTAGTACCCACAGTATGTCCAGCATTATACATGCTGCTGTGAAGAATATAAAAACATATTGTTCTTTTTTTTTTTAATTTTTTTTTTTTTTTTTTCTGAGATGGAGTCTTGCTCTGTCACCCAGGCTGGAGTGCAGTGATATAATCTCGGCTCACTGCAACTTCCGCCTCCTGGGTTTAAGCAATTTCCTGCCTCAGCCTCCCAAGTAGCTGGGACTACAGGCAGGCACGCACCACAGCACCCGGCTAATTTTTGTATTTTTGGTAGAGACGGGATTTCACTATGATGGCCAGGCTGGTCTTGAACTCCTGACCTCAGGTGATCCGCCCTCCTCGGCCTCCCAAAGTACTGGGATTACAGGCGTGAGCCATTGCGCCTGGCAATTTTGTTTGTTTGCTTAAATTTTATGGAAAATTTCAAACATACACAAAACAAAGTAGCATAATAAACCTTCATAAATCCTTCACTGAGTTTAAACCATGATCAGATTATAGCCAATATTGCTTTACTGCTCACTTCCCTTCCATTTTATTTTGAGACAAATCCCAGTAGTCATATAATTTCACCTATAACTAGTTCAGTGTGTATCTGTAAAGGATAAGGATTTTTTTAATATAAGGATTTAAAAAAAACAAAATAAAATTTAATTCCATAATGTTATCAAATTTCCAGTCACTGTTCAAATTTCCATTAAGACTTGTTATTCTTCTTAACAATAACATTGACAGCGTTCTTTATATACATCAGGCACTGTGCCAAATAATTTATAAACACTATGCAATTTAATCTTCACAATAACGCTATGAAGAAGGTAGCATTATTATCCTATATTTTATAGCTGAAGGAACTAAGGCTCAGAGATGTTAAGAAATTTTCTCTGGTCAATGCCTTCAGAAGGTGAAGAAAATCTGCAGAAACAGAAACCAAGGTCACTTACAGTGGATTGCTGACAGGATAATAGGGTTATATTTAAAGGAAATCTATCTGTTCTGTAGCTGACAACAACAACAACATTCTGTTAGACGTAGGCCTGATAATCCATAATGCACAACTATTAAGATTTTTCTGTATTCTGTAATAAATAAGAATTCTAAAGAAAAGTCATTTCAGGATGCAGTTGAGGAGGTGTCTTGCCAGAAGTATAAAGGGGCCCACAAATGACCAGCTTCATTTTTTCGGTTATGAACCTGTAATATGTGACACAACCAATAGATGGCGGCAACATGGCAGCAATATTAAACGTCTCTGATCCTATCTTGCTCTATCCAGTAACAACCCTGCTTCACTCTGGATTGCTCCAGCATATTTCAGCAGATGTCTCAGTACTCTGAGCACTCTAAAGGTAATTTTGGGAACACAGAAAAAATGAAAGTGTAGGTTAGTGTTTCTCAAAGTATGTCTCACAGGCCCTCCACCCCCCAACACATCATCAGTTGGAAGCCTTGTTAAAATGATGAGTTTTGATGACTTGGTACAAGAAATGATATAAAACATTTTAATCATCATTTATGTTGATTACATGCTGAAAGAATAACATTTTGGATATACTAGGTTAAATAGAATGTATCATTATATTTAATTTCACCTTTTTTTTCACTTTTTAAAGTGTGGCTACCAGAAAATGTAAGATTACATATGTGGCTTATATCTGTGCCTCACATTTATGGCTCCCCTTATATTTCTATTGGACATGTCTGCCCTGTAGAGATGTGACTCAAGCCTGGCCAATCAGAGCAACACATTCCCATGGCCACAGGAATCGGTTTAGGGACTTAGGACAGAATGAGAAAGAATGAAACACACCCTTGTTCCTTTGAGATGTCCATCTGAGTGGATATAGAAACTGAAGCCATTGCAACTGCCTTGCCTCCATGCGTGGTCCTATGATGGAGCAAACTCTAAGGAATTAGAGGTAATCAAGGAGAGAAATGGCATCACAGTGATACGGAGTCCTGGATGATGTTGTGCCTGTCCTTATTTCTGTTTCTGGACTCCCCAGTTATATGAGCTGATACCTTCTCCTTTTTGCTTAATCTAATTTTGGTTAGAATTTCTATTGCCTGTAACAGAAAAATGCCTAAATCAGTACATTGGCATTAGTGAATGAACTTTGTGAACCAATTTCAGTTAAAAAGAAGCCATAATTTAAGGGATTGAAAGCAGAGTGATAAGGAAATATAGGCAGAAAATGTAAACATGATGTTTGGTGGTAAAAGGAAAGATAGGCCGGGCATGGTGGCTCACGCCTGTAATCCCAGCACTTTGGGAGGCCCAGGTGGGCGGATCACAAGGTCAGGAGTTGAAGACCAGCCTGACCAACATGGTGAATCCCCATCTCTACTAAAAATACAAAAATTAGCCAGGTGTGGTAGTGCGTGCCTGTAGTCCCAGCTACTCAGGAGGCTGAGGCAGGAGAATCCCTTGAACCCAGGAGGCGGAGCTTGCGGTGAGCTGAGATTTCACCATTGCACTCCAGCCTGGGCGACAGAGTGAGACTCTGTCTCCAAAAAAAAAAAAGAGATAGCTAAGTCAGGGTCTGCTCAAAGGAGTATTGGTTCAAAGGAAGCAGATTTTCTGTTTGTTGGTTTGGGGAGATCTGTAATATCCTCATTGCCTAGTTTTCCCTGGTTTGGGGTAAAAAAGAAACAAGGAATGTCTTCTCATCACCCTCTCAAAAGTGTAGCATTAAAGTCTAGGCTTTCCTTATCTTAGAAAAGAGACTTCTTGAAGTAACCCAAGCAACAAGTGATACATTCCTGAACTACGTTCATAGAGGTGGAGGGAAGAAAAGAAATTGAAGAGGCAGTAAAGAATGCACAGTTAAAAGGCTAGTGGTTTACTAGATGTAGGGGATAAAAAAGAGAAAGATAAAGATGGCTGGGCACAGTGGCTCATGCCTGTAATCCCAGCACTCTTGGAGGCCAAGGCAGGAGGATGACTTGAGCCCAGGCATTCAAGACCAGTCTGGGCAACATAGGGAGACCACCCCCCGCACCCCACTATACCCATCTCTACAAAATAATTTTTCAAAAAATTAGCTGGGTGTAGTGATGGATGCCTGTGATCTCAGCTACTCAGGAGGCTGAAATGGGAGGATTGACGGAGCCCAGGAGGCCGAGGCTGTAGTGAGCTATGATCATACCACTGCACTCCAGCCTGGGTGACAGAATAAGACCCTGTCTCAAAAGAGAGAGAGAGAGAGAGAAAGAGAAAGACAAAAATGACCTTCAGTTTCCTGACTTAGGATACTTGGTTTCTGGTGATGCCTTTCACCCACAATGGAGTACAGGAGCAGGAGCAGGTATGATGGAGGTGCGGGGTATGTTTTTTTATACATGCCAGTTCATCTCTTTGCTGTCCTAGGGCCACTGGAACTGGCCTGAGGATGCCCCCTTACCTTTTCTTTCATTTTTCTTTATTCAAAGGGCTACTCCAAGAAACCCTCACTCTCTGCAGATCTCCAGACAAGAACTTGACAGCAGTCTTCATGGATATAGAAAAATCCCTCACCCTCGGGGACACTCATCAATCTCTCCTAAATATGCTCAGCTAACTTTCCACCCACAGCCGCACATTTGGCTGCACAGCTAGTATCCAGCCTGGGATCAAGAAGCCAGTCTCCCCTTCTTGTAGGACCTCCGGTCTTTGTGAGTGATTCCCTCAGAGACCCACGACACATTGCATGGGGGTGGGGTGGGGAAGACACTTCCCGGTGGATGAAAGCTCAAGAACTCTCAACTCCTACTCCACCACAAATCACATCCCCTTCCCCAGGCCTCTCCTTATTTAGAGGGCAACTAGTGTAGGGGAGGTAGTAGATGGCAGAGGTAGTAGATGGCTACTTCTGTGTATGGCTTGGGGGAAGAACCTTACCATATTTTTTAGTGGTTTTCTTCAGAATGCTGGGAATAAGAGCTTTTTTGTTTTTTGCTTGGGTTCCAATCACCAGAGTGCTAGAAGGAATGAATGAGGGAAACCTGGTAGAGCTGGGGAAAGAAGATTCCGGGCAGAAGGACCAACAATGCAAAGACCCCAAGGTGGAAAATGTCTCAGCATGTTTAAAGATCAGAAGAAGGCACAAATCTCAAGATCCTTAGCACAACCTATAAGGATCTTGAGGAAATTGCATCTACTTGTCTTTGCCCTTGTCCATCAATGCATTTCCCACTCCGCCTTCTGAGCACCAGTTTTCTATTGCTACACAGCAGGCTGTCCCAAAACACACTGGCTTGCAACAACAATGATTATATCTCATGAGTCTGGGGTTGACTGGACTCAGCTAGGCGGCTCATGTGTGCCATGTGGTTATTCACATAGGTGTGCAGTTATGTGCATAGCTTCATTCATCTGGAAGCTTAGCTGAGGCTGAAATGTCTAAGATGGCCTCATTCATATGTCTGGGGCTTGGTTATTGACAATTCTGTTGTCTTCTTGGTGCTTCTGCCCATGGCCTTTCTCTCCACACAGTCTTTCATTGGTCAATAGTCTGACCCAAGTACTTTACATGGCAACTGGCTTCTACAAAGGTGATAACTAAATTTCCTAGCCTTGGAAATTTCACAAGATCACTTCCATTACATTCTACTAATAAGTCAAGTTACATGACCAGCCCAGAGTCAGTATCCCAAGTCTGGATGGGAAGAACGAGAAAGAATTGTGGCCATCTTTAAACTGCCATATTCTGGCAAAATCAATTTACATTTTTATTTTTTGAACACCATGCTGCTTCATTACTTGTGTCTTTGGACACAGAATTACTTCTGTCTGGACTGGCTTTTTCCTTTCCCTTTCTATTATCTTTATTAGTTACCTTATTAAATTACTTTGCAAGTTTCTTAAACCTCCACAGTGACCAGTCATTGGATATAGGCAATGACCTTGGGCATGGCAGCCCTCTTCAGTCTAGGGCAATTTCTGGAGAGGGCTGGCAGCCCTGGCAGCTGGAGGAATTAGTATGTTAATTTTGAAGGGGTATCTGGGTGGTATAGCACAATGTCCATTGCATCCTACTGCCCTCCCGCATCTTCTGTCTCTGTGTTGATAATCTGTTTTTTGTTTTGTTTTTTGAGACAGGGTCTTATTTTGTCACCCAGGCTGGAGTGCAGTAGTGCAATCATAGCTTGCTGCAGCCTTGAACTCCTAGGCTCATGTGATCCTCCCGCCTCAGCTTCCTGAGCAGCTGGGACCACAGGTATGTGCCACCACACCTGTTGTTTTGTAGAACTAATTGTTGTGTTTTTTGTAGAGACAGGGGCCTCCCTATGTTGCCTAAGCTGAGCCAAATTCATGAGCTCAAGTGATCCACCCACCTCGGCCTCCCAAAGTGCTGGGATTACAGGTTTGAGCCACTGCACTCAGCTGATCATCTGTTCTTCACAAGCCTTATTGGAGGCACTGTTGCTTCTGAACTCCAGCCCTGTGGCTGGAATAATTACCCTTGTTTCCATTCGTCCCCGAGTTTTCAAATATTTACTGTACCTTAACTCACTGCTTTAATTTGTCACATATAGTCTCTAACCCATCCAGTTATCACTTGTTGTGTCTTCTTGAAGCTTACCCTGTTCTCAGTTGACCCATTACTTGTCAACAGCCCCCGGATCTTGAGTTTTGGCTCTCTGTGAATACCAGCTTTTGTTCCCTGGCTCTACTCTTCTAGTGTCTCTCCAGTTTAGGACACTTGTCTAATTTCATGGCCATCCCTGTTTGAGTCAGTGAACCTACATATGAAGAAATATTTTAGTTCACTAATAATCACAAAAATGCAAATAAAACAATTTTGACTTTTTTTCATGTATAAGATTATCAAATATTTAAAAGGCTGACAAAATCTTTGAAAAATGGCACTACTCTGTTTTCTCACACTGTTGGTGTGGTTAAATTGATATGATCTTTCTGGAGAAGAGTTTTTCAACATATTTATCATCATGTAAATTATCTAGCAATTGAATTTCCAGTTATTTATACTAACAAGTTATTTTTGCAGGTGTGAAATGATTTATAAATAAGGATATTCATTGTAATAAAATAGGAAAATTGGGAAGATAAACTAAGTGTCCATCAATTAATAAGTAAATTAGGGAATAAAGATACAATTTTATGGAAACATTAAGATGAGGAATACATTTATATTTATGTACATGAAAATATGTTTATGGTATCACTAAATGAAAAAATCAAGTTACAGAAAATCATGCATACTATATATAGCATAAAATTATAAACATATATTTATAAGTATATATTTATGCATCAAAAGATATTTGAAAGGTTATTTATCAAAGTGCTCCTATAAAAAAAATACCATTTGGGGCCTGGCACAGTGGCTCACACATATAATCTTTGCACTGTGGGAGGCCAGTGTGGACAGACTGCTTGAGGCCAAGAGTCAGAGACCACCCTGGTCAACATAACGTGACCTAATCTCTACAAAAACTTAAAAACAAAATAGCCAAGCATAGTGGTGGCATGACAATATTCCTAGCAACTTGGAGGTTGAAGTGGAAGGATCGCTTGAGCCCAGGAGTTTGAGGCTGCAGTGAACTTCGATTACACCATTGCACTCCAGTCTCGGTGACAGAGCAAGACCCTGTCTCTTTAAAAAAAAAAAAAAAGGTACTATTTGAAGCAAAGATTTGGATAACATAATATAAAAAGTATTAGAAAAAATATAGGTGTACACATGTAAAAGTATTCTTATGCCTTATAAGACTAAACAACTAAAATCATACAGGGATAGATCAAATACATAAACCTTTGAAATTTCTGTATGGGATAAATGTCATAAACAACATTGAAAGGCAAATGTAAAACTAGGAAGCTTTTTTTCTTAGAGACAGGATCTCACTCTATCACCCAGGCTGGAGTGCAGTGGTACAATCACAGCTTACTGTAGCCTTGACCTCCCCGGCCCAAGCAATCCTCCCACCTCAGCCTCCCAAGCAGCTGGGACTACACTTGGGCACCACCGTGCCAGGCTCTTGCTTATTTATTTTTATTTCTCCTTTACTTTATCAGCTTCACTAGAATGGAAGCTTTAAGAAAGCAGGGACCTGGTCTGTTCTACTTCCACAGTCTAGAATAGTACCTGTCAAAGAGTAGATACTTGATAAATATTTATTGAATAAATAGACAATGAGAGATAAGAGCTAAATATCTTGCATCTCTGGTTTTTCCAGAAATAACTTTTTAGCTTTTATATCTCCCCCAATTTCACTGCTTCCTTCCACTTTCCTCCCTTCTCCATTTCTTCCTCTTCTACTTTCGCGGAAAAAAAAAATTAAATCTTTCCTCCCTTCTCCATTTCTTCCTCTTCTACTTTCGTGGGAAAAAAAATTAAATCCAATTAATTGGGAATGGTTCCAGCTGGAATGCAGAAGGAAATGCATGCAGGTGACATCCAGGATGACTTCTACCCCTTTACATCTACATTTGCCTTTTATTTAATTAGGAAAAAATTCAAATTCTGCAGAAAGAGAACAAAAGTTGAGAGTCAGGAAAAGGCCAAAGATTAAAAATTATATAAGGTATAGTATAATGCAGGTTTATGTTTATTGGAGAGATCATTTCCTTAAAATAGGATTGATAAACATTCATCCAAAAAAGTCATTCGCTTATTGCACAGTTAAATAAACAAATGCTTATTATAGAAATGTAATTACGTTTTCAAAAGAAGCAAGAGTTCTGAATTTATTGACTTTTTCTGAGTCAATCTTGGCAAAGAGTATTCAAAACAAATTAGAAATTTCTGTACTTTGTCCAGCAAAAGCTTGGAAATGGCCTTGGCTTAGAATACAGGTGAGCAAACAGGTATTCTTTGGGTAAGCCCCAGCCCATACAGTTGTTTTGCCAAAAATTCAAATTGGAAATTGTTCTGAAAAATCATTTTCCATCTACATTGCCAATAGCAACAATCAGCTGGGGCTCATTAGGTACTAACAGTTGCTGAGCTTTAACATCTGACCCAATCTCAATAATCTGTATTTTGCTGACCCCTAGCTTCCTTTCCTTGTTTACATCACTTGCTTGGTCTCTGTAAATTTTCAAGTTTGAAGTAGCTATCTTAAAGCAGAAATCAAAATGTATTAATTTAATACCATACTGAAGTCAGGCCGCTATTTGGCCCATACACAGTGGTGCAGGAGCATCTCTTGTTTAAGCTCAATGATCATTCTGATTGGTCAGCACCATATTGTACTGGTTGTTAAATATTTTGAATTTTTTTTAATACTTTATTTTTTAGAGGAGTTTCAGGTTTGCAGCAAAATTGAGATGAAGTTACAGAGATTTTCCATATGTGCCTGGCATTATATATCCCATGCCCCCACGCATGCACAGCCTCTCCCATTATCAACATCCCCCACAAGAGTGGTACATGTTTTACAATTGGTGAACCTACATTGATATTATTATCACCCTGTCAATAGTTTACATTAGGGTTCACTATTGGAGTTGTGCATTCTATGAGCTTGAACAAATGTATAACGACACCGGGTTGGTGGCTCATGCCTGCAATCCCAGCACTTTGGGAGGCTGAGGTGGGTGGCTCACCTGAGATCAGGAGTTCGAGACCAGCCTGGCCAACACGGTAAAACCCTGTCTCTACTAAAAATACAAAAAATTCACCAGGCATGGTGGCACATGCCTTAATTCCAGCTACTAGGAGGCTGAGGAAGGAGAATCACTTGAACCCAGGAGGCGGAGGTTGCAGTGAGCTGAGATGGCGCCACTGCACTCCAGCCTGGGCAACAAGAGTGAAACTTCATCTCAAAAAAAAAAAAAAAAAAGAATACAAAAATTAGCTGGGTATGGTGGCACATGCCTGTCGTCCCAGCTATTCAGGAGGCTGAGGTGGGAGAATTGCTTGAGGCTGGGAGGTCAAGGCTGCAGTGAGCCAAGATCGTACCACTGCACTCCAACCTGGGTGACAGGGCAATAACCTGTCTTTAAAAAAATGGTGGAATGACATGTATCCATCATGATAGTATCATACAAATTATTTTCATTGCCCTACAAATCCTCTGTGCTTTGCTTATTCATCCCACTGCTTCTTCCCTAGCCCATAAATATAATTCTTGCCTAAAATTCTTCTAGTCATATTCTTAAGTTGACAGTTGTTTGAATTTGTATTATGGATATTCAAATAAATAAAAAACTTTATTATATAATGAAGGTGAAGAAATTAGACCAATAAGTAAAGAATTTAAACCATGTTAGATTTAGCCTAAAACAAAGTAAGCTGTGGATGAGTAGAAATGTTTATCAATTAGAAGAAAATATCCTACAGCATTCTTTAGTAATTATTTAGGTTAATCCTGTTTACAAAGTACTAAAAGTATTATGGTTTAGGGTAAAATTCAGTCTTGAAATTATATATTTAACTACCTATTTAACAACTCCAATGAAATATCCTCAAAGCATCTCAAATATGACCACAAAATATTTGCAGTGACACACAGTAGATTCACCTTGGCTGGGTTTCATTATTATGGTAAAACTCTTTTCATAATCAATAAATGTGTACCTTTGTCCCATGTCTTCACTAAATGAGTTGACAAATGAGTTATAGCCCATGTCTTTGCTGAATTAGTTGATTCTGAAGACACAGGTATTCTCAGCACTGTGAGTGGGATTCACTATGATCACAGAAAAGCCTTTAGAGCAAATCCCATAAAACAGATTTCAAATAAAATCACACAAAAGAACTTTAAGCCCTCCCCTTCCATTTTGTCTCACTTCTTTGGCAGCCACAGCTGCCCTAAGATGTTTGGGTAATCTGCTTTTTTACAAAGTGGGACTGGTGATGAGTGACCCCGAAAGTGGTATTTGTGGCTGCTGGTGTCTTAGACCTCTGCCTGTTTACTGCCTGGTCTTCAGTGGAAATCTGAACTCTCTTTTTCCTGTTGCTCTGTCTTGGAAAAGGATGTAAACAATGATTCAGTGTGAGTGTTTGGGGCTCATGGTAAATGGGTGGAATAATTGAATCATGGAACATTATAGGTGGTAAGACCCTTTATATGTTGTTTAATCTGCTCTATTTATTTCACAATTGAGGAAATTGAGCCTCAGAAACATAAAGTGACTTGCTTATGAGATCTTATAGCCAGTGAATTACAGCGTCAGTTAAAGAACTTACCCTAGGCCGGGTGCAGTGGCTCACACCTGTAATCCCAGCACTTAGGGAGGCTGAGGTGGGAGGATCACTTGAGGTCAAGAGTTTGAGACCAGCCTGGCCAACATGGTGAAACCCCGTCTCTACTAAAAATAAAAAAAAAAAAATTACCAAGGCATGGTGGTGCATGCCTGTAATCCTAGCTACTAAGGAAGCAGAGGTGGGAGGATTGCTTGAACCCTGGAGGCAGAGGTTGCAGTGTGCCGAGATCACACCACTGCACACTCCAGCCTGGGTGACAGAGCAAGACTCCGTCTCAAAAAAAAAAAAAAAAAAAAAAGAACTTATCCTATCATTTCAGATGAGCATATTGGTAGCATTGCTACCGTGAATTGGGGAATCAGCATAAGGAAACTTTACAATGGCAAATATACCATATTTCAGGAAAGCTCTGTATTTCACTCTGAAACTTTGTGTGTCACCATCCTGCTAAGTAACTCGAAGGCATTTTCTAAATGACAGGATTCTCATTAATACCATATTCAACTTTAACATTGACAGTTAAGACTTTTGAAGAGATATAGAAGACATGTCAACATGGGCTGCGCACTGAGATACAGGGAGGAAAAGAGGAGGCTGATGGTTGGTTATGGTCAGCATGAGCTATGCAGAGGTATAGCCGACCAAGGAAACTCCTCATGCCCTTCTGTTGAATTCTTCATGTGCCTGGCATTATCTGTCACTCTGGCCTCTCTCCCAAGCTCCCAGCTCAGATCCTTCATTGCCTGTTGGACGTCTCTACGTAAACACATTAAAAAAACAAAGGCTAAGCAATTCTCAAAGAGTATCTATCATCATCCCTTCAAAATATATTTAACTACAAAATATACTTAACTACAAAATATTTGTACTTCAACTCCAACAAAGTGTCCCAAAAATGTCTCAGATATAACTTATACACTCTCATCTTCACCTTGGCCCTCCGGCTCCTCCTGCAAATCTCACTCATCTCAGAAAATGACAATACCAGCCTTTCAAGATTGCTTGAGCCCAACACGCAGAAGATATTCTTGATCCCTCATTTCCCCTCTACTTTCTGTCCTTCAGAAAGCACTGGTAAACCTAGCTCCAAATGTATCTCAAATTCACCCACTTCTCTCCTTTGCCAGCCCCACTTCAAGCCATACCACCTCACCTCTTACCGGTTGTACTGTAAAAGCTTCCTAAATGCTCTCTCTGCTTTCATTCAATTCTATGCCCCTGTCCACTTCATTCACAGACCAGCACCAAGAGTGATTTCTTCAAACACAAATTAGAGCAGATTATTTCTCTGCAACAAAATCCTTCCCTGGCTTCTCACTCTGCTTAGAATAAAGTCAATGTCAAACTATTTACCATGATCCTGAATTATGTTACCACCAACTCCCCAAACTTTTTTTTTTTTTTTTTTTTTTTTTTGAGACGGAGTCTCGCTCTGTCGCCCAGGCTGGAGTGCAGTGGCGGGATCTCGGCTCACTGCAAGCTCCGCCTCCCGGGTTCACGCCATTCTCCTGCCTCAGCCTCCCAAGTAGCTGGGACTACAGGCGCCCGCCACTACGCCCGGCTAATTTTTTGTATTTTTAGTAGAGACGGGGTTTCACCGTTTTAGCCGGGATGGTCTCGATCTCCTGACCTCGTGATCCGCCCGCCTCGGCCTCCCAAAGTGCTGGGATTACAGGCGTGAGCCACCGCGCCCGGCCCAACTCCCCAAACTTAATTCAAGCCTGGCTATTGTTTACTCCCCAACTTTTCATTTTCTCAGCATGCCAAGCTCATTCCAGTCCAGGACCTTTACACAGGCTGAGCCCTGTGCTTGGAACTATTTTTCCTGCCACTATTCCAATGGCTGGCTCCTTCTCATCTTCAGTGTTGGCTTAAATGGCACTTTCTCAGGAGACTTTCCTGACTACCCTTTTAAAAGTATGATGACCCATTACATCCTATCTCAGCAACATGTTTCCTTTGTAGCATCTGTGACCATCTGTAATTATTTTATTTATGGGTTTCTCATTTTATCTTTGTCTTGCTCACTAAATTGTAAGCCCCAGGAAGTTGAGGACCTTGACTATTTTGTTTATCTTTTTGTCTCTAACTCCTAGCATGGGACCTGGCATTTAGAAAGCACTCATTAAATATGTGTTGAATGGATGAATGAAGGAATACCTGCTTACTTCTCTGCACCCCACCCCCACCTCCACCCCAGGAGACTGCAAACTTTGTGTGGGTGGCAAATCTATCTTGTGATCAACACTTCCAACCCCAGAGCCTAGCACCGTCCCTGGCACACAGTAAATATTCCATAGATATTGCTGAATTAAAATAAAATATAGGAGACCAATTATGAGACTATGGCAAGAATCTAGACTGATGGTAATGGAGACTGAACTAGAAAGATGGAGGGGAGAGAAGAAAGCAGAGGGCACCACCACCACTTACTGCTGGGAAGACACTTGCATTGGTCTTGTCCATCCTAGGCACTATTTGGTGCTATGTTATTAAAGCACTCTGGGAAGACTCTGCTAATCTGATGGCCACCAAACCATGCTACTAGATGAAAACAGCAAGGTGAAGAAGTGTAGTAGATTGTGTTCCTATTCCTATAACGTAAAAGTTGTATTTATATATATGTATAGAAAATTTCAGTATACTCATGACCTGTTAATGATTGTTTCTCAAGGAAGAAGATGGAGACTGGAAGGGAAATCTACATTTTAATAAATATTCTCTCATGTTATTTAACTTTCTTTGCCATCAGCCATGTGTTACTTATTTTCAAAAAAAACATACTAATTTATTAAGTTAATAAATGTCCCTTTATGTATCCCCTTATGGATTATAGACTTCAATTCTTAGGAAGCTAGAGTAATTAACAGAGGGAAGCTAGTGTTATTCCCTCATGATGAATTAAAATAATAATTAACATTAGCATAGTACTTTTTCGTTTCCAAAGCACTTCCACATACATTATCTCATTACAACCTAGTGATGAATATATTAGTAGTAGTAGTAACCACATTTTATTTTATTTATTTTGAGACGGAGTTTTGCTCTTGTTGCCCAGGCAAATGGCACGATCTCGGCTCATTGCAACCTCCACCTCACAGGTTCAAGAGGCGCCCACCACCACGCCTGGCCAATTTTTTTTTTTTTTTTTTTTAGTAGAGACGGGGTTTCATCATGTTGGTCAGGCTGGTCTCAAACTCCTGACCTCAGGTGATCCACCCACCTCAGCCTCCCAAAGTGCTGGGATTACAAGTGTGAGCCACCGTGCCCAGCTGAGTAACCACATTTCATAAAGGAAGAAACACCTTCAAGGTAAACTCAAAATCATGGATTCAGGGCTTATGAGAGGTCTATGAACATCAGATGCTGGTCTTCTCTCTAAACCCAACTGCTCTTCTGTTCAACAAATCATTTCCAAAATGACAACTTTCTACCTTAACTTCAGATTATATACATATGTTATGTATATTATATAGACTATTGGAGTGTATGGTAATTATTGTAAACACGTTATTGGAGTGTTGGCTATCCCTTTAAAACTCTATTATTAAATTGCAGGTTTCTTGCATGCATTGAACATCTTGAATAAAGGTTATTCTATTTTTAATTTATGCTATCCTCTGTTTCATTAGAGAAAATATGAGTAATTTTAGACTCTTTTCCCCTCCAGTATGTATTGATCTGTTATCAACTTTTGATTTTATCAGCAGGAACTTTCTGTGAGCTGAGGTGCGTGATCCTGATATTGATCCCAGACAATTGCTACGTCTGGTGAGTTTTACCACAGCCCTGCTAGTATCAGAGTAGCAATAATGAACTCTGGACAGATTGAATTTCAATCCTAATATATAAAATGGAGGTAGGGTGTTCCAGAGTTCTCCTCTCTTATGTTAGTCTAAGTACCTGACAGAGCTTTTTGATAAACTGGATAGATACACCCCTGCCACAACAAATAGGAAAGGGCCTTCTTCCTTCCCTCCTCACCAAAGGTTCTCAGTCCCGTATGCACATTAAAATCACCTAAAGAGGTTTCTAAAAAAATATCGATGCCTGGGCCCAACCCGCAGAGATTTTTTCAGTCAAATTGTCTGAGCTGGCACCTGGATATTGATATTTTTTCAGACTCTGCAGGCGATGCAATATTAATAAATTCAAACTGTTTGGAGCTGCATTAGGCAACCAACTTCTTTCGGGTCTACAGGACGCAGTTATTCCCCAAAGCAAACATTACCCCCTCCTCCCTTATCAAAGTACTTTCATGGCCCTCAGTGGTCTTGGCCAGCGCCATCTCTCCCACGCTCGGTGATGCTGAACTCTGGGCCTCCAGCTGAGAACTTGCTCAGACATTTGAGCCAATTCCAGAGATCCTCTTTATAAAACACCAGCCTTGCCTCTGGCTTCCTGTTGTGCCCTCTGTATGATGTGAGAAGACTCCAGATCTAGGCAAGAATTCAGGTCTCTATATTTCACAACAAGGTAAAAACTTTACCCACTGGCATGCCTGGAATTTAAACCAGATGAGTCTATTTTCAATTAATAACAGAATTTCTACATTTCAGGACCTGCTAAGCAATACAGCCTGGAACTCTCTGCTCTTCAGTGCCAAATAAAATCCGATTGAAATCATAATCAAATTTCAAGGTCCACGAGAATCATCCTCTTGGCTCAATTCCATATGCTCCATCCCTCTGCATGGAGCTAGCCAGACAGTGCCACACCTGTGCTAGTACTTTAGATTCTATTTTTATGTCACCACAATGGTAACCTTTAGTATTATGGCTTTGGATTTTTATGGCGAGTTAGTAAAAGGAGTAGTCACAGAAATACCAGCCCTCCAATTTTAAGTAAAACTATATTTGAAATCAATAGCTTGTCTTTTGCTCAGTGGACAGTATCAACCATTTTGCTCATTTTATTCAATGAGCAGTCATTTACTAAACACTTCCTTTGGATAGATAGGTGCTGGCCATACATAGATAAATCAGATACGTATCTATGTTTCCAAGAATTCACAGATAGTGAAGAAAACTGATAGAAATAGTCACAACACAGTGAGCCGGGTGCAATAAAAGGGTTTAGCACAAAGTGCACAGATAAGGACCCAGTGCCAACTTGAGGCAGGTAGTTGGAGAAGGCTGCTGGAAAAAGTAAAAGGGGTTAGACAGGAGGACATGGCTTCTCTATGAGGAAGGTTCACATTTACATTTTAGCAAGGTCATTCTGGAAGCAGTAAAAAGGTGGATTTACTGAACAAACGCATGGATAGCGCTTGCCATTACCGAAGCACTGTTCTAAGTGCCTACGTATAGTAAATCACTTGATCCCCGAACAACTCTTTGAGGTAGGAATATTATCCCCAATTTACACATGACGAAACAGGCACACTAAGATTGTGCAACTTGATTGAGGTTGTATGGTAGTTAAGGAGCAAAGCCAAGATTTAGAGGCAGTTGGTTTGGCTCCAGGGTCCATGCACTTTGTCATTATATTATACTGCCTCAGGGAGAGCGGCAGAGAGAGTCAGAGAGGAGAGGCAGGTGGATCAGTTGTAAAACTTATGTAATAGTCCAGGAGAGATGTATATGCTTTATTTAGGAGGTGAAAACAATGAGAAAATCGACTGACACTCACTCCTGACTTCTAGCTTGGAGAGGTAGATAAATTACTAAGCTTTTAACTGAATTTAGGAGTGCTTAGAGGTAGACGTTTCAGACATGTAGACCAAAAGGAAGAAGAAAAGAGAAATAACATTTATAAAGCAACATTATGTTCTAGGCCTTCTACATAGTTATCTTGTTAAATTCTTAAAACTCTAAGAGGTAGGTATTAAGTATGAGGAAATTGAGATTCAGAGAGGTTATGTAAGGTCACACAATACATTAGATGTTTGTTGGTTTGGGCTGCCTAGCATCCTAAGAGCACCCTGGTTTTCTCTGGGGGAATCCCATCCCTCCCATGCATGCAGTCTTGGTGGGAGCATAATTCCAGGTACCTGCTGCCAACAAGCATCAAGGAGCGGTGCCATTCCTCTTTATGGCTTTTATCATAGCCAAGGCATGGTGAGGCTGGCCAGAGCTGTTCTGGGCTGCTTGCAACTAAGAAATCCTAACTGAAGTACACAAGCAACAAAGCCAAAACTCAAACCCCAGCCCGTCTAATGCCCAGCTCATACTTTTCTACTCCACCATGCTGCTCCCGGGGTTTCTGCACTCAGAATATGTGTACATGGAGATTGTTCACAAAGGGCCAATATGAGAGCGTTTCTACAAACCATTCGGTGCTTATTCCAGGGTAAGTGAAAGATCTGTCAGGCAATTAAATAAAATCCAGTTTGTTGAGGTATAACTTGCGTACACACAATTTATCCTGTTTAGCCAACCAATTCTATGATTTTTAACACGAAACTGCCATCAGAAACAAAATATAGAAGGGTTCCATCATCCAAAAAAGTTCCCTTATGTCCCTTTATAGTCAGCCCTTAACATCCCAAACCCAGTTTCTGGTAACTACTGATCTATTTTTTATCCCTATGGTTTTGTCTTTTCCAGAATGCCATGTAGGTGGAACTTTACACTATGTAGTTGAGAGTCATGCATGTGGTTCCCTAATCATTCGTTCATTTATCGGGTAAATTTTACTGAATGTTAAATTTGTTAAGTTATCAGATAGTCAATAAATATGTATTAGGCTGGGTACTGCTCCAGGTATGGGGGGACAGGAGTGGGAACAGCAGGGACCGCAAGGATCTGAGTTCCTGCCTTCAATGAGCTCATGTTCTCATATTGGGCTGGTTTGTGGGTTGGGGGAAAACAAGCAAAAAACACATAAACAGGGCTTTAAAATAATTTAGTTTTAAGTCCTGCTAAGTGCCAGACGTGGCTCTAATAGGATAATGAGAGAGTGGTAGAAATGGGCAGAGAGGCCGGGTGCAGTGGGTCACGCCTGTAATCCCAGCACTTTGGGAGGCCGAGGTGGGCAGATCACGAGGTCAGGAGATCCGGACCATCCTGGCCAACACGGTGAAACCCCGTCTCTACTGAAAACACAAAAAATTAGCTGGGCGTGGTGGCGGGCGCCTGTAGTCCCAGCTACTCCAGAGCCTGAGGCAGGAGAATCACTTGAACCCGGGAGGCAGAGGTTGCAGTGAGCCGAGATTGCACCACCGCATTCCAGCCTGGGTGACAAGCAAGACTCCATCTCAACAAAAAAAAGAAGTGGGCAGAGAGTGCTGATTTATCTAGAGTGGTTTGTTGAGTGGATGTGAATTGAGACCCAGATAATGAGAGGGGGACAGCCGTGCAAAGATCTAGGCAAGAGGCACGCAGCAGAAGGAGGAACAAGTGCAAAGGCCCAGAGCAGGGCTGAGCTTGGTGCATTCGTTCAAGAGATAGAAAGCTGAAGGGACTGGAGTGCTGAGGACCAGGAAGCAAGTTGTGGGTCACTTGGGAGAGCCATGAAGGAGCCCAATCAGGCGGGTTTGGTAGGCCAAGACTGGAGGGTAAGTTTTTCTCTAGTTGTAAGAGGAAGCCTTGGAGAGTTTTAAACCAGAGAGTTATGTAACCTGATTTACACCTGGTAAAGATACCTCTGCCTGCTGCGTGTTGTATGGACTGTGCTTGACAGGGAGGAGAGTGGGATAAGACTGGAGGCAGGAGATGGGCCTGGAGGCTTCCTCAGTGTTGAAGGGGGAGCTGACGGTGACTTGAACCAGATTGTGGCACTGCAAATGGTGAGAAGTGTTGGAACTTACTACTTTCGTGGTGTGGTGGATAAAGAAAAAGAATCCCAAAAGCAGTTACATTTTAGTATTTATTTTAAAAGCTGACTTCAAAAATCTCATTGATGCAAATCTGGAGAAATACACAAAAGTTTAAAACTCTCTATAATACAAAGTAGGTTGGTGACTAATTTGCACAATGCAAGTAAACTAGTCTTGATACTCGAGGTCAAAAAGCCTAAACTTGGGGATTAATTTAGTTTTGCTGTATACACTGACGGAAATAATCCAGTAGCCTCCATAGCCCCCACTCCACTTTGTGTTATGAGGACAGCAGGCAGTCAGCACACATGCACTGACTCATATGATACCCACATTCAAAGAGCTTTAACGTGTTGGTTGGATTCCAAAGTAAAAAGAATAGAGACTCATTGCCATGGTTGTACCTGGTCAAGGTCACACCCCAGCCACACTTCTGAGCCATTTGGCTTAGAAATGGGAAACATTATAAAGTTGAGTCAGGAATATGGCAAACCTCCAACCAGAGTAAACTATTTAAAAAATTCACATTTTCTTGTGGCCTTCAGTTTTTTCTCCTTGACATCCTCTGTTCTATCAAGACATTAAGTCCCATGGCCCATGCAAAAGACACTTGGTGCTGTGTTCTGAGATTATCATTTTGATCTACATCTGACTACCATTTTTCCAGCCAAGACCAGCCTTCCTTGTAAATAAAGATCTGTTCAGAGGATATGAAAGAATACATATTCAAGGAGTGCTCTATTCCTTTAGCTGTTCAAAGGATTTGAGGACTTTGTTTGTTTTGAAACAAGTAACCGGCTTTCTCTAACCACGTAACCTCAACCTCACAGGACAGCCAGCAGGAAGTCAGAAATGAAGAACAGCCGATGACCTGGGTGCACTCTCTGGGTGCAGCCTGCTGTTGTCCTGTCCCCACCCTTGTCCTGTTTTTCACTTGTCTTGTTGTTTTTAAGAAAAATTTTTGTCTGCTCTGAGGATCTTCTGCTGATCTCAGGTTTTTCTTTCAGGTAATACATATGACAGGTGCTGGACAGAGCTGAACTGGAACAAGGGTCTGCAGCCATTCACAGAGGGCATGTCAATCTGTGTTCACTCAGGCAGGAGGCAGGAACATGCAGGATGGGAATGGGAAAGTAAACAGGAGTGGCCATGGACTCCTGGCCTCTTCTCTCCATGAGGTTTTCTCACCGAGAGCCTGCTCCAGGGAAGGTGGTTGGCCAAGGCCTGGGGAGCAGCTTTGTGAGGCCTAGGAAGACCCCAGAAGAGGACTTTGCTGAGAAGAGAGCAGACAAGAAGTCAGGAGTGGGGTGAGAGCAGCTTCTCCCTCTCCTTCGCACACTTGTACATAGGCATTCTCCCTCTATTTCCAGCTCCTGCACCCAAGCTATAAAAACAAGTATGGCCTACTGTAAGGCATTCCACAATAAAGACCTCATTCCTTCTGAAAACTTTTCACACTATAAGAAGCTTCTTCTGAAAGGCAAGCGCAGTCACTAGCAACTAACACTGTAGCCACTGCTATTCATCTTTCTAGGTATTAAATAACATCTATTTGAGGGCAAGAGCGGAACACAAGAGACATATCCAGAAGGAGAAAAGAGAGAGAAAATGAAAAGGGAATTAATTGGTGAAGTGGGATGTACCAATTTTTCCTCAGGGTTGCCTGTATTCAAAATACAAAAATACTCTGTGAGTATGAAAGTATTCAAAAATATTCGGTGAGCAATTTTCAGTGTACATTATTTATCAAATAAGCATTTTTTTCTGCACCTTGGCACATAATAGGTGCTCAATAAAAGTTATTGTTATTACTGGTATTAGTACTGTTGCTGTAATGCTATTACTGCATGCCATGTTAACATACTGTTCTGGGTTCTAGGGATAGAGAGGGGCAAAACCTAGTCTGTGTCCTCAAGAACTTACAGCCCAGAAGGGGGACAAGTGAGTTAGTGGCAGGTCCTGACACAGTGTTAATAAATGCTGTGATTAATGTCAGCATTAATAATATGACTAATGCTATTAATGTCAGCATAAACGCTGAGCCAGAATGGACCAGACTTTTATGGGAGTCTATAGGAGAAACACTGGCTAGGAGTGGGGCAGGGATGAGCACTGCTTTCCAAGAAAATAGTCACTGAGAGGAGTCTCAAAAGACAAATAGAAACTGGCCAGGTATATCAAAGGCTTTCTTTTTGTTAAGAAACAGGGTCTTGTTCTGCAGCCTCAAACTCCTGGGCTCAAGTGATCCTCCTGCCTCAGCCTCCCTAGTAGCTTTGACTACAGGCATGCACCATCATGCCCAGCTGTTTTTTGGTAGAGATGGGGTCTGCTATGTTGTCCAGGCTGATCTTGAATTCCTGGCCTCAAGGGATCCTTCCACCTTGGCCTTCCAAAGGTGCTGGGATTACAGGCATGAGCCACTGTGCCCAGCCAGTCAGAGTCTTCATTGCAAGTGACAGAAACAGACTGGCCATTTTAAGCAGAGAATGTATAGAGAGACTATCAGATGATCATACAATTTCTAGGAAACATGGAGAACAAGATTTGGGAAAGTGGTGCCAGTGAGGTGAGGATGCCATTGGTGGTGTGGCATCACAGACTGGCTGCTGGAAATCACATGCTGCTGCCCCCCTCACTCCTGCCAACCACCACGGCCAAAGGGAGTCTTCCTTGCCCTGCTTGTTTGTATCATTACTTCCAGATTCAATATTGCTAATAGGTGCAGCTGATGGACCAAGCCAAGGCTATCTCCCCACATCTTATCTGCCAAGGTAGCGGCAGATTGAGTGCTGGGTCTTTTCAACTTCTGTAAAGGAAGACAAGCACTGTCTCCCAACAAGGCTCACAAGTGAGGAATGTCCTCACACATTTGGAGAGGATCCAGAGGACATGAGTCAACACGTGCCAAAGACTCTCCACCACGTGAAGCAGGGAGGAAAGGGTCTAGTGGAGAGGGAACATGACCTGGGGGTGTTGGGGGTAAGACACAGCATAATGGAGGATGAGGACAATAACTCACTTTGACTGGAGCATGGATTATGAGAGGGAGATAACTGAAGAGGAAGCTGGAAAGGTAGAGAGTCTAGACCAAAGAAAAGCCTTGTATATTCTGTGCCTGACGAGGAGTTTGGTCTCTATTTTGTGAAAGAAGACATAGCGATTTATATTTAGGGCTTTGGAGGGGAATAGAGGTGGGGTAGGGGTTGGCAAGGAAGATCAGAGTTTCGAAATTTGAGACGTGCACTCACAAGTCTTCCCAGAGAACATCTTCTCTGTAGTTCTAGGTCAAGGACATTTATTTAGCTTTTGTCATCATCTTGCCAACCATGGCTTTCCATTCTGCCTTTTTGCATCATAAGTTAACTTCACCTTCCCCAGATTGCATCTATCACACAGGCTGATTTTGGGCTATGCATTGTTCTTGTATTTGAGGGATATGTAGACACAGGTGGAAACTGGCCAGGATTGCAAGAACTGGTTTGTTTAGAGCCAACACAAACACCCAGCTACATCTATATTTTCACAATAGTATGTACACTGCACTAAGACACAGAGGCAAATTGTGAAAAGCATATATCCTCTTGTGATCTTAATTCATTGGGAAAAAGTACAATATAGAGATGTCTGCAGGTGTCACAGAGTAAAGTGGAGGCGTAACAACAATCCAGTTAGTGGGGGGCTGTTGTTCTGATAGGAATTTGTAGGCTAGAATGGGAATTTAGTAGAAAACTAGTTTCCCATCTCCTGGAGAGTCAAAGCTGTCTCCTTTCAGGCCAGGAGAAAACACAAGGATGAATAACATCTGGGGAGGCGATGCTCTGGGTGAGGCACCAGGAGTTGGTGCAATCACAGACGTTGTCTGCAGCACTTGTGTGAAAAGGCAAAGAGGAAACCCATTTCCATCTTCATCAGGGGCAAAAGAAAGAAACTAATTCAGACTCAGTTCAACATGTCTTTCCAATTCACCATCTCTCCCCTACCTGCCCAATCACACCTGCCCACAGAATGAACCATTACAGCAATCTCTGTAAAATGACCTCCGGTCCCCTAGTTCAGGAAGAGGTGATGTTCGGGGGTACATGGTTGATGAGTGCAAGGGTAGGAACACCCCCAAACCCTAAGACATCTTCTCAGTGAGCCCCACCTCAGCTGCCTCTGCTTCCCAGGTCCTTCTCTGCGTTTGTTAACGTCTGGAATTCCTTGGTTGGAACAGATAACAGCATCTCAATAAGTGAGGGTGATTCTTGTACGGTTCTTGACAGCAAAGGATGCCAGACGTTTCGTGATTTTGAGTCTAGAAAACTCTATAATTTCTTTGTGAGGTCTCACAAAAGTTTAAAGTGAGAATGCTTTGGATAGCTATATCTGTATATGTTTCTATGCAGATTTAGAACTTATGAATTTTAAAGGATTTTTTAAAAATTTAAACTAGGATTTAAAAAGTGAGTAGAATCTTCCCTGCCTTAATAGCTTCAGTTCTGACAGAATTACCTTGTTAGCCAATGAATCTAGCTGAGATTTCAAAAAGTATTTTTTAGGCTGGGCGCAGTGGCTCATGCCTGTAATCCCAGCACTTTGGGAGGCCTAGGTGGGTGGATCACTTGAGCTCAGGAGTCCAAGACCAGCAAGATGGCAAAACCCCGTCTCTACAAAAAATACAAAAGTTAGCCGGGTGTAATGGCATGCATCTGTAATCCCAGCTACTCAGGAAGCTGAGATGGAACGATTGCTTGAGTCCAGGAGCAGGAGGTTGCAGTGGGCCGAGACCTGCCACTGCACTCCAGCCTGGGTAATAGAGTGAGACTCTGTCTCAAAAAAAAAAAGAAAAAAAAAAAAAAGAAAGAAAAAAAGAAAAGAAAAAGCATTTTTGGGGAGCTAGGGAGTAAATCACTTGGTTCCTTATGTAAACCACATTATTCATTAGATAAATATCAGATGTAGACTTAAATGTCCAAGGCTTCTTGAGGAGCACCTTGGAAAACCACCCATACGTGAATGGTGAAATGGGCATCTCTGTTCCTCATCATCCTGGGTGTGGGGTAGAGTGGGGCTTATGAAAATTTCAGCCCCAATGTCAAAACACAGTGCAATGATTTTGGGGAAAACATGGCTAACAGCGTATTTTCTCAACTCAGTCACAGTTTTGTAGATACAAGCACAGTCACATGAATATAACTCACGTTTCTTTTTTTTTTTTTTTTTCGGTTTCCTTACAGTAAGAGCCATACTCTTACCCTCTTACACTGGAGTATTCTGGCTGAGCTTGAGTGATGTGCTCTGGGTCAGTTTAGAGACCAAGATATTCCTGGCACTT
The DNA here is from genome assembly GCF_000001405.40 of Homo sapiens. NCBI lineage: Eukaryota > Metazoa > Chordata > Mammalia > Primates > Hominidae > Homo > Homo sapiens. The sequence continues at coordinate 107,852,809 of NC_000007.14, read as the reverse complement.
CTCCACATTAGGCAATTTTTTAAATGTTTATTTTTTAATTATATGCTTTACCTTGAACACTTGAAGAAAGAAAATAATTACAATGATTTCAAAATGCAATCCCTAGACTTAATGAATATTCTTTATAATTATACCCAGTCAATATATAGAAATGCATAGAAATACTAAGTCAACTAACAAAATAAGTCAAAGAACTATGTAAACTATAAATCTTAGTGATGGGGAACATACACTCAAGTCACTTATTTATCTACTTTGGTAGAGACAGGGTCTCAATATATTGTCCAGACTGGTCCTGACCTCAAGCAATCCTTCTGCCTCGACCCCCCAAAGTGCTGGGATTATAGGCGTGAACCACCATTCCCGGCCCCACTTTGTTTTTTTAAAACATGATTCACCTGTGTTTCAATTCCATGCATTCATTGCAAGAGTTAAATGAGACTACTGAGTCTAACAATGTAAACCTGAGTCTCAACACTAATGTTCATAGCAGCATTATTCACAAAACCAAAAGGTAGGAACAACCCAGATGTCCATTAATGGAAAAATTAAATGTGGAATAAACATACAATGGAACATTATTCAGCCTTAAAAAGGAATCCAATTCTGACACATGCTACAACATGGTTGAACCTTGAAAACATTAGGCTAAATAAAATAAGCAAGACACAGAAGGACAAATTTGTATGATTCCACCTACCTTGAGTAGTCAAATTCACAGAGACAGAAAGTAGAATAGTGGTTGCCAGGAGCTGGGGAGAGGGAAGACTGGGGAGTTACCATTTAATGGGTGGTTTTTGTTTAGGATGATGGAAAAGTTCTGGAGACAGATAGTGGTTCACAATGATGTGAATGTATTTAATGCCACTGAAAATGTATAATCAATATATACTTAATGATTAAAATGGTAAATCTTTTTGTTGTTGCTGTTGTTGTTGTTGTTATTGTTGTTGTTTTGTTTGAGACAGTCTTGCTCTGTCACCCAGGCTGGAGTGCAGTGACATGATCTTGGCTCACTGCAACCTCCGCCTCCCAGGTTCAAGCAATTCTTGTGCCTCAGCCTCCCAAGTAGCTGAGATTACAGACGCCCACCACCACGCCTGGCTAATTTTTTGGGTTTTTTTTTTTTTTTGTATTTTTAGTAGAAATGGGGTTTCACCATGTTGGCCAGGCTGGTCTCCAACTCCCGACCTCAGATGGTCTGCCCGACTCAGCCTCCCAAAGTGCTGGGATTACCGGCATAAGCCACCACACCCAGCCTAAAATGGTAAATCTTATGTATATTTTACCACAATTTAAAAACAAAACAAAACAGAGTCTCAGGTGTAAAAGTTTCCAGTTCACTGGCCCTTTCCTGTTGCTGAAGACCACCTGGCTTTCTATTAGTCCAGGGCCTTCGCTTGCTCTTCTGTCTTCCTGGAATACTATTTACCAGCACTTCACATAAATGGCTCCTTCTTAACAGGCAGATGTCAGCTTGAGTTTCTCTTTCTCCAGTCTGAATCACTTTACTCTGTTCATAACTTATTTATGCTTCATCGGCGCCCCTCACTAGAATGTAAACTTGAAAGTTCCATCTGTTTTATTCCCTAGTACATAGAACAGTCTGACCCTAAGTCAGTGCCCAATAAATAGTTATTGAATGACTGGCACTTAGAGCATCAGTGAATGCTCTCTATAAACCGACCTTATTGACGTCCAGTGCAAAAACTCACGACTATGCCTCTGTTTTCTTGAGTATAAAGATGCATCCTTATACTCTCTCCTCCTCATCCTCACCTTTCAATTTTCCCAGCCCTAATTCCAGTTTAACATCATTTAAGTGAGTAATACTAAGCTTCTAGACATGGACCTCACCCATGTTAAAGTTCATTTGGTCCACACCCACCATACTGCCCTACCCATACTGGAGAGGTTGGGGTTTTAGAGTCGGGGAAGTGATTTGAAAGGTGAAAAAGTCAAACATCCCAGTCCATGGGGCCTCATGGAAAGATTCCAGAGTGGAATGATGAAATGGCAAGTTTTCCTGCATAGTTACATTTCATTACAGTCATCAGCTGGAGTAAGGCTCACTTCTGGATGTGATAGGCCCAGGAAGGAAAAATACAAGTAGGAAAAACCAGGAGCCATCTGAACTGGTCTCCATTCCAGCTTCTGCTCTCACAGCAATGATGTCTTCGATGCTGACATGCTCACATCCCCTAGAGCAGTACATTTCCAAGCACGGGGCTCCACTGCCCACAGATGCACCCAAGATCTGGGGGCTGGCTGTGGAAGACCTGGGGTGATCCAAAAACCTCTATGTTACTGGGAAATGTTTGTGTCAAGTGAGCCCAGGTCTAGCCTTTCAGATGTTAATGGAAGGAAGTTGCATCTGTCTACTGCCAGCAGCTGTTAATCCAACGACCACAATCCCCAAGCACCCTATGTAAGGCCAGATCTGATCTGCCATGCGTGATAAATGGTGGGCAACAGGAGTGCAAAATAACATATATATACACATAAATATATATGTATACACACACACACACACACACACACACACACATATATATATATATATATTTTTTTTTTTTTGGAGACGGAGTCTTGCTCTGTCACCCAGGCTGGAGTGCAGTGGCATGATCTCGGCTCACTGCAACCTCCGCCTCCAGGGTTCAAGCAATTCTCCAGCCTCAGCCTCCCAAGTAGCTGGGACTACAGGCACACGCTGCCATGCCTGGCTAATTTTTTTGTATTTTTAGTAGAGACGGGGTTTCACCATGTTGCCCAGGCTGGTTTCGAACTCCTGAGCTCAGGCAATCTGCCTGTCTTGGCCTCCCAAAGTGCTAGGATTACAGGCGTGAGCCACCGCACCCAGCTGCAAAATAACTTATATTTATTACAGTATGCCTTTTTCTAACATAGGGGCTTTACTTGACCTCATTTAATTTACCTGTAATCTTTACTCCATTCTTCAGCTGTAGACTACAAATCCCCTCTGGCCAGCCATGATACAAATACAGGTTCTGTGACACATGGAGTATTGGGAAAGATATGAGTTCAAATGTATCAGTCTTGGAAAAACTATTCAAGACGCAGATTAGAGAAAGTAGTTGACAACACATTTATTTATTTATGTATGTATTTATTAGCATAGTAAAGAATGGTACATAAGGAAAAGAATATGTGTTTTGGATGATTTTGTCCTAAGAAGTGGGGTTACTCAATAAGTTTATTCACATGTGCCCCTTCCCATAACCACCACTTCATCTCCCTTAATCTTTTTTGTTTTCTCCATGAATCAGGTTGCTGTGACTATCAAAAGAAGTGGGAACTCCTTTGAAGTTTTGATAAAGTAGCCAAAGAGAGAAAAGAAGTCTACTATTCAAAAATAAAAGCAGGCCAGGTGCGGTGGCTCTCACCTGTGATCCCAGCACTTTGGGAGGCTGAGGCAAGTAGATCCCTTGAGTCCAGGAGTTCAAGACCAATCTGGGCAACATGGCAAAACCCCGGTCTCTACAGAAAATTAAAAAATTAACTGGGCATGGTGGTGTGTGCCTGTAGTCTTGACTGCTTGGGAGGCTGAGGTGGAAGGATGGCTTGATCCCAGGAAGTCAAGGCTGTAGTGAGCTGAGATCACACCCTGCTCTCCAGCCTGGGTGACAGAGCAAGACCCTGTCTCAAAAAATAATAAAATAAAATAAAATTAAATTAAATTTAAAAGTGTTGTTTATACCTCCTCAACAACTCCAACTGAGCCTTCTCCAGTTACTATTTTTTTTTTTTATTGATCATTCTTGGGTGTTTCTCACAGAGGGGGATTTGGCAGGGTCATAGGACAATAGTGGAGGGAAGGTCAGCAGAAAACCAAGTGAACAAAGGTCTCTGGTTTTCCTAGGCAGAGGACCCTGGGGCCTTCCGCAGTGTTTGTGTCCCTGGGTACTTGAGATTAGGGAGTGGTGATGACTCTTAACGAGCATGCTGCCTTCAAGCATCTGTTTAACAAAGCACATCTTGCACCGCCCTTAATCCATTTAACCCTGAGTGGACACAGCACATGTTTCAGAGAGCACCGGGTTGGGGGTAAGGTCATAGATCAACAGCATCCCAAGGCAGAAGAATTTTTCTTAGTACAGAACAGAATGGAGTCTCCTATGTCTACTTCTTTCTACACAGACACAGCAACAATCTGATTTCTCTGTCTTTTCCCCACATTTCCCCCTTTTCTATTAGACAAAACCGCCATCGTCATCATGGCCCGTTCTCAATGAGCTGTTGGGTACACCTCCCAGATGAGGTGGCGGCCGGGCAGAGGGGCTCCTCACTTCCCAGAAGGGGCGGCTGGGCAGAGGCGTCCCCCACCTCCGGGACGGGGCGGTGGCCGGGCGGAGGCGCCCCCACCTCCCTCCAGGACGGGGCGGCTGGCCGGGCGGGGGCTGACTCCCCACCTCCCTCCCGGACGGGGCGGCTGCCGGGCGGAGACGCTCCTCACCTCCCAGACGGGGTGGCTGCCAGGTGGAGGGGCTCCTCACTTCTCAGACGGGGCAGCTGCCGGGCGGAGGGGCTCCTCACTTCTCAGACGGGGCGGCCGGGCAGAGACGCTCCTCACCTCCCAGACGGGGTCGCGGCCAGGCAGAGGCGCTCCTCACATCCCAGACGGGGCGGCGGGGCAGAGGCACTCCCCACGTCTCAGACGATGGGCTGCCAGGCAGAGGCGCTCCTCACTTCCTAGATGGGATGGCGGCCGGGCAGAGACGCTCCTCACTTCCCAGACCGGGCAGCCGGGCAGAGGGGCTCCCCACATCCCAGACAATGGGCGGCCAGGCAGAGACGCCCCTCACCTCCCAGAGGGGGTGGCGGCCGGGCAGAGGCTGCAATCTCGGCACTTTGGGAGGCCAAGGCAGGCGGCTGGGAGGTGGAGGTTGTAGCGAGCCGAGATCACGCCACTGCACTCCAGCCTGGGCAACATTGAGCACTGAGTGAACTAGACTCCCTCTGCAATCCCGGCACCTCGGGAGGCCGAGGCTGGCAGATCACTCCCGGTTAGGAGCTGGAGACCAGCCCGGCCAACACAGCGAAACCCCGTCTCCACCAAAAAAACACGAAAACCAGTCAGGCGTGGAGGCGCGCGCCTGCAATAGCAGGCACTCGGCAGGTCGAGGCAGGAGAATCAGGCAGGGAGGCTGCAGCGAGCACAGATGGCAGCAGTACAGTCCAGCTTGGGCTCGGCACCAGAGGGAGACCGTGGAAAGAGGGAGAGGGGAGAGGGGAGAGGGGAGAGGGGAGAGGGGAGAGGGGAGTGGGGAGAGGGGAGAGGGGAGAGGGGGAGGGGGAGGGAAAGGGAGAGGGAGGGGGAGGGAAAGGGAGAGGGAGAGGGAGAGCCTTCTCCAGTTCTATCAACTGGAGGATTATGCTCTCCAGCTGCAGTTGAGCAAGACTCCTCAAGTGCAACACCATGGAAACAGCCCACTCTTCTTTTCACAGTTTTGAAAAATAGCACAAGTATGTGTACAGTGAGAGATGTGTGCAGAAGTTGTACATGTGAATGAGTAGGTTTCTGTGTGTGTGTGTTTGTTTGTTTGAGACAGGTCTCACTCTGCTTACCCAGGCTGGAGTACAGTGGTACAATCTCAGCTCACCGCAGCCTCTACCTCCCAGGCTCAAGCCATCCTCCCACCCCTGCCCCACAAGTAGCTGGGACTACAGGTGCACACCACCATGCCTCGCTAAATTTTGTATTTTTTTGTAGAGATGGGGTCTCGCCATGTTGCCCAGGGTGGTCTTGAACTCCAAGACAACGAATTTTTTATCTTAATGTAGTTTGGAGTGGTCAGTTAGTTTGTCTTTCAAGCATAATTTAAAGTGGCTATTTAAGTGTTTCAATGATTGAGTTATTTAAATGGAAAACATAATAAAATCACTCTTATTTGAGATTTCTCTAATAAGAGTTGTTGAATTAAAAAAATGTCAGTTTTTATGGTTACTTGGGTGTCATTCTCATTTTTGGATTAATACATAGGTATGGATAATGTATCTGTATACATATAATGGTATATTGCAAACGGACTTTCCGAGGTGATTAGGGTTAAGGTCCTTGAGATGAGGAGATTATCTTGGATTACCTAGGCTAGCCCAATTTAATTACATGAGTTCTTAAAATTAGAAAACAGAAAAAAGTAGGTCAGAGAGAAGCAATATGAGAAGGATGTGATCTGCCATGGTTGGCCTTGAAGATGAAGGAAAAGACCACAAATCAAGAAATGTGGGCAGCTTCTAGAAATTGGAAAGGGGAAGGAAACAGATTGTTCCCTAGAGCCTTCAGAGAGGAACATAGCCATGTCAGCACCTTGATTTTAGCCTAGTGAGAACTGTGTCAAACTTCTTACATACAAAGCTGTAAGATAATATATCTGTGTTGTTTTAAACCACTAGTTGTGGTAATTCACACTTCAGAAAGAAAATTAATAAAGCTAGCAATTTCAATAATGGCATTCCAAATATCTTTATCTGTCAAACTGGAGGAACAAGTGGAAAATATAAAAGATTTTAGTGGTCCAAAAAAAGAAATCCTCTGCATCCTTGTCATCTAAATCAGCTAGTTTTAAATTTCATATTCCCTTCTCCCTATATCTACGGATTCTTGGAAAAGACAAAAGCTCTAGGGACAGAAAACAGATCAGTGGTTGCCAGAAGCTAGGGGTGAAGGAGAAAGTTTGCAACTACAAAATAGAATTTTTCCAGGTGATAGAACCATTCTGTATCTTGATTGTGGTGGTAACTACACCGCTGTGTATGACTGTCAAAACTCACAGAATTACTAGGGGGTGTAATAGCTACAGAAGGAAAAAAATCATTATCATAGCTATCATTAACTGTGAGCTCTTGCTTTTACCATGCACTGTACTGAGTACTACAACTCTTGTCACATTATATTCCCACATTAACTTCCATGAAGAAACTGAGCCTTTAAAAGTAAAGAAAATTACCCAACACGACTAGTAGAGATGGGCAGAACCAAGACTGGGATCCAAGTTCCTGTGACTCCAAAGCCTATACAGTTAACAATGACCATAAGTTTGGTTAATCCAGTTTACCCCAGAGCTTTGTGTATTTCCTCTAGCCCTACCATTGCCATAAAGGTAGCAGGACAAGTGGCTCTAGATCTGTCCTGTAGGACGAGCATACACCTTAGATTTTTCCAGAACTGTCTTGCTAATTTAAAATATTGTCTCTTTGTTTTCAAAAAATTGCCACAATGTCCTAGAAATTCAAATGTTTCCTCAAAATGGTAAGTGAATAAACATTGTAATAAAATATACAGAGTCCCTCAAAATCATTTTTAAATCATATTTCCTTATTTGTGATTCAGATAATATGACCCAGATACCACTATGTCACTTAGTCCCTTAGACATGTCATGGTAATTTGATGTCTATTGTATCCACTAAATTCCACCCTCCTAGGGAGGCTAATTTATGTAGCATAAAGTGGAGGGTAAGTTGAGCAATAATCCAGTTCATGTGATCCGTAGGGCACCTCAAACTGGATGGCAACTCCAGATACACAGTTTAGGAGCTAGTTCCCCAGCATAGGACATTTCAGTGCACAGGCATTCAAGATGTATATTTGAAGCCACACAATTGTCACCCTAGAGACTCCCAAACAGCATAGCTGAGTCCTCAAGCTGCCAAGATCTGCTCTCCAATTACAGGTACTTATGGTACTTATGCAGGGCCTGGGCCATCAAATTCCAGTCTCCTGGGCTGCACTACTCATCTGTCTTAGTCTGACCCTGAACCATGTGGCTGGAGCAGCCCAAAGTACCACCTGCCAGGCTGGCACCCTATGCCTACTGGCACCCTAAGCCTACTGCAAACCAGGCCAGGACTCAGGGGTGGCTGAGCCAGAAGCAGGGGAACTTCGGCTCCTACTATCTGCTTTCAGTTTGTGATCCTGTTTCCATTTCTTCTACTGTTATTCACACAATATGTTGCATTCTCTACCCATCTCCAGACAGCATAGAATTCAATGCAATATTCACTTCTGGACTGGAGTCTATGCCGTCAGGAAACGGGTAAAGAATGTAACATATTGTGTGAATAACAGTAGAAGAAATTAAAATGGGATCATAAACTGAAAACAGATGGTACCAGCTGAAGGTCCCTTGCTTCTGCCAATCCAGAAGTGAAAGTTGCAGGCCAGGCACAGTGGTTCACGCCTGTAATCCCAGTGCTTTGGGAGGCCCGAAGCTGGCGGATCACTTGAGGTCAGGAGGTCGAGACCAGCCTGGCCAACATGGTGAAACCCCTTCTCTACTAAAAATACAAAAATTAGCCAGGCGTGGTGGCAGGAGCCTGTAATCTCATCTACGAGGGAGACTGAGGCAGGAGAATCCCTTGAACCAGGGAGGTGGATGTTGCAGTGAGCCGAGATCACACCACTGCACTCCAGCCTGGGCAACAGAGCAAGACTCCATCTCAAAAAAAAAAAAAAAAAAAGAAAAGAAAGAGAGAAGCGAATGTTGCAAATTTAATAAATAAGAGATACAGAAAAGAAAGGAAATCTTAATTACCTTTAAAACAAACCAAACAAAAAAGATTTGTGCTAACTGGATTTGTTCCAGTGCTAACCTGAACTTTATACATTAATGGTGGGAATGCAAATTGATACAGCCATTTTGGAAAACAGTTTGGCACTTTTTAAATAAAGTTAAATATATGTTACCATATGACACAGCAATCCCACTCCTAAATATTTAGCCTAGAAAAATAAAAATATATGCACACACACACACACACACAATACAAATACTGATACTGACTTTACTCATCATTGCCAAAAAACAAAAACAACCCAGTGCCCTTCAACAGGAGGCTGATACAATACATCCATACACTGAAATATTAATTAGTTAGCAAATAAAAAGGCCCAAACTACTGATACACACAGGGCATAGATAAATCTCTAAGTGAAAGAAGTTAGACTCAAAAAGCACTCTGTAATATATGATTTCATTTATATGAAATTCTTGGAAAAGGCAAAAGCTCTAGGAACAGAAAACAGATCAGTGGTTGCCAGAAGTTGGGGGCAGAGGACAGAGTTTGCAACTACAAAATGGAATTTTTCTGGGTGAGGCAAACATTCTGTATCTCGATTGTTGTGGTAACTGCAACACTGTATATGACTGTCAAAACTCATAGAACTGTACAATAAAATACCTCAATTTTATTGTGTGTAAATTACATCCCTAAGCAATCTGTGATCATAAGTATCTTATGATCTTCATAAGACAAAGGCAAACCCCATTCTTAGCTCTTGTAAAAACCATTTTGGATCCGCGTGATCCACATGACTAAAGGAACACTGCCGCTTTTGGTATTTTCATGTGACAGTTGATTGGAGGTCAGTGACGTCATTCCGCGCTCACTCACCGCAATCTGCTTAGGTGGCCTCGCTCAATCCCAAACAGTCGCGTGTCCCACCACCGCCCCTCTGCCCATGCGCTCCACCTGCTGCGGCTGCTCTTTCTGGCTCCTCGCCTGGGTGGTGTCCTTGTACCTGCGGGTCTCTGCTGAAATCACCTCCTGAAAGGGGTGCTACCTCATTTTCCCAAGCTAGATTGCGTGCCCACTGTTTTTCTCTATCACCATGCCCCGTTTGTGTGCTTCACTGATCACGGTCTTCAGCTTTTTCTCGTGTGTTCATTGATAGACCTGTTTATTGCCTATATTTTCCTGGAGATGGAAGCCCTGTAAAAGCAAGCACCATTTTTGCCTTGTCTCTGGTTGTATCCCTAACACTCAGCACAGTTGCTAGACAGAGTAGGTGCTCAGTAAATGTTTGTTAAACCAAGGAGACTGGAGGCCTTGTCTAGAGTAAGCAGACCAAATCTACGGCAGCCTAAGTTGACCAAGCATTGAGGTTATCTTTAAAACCTGCAGTCGCTATCCCCCAGCCATTAAGACACAGTGGTGTCTGTACCTTGTTGAGCTGCACTGAAACCCAAGATGTGCGAAATAATATTCACAGATGCATTTCTCCTCCAAGTTGGAAGACTGCTGGGGTGAGTTCCATGGGGTTTGGATGGAACCAAATCGTGTCCATCATACACTGAGACAAACAATTATATCACAAGATCTGTGTATGTTCACAATACCTTTGCCCTATGTAATACTGCAGGATGAATGCAAACACCTCTAAAATATGAAAGAATTGGTTTGATCAATACATTATGCAACACTTCTCAGTCAGTAAATAATTAATAAGTTAAAGCTTTTCCTAATGAATGTTATTTAAAAAGATAATTTCCTATTTAAATCATAGTCCAAGACTCAAATATTGATTTCTTCTCTGGTAATTATAGGCCAAATGTTTAAATTGTAGTCTTATCTGTTAACTAAGTATTTTTTCCCTCGTCATCAAAAACTACATCCATAGGAACCACCAAACTGAACATTTCTTACTCAGGATTCTCTTAAACATATGTCACTAATTTTTTTTCTTTTTTCTTTTATTGTACTTTAAGTTCTAGGGTACACGTGCACAACGTGCAGGTTTGTTACATATGTATACATGTGCCATGTTGGTGTGCTGCACCCATTAACTCATCATTTACATTAGGTATATCTCCTAATGCTGTCCCTCCCCACTCCCCCCACCCCACAACAGGCCCCAGTGTGTGATGTTCCCCTTTCTGTGTCCAAGTGTTCTCATTGTTCAATTCCCACCTATGAGTGAGAACATGCGGTGTTTGGTTTTTTTGTCCTTCCAATAGTTTGCTGAGAATGCTGGTTTCCAGCTTCACCCATGTCCCTACAAAGGACATGAATGTATCCTTTTTTATGGCTGCATAGCATTCCATGGTATATATGTGCCACATTTTCTTAATCCAGTCTATCATTGATGGACATTTGAGTTGGTTCCAAGTCTTTGCTATTGTGAATAGTGCCACAAAAAACATACGTGTGCATGTGTCTTTATAGCAGCATGATTTATAATCCTTTGGGTATATACCCAGTAATGGGATGGCTGGGTCAAATAGTATTTCTAGTTCTAGATCCTTGAGGAATTGCCACACTGCTTTCCACAATGGTTGAACTAGTTTACAGTCCCACCAACAGTGTAAAAGTGTTCCTATTTCTCCACATCCTCTCCAGGACCTGTTGTTTCCTGACTTTTTAATGATTGCCATTCTAACTGGTGTGAGAATGGTATCTCATTGTGGTTTTGATTTGCATTTCTCTGATGGCCAGTGATGATGACCATTTTTTCATGTGTCTGTTGGCTGCATAAATGTCTTCTTTTGAGAAGTGTCTGTTCATATCCTTCACCCACTTTTTGATGGGGTTGTTTTTTTCTTGTAAATTTGTTTGAGTTCATTGTAGATTCTGGATATTAGCCCTTTGTCAGATGAGTAGATTGCAAAAATTTTCTCCCATTCTGTAGGTTGCCTGTTCACTCCGATGGTAGTTTCTTTTGCTGTGCAGAAGCTCTTTAGTTTAATTAGATCCCATTTGTCAATTTTGGCTTTTGTTGCCATTGCTTTTGATGTTTTAGACATGAAGTCCTTGCCCATGCCTATGTCCTGAATGGTGTTGCCTAGGTTTTCTTCTAGGGTTTTTATGGTTTTAGGTCTAATGTTTAAGTCTTTAATCCATCTTGAATTAATTTTTGTATAAGGTGTAAGGAAGGGACCCAGTTTCAGTTTCTACATATGGCTAGCCAGTTTTCCCAACACCATTTATTAAATAGGGAATCCTTTCCCCATTGCTTGTTTTTCTCAGGTTTGTCAAAGATCAGATGGTTGTAGAAGTGTGGTATTATTTCTGAGGGCTCTATTCTGTTCCATTGGTCTATATCTCTGTTTTGGTACCATTACCATGCTGTTTTGGTTACTGTAGCCTTGTAGTATAGTTTGAAGTAAGGTAGCATGATGCCTTCAGCTTTGTTCTTTTGGCTTAGGATTGACTTGGCAATGCGGGCTCCTTTTTGGTTCCATATGAACTTTAAAGTAGTTTTTTCCAATTCTGTAAAGAAAGTCATTGGTAGCTTGATGGGGATGGCATTGAATCTATAAATTACCTTGGGCAGTATGGCCATTTTCACGATACTGACCATACTGATTCTTTCTATCCATGAGCACGGAATGTTCTTCCATTTGTTTGTGTCCTCTTTCATTTCACTGAGCAGTGGCTTGTAGTTTTCCTTGAAGAGGTCCTTCACATCCCTTGTAAGTTGGATTCCTAGGTATTTTATTCTCTTTGAAGCAATTGTGAATGGGAGTTCACTTATGATTTGGCTCTCTGTTTGTCTGTTATTGGTGTATAAGAATGCTTGTGATTTTTTTTTGAGATGGAGTCTCCCTCTGTCACTCAGGCTGGAGTCCAGTGGCTCCATCTTGGGTCACTGCAAGCTCCGCCTCCCGGGTTCCCACCATTCTCCTGCCTCAGCCTCCCGAATAGCTGGGAATACAGGCAACTGCCACCACGCCTAGCTAATTTTTAGCCAGGATGGTCTCGATCTCCTGACCTTGTGATCCGCCCGCCTCGGCCTCCCAAAGTGTGGGATTACAGGTATGAGCCACTGCGCCCGGCCATCATTAATTTTTTTGGAGTGCAGTCTTTGTATCTCCTGTTTTCTCTGCCTGGAACACTCTTCCCACATCTCCTCGTGGCTTACTCCTTCACTTCCCACCAGACTTGGTTCAAAGATCACCATATTAAAGACCCATCACTGATCATGCAATATAAAATCACATCCATCATCTTCCCCTCCCCATACTCTGCATTCCTCTTTCCCGCTTCACTTATATCCATAGCGCTTATCTCCATCTGCCATTAGTAAATGTAACTTATTTGTTTTGTTTACCTGATGTCTGCTTTCACTGGAATATAAACTTAAGGAGATCAAAGATGGTTTTTTAAACTCTTTTATTTACTATTATATCTCTAGGGCCTAAAACAGTGCCTGGCACACAGTAGGAGATCACTAAATATGTGCCGGATGAATATTTAACAGATTGATGCAATTTATTATATCAATCACTTAATACAAAATTAATGGCAATCATCATATCCTGTGTCCGATCCCGCCTGGACAATATTCATTTGTTTCTCAGTTAGCTCTTGTTGGCAGGTGGCCATTCAGTGCTCAGGAGCTGCAAGGGTTTCAGGGGAAACTAACATTTCTTGGGTGCTCTTGAGCTATGGACAATCACTAAGTATTTCTCTGAAATTCTCAGCACAAACCAAGCAAGTATCAGGTGGAGGCAACACGATGGAAATACCACTGTCCTGGGCTTCAGGACTCTATATCTCTGTGGTGTCAGCCCAGTCACTTAACTCTCTGAGCCTCAATTGCCTCAACTGTAAAATGGAGGCAGTATTTGCCCTCCCTCCCTTATCAGGCTGAAGTGTGGGTGAAATGAGAAGTCTTTCCCCACTTCCCTATTACTCACTGCTTACCCTACCCTCTGGGTCCTACTCTGCTGCAGAAGTCTTATCAACTCACCAGAGCTAATTGGCATTCATGGACTAATGCACATGAGTTAAAAAAAATTAATGGAGATTGTAGGGAGCTCTTGGGCTTATTCTGAAAGAACAATTTCAGACAAACTATGAAGGTAAGAATTTCAGCCAAAGTATGAAGCAGAGTATGGAGGTGGCAGTTCATTTTTTAGGGGGTGATGTTCCTTTTGACATACACTAAATAGGACTTCAGACTGATCGAGGAAAAAATAGCTACAGGCTCTGGAGAATTATTGATTGGATTTTACAATTCAGGAAATGTCCTGAGCACCTGCTGTGTACCTGGTACTTGGTGAACTGGTGGCTCCAGCCAGTTACCTTACGTCAGCTACACGTGCATGTTCTCTGATGTGCCCCTTCCATCATTGCCTTGCTACAAACTAGCAAAACACAAGGCACCTAGGAGAGAAACCCCTTCCCCGCTCCTCAACAAACCCTCAATGTTGTCTGTAGATCAGGGATGTGCAATCTTTTGGCTTCCCTGGGCCACATTAGAAGAAGAAGAATGGTCTTGGGCCACACATAAAATACACTAACACTAATGATAGCCAGTGAGCTAAAAAAAAAATGGCAAAAAAATTTCATAATGTTTTAAGAAAGTTTAAGAATTTGTGCTGGGCTGCATTCAAAGCCATCCTGGGCCGCATGCAGCCACACAAGCTTGTTCCTAGATTGATAGCCGTCTTGTCTCCAATCCCAAGGAATACTACTACTGTCCTTATACATCTGAAAATACTTAGGTTAAAATTTAGCTAGCAGCTTCTGCATTCCTGTCCTTTGTGTTATATCAGATTCCCCTTTCTTTTTGGCTATTTTTCTCCTTCCCTCATGTTTATATCTAGGTTGGCGGTTGATTTATACTGGGAGGAGTGTGGTGTGGTGGTGGTGGTGGGTGCAGTTAAACTCAGTATGCATTGTCAAACCGCATGTCTGTTAAAATCTCATAGAATCAGCTAGGCACAGTGGCACATACCTGTAGTGCCAGTTACTTGGGAGGCTGAGGCAGGAGGGTCATTTGAGCCCAGGAGTTCAAGGCTGTAGTGTGCTGGATGGAGCCTGTGAATAGCCACTGTACTCCAGCCTGGGCAACATAGCAAGACCCTGCCTCTCTAAAAAAAAAATAAACACTCATAGACTGTGTGTGGTGTTTGGGTTTGGGGCTGGGCTTATTGCATTCTTGGCCAGTTCAGTCTGTGCGTCAAGGAACATATCTGATGTGGGTCTGTGAAGTGCATCTTTGTCTTTTATTAATCTTTCACAGAATAGTTAGGGCCAAAGTCTTCTAAGACTTCCCCTGAGAGAAATGTTTCGGGGAAAAAATGTATTATCTCCTCTCTGGGCCTCTAAGACTTTGCTTATTGGAGAAAAGAATTAAAAAAAAAATTCATCCAGACTTTCTGACTGGTACCAACAAAGTGTAATCTTGATACACAGAGTCTCAAAACCCAAGTTCTTTCATTCTTTCAACAAAAATTAATTGAAGTCTTCCATGCACCTGAAGATAAAAGAGTGACTAAGATAGACATGGTACCTGCCCTCCAGGAACTTTCAGTGCAGGAGTCTGGCAATAAAGAAAGAAAACAAACAAGCAAACCTAAATTATGTTAAGTGCTGAGAAGGGGAAAAGCATGGGGCAGTGAAAAATAAATGCAGGAGGAGCTCATTTAAAGTTGGGGAGGGAGAATGAGACAAGGCCTCAGGGGAAGAGTAGATAGAGTCATCTAGGTGAAGGGAATGGGTGTTAAGCTTCAGACTTAGAGTCTTGTTATGAAGGCTCTAGGATGGGAATAGGGGCTGGTGAGACTGAAGCCCTGGACATGGGGCAGAGGGGTAGAGTCCTGGCTGGACAGGGAGAGGTGGGATCAGGCAAGGATGTAGGCAGACTCCCCAAAGTTCCTCCCAAGCCAACTGATGTCCCCCCAGCACCTTTAGGGGATGGAGAGTATGGAAGGACACCAAGCTCTGCCCCACCCTGGTTTTTTTTAGGCAACGTTGACCTTTTCCCTGCAAATGAATTTCCCATGTTGACTTATTAATTTGGTGAGGACAAAGAAGGAGTACAGAATGATGAGAAATGCACAAGAGGAATTTTTGATGTATAAAGTTGAAGCATCACTTCAATTCCAGTTAAAACCAATTTAAACCTGTTTAGACAAAACAAACAAACAAACAAACAAAAAAACCCTGTTGGCTCCAGGGAACTAGTGATCTGCCCTGGTGCCACTACCTATCACCTGAATTTCTCCCTTTCTGCACCTGCAGGCTCTTTCCACACTCCCAACAAGGATCTTTTTCTTTTCTCCCCCCACTAACTATATCTTATCTCTAAATGCCGTGTCATGTAAAAGTTGGTGGGCCCTGCTGAGGTCAGCCCTGAATACATGAAAATCCTTATTCCCCTTCTAGCTGACCTTCCTGAATGATATCACCAGGTGAGAAGCAGAGGCCAAATTTAAGAAAGAGGAGATGCTCCCCTAGCTAAATCCTTCAGAGACCATCTGGGTGGCAGAAATGTAGGAGCGACTGCATAACGGCTCCACCATTGCCCACACCCTAATTTGAGCTTGGTAAGTGTTAACAATCCTTCTCCCTGAAGTTTCTCTCCAGAAAATATTTGTCAGGTTGCCTCACATCCCTTAGGCTGCTCAGGCTTCCACATAGTATGTGGAAGAAGCAGATACTTAATAATAACATTTATCAGTAGTTCCAAGCCAACTGACATGTGACCTCGACAGCAGTTCATGACAGATAACCCAGCACACAGCAAACACTTAAAAAGATAGCCGTATCCTGATAACGTCAACATGATTAACACATTGCTGCGTTTATGACTAACTCAATATCTCCCGCACATTGGGAAAATAGTTCATCTGTTGGCAACGGGCAAAAGATTTTCTCCACGGTCCACCTGGTATTTGGGCTTCCTCCTGAACTATTTGAAAAGAATAGCAACTGTTTTTTGACTGCTTATCATGAGGCAGAGCCTGGGCTAACCATTTATTGAGTTTACTCATCTCTCTAGTCTCCACAGCAGGGTATGAGGTAGGTACTAGAGATAGGGAAAATCTCTGTTTTAGAGATGGGGGAAAATAGACAAGAAGAAGGTATGAAATTTGGACAATTTATACCCCTAATAAGTGGTGGAGGTGGGGATCCTACTCGGGTAGTTTGACTCCAGATACTCCTTTAAACCATTTAGTATTGTCTATATTTGCTGGCACCACAGGGTAACTGTCAGGTACCATGGTTTCTTATAGTCCTCTGATCAGGGTAAAATTATAGCTAAACTGGAGAAATAAGTTCTAGTGTTCTTTAGCATTATAGAGTGATTATCGTTAATAATTTATTCTATATTTTCAAATAGATAGAAGAGACAATTTTGTATATTCCCAGTACAAAAAAATGATAAAGGCGAGAAGCGATGGATATGCTAATTACCCTGATTTGATCATTACACATTGTATACATATATGGAACTATTGCGCTGTATCCCATAAGTATGTACAATTATTACGTGTCAATCACATTTTCTGGAAAAGAAAGTAAATGGAAATCACTGGAGACTAGATGTGATGTGGAGGCTAGGGGAAGTGGAGAGAGTGGTTTCTGTGCTCCCCTCATTGTGGGAGTAAAATCGCCATGCACACTTCTCCATACTCATTCATGGATGTGTCTCTTTAGGATTTATTATACCTGCCCAGGTTTTGGATGAAAAGATTGTGCTAAATATGGAAAGAATGACTTTTAAAAAAAAACATACAGTTTGGTTTCACATAGCTAATGAATTTTGTGAAAAGGAAGTGTGTTTGTGCGTGTGTGCGTGCTGTAAAGGTGTATACTTCCATTAGTAAGAAAAGGGTCACAAATATTTGCTTCACTCTTTTACTCCACATTCTGCTCTCAAATCACACACCAAGGGATGAACATTGCAGTGGTTTTCTAGTTACTGAGTTTTACCAGTATTGACTTTAATTTCTGTCTTCTTAGATCTGTCGTCTGGGTTACTGTTTTATTCAACGTTCCACGCTATACCAAGTTTACTGTCCAAAAAGTCTTGAGCTTTTGAAGCTGCTGCAAAGTTAACTATGAACTTATCAGACCATTTGTAATTACTCCTAAGAATGCTTTGGAAAAAAGCAACCTATTATATAACCCTTCTCTCGCTTGTGCTCTGTTTGGCCCAGAGCTAAGTGAGACCGAAACACAGATGGGGGTCAGAATAGCCTGGTCCGAGTGGGCTCAGATGTACTTGATGAGGAAAGAAGAGTTAAAGAACAGTCATTCTTCTACCATCAGCTCCATCTGGGGCACGTGAGAAATTGAGAAAAGGGAAGGGGATTCACAATTTATGGGCACCTTCCATAGGCCGGGCACTGTGCTAGGAGCTTTCACAAATATTTTACAATCTAATTGTTTCAATTTTATAGTTGATAGCTAACATTATCAAGCACAATGTGCTATGTGATTTACAAGTATTAATTCATTTAAGAGTCACAACTGCGTAAAGCAGATTCTATTATCACCTCTTTAATACATGAAGAAACTGAGTCAGAGAGAGGTTAAGAATAATTCGCCCAAGATCATGCAGCTGGTATATTGCAGAATCAAGATTTAAGCCCAGCTCCATAAACACTGACCTCTACCTCTGCACCATACTACCTCTCAGGAGGAGGAAAATGAAACTCAGAGAGGTTATCTGGTCCAAGGTCACACAATTAGAGTGCACAGAGCCAGGGCTCAGAGCCTTGCTTTGTCTGACATCAAAATTCTTGCTTTCAACCAGGTGCAGTAGCTCACATCTATAATCCCAGCACTTTGAGAGACCAAGGCAGGAGGATTGATTGAGCCCAGGAGTTTGAGACCAGCCTAGGCAACATAGGGAGATATTGTCTCCATAAAAAATTTTTAAAAATTAGCTGGGAGTTGTGGTGCGCACCTGTGTGTGGTCCCATCTACTCAGGAGGCTGAGGCAGGAAGACTGCTTGAGCTGGGGAGGTCAAGGCTACAGTGAGCTGTGATCATGCCACGGCAGTCCAGCCTAGGCAACAGGGGTAGATGCTGTCTCAAAAAAAAAAAATAGTCTTGCTTCCCACTGCACTTCATTACTGCCTTCCTCTTGCGGTGGCTGAACTATTTCATCCTACCCTTTAGGAACAAATTCAGATAAATCTTTTCCTTTTCTGATCCTCTGTTTTCGCTTCTCTCCTTAATTCTCCTCTTCATTCTTTCCTGTCTCCATTTCTCTTCCTTTTCTCCTATCTTCTCTTTCTTTTCCTTGTTTCACGTCCTTCTTTTTCCCTCCCTTGCGCATGTCTCAAGTCTGCCAGTGACACCCAGAATAGGCAATGAGGGCTGAAAATGTTAATGAGTTCTGGCACTCGTTAATTTAAGCAGACTCATTTAGCTTCAGAGTAACTGCCAATCTTGCCAGAAGCCTGTTAATAACTGAAACAGTGAATGCTTATCTCAACGAACACTGACATGATGAATTGGTCCAATTCTTGTGACAAAGAAGCATTTCGATTTTCATTATGGTCAGCCTATTGACCAATTAGATCGGATCATTAAGTGCTCACTGGATTAATTGTTTAATAATTTGATCAAGGGTTTGGTTATTGACGTGAGTGTTCAGGTTCACCAAATTACATAACCTTACCCTTAGCTGGGTCCTAGAGAGGCCAGCAGGCACAAAAGTATAGGCTGCCAATAAACTCCCCAGTTTATTGGCCTGGGGACAATATGGGTTTATAAGAGACCACACATTTTTTTAAATAAAGGGATTAAGCCATCAATGTTGTTGGGCATGGTGGCTCATGCCTGTAATCCCAGTGCTTTGGGAGGTCGAGATGGGAGGATTGCTTGAGGCCATGAGTTGAGACCAGCCTGAGCAACACAGCGAGAACCCATCTGCACGAAATAAAAAAAAAAATAAAAATTAGCCAGGCATGGTGGTGCACGCCTGTAGTCCCAGGAACTCTGGAGACTGAGGTGGCAGGATCACTTCAGCCCAGGAGTTTGAGGCTACAGTGAGCCATGATTACACCACTTCACTCCAGCCTGGGTGACAGAGCAAGAACATGTCTCCAAAAACAACAAAAAGTCATCAATGCCTCAACAACTCCTGAACATTCATTCATGTTTACAATTCTTTTGGTACTTGATACCATCTATACATTTTGTATTCAAGTTCTAGTGCTGTCCGGGACTCTGACCCAGATCTTTTTCTTTTACATGTCTGCCTACTCATTCCCTTTTCTCTTGCTGATAACTAGACTCTCAACTGATGTTTCCAACAATCTTTCTGAAGCTTCCACTTGGCTATCCCTCAGCCATCTTAAATTCAACCAGAGTTCCTCGAACTTTCCCCCATGCAATTCTGTTAATGGTATTTTTCAGCCTCATAAGCTAAAGTCTTTGATTCATCCTTGAGTTCTTCTTCTCCTACACCCCATATTCAGTAGGTCTCCAAGTTCTATTAGTTTATACCATTGAGATGACTTCCAAATACCTTCATTTCTCTATCCCTACTATGACTGCCTTAGTCCCTCATCTCTTACAAGATGATTGCTGCAGGCTTATAAGGAGTATCTGGGATAGAATATGTGTTTGCTTCCTTATTTGTTTTCCTTCACAGTCTCTAAGCTACTTAAAGGCAAGAACTATGTCTTATTTATCTTTAGATCTAACTCCTAGCAGAACTGAGATGCGCTCACCTCACTTTAGTCCACTATTTATATTGCTGCAGAGCTTCACTTTCCACAAATCAGTCATCCCTTTATTTCCATCAGTTTCCTGTTACTTACAGAAGAAAGGTTAAGCATATTGCCATGGCATACAAGGCCTTTCACAGTGCAGTCACAACTTAATTCTCTCCATCCTTATTTCCCACCATTCTTCTTGGATATGGTTTGGATCTGTGTCTCCACCCAAATTTCAGGTCCAATTGTAAACCCTAGTGTTGGAGGTGGAGCCTGGTGGAAGGTAATTGGATCATGTGGGTGGATCCTTCATGAATGGCTTAGCACCATCCTCTTGGTTCTGTTCTTGTGACAGAATTCTCCCGAGATCTGGTTGTTTAAAAGTGTGCTGCACTTCCCCTGTCGCTCTCTGTCTTGCTTCCACTCCTGCCATGTCAGATGCCTTCTCCACTTTGCCTTCTGCCATGATTGTAAGTTTCTTGAGGCCTCCACAGAAGCCAAGCAGATGCCGGCATCATGCTTCCTGTACAGCCTGCAGAACCATGAGCCAATTTAACCTCTTTATTTCTTTTTTTTTTTAAATAAATTACCCAGTCTCAGGTATTTCTCTATAGCAATGTGAAAACAGCCTAATACTTTTTCTCTCTTCCTGACTCTCCAACTGAACCCAGATATTCCGTTTCTCTGAAGAGGCCATGCTCTATGTGTCCCCATGACTTTCACATGCTGCAGTGCCTGCCAGGAATCACCTCCTTGTGCACTGACCCCAACGCTGCCTGGAAAATGATGGCTTACCTTTTGAAAACCAGCTTAGTGTCTCTGCCTCTGGGACCCCTCCCAGACACCTACCAGACAGTTCCTTCCTCTGCAACCATCCACCACCTTGATTCTTACCTCCATATTTAATGTTATTCTGCAAGGATTTATTTACTTGCATCACTGTCTGCATTCTATTCCTATGGCTGCTGTAATAAATTACTGGAGTCTGGGTGACTTAAAAGAACAGGTACTTATTCTCTTCCACTCCTGGAGGCCAGAAGTCTCAAATCAGTATTAGTGTGTTAAAATCAAGGTATCAACAGGGCGGTACTCCCTCCAGAGATTCTAGGGTAGAAACAGTTCCTTGTCTCTTTCAGCCTTTGGTGGCTGCTGGCATTCCTTGACTTGGGCTTCTGGCATTCCTTGACTTGTGGCTGCATCAGTCTAATCTCCGTCTCCATCTTCACATGACCTTCTCTCTCTCTCTCTCTCTCTCGTGTGTGTGTGTGTGTGTGTGTGTGTGTTTGTGTGTGTGTGTGTAAAATCTCCTTCCACCTCCTTCTTATAAGGATTGGCATTTATGGCCCACCTGGATAATCAGGGATAATCTCTCCATCTCAATATCTGCAATCATATCTGCAAAGACCCATTTTCCAAATATTGTAACATTTACAGGTTCTAGGGAGGATTAGGGTCTGATATTTTGGCCACCATTCAGTCCACTGCACTGTCCCAATAAACTGGGACCTCCTAAAGAGCAGGGACAGGATTTTGCTCATATTTTTATTCCCAGCATTTAGGACTAATAGGGATTCAACAAATGTTTAATGAAGAGTTGGAGAATAAATAAACTAAACACTCTTATTTTGCAGGTATTGACTATGTATTTGTTCAACAGTCATTTATTGATCATTTTTAAATGTACCAGATACTGCCCTAGGCATAGAACATACAGTAACAACACAAAACACACATGCCTCTGCCTTCAGGGAGCCTACATTCTAGTGGGGAAACCGGACATTTAAAAGGAGCACACACAAATAAATAAATAAGTACATGATATAATAACGGTTAGGAAATAAAAGTGCAAAGATCAATGAGAGAGAATAAAGGTGTGGAAGTCAGCAAAAGCTTCTTCATGGAAGTGACTTTGTAAGCGCAGAGCTAAAGCATGCATTATTGCTAAATGAAGAGTGGAGAGAAGTACACATTCCAGGCAGAGATCATTAGTCCAGGCTTTAAGGCAATAAAGAGCTTTGTGAGTCCAATAAACAGAAAGAAGTCTGGAGAGGCTGGAGTATAATTTTTCTAAACAAGAAATGAGGAAGTACTGTCAAGGCAAATCATGCAGGCTTGGGATCATTACGGATTTTGAATTTTATTCTGGAAACATTCAGGATTTAAGACCAGTGAGTGACATGACATTATGAGATTTTAATTTTACATTATATCTCTGGCGGCTCATTTGAGTACTAATTGGAATGATAAAGAGAGGAAAGGGGAGACCTCGTGGAAGGTCAATATAGGAGTCCAGATAAGAGTTGATGGAGACTTGGACTGGAGTGGTAGCAGTTAATATGGGGAAAAGCGCACACATGAGATATATTTGGGAAGTAGAATGGATAGATTCCACATGCTAAATCAGAAATGCCTTTAAAAAAAAAGATTAAGTTCACATGTCCATCTGGTCTGGTCTGGGTAGAGAAAGTGCAAAAGTCAATGGAGTGGATACCAATAGTTATTTGATTTTTGACAAGAGTATCAAGACCATCCAATGGGGAAAGAATAGTCTTTTCAACAAATGGTGCTGGGACAACTAGATATCCACAGGCAGGAGAATGAAGTTGGACCCCTACCTTACACCATATACAAAAATTTACTGAAAATGTATCAAATATCTGAAATTGAAGAGATAAAACCATAAAACTCTTGGGAGAAAACATAAGGGTAAATCTTTTTTTTTTTTTTTTTGAGATGGAGTCTCGCTCTGTCGCCCAGGCTGGAGTGCAGTGGCGGGATCTCGGCTCACTGCAAGCTCCGCCTCCCGGGTTCACGCCATTCTCCTGCCTCAGCCTCCCAAGTAGCTGGGACTACAGGCGCCCGCCACTACGCCCGGCTAATTTTTTGTATTTTTAGTAGAGACGGGGTTTCACCGTTTTAGCCGGGATGGTCTCGATCTCCTGACCTCGTGATCCGCCTGCCTCGGCCTCCCAACCGCGCCCAGCCAAGGGTAAATCTTTATAACCTTGGATTTGGCAATGGATTCTTAAAAATAGAAGGCATAAACAGCAAAAAAATTGGATAAGTTGGACTTCATCAAAATTAAAAACTTCTGTGTATCAAATAATACTATTAATAAAGTTAAAAGGGAACCTACATAATGGGAGAAAGCTTATCTGGTAAGGACTTAGTATACAAAATATATAAAGAACTCTTATAATTCAATAAGAAAAGGCAACTCTGTTAAAAAAAAAAAAAGGGTAAATGACTTGAATAGATATTTCTCCAAAGAGGATATACAAATGGCTAAAAAGCATATGAAAAGATGAACAACATCATTAGTCATTAGGGAAAGGTAAATCAAAACCACAGGGACATACCAGTTCATACCCACTAGGATGGCTGTAATAAAAAAATGGAAAATAACAAGTGCTGATAAGGATATGGAGAAATTAGAATCCCTGTACATTGTAAAATTGTCTAGCTACTATACAATGTAAAATGGTCCAGCTACTATACAAAACAATTTGGCAGTTCCTGAAAAAGTTAAACATAGAATTACCATATAACTCAGTATGTCCACTCCTAGGTATAGACCCCAAAGAAATGAAAACACATATTCAAACAAATACTGGTGCAGAAATATTTATAGCAGCACTATTTACAGTAGCCAAAAGGTGGAAACACTCAACTGTCCATCAACAGAAGAATGGATAAATCTTGAAAACATCATTCTAAGTTAAAGAAGCCAGACCAAAAAAATCATATATTGTACGATTCCAATTATATGAAATATCCAGAATAAGTAAACCCAGAGACGGAGAGCACATTCTGAAATCTTATTTTGCATAGTTTATAAAAACTGGACGGCACTGGTAGGAAGCAAAATGCTGATAAAGTGATTTAACAAGTCATTGAGTAACATTTTCTCACAATATAAACTTAGTTCAACTTAATCCCAAGCATAGACTAAATTGCTAATTCAAGAACAATACATATAGAGTCATCAGCATGTATTTTCACATTGCAAGTGTTATATCCGGTGCATATATAACTGATATTGGCAGGCATGTGATAAAACATATGTGTTAATAATATAATAAATAACATTTATGGAACACTGACCAAGAACCAAGAACTCTGCTAAGTAACCTATATACATTTATATTACCCTCATCACAAATCTATAAGGTAGATACTTTTTTGTTTTCTTTGTGTTACATGCAAAGAAGCTAAAGAAAGCTTAGAGATGTTAACCTGCCCAGGGGCATACAACTAATAGGTAACAAAGCCAGAATTCTAAGCTAGTTTGTCCATGTCACAGGAAAACCTTATAAAATGTATGAATGTGCCCTTTTCTTCCACATATGTATTTTCATGTTGTATACTTTTCTGTCATAGGTATACAACCTTCTCCCTACAGCGCCTGGGGCGTACTGAGGGACTTGGATGAGCTGGGGAGCAGGTGAGGGTGTAAGTTTAGGATTGTTACAGCGGAAAAGAAAACAAGAAAGAAAAAGAAAGAGAGAGTTAATATTCAGCTTTTGACATCCAAACTGAGATTTTTAATGCCTTAGCAGGACAATAGACTTGAAATCACCAGGCTTTGTCAATAAAGAAAAGGATTTTTCCAAATTTTCTTATCTCCTCCTCTACCATATCAAGAAGCATACATGGAAGACTTGATCAGAGACTTTCATAGAGGAGAGATCTAGATAACATGAAAAAGCCCCCTCTGTCCTCTCTCAGTGGTCTGTGAAGAGAAGAGCAGAGTTAGATTGGCAGGGTGAGATATGTGTCCCAATCTTCCCTCTCTGTGCCAATACCCCTGAGAGAAGAGGAGTTACAGATAAGGTGAGAGGAAGTCTAAATTAAAGGGGCTTCTGTTCCCCTTTCTGCTAAGGACTCTGGGAAGGAATCACCCACATGAACTGTCTTGGTCTTGTGCCAACATGGAGGCAGCCATGTTGAAGTAAATTCAGAACGCAGCATGTTTAGGCAGGGGAGGGGCCTCATTTTAGTTGCACTAGGGGATATCAATTTCCACATGGGATATTTGAGGTTGGGGGAGCATGACATGGACGTGAGTATAGGGTCTGGAGAATTTGCCAAAAGTATTCATGTCCAAGGTGCCCTCAGGCCCAGTGAAGGCCAAGGCAGGGTTGAGGTGTTGAGAAGAGAAGGACAACCTAACCAAGCCAAGAGAAAAGACCATTCCCCTTCCTCAGCTGCAGACACCAGCAAAATACCTGGGGACTGGTTCAGACACCTTTAGTGGTCACCAGCTCAGGATGTCACTCTTAGGACTTCACCATCCTCCACCACAGACGTTCACATCACTCCCCTCCCCACCTGTCCCCCAAAACACTTAGCACCATCAGGACCAGAGGGGCCAGAAATCTGACAGAGTGAGCACTGCCTCCAAAGAAATGGAAATTTAAGTCTAAAGAGACAATTTAACTACTGACTTAAATTAGACTATTAAGTTAAAATCCAATTTTTCCTCGCTAACAAATACTATGGGAGATTATAAAGGATATTATGCAGTTATAGAACCACTTCATTTTCTCAGCAAAAATCTTCAGCCAAAATCTGGACAGTGTCAGTAAATTTGTCTGAACCCAGAGCCTGTGCTCTAACCACTGCATTCTACTACTAGCGTATGCTAATGGTAAGGCTGCAGTCAAAACCATAGGGAGGTTAAACATTTTGATGTTCCTCAAGCATATATTCAAAGTGGTGGCAGAAGTACATCACATGCTACAATAAATAATAATACTGCTTTTCTTACTGGGTGGTTGTGAAAATTGAGCTTAGAATAGAGCCTGACAATAAGTGCTATATCCTTGCTGTCGTCATTATTATTATTTTCCTAGTAACTGTAATGAACATGGCCAACTCCCTGGCATTCATATAATTCTTCTCCCACCAGGTAGCAGCTACGTATTGTAAGTGGGACTGAGCCACCCCCAGCTCCAGGTGTGATTACTCATCTGAGTAATCCAGCCCCTTGTCACAATGATTGGTACAAAAAGTGGGCACAGATCCTAAATTGGTTCAACCAGAGTGAAAGCTGTTACTTCTATTTGACATTTTGGGAGAAAGCTCTCTCTTTTATAGGATTTGGTGAGTGAATTTGTTCTCTAAAATTACTGTAGCCAATTTTGCCACTACATTGTTTAGGCTGTATTAGCAATTCTCAAATTTTCTGGTCTGAGGATCATTTTATACCCTTTAAAATTATTGAGGACCGAAGCTGGGTGCAGTGGCTCATACCTGTAATCTCAGCATTTTGGGAGGTCAAGGAGGGTGGATCACTTGAGGTCAGTAGTTCGAGACCAGCCTGGCCAACATGGCAAGACCCTGCCTCTACCTAAAATAACAAAAGTTAGCTAGGCCTGGTGGTGTGCGCCTGTAGTCCCAGCTACTGAGGAGGCTGAGGCAGGAGAATAGCTTGAACCTGGGAGGCAGAGGTTGCAGTGAGCTGAGATTGTGCCACTGTACTCCAGCCTGGGTGACAGAATGAGACTGTCTCAAAAAAAAAATTATTGAGGACCACGAAGAACTTTTATTTATGTGTGTTATAGTTATAAATATCTACTTTATTTAAATTAACACTGAGAACTTTGAAACTATTACTTCATTTAACATAATATTAGGCCAGGTATGGTGGCTTATGCCTATAATTCCAGCATTTTGGGGAGGCCAAGGTGGGAGGATCCCATGAGGCCAGGAGTCTGAGACCAGCCTGGGCAACATAGTGAGATCTCATCTCTACAAAAAAATATATATATTAGTTGGACATAGTGATGCATGTCTGTAGTCCTAGCTACCCCAGAGGCTAAGGTAGGAGGATCGTTTGAGTCCAGGAGTTTGAGGCTGCAGCTGTGATTGCACCACTACACTCCAGCATAGGCAACAGAATGGGAATCTGTTTCTAAAAAATAAATAACAATAATAAACCCCTTACAGGTTAATATAAACAACATAGTTTTAAATGAAAAAACAATGACATTCCCAGCCCTATCCCCCCCTTCAAATGTTTTATTCTAGACTGATGACTGCTAAGGGTAACTGGACCAGTCCCCAGGTATTTTGCTGGTGTCTGCAGCTGAATGGTCTCTCCCCCAAAAATTAGTGAGAAGATTGGCATTGTTTCATATTTTTGTAAATACTTTTAATATCTAGTGTAATAGAAGACAGCTAGATCCTAATATCTGATGCACTCATTGTGTTGTTAGAATATATCATCTAGCCCTTGGAATACTCCCCTTTATGCTTGGGAGAAAATGAGAGAGAAAAAGACAAATAGCATTCAAATATCTGCATTAGCTTCCTATTGTTGCTGTAACAAATTCACACAAATTTAATGGCTTAAAACAATACAAATTTATTATCTTACACTTCTGAGGTTAGAAGTCCAAAATCAGTCTCACTGGGCTAAAATCAAAGTGTCAGCATGAAGGGTTCCTTCAGGGGGCTCTAGGAGAGAATCCATTTCCTTGCCTTTGCCAGCTTCTAGAAGCTGCCCACATTCCTTAACTTGTGGCCCCACCCTCCATGTTCAAAGTCAGCAACGTAATGTCATCACAGCTTCTTCTTTGACTCTATGCTCCTGCTTCTCTCTTATAAAGACACTGTGATTACACTGGGCCCACCCAGATAATCCAAGGATATCTCCTCATTTCAAGATCCTTAACTTAAACACATTTGCAAATTCCCTTTTGCCAAGTAAAGTAACATATCCATCCACTGGTCCCCTGAATTAGAACATGGACATCTTTGCAGGCCAGCATTATTCAGCCGATCACAGTACTATTGTAAACATAGTCTTGACCTCAGGGAACACTAAAAAACGTTTCAGAGACCCCCAGGGTCCAGGCTGGCTACTCTACAGACACCCAAAATAATTGTGGTTTGAACAAAATGCATATTTCTTTCACACATTACTGTTAAGGCATAAACTGTAGAATGGCTGTCATGGCAGTTCTACAGTATCAGGGACCCAGGAAACTTTCCTCTTGCTCTGCCTTAATCTGTAGGATTTGGATGGTTTTGCCTTAAAGGTATCACCTTCAACTGTATGATTCAAGGTGATGCATTACCCATGGTTAAATTCTATCCAATGAGAAGGAGGAAAATGGTGAAAAGAGGGCACACTCTTTTTCTTTAGGGAAAGACTCAGAAACTACATACTTTATTTCTGCACATCTCCTGTTAGCCAGACCTGGGCATGTGTTCACACCCAACTGCAATGGGACTTGGAAAGGTAGCCTTTAACTGGGCAATCATGGATCTAGCTAAAAATTCTATCAGAAGCAATAGAAGTCCCTACCTTGGTTCTCATGAGGAAAATCTAACCTAGTGATGGAGATTACTGAGAATAGCAGAGCCAAGACATTTCTCAAAGAAATGAAGCCAGACCAAGCCTTCCCTGAGGCCTACCTCTGAACTTTTCAGTTGCCTGAGACTTAACACTTTCTTTATTTTAAAACCTATTTGAGCTGGGCGTGGTGGCTCACACCTGTAATCCCCACACTTTGGGAGGCCGAGGGGGGTGGATCACCTGAGGTCAGGAGTTCGAGACCAGCCTGACCAACATGGAGAAACCCCGTCTCTACTAAATTAGCCAGGTGTGGGGGCTCATGCCTGTAATCCCAGCTACTCAGGAGGCTGAGGCAGGAGAATCGCTTGAATCCAAGAGGCGGAGGCTGTGATGAGCCGAGATCATGCCATTGCACTCCAGCCTGGGCAACAAGAGGGAAACTTCGTCTCAAAAAAAAAACAAAAACCTATTTGATTTGCAGTTTCAGTTATTTGCAACTGAAGCTATCTGCTTCAGTAACTGTATAGTATTTTTCCACTCAAAACATCTTGCAGGGTCTTACCAGTTTATATGCAGTACAGGAAAAATAGCATAAATTATTTAAAGTTGGAACCACCCAGAACATTTAGGGGAAAAAATCGTCACTATGTAGTTTTAATATTGATTCACATTCCTCATTAGCTAAAAATTCAACCATAATTTTTTTGAGAAGTCTTGAACACCGTGGATTAATGAGTCTAACTTCTTTATTGTACAAGTTGCAAGGCTACAATCGAAGGTAGTATCATTCAACACAAAACTAAGAATATCTTATTGGGGCTAATATGGGGTCTTCATGATTCACAGACTCTGGCTTCTTCCATCTTGTTCTATATCCTCTTAGAGTGGTTACATGTGTGCATATGACCTCAAATAGCACCACCACATCTGAAGTCTCATCAGCAGGAAAAGTGAAAGGAAGGTCATTCCAAGGCCCTCTGAGGGGTATTTATAAATTTTTATTGAGAGAAATCATCTATCAATAATCCTTTAGGTTTTACCCAAAAAAGAACATAAATAAGGGTTATCATTTACATAATTTATTTTGAATTTTAAAACAATGTTTTATTCCCAAAGCTGTAAAATAA
The DNA here is from genome assembly GCF_000001405.40 of Homo sapiens. Lineage (NCBI taxonomy): Eukaryota > Metazoa > Chordata > Mammalia > Primates > Hominidae > Homo > Homo sapiens. The sequence goes on along the minus strand of NC_000007.14, from coordinate 107,823,171 downwards.
AACAAAACACCAAATTATCATAGGATTTAGGAAAATGTTGAGGTAAAGGCACATTTTAGGTCATCAATCGATGTTGAATGAATGGATGATAAAAGACCAATCACAGCAAACTTGCTAAGAAAATTGCATGAAAAGAGATGTTTATTTCTTTTATATAAACCAGAGATCTTGAGTTGTTATCCCCACACTCACAATAGATGTGAGAAAGTTCAATTCATATTTTCTGCTGTCAAAAATTTTCCTCTTACAGACTCAGAGAAAAAGTGTCTAAAAACTTGAATATAAGGAAATGAGTTTTTTCAAACCAACAGGAAAGACAAAAAGGAATATTTGACATTAGGAAAGGGTTACCAAAGTGGTCTTAGCCTTCACTGCTGAGCCTGGTATCACTTAGCATCTTAATAATATGCTCTGGAAGACGCACTGTATAGTCAGACTTTTGTATGTGACAACGTAGTGTTGGAATATGAAAGGACAAGCCAATAGGACTGAACTTGTTTTGAAGACTTTTAAGGGCTCTATAAATATGCAAAGAGGTGGAACATGAAATTTGGAGTTGATAACTAATTCAAGTAAAATGTATAAGAGAATGAATTTTTGAGCTTACAGTTGTGTGTCTAGAAAGGGATATAAAATTCACAATGGTCTGTCCTCTGACTTTGCCTGCCTTTCCTTGCTGGATTAGATTGGATCAGCAGGGTGTCAAAGTAAAAAATTTTTAATGTTACAGAACAAAAGAGAAAAGCCATTGGGAATACTGTTTTCTATTTTTTAAAACAGGGCAATGTAGTACTGACTGCAAGTACATAAAAGTCAATTATTAATTAGTATTAATTAATATGGTGAAGAAAAACTTCTCTCTTTTCAATAAAGGGAGTCATTTTTCCTTCCTTTTCATACCCTACTGCCCATAATGTATGTGTTCGTCCCTCTCTGTTTTTTGTTTTTGTTTGTTTGTTTGTTTGTTTTGTTTTGTTTGAGACGGAGTCTCACTCTCTCGCCCAGGCCGGAGTGCAGTGGTGCGATCTCAGCTCACTGCAACTTCCGCCTCCCAGGTTCAAGCAGTTCTCCTGCCTCAGCCTCCTGAGTAGCTGGGATTACAGGCGCATGCCACCACGCCTGGCTCATTTTTGTATGTTTTAGTAGAGACAGGGTTTCACCACATTGGCCAGGCTGGTCTTGAACTCCTGACCTCGTGATCATCCGCCTCAGCCTCCCTAAGTGCTGGGATTACAGGCATGAGCCACTGCACCTGGCCTCTCTCTGTTTTTAAAATTTTGATTACCCGACAAATAATACATTAGAGTTGGCAATATTCTCATAATCAATCTCTTCTTAATGAATTCAACAGACTTTCAATGATTATAAATAGTAACACTAGGACAAGAAATACTTAAACTTACAATGGGTCGCATTAGTCAAAGAGGTATAATAAATGAAAATATTGTGATTTTCGCATAGGAGCAATGCTGCAATAACAGGGTTATGTTTGTAACCAAATGTCTGATGCCATGTATTGTTTTAATGACCATACTATCACATTTAATCAATTCTAAATTATATGCCACACAGTAATACACTTTTTAATGTGTATATAAATCAAAGACCAATTCAGTTGCACAACCAAGTGTAAGAATTGTATTTATTTAAGGGCGCCTATGGAGAATTTTGGTGGCAGGAGCAGTGCTGATCTGTAAGAACGTTGATCATCCCAAGAAATATTGTATCTGGGGCTCAGGAGGCAGAGCAGTTCCTAGGAAATGATCTACATGCAGAAGAAACCAGGGCCCTGAAGGTTCAAGGCCAATGGAGGCAAGGTAGGCCCCAGTTCATTCTTACACACTTCAATTGGGAGAAACTGAGGTATTCAATATTGAATACCTGGCAGAGCCAGGTAGTATCTCCTTTTACCCAATCTTTGGTTGGCTCTGGGGATCTCCTATACAAAGCTTATCTGTTTTTCTCATTTTAGAGGTTCTTTGTTTCTAGTTCCTCTGTTCAGCAATTGGAATAGTAGTATTTAATCTGTCCTATGAGCACATCCAGAGAATGGCATTTTTGCCTCACATTCACCAAAACCTTAAAAAAAAAAAAAAAAAGATCAGTGCTATTGAAACAGGTACAAAAGGTGAACAATTACAGTTTCTCTTCTCATCTAAGCCTACTAACACTACCAAAATTTCTATCATAAATAACTCTTGGTTAGCTTTTTTGTTAACAAGTAAAATTGGCGTGATAGAAGGGAACTTTCCATTTTACCCTGAAAAAAACGCTTTTTTTTGCAATGACCATGTGTAACTTTTGCACCAAGAAAAGTTTTCTGTTTTGAAAATGAGCATGGGAAAGACTGCAGAGAAATGGATTGACTTGAATCAAATTAAAGAAAAGTGGAAAAGAAAATAAAATAGATACGGTAAAGCTGATTGATGCAAGATCTTGGGTAATGAGTAGAGCAGTTGAGGCTTCCCCTGCTTACTGATGACTTTCTACTCAAATTACAGCAAGGAGAGTTTACAAAAGGGTCTCAAGGATGGATGTTAAGGGGTTTGACTGTGGGAAAACTTGTTCCAGGGGTAACCCCTAACTCTGCCAGTCCAGATCCATGGTAAGAGCAACAACCATCTCTTCTCCTTCAGAAGAAATTCTCCAAGAGCCTCACCAGCTCACCAGCTGTCATGATGCCAGTTTAGTCAATCTGTGATTCCGGAGTAGGGTCATAGCACAAAAGGGACTTAGCAAAGGAATTCAATGATGAAAACAGTATTTCAGAAAATTAAACTTGATAGCAGCATGTAGTATGAATTAGAGGATATAGTAGCAATAGGAAAAAACCCTAGAGAGAAAGTAGAAAATGGTATTTATTGAGCACACACTCTATGCCATAATTTTGGTTTTCTTACATAATTTAATCCTAAAATAACCCCTCTTCACTATGTAGAAGTTATTATTCTTATTTTACATATGAACAAATTAAAGGGTGATTAAGTGGCTTACCCACGTTCTCACTGCAAATAAGTTCAGAATCAGGGAAAGGCAACCTTAATGGAGATGGAAAGATGAAGCTAAGAGACACTGTGGAGGAGGAAGGGGATTTGGTGACTCCACAAGACAGTCAAAAATGAAAGAGGAATCAAGGCTGATTTCAAACTCCTAAGCCATGGTGTTAAAAGAGTAATGCAAATGAAATTGGGGAAACCAGGAGATAAATTTGTAGGAAAGAAAGGAGTGGTTTTTTTCTAATGTTAACAATAAAAGTATTTTTTTAAAATTCAGCAATACAATATGATTTACATTGAAAAGTAAAAATCTTCTTCCTTTTCCCATTCCCACTCTCAAATCTTAGTGACTATTCACTGCTTCTTGTGTATTCTTCCTTAAAAGTTTCTTTCACACAAATAATGATCATACACTACCAACTCTTATTTACGTTGCCATTAATAGTATATTTTTAAGCTAGAGCTTTCCAGGTGTGCCTCATTCTTTTTAAAAGCTGCATCGTTTTTCACTGTACTCACTTATCCTTAACCAATTCTGTACTCAGTTAAACTTAACCAATTCTGTATTGATAAGTATTTTGGCTGTATTTAGCAGGATTGTTTATGGTGTTGTTTTTGCCACTATTATTACTTACAACTACAAAACATTGCTGCAATGCAAATTCTTGTATGAAATTTTTCTTTTTCTTTTTTTAATTTTAATTTTTATTTTTGAGATGGTCTCTCCTTATGTTGCCAGGTTGTAGTGTAGTGGCTATTCAGGCACAATTATAGTGCCCTACAGCCTCAAACTCCTGGGTTCAAGCAATCCTCCCTTCTCAGCTTCCTGAGTACTGGGACTTCATGTGTGTGCCGCTGTGCCCAGCTTCATTTTTAACTGACATATAATAATTTTACATATTTTTTGGGTTACATAATAATAATGTAAAATGATCAGATCAGGGTAATTAACATATCTATCATCTTGAACATTTATCATTTCTTTGTGTTGGGAACATTCAATATCCTCCTTCTAGTTGTTTGAAACTATATGTTATTAACTATAGTCATTCTACAGTGGCATAGAACACAAGAACTTATTTATTCTATCTAGCTGTAATTTTGTATCCTTTAGCAAGTCTCTCCCTATACCCGTCTTCCTTCTATCTTTCACAGCCTCTAGTATCTCCTGTTCTACTTTTTACTCCTATGAGATCAACTTTTTTTTAACTTCTACATGTGAATGAGAACATGCAGTGTTTACCTTTCTGTTCCTCCTTATTTCACTTAACATAATGACCTCCAGTTCCATCTATGTTGCTGCAAATGACAGGATTTCTTTTTATGGCTGAATAATATTCAAATATGTATGTAAACATTTTCTTTATGGCTCTTTATGGTTCGTTCATCTGTTTTGGGCCACCTATGTTGATCTCATGTCTTGGCTGTTGTGAATAGTGTTGCAATAAACTTGGGGGTGCAGATGGCTCTTTGATATACTGGTTTCCTTTCCTTTAAATAAATGCCTAGTAGTGGGATTGCTGGATCGTTAGGTAGTTCTCTTTGTAGTTTTTTCCAGAACCTCCATACTGTTCTCCATAGTGGCTGTACTAATTTACATTCCCACCAACAATGTATGTGTTCTCATTTCTCTGCAACCTCACCAGAATTTATTTTTTGTCTTTTTGATAATGGCCATCCTAAATGGATCACTGTGGTTTTGATTCTGATGATTAGTGATGTTGAGCATTTTTTCCTATATTTGTTGGCCATTTATGTGTCTTCTTTTGAGAAATGCCCATTCAGATCATTTGACCATTTAAAAATCAGATTGCTTGGGTTTTTTGCTGTTGAGATGTTTGAGCTCCTTGTATATTTGGATATTAATCCCATGTTGGATGAATAGTTTGCAAATATTTTCTCTCATTCTGTAGGCTGTCTTTTTACTCTGTTGATTATATCCTTTGCTATGCAGAAGCTTCTTCATTTTATATAATCCCATTTGTTTATTTTTGCTTCTGTTGCCTGTGCTTTTGAGGTCTTATTCATAAAATCTTTTCCCAAACCAATATCCTCAGGCGTCTCCCCTGTATTTTCTCCTAGTATTTTAATGGCTTCAGCTCTTACGTTTAGGTATTTGATCCTTTTTAGTTGATTTTTGTATATGATGAGAGATGAGTGCCTAGTTTCATCCTTCTGCATATATGAATATCCAGTTTTCCCAGCACCATTTATTGAAGAGACTGTCCTTTCCTCCAATGAGTGTTCTTGGTGCCTTTATCAAAAATCAGTTGGCTGTATGGATTCACTTATAGGTTGTCTATTCTTTTCCATTGGACTATGTGTCTGTTTTTATGCCAGTACCCTGCTGTTTTGGTTATTATAGGTTTGTAGCATATTTTGAAGTCTAGTAGTGTGACGCCTTCAGCTTTGTTCTTTTTTTTTCTCAGGATTTCTTTGGCTGTTTGGGATCTTTTTGGGTTCTATACAAATTTTAAGGTTTTTTTTCTATTTCTGTGAAGAATGTCATTGATATTTTGATCAAGATTGCACTGAATCTGCCAATTTATTTGGGTAGTGTTATATGCAATTTTAAAACATATTTATGAACATGTATTTCTTTTTTTTTTTTTTTTTTTTTTTTGAGACGAAGTCTCGCTCCCACTGTCCCCCGGGCTGGAGTACAATGGTGTGATCTCGGTTCACTGCAACCTCCGCCTCCCAGGTTCAAGGAATTCTCCTGCCTCAGCCTCCCAAGTAGCTGGGATTACAGACACACACCACCACACCCAGCTAATTTTTTGTATTTTTAGAAGAGACAGGGTTTCACTATGTTGCCCAGACTGGTCTCGAACTCCTGATCTCATGATCTGCCCACCTCAGCCTCCCAAAGTGCTGGGATTACAGGTGTGAGCCACCGTGCCTGGCCTATGAACATGTATTTCTGAGAGAAATTCATATTAATGGCAGAGCTGGCCGGGTGCGGTGGCTCACGCCTGTAATCCCAGCACTTTGGGAGGACGAGGTGGGTAGATCCCCGAGGTCAGGAGTTCTAGACTAGCAGCCTGGCCAAAATAATGAAACCTTGTCTCTACTAAAAATACAAAAAATTAGCCAGGCGTGGTGGCAGGCGCCTGTAGTCCCAGCTACTTGGGAGGCTGAGGCAGGAGAATTGCTTGAACCCAGGAGGCGGAGGTTGTGGTGAGCCGAGATTGCGCCGCTGTACTTCAGCCTGGGTAACGAGAGTGAAACCCCATCTCAAAGAAATTAATTAATTAATTAAATAAAATAAATGGAAGAGTTAGGTCAAATAATTTCTTTTAAATTTTAATAAATGTCTTTTAAATGTTAATAAATATTACCAAATAAACATACTAACAAATAGCCATACCTACAGAACACAGGGGGGCCTTATTCTCCACACTTTTATTATTTTATTTTATTACTTTTATTTTATTTATTCTTTTGGAAATGGAGTCTCACTCTGTCACCCAGGCTGGAGTGCAGTGTTGTGATCTTGGCTTGCTGCAACCTCTGCCTCACAGGTTCAAGTGATTCTCTTGCCTTAGCCTCCCAAGTAGCGAGGATTACAGGCGCCTGCCATCACACTCAGCTAATTTTTGTATTTTTAGTACAGACGGAGTTTCGCCATGTTGGCCAGGCTGATCTTGAACTCCTGACCTCAGGTCTTCTGCCCGCCTTGGCCTCCCAAATGCTGGGATTACAGGCGTGAGCCACAGCACCCAGCCAGAATGTGTATTTTCAAACTAATTCATCTTGCCAAACTGACACATGAATAATGTGACTACATTGTTTTAAGTTGCTGCATGAAATGTTTTTTGAGTTTGAGGAGCTGCAAGGTCACTTACAAAGAGCATTCTTGTAGGTAGTTAGAAGTATAGGATCTACATTTGAATGAACAAGGAGGAATATAGATGTTGATTTTGGAATCATGCCCATGAAAAACTAAAGTGTTCTAAAAGAGTAAGTGTACAGTGAAAAGAGCAGAGGAACAAAACTAAGCTCTGGGGATGAGAAGTGATGACAGAAAGAAGAAGATGAATCAGCTATAAGGAAACTATAAGGCCTAGGAAAATTCGGAGAAACTTAAGATTACAGAAGGCAAAAGAGGAGAGTCCAGGAAGTGAGACGTGTCACATGTTGCATCAAGAACTAGGAAAATAACCAAAAAAGAAGTTATTTGCTTTGTCAGATAAATGAAAACAGGTTTATTCAGTTTTATTATCCATATGTTGGAACTCATGTGAGCCACATCTATGGTTGAAACCTTTGCTATTTATTAGAAAATTCCACCACAACACGACAGATGAGAAACCCAGCTAAGCTCTTTAAATTTTTCCAGAGACGAAGTTGGCCCATTTCCAGAATGTTAAATAATGCTGGCAATAAAATGGAGGGTAGTTTTGAAATGACCATTCTCACCATCCCATCCCAATGTACCCTGCACACCCATTGTTTTACTAGCAGTTGCACCTTTAAAATGAAGACTCTAGCAATGCAAGGGAGGCCTGAAAGGTTGAGGATAAAAGGTTATCGTGTTACATTTAAACATATAAAATTTAATCTTTATTCCAATATTGCTGTAAGAAGTCTATTCATACTGCTACACATAATAAAATGAACTGAAATAAGAAGCAATAAAGAAATCATGACTTATTCTTGGAATGAGAATCATGAACCCTAGGTGACTAATGTCAAGACTGTGCAAAGTGTACTTCCTGCCAGTGTCTTAGCATCGTCTCCCACTCCCTTCCTCAACCACCCACACCCTCCATATATATGTGAAGATGACTTCAACTCCACTATGCCTCTCCAATCCAAGCTCTTCCAATGGAAGAAGAATGCCTTATAATTGTATTCTACAGGATTATTTCTTGTCTTCCTTTTGTACTCTCAAGACTAAAGTTTGACCAAGATAAAAGACATCAGAAAATATAATTTGTTTCCGACTGGTGATTACTCGTTGATTTTACTTTTTGCTCTCTATTCTAAAATATGAGTTTTCATCTGATGTCTCTGGACTCATCTTTGTGGTGGTGGTGGTGTTGCTGCTGCTGTTTTAGTTTTTTAAGAGATAGGATCTTGCTGTGATGCCCAGGCTGGACTGCAGTGGCTATTCAAAGGTGTAATTATAGTGCACTACATCCTCAAACCCTCTGCGCTCAAGTGATCCTCCCACCTCAGCCTTCCAAACAGTTGGGGCTACAGGCACACACCATAGTGGCTGGCTCTGGACTCATCTTGACACTGAGAGGGATTAGTAGAAATTCATATTAAATTTAGGGATTATATATTTGCTGCGTTAGACTCCTTTTGGGGTCAATCTTTATGAAGTATATAATAATAACCGTCTTGGCCGGGTGCAGTGGCTCATGCCTGTAATTCCAGCACTTTGGGAGGCCGAGGCAGGTGGATCACCTGAGGTCAGGAGTTCGAGGCCAGCCTGGCCAACATGATGAAACCTCATTTCTACTAAAAATACAAAAAAATTAGCCGGGCGTGATGGCAGTCACCTCTAATCCCAGCTACTCGGGAGGCTGAGGCAAGAGAATCGCTTGAACCCAGGAGTTGGAGGTTGCAGTGAGCCGAGATGGCTCCATTGCACTCCAGCCTGGGCGACAGAGCGGGACTCTGTCTCAAAACAAAAACAAACAAACAAACAAACAAAAGAATAACTGTCTCATTTCCAACTTAACAGGGAAACAGAAAGAGATGCTCTGAATGGACACACTGGGTCCTTGAAAATGAAGCCTGGAGTCTATTAAAAAAAATCAGTATGATTTGAAGTCAAGGCATAATAGTAAGTCTAGGGGAGGTGAAGTTTTGTTCCCTCCATGACCAAGAGATTTGCCTCCCAGTGTAATTTCTGCCCATTTTGTCAATGATGTTTGGGGATGCACCTGCAGTCAAACACTGACTGGTCAACTCAGGAGAAGGAAAACCAAGCTCATTATTTAAATGTAGTCCACTAATTGTTACACACAAATTGTCATAATTGGCCAGTCAGGCTAGCCACAATATTAAGTTTCTTAACTTTTACTCTATAACTCTTCATATTTCTTCACATATGCAAGTCTGATGAAAACTATGGACACTTTCCCCTGAAAAATTCACATTTGCATGCCCACCCCACCCTCCGACACACAAACATGCACACACATGTCTTTTGTAGAGCTTTAATAGATACCCTGAATTCTAACCACATATCCCTGGGGGTGCCCAGACAGGCACTTCTGTTACCTTTAGATGAGTTTCAGTCAGGAAAATTTTATCCAGAGATTCTTCTAGTAAAATTCAGCACAGCCAAGAGGCCATGCCTTTCAGGCTATAGAGTAGGGTGATACCACACTACTAAATATGAAAATACCCCTCTCAAAAGTGATATGAGTAATGTGCTATCACATCTGGAACAACCCCGTGGGTGGAAAACTTGATGGCTTGGGAGAACATGAATGGACCTCCAAAATCCCCTTTTTTAAACAAGTGCTAATTTTCTTCTTAAATTGAGTACACATCCAGGCTGGGCATGGTGGCTCACGCCTATAATCCCAGCACTTTGGGAGCCCAGGCAGGCAGACTACCTGAGGTCAGGAGTTCAAGACCAGCCTGGCCAACACGGCAATACCCCATCTCTACTAAAAATACAAAAATTAGCCCAGGAGCAGTGGCTTACACCTGTAATTCCAGTACTTTGAGAGGCCAAGGCAGGAGGACCATCTGAGGTCAGGAGTTCGGGACCAGCCTGGCCAACACGGTGAAACCCTGTCTCTACTGAAAATACAAAAAATTATCCAGGCATGGTGGCACATGCCTGTAATCCTAGCTACTCGGAGATGCTGAGGCAGTAGAATCACTTGAACCATGCAGGCAGAGGTTGCAGTGAGCCGAGATCACGCCACTGCACTCCAGCCTGAGTGACAGAGCAAGACTCAGTCTCAAAAAAAAAAAAAAAGAAAAAGAAAAAATTAAGTACACTTCCTTCCACCAGAAATGGAAGAACAGAATAAAACAGGATTTTTTTACCTCAATCCAAATTTGTAAATGGGGTCACATTAAGATTTCAGTATAAATTTGAAATCTTTTAAAAGAAAGATTGGTGATTCTAGTCTTTCATATTTATGCTTTAAATTAATATGCTTGCTTATTTGTTTATTGACTCAACAACCTTATTGAGCACTGGCTGTGTGCCCAGCACTATGCTAGGCACGTGGGACAGAAAGATATATAAATAAACACAGTCCATCTCCAAGAAGTGGGAGAATGGTGAGAAACCAAGAGTATTTAATACAAGGTATAATGTCAATTACAGGGATAAAGTGCGACAAGCTAAAAAAAAGAACTTTTTTCTAGGATATAGAGGTAAGTCAATACATTTGTTGTATTAAGCCTTAAATATTAAATTATTAAGTGTGCTACTAAGTTATAATCATACAATGGCTTTAAATATAGTTGAGTAACATATACTACCAAAGCTTTAACTCCATGAAACTTGGGCTAAACTTTTAAAGGATATTCCTCATTTTGGTGTTTGAGGAAAAGTTTTTGCTTTTTTTTTTTTTAAAGAAGTAAAATGAACACCCATCATAACGGCTAAAACTGAAAAGACTGATAGAGCTAAATTGTGGCAAGGATAGGAGCAACTGGAACTCTCATATGTTGAGTGTAGGAATTTTAATCGGTAAAACCACTTTTCAAAAATTATTTAGCAGTTTCATATAAAGTTAAATGTATTTCTATGCCACGACTCAGCAATCCTCCCAGGACCCAAGAGAAATAAAAATATGTTCACAAAAGACTTTTATAAGAAAGTTTGTAATAGCTCCAAATTGGAAACAATCCAAACGTTCATTAACAAGACATTGTATAAACAGAGTTTGTCATATTCATACTAATGGAATACTATTCAACAATAAAAAGAATGGGCAACTAATACACATAACAGTATAGATGCACCTCAAAAACACTGTGCTGTGAGATAGCAGCCAGGCACAAAAGGGAACATACTGTACGTCCCATTTGTATGAAGTTCTAGAACAGGCCAAACTAATGAAAGATGATAGAAATCAGAACAGAAGTTGCCTCTGGCAGTTGGCTGTGAAGAACTGAGAAGAAGCACGAAGGAATTTTCAGAGAGGAACATTCTCCACTGCGGGAGGGTGAGTGTTACACGATGTGGTAGGCAGAATAATGGCTCCCAAAGATGCCCACATCCTAATACTCCAAACCTGAGAATATGCTACCTTGTATGGCAAAAAAGACTTTGCAGATGTGATAAAGGTTAAGGACTTTGCTGGGCGCAGTGGCTCACGCCTGTAATCCCAGCACTTTGGGAGGCTGAGGCAGGCAGATCACGAGGTCAGGAGTTTGAGACCAGCCTGGCCAATATGGTGAAACCCCATTTCTACTAAAAATACAAAAATTAGTCAGGCATGGTGGTGCATGCCTGTAGTCCAAGCTACTCGGGAGGCTGAGGCAGAAGAATTGCTTGAACCCAGGAAGTGGAAGTTGCAGTGAGCCGAGATCGTGCCACTGCACTCCAGCCTGGGCGACAGAGCGAGACTGTCTCAAAAATAAATAAATAAATAAATAAATTAAGGACTTTAAGATGGGGAGATTATCTGGGTGGGTCTAATCTAGCCATATGAGCCCTTAAAGTACAGACTTTTCCCTGGCTGTGGGCAGAGAGAATGGTATCAGACAAAAAGGGCAAAAAGATACAATATTGCTGGTGTTGAAGATGCAGGAAGGGGTCATGAGCCAAGGAATGTGGGTGGTCTCTAGAAATTAGAAGAGACCAGGAAATAGATTCTCCTTCAGAGCCCCCAGAAAGGAACACAGCCCTGTCAACACCTTGATTTTAGTCCAGTGAGATTCATATCAGGCTTCTGACCTGCAGAAGTGTAAGATAATAAATTTGTGATGTTTTAAGTTATTACATTTGTGATAATTTATTACAGGATCAATAGAGAACTAACACACATAGGTATATGCATTTGTCAAAACTCATCAAAAGGTACATTCAAGATCTATATGTATCACTGCATGTAAATTATACCTTGTTATGGATTGAACTGTGTTCCCCAAAAAGATATGATGAAGTTCTAATCCCCAGTACCTCAGAAAGCCTTTATTTGGAAATAGGGTCATTGCAGATATAATTAGTAAAGATGAGGTTATACTAGCGAGTGGGATAGGCCCTTAACCCAAAGTGACTAATGTCCTTACAAGAAGGGGAAAGACAAAGATATACCGTGAGGATGCCACGCAATGACAGGGGCAGAGACTCAAGTGACACAGCTGCAAGATGAGGAATGCTAAGAAGTGATCACCAGGAACTAGAAAGAGCCAATCAGGGATTCCACTCAGTGTCTGCTGGGGGTGTGGCCTTGCTGACACCTTGATTTTGGAGCTCTAGTCTCTGAAACTATAGAATAAATGTCTATTGTTTGAAGTCACCCAGTTTGTGATACTTTGTTATGGCAACCCTAGGAAATTAATATATATCTCAAAAGTTTGTTTAAATCTGGAGTAACAAAAAGAAATAAAATATTACAGATACACTTGAAGCCCCTTTCATAGTCCTGCCAGTAAACTTCCCTCTCTCCATGGAAGTAACCACTATCCTTAATTTCTTATCTATCATTTCATTGCTTATTTTTATACATTTGCTATATATCTATGAATCAAGCATTTTTGCATGTTTTTATTTTTTCATTTATTGGAACAAAAATAGAAACTCCTCATTTCTTTCTTTTTTTTGATAAGTGTATGGGTACAATGATTTGATACGTGTACACATTATGAAATGACTACCACAATGAAGCTAATGAACACCTCTATCACCTCACAGTTACCTTTTCTGTGTACATATATGGTGAGAACACTTAAGAGCTACTGTCTCAGCAAATTTCAAGTATACAATACAGTATAATTAACTGCAGTCACTGTGCTATACAACAGATCACAACAATTCATTCATCTTATAACTGAAAGTTTATACACCCAGACTCTGTAAACCACCACTTTATTCTCTGTTTTTATGAATTCAACCTTTGTTTTGTTTTTGTTTTTGTTTTAATGTATTGCAACCTCCATCTCCTGGGCTCAAACCATCCTCCCACCTCAGCCTCCTGAGTGGCTGGGATGACAGGCGTGTGCCAACACGCCCAGCTAATTTTTAAAATTTTTTGTAGAGATGAGGGTCTCAAACTGGACTGATCTCAAACTCCTGTGCCCAAGCAATCCACCCGCCTTGGCCTCCCAAAGTGCTGGGATTACAGGTGTGAGCCACCACGCCTGGCCTGTACTGTTATTTTTTAATAGAAACCACATCACTTCATTTGTTACAGCAAATAATAAATGAGACACAATAATTCAAAAGGGACCCAAAAAGCTTTCTCATCCCACAAAATAACAGAAAAGGTAAGCACCCAAGCCTTTGGTTAATTTTTTCCTTTGATCCCTGTTCTCTCATCCACATTGGCATGCTGCTTCCAAAATAGAACTTTGCCTTTAACTTTTACACGAGCTAAGATGCTAGTCCATCAACTTGCCTTCATAATGTAATGGAGGTACCTAACTTAGCTGAGGCACCTGGACAAGAATTTGATTTCAACTTCATCCTAAGGCCCATGACTGGTTTCTTTAAAAAGCTGCAGGTGAATGAGGTAGAAAGGACAGAGACATGAGATAGAAACTAGAGAAGGACGAAGAGGATGACTCCATGCACTATAGGACCGCAGGCCTCTCAAGGCTGAAAACTCAAAGAGCAGTGTGACACCCACACAGCTGGGGAGAGCACATGCCTTCAGTTTCTCCTGTAACATGGGCCATGGGGCAAAAATCTGGATGGCAAATGTCACCATGATGAAGGCATACAGGGACCAGGGAAGGCATGAGGACAGGCAGACAGAAGCAATGATGGCCGTGTTCAAGGACAATGTGATGGCTACAACGGCAGCATTGGTGCCACAGTGAAAGCAGATGAGGTGGCCTAACAGCGTGAAGACTAACACAGCACAGATGGTGTCAGTGCTGACAGACTGTCAGGGTCTTCGACACTAGCAAACAGCCATAGATGAAAGTAATGAAGACTACAGGCTCTTCAAGTCAGCCCACCGGACATGCCCACTCTACTTCCACCCTTCACCTCTAATCAAGATCAAATAAAACATATGCAGTCAGTGAAGAAGCCAGGCCAGTCCCAGAAGTCCAGTGGGAGACCAGAAACCCAGAAACCCTTTGTCCATGTAACATCAGATAACCACAAAAACATAGACACCACGCAGCTGATGGATCACCACACTCAACTCAAATACCCCAGTCCAATATTGGTATTTCTGAGTACAGCTCTTTCAGGTCCACATAATTATCAGGGAAGGGCTGTCACTCACATAAGGGCTTCTGCCACTTGCCCTCCTTAGTGTTAGTTACAGGTTGGCATGATTTCTTTATGCACTGTCTACTGTCCTATTAATGAAGAGTAGATAGCAGATAAAAGATATTAGGCTATTTATAAGGTCAGTAGACTATCAACCAGACTATCTAGTGGATTAAGGATACTTATTTTCTTTTTTTGCTATTATAAATATTGCATATTTATATATGCTAGAAATATTCATTAACATGAGTCAATGTTTGTTAAGGATACATACTAGTGGAATTGCCAGGTCTTAGAAGATATATATCTTCAATTTGACAAGACAGTCACACGCTGCTATCGGAAATGACTGCCCCAATTTACAACTCACAACGATAGTATAAGTGTTCCTATTGCTCCACAGCCTCTGTGACACTTGGTATTTTCAGGCATTTCATTTTTACCATCTGATAGACAAAAGCAGATTTACCATAAAGCAAATGCGGTTTAGGCTTCAGGACCTTTCATTTGCATGGGCCCCTTCAAAGGCCCTGTAGTTAATTTTATATGTGAAAATTTGTAATCTTTTTCTTAAAACGACATCCACAAATTGCATAATCTTCATGCTCCACTGAAGCTAGTTACAGCCCTGCTAATGATGGATGTGAAATGTATATGGTTGTACTTACTTTTCCCTGATTACTAGTGAACTTGAACATATTTTCATATGTTAATTGGCACTTCAGGTTTTCTGTGAATTTTGCCTTTTGTTTATTGATTTGTAGGAGTTCTTGATATCTTCTGGATATTAATCTTTTCTAAGACTTAACTGGGCAAATACCTTGTTCAGTCTAGAGCTTGTCTTCACTTTTGTTGTGGTGTCTTCCATGTTTTAATTTTAATAAAGATGGATTTGTCAGTCGTTTCCTTTATGATATGCACATTTATGTGACTTGTTGAAGAAATACTTTTATTCCAAGGTTATAACAGCATACTTTTTCTTCTAAAAGTTTAAAATTTTACCTTTTCTATTTAGGCCTTTGGTCAATTGAAAAAATGTGTGTGTGATTGCTGTGAAATAGAGATCTAAATTTTATTTGTTCTACATGGATAGCCAGTTGTCTCAGCACCATTTATTGAATAGTCCATCTTTTCTCTAATGCCACGTAACCTCTATTATATATCAAGTTTCAATACATGTTTCTAGGCTTTCTGTCCTGTTCCATTGGTATATTTATTTCCCACAGCACAAACATATAACTGCCATAATTACTATAGCTTGATAATAAGTCTTTATATCTGCAAAATGTTTCCCCATTTTTTCTTCTTCAAAGTTGTCAACAAATGTTGCATGTTCTCACTAATACGTGGGAGCCAAAAAAGTGGATCTCATAGAGAGAGAAAGTAGAAAGATGGCTACCCACAGGCTGGGAAAAGTAGCAGGGAGTGGGGATGGAGAGCTGTTGATTAATGGATACAAACGTGCAGTTAGATGGAAGGGATAAGTTCTAGTGTTTCATAACACAGTAGGGTGGCTGTAGTTAACAATAAATTATTGTATAGTTCAAAATAGCTAGAAGAGAAAATTTGGAATGTTCCCAAAACAGAGAAATGATAAATGTTTGAGGTGATAGATATCATTATTACCCTGATTTGATCATTACACATTGTATGCATATATCAAAATATCACATATATCCCATAAATATATACAATTATTATGCATCAATTTCAAAAATTGTCTTGACGTCTTGACTTTTCTTGGCCCTTTGTTCTTCCATACAAGTTTTAGGCCAAGTTTGTCCAGTTCTATGAAAAAAAAAAAAGAAAAGCTTTTTCATTGTAATAGCATTTATGTAATAGATTAATTTGAAGAAAACATCTATATGATATTGAACTTTCACACTCATGAAGATTTATGGCTTCATATTTTTCTTTTTTTCTTTTTCTTTTTTTTTTTTTGTTTTTGAGACGGAGTCTCGCTCTGTCGCCCAGGCTGGAGTGGAGAGGTGCGATCTCGGCTCACTGCAAGCTCCGCCTCCCGGGTTCACGCCATTCTCCTGCCTCAGCCTCCTGCTTAGCTGGGACTACAGGCGCCTGCCACCACCACGCCCGGCTAATTTTTTGTATTTTTTAGTAGAGACTGGGTTTCACCGTGTTAGCCAGGATGGTCTCGATCTCCTGATCTCGTGGTCTGCCCACCTCGGCCTGCCAACATGCTGGGATTACAGGCGTGAGCCACCGCACCCGGCTATATTTTTCTTAGGTTTTGTTTTTGTCCTTTAATAATGTTTTCTAATTATCTCTATAAAGTTCATCATTATATATCTTTAGATAAGATTTACTCCAGCTAGGCACAGTGGCTTGCGCCTGTAATCCCAGCACTTTGGGAGGTCGAGGTAGCAGGATAGCTTGAGGCCAGGAGTTGGAGACCAGCCTAGACAACATAGAAAAAACCCATCTCTACAAAATAAAATTAAAATTAAAAAATTTACTCCTGTAATCCCAGCACTTTGGGAGGCTGAGGCGGGCAGATCACGAGATCAAGAGTTCAAGACCAGCCTGACCAACATGGTGAAACCCCCATTTCTACTAAAAATACAAAAATTAGCCAGGCGTGGTGGTGCGTGCCTGTAATCCCAGCTACTCAGGAGGCTGAGGCAGGAGAATCGCTTGAACCCAGGAGGCAGAGGTTGCAGTGGGCTGAGATCGAGCCACTGCACCCCAGCCTGGGCAACAGAGTGAGACTCCATCTCAAAACAAATAAATAAATTAAATTAGCCAGGTGTGGTGGCATGTGCCTGTAGTCTAAGCTACTTGGGAGGCTGAGGCAGGAGGATCACTTGAGCCCAGGAGTTCAAGGTTTCGGAAAGCTATGATTGAGCCACTATACTCCAGCCTTAGTGACAGAACCAGACCTTGTCTCTTAAAAATAAAAAACAAAAAGGATTTATTTCTACTAATCTTTGTAGCTTTTGTTGCTATTACCAATGATATCTTTCTTTTTATTACATTTACTACATGGTTATTATTAGTATATAGGAAGGCTATACACTATGTAATATATATCGTGTAATAATTTGCCTTTGTTCAGCTTGTATCCATCAATCTTGCAATACTCTCTTATTTGTTCTAAAATAAATCATTTTTATGCTGATCAATAATTCTGAGCCTCTACCTTTAAGTGCAATATTTTCCAGTTCTTCCATCAACCACATCTAAATACAAAATTTAATCAGTGTATAGTGGTTCTGAATAAATATTCTGTACATCTGTTAAAATTATAAAAAGCAGTATTATACAGTAAAGACATGACAAAGTTAGGCTTTCTGGATTCTAGCTGGCTTCAATAAAAGCCAATAAAAATTAAAAATTGAGATTTCACCACAAGTGAAAACTCAATCTATTCATTTGTAAAATAGGAATAAAAATACTAAGCTATCTATGGTTGTTATGAGGATTAAATGGGATAAACCCAATAAAACACATTGCAAAGTTACAGCCCATACTAAACACTAATTAAAGTTAGCTAATGTTGATAAAAGCATGATAAGTGGCACCACAGCTCATTCAGTTACGCAGTTAGCACAGGTGTGAGCCAGATTTAAAAACACAGGTTAGATTAATTTCTAACAAACGCTAATGACCTGTCCACATTCTTTTGGAATTGTCTTATAGCAAACATAATTCATTGATTGAACTGTCATTGAACCACTATTTATTGAGTCATTGTTCTGTGGTAGATTCATTCTAGGTACTGGGCATACAGCAGTGAATTCGCCAAAGTCCCTGCCTGTGTGGGGCTTTCATTCTAATGAGAAAGCCAAACATTAGCCAAGTAAATAATTGTGTATTTTTAAATTATGATGCTATGTTTTAAAAAGTACATGCAAATTAACCAAGGGACTTAAAAAAATACTCTGAGAGAATGCCACAAGAGGGGCTAATTGAGATTAGGAAGTCAAAGTGGTTCTCCTTGAGAAAGTGATGTTGAAGCTAAGTAACAGCCAAACCGAGAGAGAGAGAGAAGTGCATTTAAGCAGAGAAAATGATGTCTGCAAAGAGTGGGCAAATTTGGGACTACAGGAGGCCACCATGGTGGGAGTGGAGAAAACAAAAGTAAGAGCAGAGTCAGATGAGGTTGGAGAGTTGTGCAGGGGGAGATCATGCAAAGACTTTGGAGGCCTGTTTTCCCTCTGTGTAATCATCAGCCCCACAAAGAGGACTAGTGTGAAAAGATCATTCTGATTAATGAGTGGTAAAGAGATGGGGAGGGCTGCGAGAGGAAGCAAGAAGTGCAGCAAAGGTAAGAGTGAAGATGAAGAAAAGTGATGGCTTTGGGATGTATTTTGGAGGCATGCTCAATAGGGTTTAAGGATGGATTGGCTGCGGGTGGGGAGAAGGTCTGCAAGAAGAAGTGTCAGAGATGGTTCCCAGGTCTCTGACATGAGTAAAGGGGAATATTCTTTACTGAAATGGGGAAGACTAGAGATGGAGCAGATTTGGGAGGAAAGATCAAGAGGTCTTAATCTCGATATGTGTCGTGTTTGAGATGCCTATGAGGCATCCAAGCAAAGATGTGGAATAGGCAGTTAAATATGTGGACCTAGAGAGCTGGGGTTAGAAATCTGAATGTTGCTGGGAGCCATAGGACTCTTATTTAGGGTAAGAGGGTAGCAAGAGAGGAGAAGGAAATTCAGAACAGAATCTTAGGAAATGCCAAAGAAAGAGTTAGAGGAGAAATTGGCAAAAAGGATGAGGTGAAAAACAAGTGTGTTAAAAATTTTTTTTTAGCATTTCAAGAAGAGAAGATTTTAGCCCGGCATGATGGCTGAGGCCTCTAATCCCAGCTACTCAGGAGGTTAAAGCAGGAGGATCACTTCAGGCCAGGAGTTTGAGACCAGCCCGGGCAACACAGCAATACCCCATCTCTAAAATTAACTAATTAGTTAAATAATTTTTAAAATAAAAAGAGGAGTTCATGAAAGTGTAGTCAGCAATGCCAAATGCTTTTAAGTAAGATGAGAGTTGAAAGTATTCATTGTGTTTAGCAACATAGGGTTTATTGCTCTTAGGAAGAGCTGTGGTGGGGGCAGAAATTGGAATGCAGATATGGCCTGTGGCTGGGAGTTGGGTGAGTGTTCCTAATGAGGGCCTTTATCATACCAGGAGTTAACCTATACACCACACTTCTGCAGCCCATGACAGATTCCATGGAGTCATCCAGCCAAAAAACACCACCACTAAACTCTCATCTAAACAGGTTGGTGAAATGTCAAGGAGATAACCCTTGAGAAGATTCTTTTTTTTTTTAAGTACACGTGAGCATCTGCTGTGCAATCTCTGCAAACCAATGAAATTACGTACACACAAGTGCATTAAACCACCCACTGGTGGTTTAATCTCACAAGGAACTTGAGGAAGCAATCTTCATCATCACTTCTGCTGATCAAAGTCTCAAAGGTCAAGACCACATTGCAGTCTTTTCATTGTTGTAAAAGTTAATGAGAGTTAATTATTAAAGCTGACAGAAAGGTAATTTGTCCACTGTCTTACATAGCCTATATATAGACATCCCTATGCATATGGATGCACACAGAGCCTGTAGACCTGAGTGGATGGACACTGCCTCTTAGAACTAGAACTTAGAACTTTATCTTGAAAATGTACCACTGTTGCAGAAGCTCCTCACAGAGTATGTGTCAGGTAGGAACCAAATTTATGATTGTTATATTCAAACTGGTTTTCTGTTCCTTGAAAATGGTATTTTTTCTGATCAAAGCCTATTTAGGAGTTATTATGTTCTTGAGTTTATTCCATGTGTGTGAATATTTTGAATGAATCCACTAATAAGATATGCATGTATGTCTGGAGCGCTAGCAATGTAGAATAAATATTTAAGTAGACTTTAACAAGTAAATGGTTGTAGGCATCATTAAGTCTTAAATAGCCTTTTCAAAGATATTAGTGTTCTTGTTTTAATTATTCAGATAATTCCTTTAATTCTCCACTCAAATCTGACTTTATAGATAGATTGTCTGCTCTGAGGGTTGGCAAAAAAAAAAAAAAAAAAAGCAAGCTTTAAGGAAAGAGTTTCTCCAGGAGAGAGAATCACCTACTAGAAAGGATTCAGAAAGGCCATCTGGTCCCAGCCAGGCATAGGGATATGTATCTATAGTCCTAGCTACTCAAGAGGCTAAAGCAGGAGGATAGCTTAGCCCAAGAGTTTGAGGTCAGCCTAGGCAACATGGCAAGACCTTGTCTCTTAAAAAAAAAGGGAGGGGGTAGGGGACATATGGTCTAGAAGTGAGAGATTTATCTGCTAGACATCCTAGAAAGTCCAAGACTAAGGGAAACACGGAGAGAAGAAAAGGCAATGAGAGTAAGAAGGATAGAGACTGGAAAGAGAAGAGAGATGGGGAGAAAATGGTCACTGGAAAGTAGCAGAATGCCCTATGCCACAAGTAGTATAATATAATATAATACATTAGTAATGTATGGGTACTTATCCCATACATTACTAACTCTATCAAGATAAAATCTATTTTATTCTTTAAAATGTCAGGAAAAGATTATACAACTTTCTTTATATATGCAAGTGAGGAACAATTTATCAAATTATTGGACTAAATAATTCTCTTTTCTGAAGTAAGTTAGTCATTTGGAAAAACTGTGTCATGAAATTTGACTGCATAAAGATCATTCCTTTTTTTTTTTTTTTTTCTGAGACGGATTCTCACTCTGTCGCCCAGGCTGGAGTGCAGTGGCACAATCTCTGCTCACTGCAACCTCTGCCTCCCAGGTTCAAGTGATTATCCTGCCTCAGCCCCCCAAGTAGCTGATACTACAGGCACGCTCCACTGTGCCTGGCATTTTTTTTTTTTTTTTTTTGTATTTTCAGTAGAGACGGGGTTTCGCCATGTTGGCCAGGCTGGTCTCGAACTCCTGACCTCAGGTGATCCTCCCACCTCAGTCTCCCAAAGTGCTAGGATTACAGGCATGTGCCACCCCATCCGGCCAAGGATTATTCCTAATGAAAATTTAGGAAGCAACTAATTTGATTTCAGAAACAAGAAAAATGGGGTAACACAATACATACTTTGCCTTCTCCCTCTGGATAAGGGAATAAGTAAGTATATAAAGAAATGAACAAATGTTTAATACCTCCTAAACAGCTCATATTCGACTAAGAAACAAAATCGTTCAGAAAATGAGAATGAATATTTTTCAATTACAAGAATAAATATGTAATAACACAGTCTGGTGCTTCTCTACAATAAAGGTCTTTGATTCTCCAAAGAGAAGAGAAGAGGCTCCTCTAGCCTCTGTGTCACTTTGTTGAGAAGCAAGGGGAAGAATAAAGCAAGTCACCTCAAGGAGATTTGTCCCCAGGCCACCAGGCTCATGTTTTGTGTTGTGGATATTGAGTGTAGGAGTGTGAGGCTTTCATGCTCAAAAGCAAGGACCCTGATGGTGCCTCACCTTGTTCTTTTACCTTGTCTCTCTTGGGGGTAGGGGCTGAGACCCCTGACATTGAATATGTAGCAGAGAAGAAGACGTAGTGGAGAGAGTCAGTTATTCACTAGATGTGGCTTCTCATCCTGGCTCTGGGAAGTTGAGAAAGTCATTTATCTTCTCTCATCTCCATTTCTTCATCTGTAAATTAGCGACAATACAGCCTATCTTGTCTGCCTCCATCCACAGTAATACTCAAGGAAGAAAAGTGAAAGTGCTCAGAAAATCTCAAAGCCTTACAGAAATGGCCAGGGATTCTCTTTTGCCTGCTGTGAGCCTACTGGGTGTGAAATCCCTTGCTATGGTGCATCCCAACATTTCTCTAATGGTTTAGCCTATGGGCCAACAAAGCCTTCTGTTTCAGTGTTTGGAACTCTCAATAACCTTTCACATGATTTGCTTATTGCCCACTGCTTTGTCATCACCCCTGCCAAACCTATCTGTTCTTTAAAGTCTAACACAAGACTCACAGTTCCTTCACAAAACCTTCCTAACTCCAACCCACATTTACATCCCTTCTTCCAATTTATTATCTGCACCAATTATTTTGGGCACTTCTCCTGTGTATGTAAACTTTGGAGTTTAGGTCTACGTCATTTATATATCTTTTGCTCATAGTTCAGTTTATTTCAACAAACTTTCTTGTATACTTACTATGTCATAGGACCTAACAAAAGAGGGAAAAATGGTTAAGATTTGGGCCTTGCCCTTGGGAAACTCAGTCTTAAAGGGAACAGAAACATAAACAAATAATGTATGACATGGAATAGACATATATACAAGGTACTTACAAGAAGGAAATGATCAACTCTATCTAGGGATTCCATGAAGGCTTTACATCATTTTCTTATCTTCTACAACTGTGTTAGGAACTGAGTTCCTGACAAATAATAGGCTGATACATGTTTGTTGAAGGAATGAAGAAATGAATCAATGGTCAGCTGAGTTGTGTTTTGTTTGTTTGTTTGTTTTAGAGACAGGGTTTCTTTATATTGGCCAGGCTGGTCTTGAACTCCTGGCCTCAAGCAATCTCCCCACTTCAGTCTCCCAACGTGCCAAAATTACAGGCATGAGCCACTGCACCCAGCTGTGCTGAGTATTTTTAAGAATGAATTGGAATCTACCAGGTATTGGAGAAGAAGAACACAAAGGAAATCATGTGTACAGAGATACGGAACTGTTAAATATCATAGCGTGTTAGGAACCTGCTGCAATTGTGAAGGAGGAGTGAAGAAGCTTGTGAGATAGACCAGAGCCAAAACATGAAGGACCTTGTATGTCATTCTAGGAAGCTCGGATAGCTAGATTATTTTAAAACTATGTTAAAACAAACTGGGATAAAAATGGAAAACTGCTACTTCTAAAGATAAGCTCAGAGTAAACATAAAGTCATAGAAAAGTTGGCAGCACTAACATTTTCCAACAGGTTCCAGCTGACTTTTGTGGACCAGTTGTAAATTCCACCAACAGTCAATATTTAACTCACTTCTGAGACTGCTACCTATGAACTTAAGGCTAAGAAGTCTCCCTTTGTATACCCTGCTTTCAGTTTTAAGAACAGCCCTAGAAGGAAAATAATGGTCTCCTCCTTTTGCTTTAAGGAAATTGAAGCCTTGGGCCGGGTGCTCACGCCTGTAATCCCAGCATTTTGGGAGGCCAAGGCAGGCAGACCACTTGAGGCCAGGAGTTCGAGACCAGCCTGGCCAACATGGCGAAACTCCATCTCTACTAAAAATATAAAAACTTAGCTGGGCATGGTAACGGGTGCCTGTAGTCCCAGCTACTCGGGAGGCTGAAGCAAGAGAATCACTTGAACCCAGAAGGTGGAGTTTGCAGTGAAATGAAATCGCGCCACTGCACTCCAGCCTCCACCCTGGGCGACAGAGCAAGACTCTGTCTCAAAAAAAGAAAAGAAAAGAAAAGAAAATTGATGGCTTGAATCACTGGCTTATAGCAAACATAGTTAAGATATGGCAAGGCAAGGATTTGAAACCTGGTGTGCTTAGTTGCCAAAGTCTCACTCTTTTCTGTTGTACCTCCCGATTAATTTAGGTTTGACTTCCTTCTTCAGCATCTTCGGCAATGTAGTAATAGAATTGATGAAAAATAGTAGTAACAATTATTGCCCACCTCAGCCTTTGACCCCTTCTGAGCTCTCTTAATCAACCTCAGTGCTGAGACCCCTCCCCTCCATTCACCACTCCAGCCCTCTCCCATTCTGATGCCATCATCTCCCTGCTTCTATCCAGCCTCACGCTAACCAGAATGTGGAGCTTTTTGTGAGCTTGATTTCTGATTCCTCTGGCTGCCGATGGAGATCCCTCTGAAGGTGCTCACTGGAGCAATTATTCTGCTTGTTCCCCCATCTCTCACCCACTCCCCCAAGTATAGTTATCAGGACGCTGCTGTATTTCCCATTGTCCAAGGACTAATTCATGAAATAGGGCTGGCTTACCTCTGGTTTTGCACTGACTGGCTCAGAGATATTTTGAGATCCATGAGGTGAGTTGTGTTTTCAGCAGATTTCAGGCACAGTGTGGCATTTTCAGTGATGTCTCTATCGAAGGCCTTCCTCAGCTTGAACAGCTATGAAGGGGTGATGCTGCTAGGAGCTGCCTTGTCCAAGAGTGGAGGCATCTAATGTGACTGCGGAGGGGCTGGGAAGTGTTCTGCACCCTTGCTTGTCTGCTGGTTTCAAATGACCGCTAATTAAAGACAAATCCTAGCACCGCTCATCAGCATCTTGGTTCAAATTAGTTGTTTCCCAGCAAAAAGGGCAGACCTCTGAAAGACTAAAACACAGAATAGATAAACACTGAGTGGAAAGGTCAGGGCCAAAAGACACTTCTCAGCAGAGCGGGGCAGGCAGAGTGGAGGTTCTCGTAACTGGAGGCCAGTCTGCAGGTTGGAAATGGGTGGAACTTGAAGTGGTGGGGAGGTATGTACATGACAATCCCTAGAAATATCAAAAAGTTATTAATACATGGGAATAGTTAAACTGAGAAACTGAACTTCAGAAATTAATCCCAGGATTAAATTTCTGCTCAAAAAGAAAAAAAAAAAGCAGAGAACAACAACGTGTATGACTAAGCCACAGCACCAAGATATGTAGGTATATGAATGTCTTCATGTGTGTGTCTATGTATGTAATATATATATCATAAAGGCCAAAAAAATAATAAAAAGCACGTCGTAGGGAAGCAAATAAAAGTGGAAATATATACAAACAAGGCTTGGGATTCTATAATTAGTAAGAGGAAGGGACTCTGTGAATGAATTTCAATCCCCAAATCCACTGACACCCTAAGGAACTCAGAGATCCATGAAGATAGAACATGAAAAGGCTTTTACATTAATATGGGCGTAATATTTGAAATTGGAATTGTGATTCCAGGAACCAGAAAAAAGTGTTTTCCAAGAATTTCTGGCAAAAATGTAACTTGTTCAGGTGAAAAAAGAGTTTAAACAATCTCTTTTTAATTCCTAATTAAAGATGAGCCGAGATCTCGCCACTACACTCCAGCCTGGGCGACAGAGCAAGACTCCGTCTCAAAAAAAAAAGGTCCTGCTCAAGAATCTCAGAAATGATGACATGGAGAATGTCATTAATTTATGACTATCTGGAACATCTCTTCAGCAGAGGCACCATTGGGGTAGTTGATTCAGAGGCCCACATTGTATGTTACACATGGAGGCATAGCTTTTGGAAGCGGGGATGGGTGCAAGGGGAAAACAGAAAGGCTGGAATGTGGCCCTCAAGATTTCTCTCTAAAGTCTGGAAAGATTTCTTTTCTTTTCTTTATTTTTTGAGACGGAGTCTCGCTCTGTCACCCAGGCTGGAGTGCAGGGGCATGATCTCAGCTCACTGCAACCTCTGCCTCCCGGGTTCAAGCAATTCTCCTGTCTCAGCCTCCCGAGTAACTCAGATTACAGGTGCCCGCCACCACGCCTGGCTAATTTTTGTATTTTTAGTAGAGACAAGTTTTCACTGTGTTGGCCAGGTTGGTCTTGAACCCCTGACCTCAAGTGATCCTCCTGCTTCAGCCTCCCAAAGTGCTGGGATTACAGGCGTAAGCCACCGCGCCTGGCCGGAAAGATTTCTTAAGCTCCCCTGATTCCTACCCTGAGCAGGGCCCTTGCAGGCAGTGCTTGGGTATGAGGAGGAGGCTTTTACTGGCAGGACAGCCAGAGTTCAGGCTCTTGATCCAGCTGGAGGTATAAGAAAGCCCACTAAAGAGACAGCCATAGCCATCCTCAGAGAAGGAAACTGATTAGAAATGAAGTTATATTTCTCCCATCACTGTCATCGGCAAAAAAAATTAAAATAAAAAAAATACAACAGCCAGAAGAATAAAAGTACCTTCAAGATCTTTTTTGGGGAAGACAACTAATAAATTTCTGTGAACTCCTTGAGGAAAGCATGAGTAAAGCAAGCAAAGAGCAGAATCTTTTTTTTTTTTCCTGGCCATAGCAGCATCTGACAGAAGTACAAATGCACAGTGCTGAAGTCTTCTTCATCCTAAGGTTGGCTAGGTTGGTTCCTTCAAAGGATTAAAGCTGTTCTTATAAGATATTCCAGATACCCTTTGTGAGAAATCCAAGATGTCAGAAGTGATTGACCATGGATTAGATCTTAATTATTATTGCCCCAACCATGTTGTTGGTAATCAGCCAAAAAAAGACAAAAATCCATGCTCTGCACAGCAATGCACAAGTCACCTCCACTTTGTGAGCAAGTTCTTCTGACAATGGGAAGTACTGTCTAGTTAGTGGGATTTGACCCCTGAAGTGTGGGTGGAGAGATGGAAGAGGGAATGGAAACAAAAGAGAAAACAAGCACTTGGGAGTGGCAGGGGAGGAGAGGCCCAGAAAGAATAGCAAAGGAGGATCTAAATGTCATAACCGAGGCCCTGGTGGTGCACCTATCAGCAACTTGGGAGGCTGAGGTTGAAGGATTGCTTAAGCCTAGGAGTTTGAGGCCAGCCTGGGCAACATATGAAAGATCCCTGCCTCTACTGAAATATTTTAAAAATTAGCAGGGCATGGTGGGCCACACCTGTAGTCCCAGCTACTCAGGAGACAGGAGGACCGCTTGAGCCTAGGAGTTAAGAGGCCATAGTGAGCTATGATTGCACCACTGCACTCTACCCCAAGCGACAGTGAGATCCTGTCTCTAATAATAATAATAATAATAATAATAATAATAAGGGAGTCATAACTGAGCTCAAAGGAACTCAAATTCTGGAGATCAAGCCAGAGATGTGGGGCAGAAGCAGTATATTGTGGTCAAAAGTGAGTACAGAGGACTTTAGAGGAAACTAGAAAATGGGATGGGAGAGAAAAATGAGTGATCAAAGAGAGGTCAAGTGGGGCCAGCAGTAGAGGCCAGCATCTGATTCCTGGTTATAACTTGAGCTCTGCAAACATGCTGAAAATCCCATAAGGTATATGAGGGCACGGTGTAACAAGATACTATCTAGTGTGAGATAATTCAATTAATCACTGTGATTGAAGCTGAGGAACAAAACTTGGGCATTATGAGTAGTAATACAGAACAAGATTAGAGGGAAAAAATGCTAGCAGTTAGTTGGAATGTTCTTCGATTATGTTTATATTGAACAATAGAGAAGCTGCATGACATAGAAAAGAGAGCAAAGAAGTCTGAAAATGCAGGTACCATTTCTGCCATGTTAACAAGCTGTATGTCCCAAGAAAAAGTATTTCCAATTTAGTGTGGGTTTGGAGTGTGTGTGATTATTTTATCATTTGTAAGAATAAAATAATAATAATAAAATAATAAGGGTAACTGCCTCAAAGAATTGTGAAGGCTAACTTGGTAATGTGCATTTAAACATTTTGTCAAATTGATCTTTTAAGCATAATAGAAACAGGATTGAGATAAGAATTAAAAACTTAAACATTTTGTGTAAAAAATGCTAATAATCAAAATAATAACTACCATTTAGTAAATGCCTATAGTGTGTTGGATGTAAACCAGATGCTTTGGAAACCTTATTTAATCTTCACAATCACCTGAAACTTGAATATCTTTATCCCCATTATACAGGCAAGGCTCAGAGAGGTTAAGGAACTTGCCCAGGATCATTCCTTTAAAAAGACCTTATTACTCACAAATGAAGTAAACAAATAATATTTAGTTTGTTTCATAGTTTCCTTAACTATAAATTGTAAAACTCTAACTCCCAGAAACAATAAGGAAATAACTGAAATAGGCAATACCTTTGAATTTCACAATTTTTTAATTTTACAAGGTAAAAAAAACAAATTTTAAAATTCTGTTGGGTAAATTGGAACAGTCTGGACTGGAGTTGGGGCAATAAAAAAACTTTAAATCTAACCTGTCCCAACACTTAAATGCCTTAACTTTGGAAATATTTCTGGGAAAAAAAGTTGATGAGAATATCTTGCCTTGTAAGTAAAAAATTGACTAATTGATTCATAAACTGAGTCAATTTTGTTACTTTTTGGCAAATTAAAAAATAAAGCTCTTGTTTACTTACCTAAAAGAGCCACGTCCAGCTCACTGGAATAAAACATCGCTGTCGCAAAACACAATCTAGGTCCCTTAATCCTGCCTTTTTTGATCTTAAAAGGTGGTAACATTCAGTTCGGAGCTCACTCATCTGTAAATTGCATCACATTATCTCTGAGTTATTTAAGAAGCAAGCTCTGTTTGGTTTCAGGCATTTTTAACCTGCTAAAGGCAAGAAGAAGTGTTCACCACATAGTTGCAAAGGTCTTCAACTTGCCACAGCCAACAGAAAAATCAAAATGATTGAACCCTTTGGGAATCAGTATATTGTGGCCAGGCCAGTGTATTCTACAAATGCTTTTGAGGAAAATCATAAAAAGACAGGAAGACATCATAAGACATTTCTGGATCATCTCAAAGTGTGTTGTAGGTAAGATATTTTTTAAGGTATTGGCATTAGGAATACATTTTTGAAGCACTTTCCCCTAAATTTTCTAACTTTCCAACTCTCCTTTCTGGCTCTAGTCCACAGCCTACAGTCCTTTCCTCTTTAGTTTCCAAACCTCCTACTCCCTGACAGAGTTGGAAAGGTAGTGTCTAAAATGAACCCCATCTCGGCTTATCAACACGGTCTTTCCAAATCAGACAACTAACAGATGGGGACAGAGGAAAATTCTCATTTGAAATATTGCATGATTTGAGCTGAGGATGACAAATAGGTCTATTATGGTTAAAGAAAAGCAAGCATTTTAAAAAATCCTTTGTTGGTGACCAGAGGGCAGCTGATTATGGGTAAAGAATGTTACTGGGAGTGAAATTACTAGTTTAATCTTTAGCATATTACCATCTTTACCAATTTCCCACCGACAGGTACTAAACTTAAAATTTGATATTAATTGACTGACCTGTGGCTTTCCATGTTTTCAGCTGTTCCCCACAAAAGGCCAAGAGAATTGTCCTCTCTTTGTTCCCCATAGCATCTTGGTTGCCAGCATACCGGCTTAAAGAATGGTTGCTCAGTGATATTGTTTCTGGTATCAGCACAGGGATTGTGGCCGTACTACAAGGTAAAATTTTTTTTAAGTATAATTTATATACAATAAAATTCTTCCTCTGAATGTGTACAGCTCAGGGACTTTTCGTATATTCACTAGGTTGTGCATCTGTCACCACTATCTAATTCTGGAACATTTTCACCACCACCAACCCCTAAAAATCCCTTACCCATTAACTTCACATCCCCCCTACCCTTTCTCTGTGGATTTGCCTCTTCTGCATATTTCATGCAAATGAAATAATACAATACATGGCACTTTGTGTCTGGTTTCTTTCACTCACCGTAATGTTTTCAAGGTTGATCCATATTGTAGCATGTATTGGTACTTCATTCCATTTTATGGACAAATAAGTATTCTGTTGTATGGACATATCACAATTTTTTTATCTGCTCATCGGTTGATGAACATTTGAGTTGTTTCCACTTGGGGGCTATTATGAGTTATGAGTAATGCTATTTTGAACATTTGTGTACAAATATTTGTGTGAGCATGCTTCAATTTTCTTGGGTATATCACTAGGATTGTAATTGCTGGATCATAGGGTAACTCTATATTTAATCATTTGTGGAACTGCTAACTTATTTTCTAAAGTAGCTACACCATTTTACATTTCCACTAGCAGTGTATGAGGGTTCAGATTTCTCCATATCATCAACACTTGTTATTGTCCATCTTTTTTCTTTTAGCTATCCCAGTGAGTGTGAAGTGGTATCTCATTGTGGTTTGCATTTGCATTTCTCTAATGACTAACAATATTGAATATTTTTTCCAGGTGTTTATTGGCCATTTGTATATCTTTTGAAACATGTCTATTCAAAGTTTTTATCCATTTTTAAATTGGGTTATTTGTCTTTTTGTTGTGGAGTTGCAAGTGTTGTTTCTATATTCTGGATACCAGACCCTTGTCAGATATACAATTTGCAGATAACTTTTTTATTCTGTGAATTATTGGTTAACTTTCTTGATAGTATCCTTTGAAGTACACGTTTTTAAATTGTGATTAAGTCCAGTCTATCTGTATTTTTCATTGGGTGCTTATGCCAGGGGTCCCCAGTCCCTGGGCCACAGACCAGTACAGGTCCGTGGCCTGTTAAGAACTGGGCCACACAGCAGGAGGTGAGTGGCAGGTGAGCAAATGAAGCCTCACCTGTATTTACAGCCGCTCCTTATTGCTCTCTTTACCTCCTGAGCTCCACCTCCTGTTAGATCAGCGACAACATTATATTCTCATAGGAGTGCAAACCCTATCGTGAACTGTGCACGCAAGGGATCTAGGTTGCATGCTCCTTATGAGAATCTAATGCCTAATGATCTGTCACGGTCTCCCAACACCCCCAGAGGGAACCATCTAGTTGCAGGAAAACAAGCTCAGGGCTCCCACTGATTCTACATTATGGTGAATTGTATAATTATTTCATTAAATATTACAATGTAATAATAATAGAAATAAAGTGCACAAAAAATGTAATACACTTGAGTCATCCCAAAACCATCTCCCCTTCCCTAGTCAGTGGAAAAATTACCTTCCACAAAACCAGTCTCTGGTGCCAAAAAGGTTGGGGACTGCTGGCTTATGCCATAGGTGTCATTTCTAAGAAACCATTGACAAATCCAGGTCACAAAGATTTATACCTATGCTTTCTTCTAAAAGTTTTATAGTTTTAGTTCTTACATTTACATCTTTAATACATTTTGAATTAATGAGGTAACTTATTTTTAGGATCCAATTCTAAATACCATAAGAACCAAATGAGAATGTCTTTGATTCCTCTTGCACAGAGTAAGGGCTCTGCTGCTTGTGTGTTTACAGGTTTAGCATTTGCTCTGCTGGTCGACATTCCCCCAGTCTATGGGTTGTATGCATCCTTTTTCCCAGCCATAATCTACCTTTTCTTCGGCACTTCCAGACACATATCCGTGGGTAAGTCAGTTACTGAGCTGATTAATGCTCACATTGTTTTTTCCTTATGAATTTTATTAGCCATACCTTCTATCAATTCCAAATTTCACATAATCCAGGAGAAGAGTCATGGTCTCCTGTGAGAATTAGGACCAGGGTTTGAGATGGAGGGCAGGGTCACAGATGGCAGCCATTTTATTTATTTATTTATTTATTTATTTATTTTTATTTATTTTTTGAGACGGAGTTTTGCTCTTGTGGCCCAGGTTGGAGTGCAGTGGCACGATCTCAGCTCACTGCAACCTCCACCTCCCAGGTTCAAGCGATTCTCCTGCCTCAGCCTCCCAAGTAGCTGGGATTACAGGCATGCACCATCACGCCTGACTAATTTTTGTATTGTTGGTAGAGACGAGGCTTCTCCATGTTGGTCAGGCTGGTCTCAAACTCCCGACCTCAGGTGATCCACCCGCCTCGGCCTCCCAAAGTGCTGGGATTACAGGCGTGAGCCACCACGCCCAGCCTTGCCAGTCATTTTATATGGTCTTATTCTGTGGTTGAAAGACAATGTGCTTTAGAGAGGCATATACTGACCACGATTCACCCACTGTTAATTAGGTCCGTTTCCGATTCTGAGTATGATGGTGGGACTAGCAGTTTCAGGAGCAGTTTCAAAAGCAGTCCCAGATCGCAATGCAACTACTTTGGGATTGCCTAACAACTCGAATAATTCTTCACTACTGGATGACGAGAGGGTGAGGGTGGCGGCGGCGGCATCAGTCACAGTGCTTTCTGGAATCATCCAGGTGAGCACCTTCTCATGTAACTTGCCCACCTCAATCTGTTCATCTTGACTGTTACACATCTCTCTATTTTTCCTCCCCCCTGCCACTCCTCCCCATCTTCCCTTTGGTTTGTCTCTCCCTCATGGCCCATAGGAAATACTGTACGAAGGGTCACTCACCACAACCAGAGGGAGAGGAGTGGGTCAACAGTACAAAAACGAATGAATGTGGGTCTAGACAGAAGGAAGAAGGGGAATGGAGAGGCACAAACAGTGACAAGCGAAATGCTTCAACATATATCTGGGAATTGATAGAGTCAAGAAACAGCATATCTGGGAATTGATAGAGTCAAGAAACATAACTGTATACAAGAAATCGTCATACTGGTGGCTTTGGAATTTTTTTCTTTAATTCTTCAGCAACTATAATCTAGTTGGAAGGGATGGGGGCTTTGAACTGTTCATGTCAATTTTGGGGAAAACTGACGAGGATTATGGTGGAGCCTAAAGTCTCACTTCCAAGCCGTATGCTGACACTCCTGCTGAATACTGAAAATGTCATGGACTTTTTGAGATGTTGCCTAAGTTTATGGATAATGATATTATTGGTTAAGACCATTTCTTAAAGAAAGGAAAAGTCAGTTTCTACAAGGACATAAGCATGCGTCTTATTGACAATTTGGTTAGTTATTTCTAATACATTTCTGAACTTAGTATAGAAATGGAACCCAACTGGGCTTTGGGCAGCCACAGCTCTGGCTGCGTTCTGGAGATGTGAGCAGAAAGACAGGCCAAGTATCCAAGGGAAGGAGAATCCATCCGATTCACTCGATTGCAAAACAATGATGCTTTAGGGGGGAATTAACCATCCTTTTCCCCCAGCTAGAACCAAGCACTTCTGATGTCCAATATGCAGTTATGTATTTCTTAAGCAAGTTGAGCAACTTTGAGGAAATAGGATAGACACTCGCTCATGCGTGCTCCAGCAGCTAGAAAGTATAACTTAAAATTACATCAGCAAATTTATGAGGGCTGATGCTAGGTAAGATTCTACTAGAAAAGGCCTATGAGTCTTCCAAAGACAGCACACTTAAAAATAAATTAAGTGCAAATAAGCCTGTTACTTCTTGGGGGCAAACTAGACTTATATCCTATGTGAATACCATGTGACGTTCCACCTGGATGATGCGGTGGAAGGGAAGGAGAGAGAGGAGCCCTGGGTGGGAGGCGTCCCAGGAGGCAGGGACATTTGCTTCTTCAAGGCATGTACATACAGGTTGAGCCTTTACGTTTTGTGTAATATTATTTCAGTTGCGGATCCTTGAGTTTGCTGAGGTATACTCCTAATCTATGCTGACAAAGGCTTTTGTTCTCTTTCCAGTTGGCTTTTGGGATTCTGCGGATTGGATTTGTAGTGATATACCTGTCTGAGTCCCTCATCAGTGGCTTCACTACTGCTGCTGCTGTTCATGTTTTGGTTTCCCAACTCAAATTCATTTTTCAGTTGACAGTCCCGTCACACACTGATCCAGTTTCAATTTTCAAAGTAAGTATTTCTTTCACCTAAAAAATACTGAAATACATGAAACTCACTACTGTGTTTTTAGAGAGCTTTCCTTTAATGCCTTTGCCATGGGGTTTACCTACAGTTTGTAAAATTTTTTCATATTAAAAAAGAAAGCAGCACTTTGGGAGGCCGAGGCGGGCGGATCACGAGATCAGGAGATCGAGACCATCCTGGCTAACACAGTGAAACCCCGTCTCTACTAAAAATTAAAAAAAAAAAATAGCCGGGCATGGTGGCAGGCACCTGTAGTCCCAGCTACTCCAGAGGCTGAGGCAGGAGAATGGTGTGAACCCAGGAGGCGGATCTTGCAGTGAGTTGAGATCACGCCACTGCACTCCAGCCTGGGCAACACAGTGAGACTCTTGTCTCAAAAAAAAAAAAAAGAAAAAGAAAAGAAAAGAAAAAGAAAGTAAAGCCAGGCATGATGGCTCATACCTGTAATCCCAGCACTTTGGGAGCCTGAGGTAGGAGGATCACTTGACACCTGAACCCAGGAGTTCAAGACCAGCCTGGGCAACAAAGTGAAACCTCACCTTTACAAAAAATAAAATAATTAGCCGGGCATGGTGGTGCATGTCTGCAGTCCCAGCTTTTTGGAAGGCTGAGGCAGAGGATCTCTTGAGCCAGAGAGTTAGAGGCAGCAGTGAGCTATGATTGCATCACTGCACTCC
This sequence comes from Homo sapiens, assembly GCF_000001405.40. Taxonomy (NCBI): domain Eukaryota; kingdom Metazoa; phylum Chordata; class Mammalia; order Primates; family Hominidae; genus Homo; species Homo sapiens. Next base: position 107,788,831 of record NC_000007.14, on the reverse strand, counting down.
AGCCTGGGCAACAGAGCGAGACATAGTCTCAAAAAAAAAAAAAAAAAGAAAAGAAAAAAGAAAAAGAAAAGAAAAGAAAAAAGGAAACGAAAGAAAAGAAAAAGTAGCAAGGGAACAATACTGAAAATCAACCACATCTACCATACAGCTAATGTTAACAACAAAATTAAGTAACACTTCTCTTAGATTTGACTCAAGTACTTTCCAAAAGGAAAAAAAAAGTCTATGTTTTAAAAGCTTTACCATTTTGTCCCAAGTTTTAAACTGTTTCTTAAAATCTTATTTTGAAAGAAATTTGCTAATTGAGTTATGATGTTTTCCTGTTTCTTGAAAAGCATGTCTCATTCTTTTAGAATTGAAGTTCTTGGGTCTTTTTGCATCCTGTTTAGAAAACAAAAGAACATTTACCACTATGTAGATAGGGCAGCAGTTCTCCCCTCCTCCAGAGGATGCAAAGTAGAACAGATAGTGTTCTTAGTTTTAAAACTTGGGACAAAATGGTAAAGCTTTTAATAACATAGATTATTTTTTTGAAAATACTTGAGTCAAATATAGGAGAAGTGTTACTTAATTTTTGTTGTTAACATTAGCTCGATGGTAGATGTGTTTGATTTTTAACGACTCCCAAAAGTTTTTGGGAGTTGAGACAGAACTTGCTCCAAATTGGAACCAACACTCTCTTTCATCCAGAGGTATTCCAAAAGTGGAGTGTTCTAGAAGCAATTTGGGATCCAGTTTTGGCCTGCTTGAGCTTTTTGGGGTAAGTGGATATGGAACCCAACTAGCTTCAAGAAGTATGTGCACATGCATAGTGCACAGTTAGCCAGAAAACTATTTTCCAAAAGTGACATAGAGAGTCAGCTAAGAAATATGAGGGGGTGTAAACCCCCCAAGAGGGCCAGGAATTGAGCATACTAAGCAAAACTATCAAAGATCAGAAGTTATTCCCTGGACAGAGTAGTGATGGCTGTGAAATAAAAAATGACGACCAAAGAGACCTAATAAGGGCAGAAGACCAGTGGTAAAAATGTGAAAAGTATCCAACAAAATTTGACACTAGCCAAAGAGATTCCCAGCAAAAATGCCAGAAGCATTCTTAAACTAGTGTGCCACCTACACTATGCTAACTTACTCTTCTCATATCTCCATCGCTACTCTCTACAATTTCACATTCACAATTAAACCGGGGCAATACAGGAAATCACTATCAGTCTCTATCAGTCTTTTTGCTTCCATGTTTATTTTTATTTGTTTGGAGATGCGTTGTATCCAAATTGTGCATTAATATAGGGCTTTGGTGGTTTTTGTTTTTATAATTGTAGGTACTATACTCTGTATTCTCACAAATAGAGAAGACTAATATTGCAGACCTGGTGACAGCTCTGATTGTCCTTTTGGTTGTATCCATTGTTAAAGAAATAAATCAGCGCTTCAAAGACAAACTTCCAGTGCCCATTCCAATCGAATTCATTATGGTAATTGATCATTTTCAGACTCTGTCATAGCTACTCTACTGTTTATATGTTGTAAGTCCTTCACCATTTGTAGCTCAGGAAGTTTTAGTGGGGCAGAGGCCATCTCTGCAGTTTTCGGGCATAATGTTTAGCATGGTTTTATTTTCATTCAGAATTTAATAACTTCCTCTTATGATTTTGAGTTAATTTTTTCCACGTGAGACAAGGATAGTGCAGAGAGCAAGACCCTTGACAAAATGTCGTGTTAGAGCCATTTGAATTTAGCTGTGGTTCTCAATCCTGGCGGCATGTTAGAATTGCCTCCGAATTTCTTAAAAAGTAACAAAGCCTGGGCTGGAGTTCTTACTTAACAGGTACAGAAGTGGGTTTTGGCAATTTATTTTTCTTCAAAGCAAGACTCTTACTTGCATCTCACATTTCTAACTTGGGCCATTTGCAACTTTGCAGACCGTGATTGCAGCAGGTGTATCCTACGGCTGTGACTTTAAAAACAGGTTTAAAGTGGCTGTGGTTGGGGACATGAATCCTGGGTAAGTGTGTCTTCGATGATGGCATCACCATGCACTAAGCAGAGAGTTAGCAGTAGTGACAGGAGAGGTACAATCCGAACTGCAGTTCAGCCTGCAGGTAACCCTCATCAGAATCCTCCCTGCACCCTGCATCCCTAAGGAAGGCTCACTGCTTTCCTTCTAGGAAGGTGCTACAAAGAAAGGCAGGGTGTGCAGTTCTTTTTTTTTTTTTTTCGCCTCCCCACAGTGAATGCAGTTCTTAATATCAGAAGGCTTCTCCTTGTGGAAGAACTCACAAACAAGACAAGCAGGGACACAGACCAGTAGAAACTCACAGGAAAGTAAAAGTTAGCAAAGTAGTGAAAGTCTAAAAATAAGCAAAGTAAGGCCAGACCCGGTGGCTCATGCCTGAAATCCCAGCAATTTGAGAGGCCAAGGTGAGAGGATCACTTGAGCCCGGGAGTTCAAGACCAGTCTGGGCAACACAGCAAGACCCCCATCTCTTGTTTTTTTAAAAATATATAAATAATACCATAAAGAAAAATAGGCAAAGTAAACTGCTTCTCCTCTTAAAGAAACATCAAGTGAAACCAGATTTCCTTGTCCATAAATTACTATAAACAATATGTAATGCTTTGTTTGAAGTTACTGGAGCCAAGTTCTGAAAGTTCAAAGAAGACACTGAAGGAACACAGGCACTCCACGTGAGCAGTCCAGATAGGCACACTCTGTCCTTTCTCCCGATCAGATTCAAAACAAGGGCAGAGCAACTTTTCCCACTGCAAAAGGATGAGAAGTCCAGTTTGTACAAGAATTTTAAAATGTATTTCATTACATTCAGTGGATTGAGAAGGAAGATCATTTTGTGTTGTTTCTTCTAACCACAGAATCAGTTTCTTCCAACTTACCAAGGAAAAGGTGTTTTCCTGTTTTGTTTTGTTTTGTTTTGTTTTTTTAAAAGACTTCTCTCCCTCTCTATGCTTAAGAAATATTTGAGAATTCGAGAAATCAGCATTTATATGTATTTTTTTTACTTTAAAACAGCCAAATTCTTTTAAAGGCAAATATATGTACTTTTTATTTTTTTAAAGAAAAAACATTTTTTTTATTACCAGATCTTCGTGTGTTACATTTCACGAATCTCAAGCATCACTTTTAATTTTTAAAGTTTTAAAGTGGAAATTAGGCTGAAACTGAAAGACTGTTTCTAGGGTTTCCTTCTATTCTGCCACTTTGAAGTGATTTCACTTTACTTAAATGTCTTGGGAGACATAAACCAAATAGAAAAAATGAATACTTGCAAAACCAAACAGGATCTTGTCAGAAGGGCTTGGAAAATAAAAGATAAACTTAAGATCACTGAGTTACACCTTAAATACCTCAACAACAGTCTTATTTAGTGAATGTATTTTCAATGTCAGTGTACCTCTCTCCACAGTGTGTAGGGTGTGGCAACGGGTAACCATTACGTTCAATAGAGTGGCAGTGTAACCTAGTAGGTAAGCTCCAGTGTTCTAGAGGCAGAGTACCTGAGATTTGATTCTGACTCACTTTTTGAGCTTGAGCACATTACCAAAAACTCTGTGCCTCAATGTTCTTGGCTGTAAATATGAGGCTAAAAATAATAGCTATCAAGTAGGATTCTTTTAAGAGTTGAGTGAGTTAATACATGTAACATGCTTAAGTGCCTGACTTACAATAAATGTTCAAATTACACTACTATTGTTAACTAGTTTAACACCTAAATTAGGTAGCAAGCACTTGAGCTTTTTATGCTCCATTTTTTTTTCTGGGTGATGATTGAGTAGGTATTTTAAGTTTTTGTTGATTGCAAATAGACTATAACTGGAAGGTAGTGATTATTAATTATTGCTAACCTACTGTTCATGACTATGCCACCTTAGTAGTTATTTTGCAAAGTCTCATACACTAAATACAAATAATTTGGCTGAAGAAAAGTGCTCATTGAAACAGTAAAGGAAACACAAGGAGTATATTCAGATTCCAGAGGGATCCTATAATAATAGCTAACAGGCACTTTGTGTTTTACAGTGTGTAAATAGTATTTGCATTTATTATTTGACCCTCCCACTAAACTGTGAAGAAAAGAGAACAAGGACGGGCGCCATGGCTCACGTCTGTAATCTCAGCACGTTGGGAGGTCGAGGCGGGTGAATCACTTGTGGTCAGGAGTTCGAGACCATCCTGGCCAACATGGCAAAACCCTGTCTCTACTAAAAATACTAAAATTAGCTGGGCGTGGTGGCACACACCTGTAGTCCCAGCTACTTGGGAGGCTGAGGTGGGGAGATCTCTTGAGCCTGGACAGTGGAGGTTGCAGTGAGCTGTGCACTCCAGCCTGGGAAAGAGGAGACCCCATCTCAAAAAAACAGAGAACAAGTTTTATTATCCTCACTCTACAAATGAGGAAATTGTGACTTGGGAAGGGCAAGTGGCAGAGCCAGGAAATGAACCCAAGTCTTTAGACTGTAAATCTTCATCACATCATTCTGTCTATGGTGTTCAGAGACCAGAACAAAAGAATAATAAGATCCTGGTTATTAAAAAACAAAAACATTCCAAGCTAACTTTTGGATTTATAATGGCATCAGATATAATAGTACTTCTTCAAAATTATGGTATAATAGTACTTCTTCAAAATTAGAGATAAAAATGTATTACCATAGATATTCACAAAATGTGGAACAGCAATTCAGAAAGAGTTGATTGGACCTAATTAACCCACTTCCAATAAGTCTGATGTCAGAAATATATGCTTATAGGAGTGGAACATTTTAGTAAATTGATGTTGAGTTTAAGATACATGCACCTTTTATGATACAATTAGTAAATATAATTGAACTGGTCTACATTCATGAGGCTTAAGCACAGAAGTACGCCCTGTGAGTTGAAGGTTTCTCTGACATATATCACCTTAAAGAGAAATCCACTCTCCATTAGGGTCATGGTTGTCTCTAGCATTTCTGTGAAGTGCAGGGCAGAGTCCAAGGCCCATCTCTTTGCCAGGAGTTTTCCATGAAAGGTTATTATTATCAATGGAAAGAAGACTTTTTTGCTTTCCTTGTCTCACAATTGTGTTTGCTCAAAGGACTTCATGTATGGATAACTATTGGGAGCATTTTGAGTGATGCTTTGCAGCCCAGTGTAACAATACAAGTGGAATAGAAGACATTTTGCAGGAAGCTTATAAGAATACACACGCACATTATAGTGTGGTTTTACTGGCAAAATCATATCTGATTTACCACTATCCTTGGATTGAATTTGCAGTCTTTTACCAAATTCAGGCAGTGTTGCTTTTCAGCATTAAGAAAGCAGATTGCAAAATTGTTAGTGGAGCTAAATTCTCGTTAATCATACTCCAAAGTGAGACACAACTCAGCCTAGATTGCATTCATTCATTGATTTGCCCAATGGTTATATCAGTTTATAAATTGGTTGGTGACATTCAGACTTGCTTAATTTCAATTTTAGATTTCAGCCCCCTATTACACCTGACGTGGAGACTTTCCAAAACACCGTAGGAGATTGCTTCGGCATCGCAATGGTTGCATTTGCAGTGGCCTTTTCAGTTGCCAGCGTCTATTCCCTCAAATACGATTATCCACTTGATGGCAATCAGGTAAGTAAACAAACTACACTGGGTCTCACTGGGCAACTTTAAATAATATTTTGCACACATAATATCAATGGTGCCACTTCTGAAAAAGGTTCATTCTTGTCTTCCTGTCAGGAGTTAATAGCCTTGGGACTGGGTAACATAGTCTGTGGAGTATTCAGAGGATTTGCTGGGAGTACTGCCCTCTCCAGATCAGCAGTTCAGGAGAGCACAGGAGGCAAAACACAGGTATGTCAAGATCTTTGCTGCAAGCACTGTCCTAGCGTTAGTAACTAGGAAATTCAAGCCAGGGGAAAAGTTGAGTTGGTGATGATAATTTTTTTATCCTCACAGATTGCTGGGCTTATTGGTGCCATCATCGTGCTGATTGTCGTTCTAGCCATTGGATTTCTCCTGGCGCCTCTACAAAAGGTAACACTGTCTTTGGATAGCATCTCTACTTTTAGTGGTAAATCAAGGACCCCGGTTCTTAAATTCTGAAAGCACAAACTAAACTAGGGGAAATGAGGTAATGACAAACTCTCAAGTACTCTTCTTAGCCAATACTCTGTATGAGCCAAAAATATTTCTTTTTCCCTGGCAACATGTTCTGAATGTTAGGAACACAGGTGCCCAACCTGCCTTATCTCCTCTACACTTTGCATGTGCATAGCCCCAAATAGAATTAATGTTGAAATAGGAGGGCACCCTGGCACCACACTTTCAACACGCATGGACTGAGTAGAGGTTTTCTTAAAGGTTAAGGTAATCAGGCCCTCTATCTAATTCAGAGAATGGCCCTACCAGCCACACAACTCGTTCTTAGGAACACACCCTGAAGCTTCTAGAACTTTGGTTTAACTCCAAGACCAACACTGTTGGATTGTGGGATGGGAGTGAACAGCCAGCACAGACCTCCCAGCCCTACTCTCATGCTCCTCTGCCTATAAGCTTGAGGGTTTAGTTTAATACTTTGTAAACTGCTGCAGCACTCAGATATAAAACATACCATCAGACCCTGGAAAGCAAAGGCTCTCTAGGAAACAAGATGACAGTAAATACATTGTTCCTTGTGGTTTTAATATAATTTTGAGGTGGTACATGGAGCCCTGTTGACCTCCTTCTAATCCTGGCTCTGCTACTTATTATCTGTGTGATTTTGGGCAAATTACTTAACCTTGCTGAACCTCAAGCGCCACATTTGTAAAATAGAAAGGGAAATAATACCCACTACACAGAGTGACTATAAAAATAAATAAGATCATGTATGTGAACTACTTAGCTGAGGGTTTGGCATATGATAAATACTTGATAAATGATAGTCATTATTGTTAATAATATTATTATTCTACATTGTATTACACTCCTGGCTATAAAAGACATAGAGATATGATACAGCCCACAAATGTCTATTGGCTGTTACCTAGGCCTTTTTTCCTTGTTGGTTGGTAGCCGAACGGTGACTGTGGTCCCAGGTTGCTGGACTCCCAGTGTGGTCATCTCAAAAAGCTCAATGGCCAAATCCATCTTCAAGCAGGGCAGAGAACAATTTGCCAAAAATATGCATTCTCCATAGGCTATACTTCTGATTTCAAAATAAGTGGCATAAAAGGAATGAAAAAGTCACCACTAAAGAAATAGAAGAATGTTATCTCAATAAAAATAAACGCACACACACTCACCCCTACAGAGAGAACTCCACCCTCTCATGCTTCTCCCCGGGTGTAAACTTGAGTTCTACCTAGCCCACATCAATTTGGAGACACTAAAGAAATAATTACCAAATCTTGTCCAAGATTTAATCAAAGCCCCTTTTATAAAGGGTCCTGTGATATGTTCTTTTTAGGCCATTGTGGTCAGGAATGTCTTTGTTTCAAACACCCAAATAACTATTTGCTTCTTTTTATCATATGAAGGCAAAATAACCCATAATAAAAGCTCATAATAGGTATTTATTGAGTGCTCACTGCATGTCAGCAGAGCTCTAAGCGTTTTCTCTTCATTTAATCCTTTATATCAAATGCAGTATGGATACCAGATTACTGCGGAAATTATCCCCCTTTCCTTTCTATGATTTCTTAATGCTCTGTAATCTTTACTTTAAAAGTAATCTGTTGTATATGTATGTCATCGTAAATTACTTCAAATTGTTTTTCCGTAGAATACTGACTAGGTGGGAAATAATGCCCAATGGAAAAAAAAAGTCTCTTCGCACAGGTGTCTCTTGACATATTTTATACTTAGAGAATTAAAAGTCCTGCAAAATGGAGAGGCCCGTTGTACAGTCCTCTGACTTCTTTGCCTAGCTACCACAATGGTGACATCTTACACAGCTGTAGTACAATATCAGTACTATACATTAGTATAGTATGTTAAGTAGATTACAGACTTTATTCAATTTTCACCATTTTTTAACTGGCATTCACTTGTGTGCCAAATTTTTTAAAAGTCACTTAAGACCATATTTCTTCTAAACTGTGACCTCTATTCTCACAGTTAGTAAAATTAATTGCTTAGATATTATATTATAAGGATTACCTGTGAAAATTAGAAATAGGCAGATCAGTTCAACTGTCCTCAAGATATAAAAATAAAAACTGTATTTGGCTTTTCTTTGTACACTGTGTTTTCATGGTATAGCAGTATACAAATTCCATACTCCATTCAGAATAAAATAAATTGGCAGGGGGAACAGGACGGTGAGGGGCATGTTCCTACAATTACGATAAAATCCAAAGAATGAAGAGAATATACTTAGCTATTCAGCATTTTTCACCTTAACTATCACAATTCCTGCAAGATAAAAGATCACATTCTGGCTGTGGAAGAATTGGAAGTCTGAAGCTTGGCTGTAGGGATTAGTACTGGCCTGGGAAATATTCATTCATTGGCTCAGCCACTCATTCACTGACTAATTTTAAAGCCCCTCCTGTATGCATTTAACATAGTAGGTTCTGGGGATATAGCAGGAACTAGATAGATATGTTTCATGCTGTCCCAGAAAGCCCGCCTCAAGTCATCTCATTCCAGGACCTCAAGCTTCCCAAGCTATTTTTTTTTTTAACAAAGAGCAACCCCCATCTCCTTGACTCCAATAAACAAACACACATTAGACTGTCTCTGCTTGGGAGGAATTTATTCCAAATGTTAGTCTGTCATAGGTCTGAAGGTCTGCCTTTCTCTGTCCCAAGGTGCAGGCTACTAAACGCCATCAGATCATCTATCTCATAATCACAAGAGCAGCCTAGGCCTTGTCACTGTTGTGGGGACAAAGTCATTCATAGGAACAGGTCAGAGTCCCAGTTCTGGTGTGTCTTGCGTGGCATCGCACACCGGAAAAGGGTGTAATGCTTTGATTTGCTTTGAGGCCCTTTAAAGCACACACTTATCTATAGCCTTCACCTTTGCTTCCCTGTGGTTTATTTCATTAACTTAAAGTACATCTGATGTTTGTGTTTTTCACAGTCCGTCCTGGCAGCTTTAGCATTGGGAAACTTAAAGGGAATGCTGATGCAGTTTGCTGAAATAGGCAGATTGTGGCGAAAGGACAAATATGATTGTGTAAGTAGAGGCAATAGTATTTGAAAGAGAGATAAATCACAATAGCATTTTAATGCTAATGTGAAATGCATGTTTATATTGTAAACTAAGTGAAATTTTGTTTCTATATATCTGTTCAAAAAAACCTTAGTTTGTTTTATTTGCTATTTTTAAATTGCATATTCTAATGGTCATTTTCTGGGACTTTAATTTTTTTAAATGGCTACTTTTAATTTAAAAGAATGGGCTCCATGAAACACTAGTCTAGAACTTCCTTAGGCCTATTCTAAAAGTTCTTGCAGTAATCCCAAGTACCACAGAAACTCTCTGAATTTAGGGTACGCATGGCTTCTGTTCTTCATTACATAATGTTTTTGTTTCCACGAATCTGTGAAGAACTTAATTTCTGAACATTGCTTTTGGAAATACTCTCATTTGGAAAGGCTCCCCCTTGCTCTCACATGCTTTGCTATTTTAACAGGGTCAAAGTCTGTGGTGTAAAAATGCCTGTTAACATACCCTTAGGTATTTAAAGATCATAACTAGTAAACTACACTTGGTTTACTTTTGTGGGGCGTTTTAACACCCTTTTGGCATGCTAAAATTCTTATAAAGATAGCAACCATTAATTAAATCAACAGACCAAGAGTAAAACATTAGTATAAGCTCTACCAGTTAATTTGCTGATTTTTTTTTAAGAGATAGGATCTCCCTCTGTCACCCAGGCTGGAGTGCAATGGTGCCATCCTAGCTCACTATAACCTCAAACTCCTGGGCTCAGGCAATCCCTCTGCCCCAGCCTCCTGAGTAGCTATGACTACAGCTGCACACCACCATCCTCAGCTATTTTTTTTTATTTTTTGTAGAAGCAGATTCTCACTATGTTGCCCAGGCTAGTCTTGAACTCCTGGCCTCAAGTGATCCTCCCACCTCAGCCTCCCAAAGTGCTGACATTACAGGTGTGAGCCTTCACGCCCAGTCTAATTTGCTGATTTTAATGAACAGCAGCTGGTTCTATTAGGTTGGTGCAAAAGTAATTGCAGTTTTTGCAATTATAATTATCACTGTGACAGATAATTCCATTTCCTAAATGAGTTGGAGATGGGATTAGAAATAAATACACTTTCTTTGAATCCTCTTATATTTGTGTGTGTTTTTGTGGCCCAGAACCTGAGCCAGCAGAAATGACCTCTTGGGAAAAGTGTCTTCTGTGCACTTTGCTCCCTGGCCCAAGATGACAACTTTCAACTTCCACCACGTCTGGCAAATTTTTAAATTTTTTTTATAGGGACAAGGTCTCACTGTCGCTACAAAAAAAAAAAAAAAAAGTCTTTTTAAAAGACCCCGTCTCGACATTGTACTTTAATCAAAGTAAATTGTAGTGTATGTGTTGCTTTCTTTTCACAGTTAATTTGGATCATGACCTTCATCTTCACCATTGTCCTGGGACTCGGGTTAGGCCTGGCAGCTAGTGTGGCATTTCAACTGCTAACCATCGTGTTCAGGACCCAATTGTGAGTGCTCAAAGTGCTCTGCATCCTGGCAGGCTTGGACCTGCCCAAATCAGAAGAGGAAAAAAAATGTCACTGGCTAAAAGAACAGTAGTTGGTTGATAGGTGTGCATTTCTATCAGGATGGGGCAGTTTATCCTCCCTCCAGTTGCTCATCTCAAGGCCTGAAGGGCAATAGCACGGCCCAGCTTTAGAACATCAGCCCAGGGAGGAGACTTGCTGTTGGTCTGCTTCTGGCTTTGACTCCAGTTCAAATAAATCATATAAATCTCTGAGTCTATTCGCCCAGCTATAAACCAGAAGTAATTCTATTCCAAGCAGGTTTAATGTCTTTGCCTTGTACTTGTTAAACATGGAAATGTGTTACTGAGATTGTGAGATTGTTTCCATCTAGTGGATGGATTTCCTCTTTATAGGTTGTTAGATTGCCCTCGTACCTTTAAAATATGGAGCTGGATTAGAGAACTTCTCAAAGGCCCCTCTTACCTTAAAATTCCACAAAAGCCATTTGGAATTCTTGATTTTTAATAATCATTCAGTCCAAGCATCTTTTTAATTTTTATTTATTTATTTATTTATTGTCTTTTGAGACAGAGTTTCGCTCTTGTCGCCCAGGCCGGAGTGCAACGGTGTAATCTCGGCTCACTGCAACCTCTGCCTCCTGGGTTCAAGCGATTCTTCTACCTCAGCCTCCCAAGTAGCTGGGACTATAGGTGCCTGCCACTGGCTAATTTTTGTATTTTTACTAGAGACAGGGTTTCACCGTGTTGGCCAGGCTGGTTCGTGAATTCCTGACTTTGGGTGATCCGCCCGACTTAGCCTGCCAAAGTGCTGGGATTACAGTCATGAGCCATGGCGACCAGCCTTGATTTTTTAAAATCTCTGCCATGTAACATCACTACCATGTGGTTGCTCAGCCTATTTTGAATTACATGGTGTGACAGAAAAAGATGCTTCCTGGGGAACTAAGGAGTTCTACAACAGAAATTGTTATCACAAAGTCAATCCCTGACTGATGGAATACATCCATATTGAAATACTCCCGAACTCTTTCATTTATTTATATTTCATTCCATTTTTTACTGGGAACCCATCAAACATAGAGACAAACTGAATGGTCATAAGCAAGTCATTTTACTTTTCCATGTTCTCATCCATACAACTGGGTAATCATATCCACCTTACCTCATGGAATAACTGTGATATTCACAATCAAAATGGCAAAAGCATATGGAGTGCTTTGTAAACTGTAACATGACAAATGGGAGGCACTTTTCAGGTGCTGTGAGAGGACACAAAGATAAGTAAAACAAGGTGTTCACCTTCCAGAGTCTCTGATGGCATGATGATTCCCCAACCTTTTACATTTTGAAAAGTGAGCCTGCTTTGGTATGCTGGAAAAAGTCAGTGTTAGCCTTATAGGCTTAACAAACATACATGAATGATTTACTTGGTGTTTTTCTCCCTACAGTCCAAAATGCAGCACGCTGGCTAATATTGGAAGAACCAACATCTATAAGAATAAAAAAGATTATTATGATGTAAGGGAGATTCATGTTTTTCTTTGACTTGCTAAATGATATTAACTATGGATCTAATGGGCAACACCTAACAATGCTTCTCTGCCTTACAGATGTATGAGCCAGAAGGAGTGAAAATTTTCAGATGTCCATCTCCTATCTACTTTGCAAACATTGGTTTCTTTAGGCGGAAACTTATCGATGCTGTAAGGTTTGGGGTTATTTAATTTTTTTCCTTGTAATCTTACTGAATTCTGGGAATGTCATTGTTCTGTAAGGTCATTGTTGAGACTGGGTTGTGTCACATATGTTGAGGTGGGGTTGTGTCAGTATTTTTTGTCCCACGTCCCAGAACAGATGAAACTACCTTATGGGGAGTTTGTTAATAGGTTGGGAAATAAGCCTCTTCAGATGACATCTAATATAGAAGAATCCTTTTCTCAAATTCTGATGTAGAGTAAAAGAAATTTACCAAGTTTTGGGCTGCTAGCTTTTAGTAGATGTCATCCTACAGATTTTCTTTGGGCATCAACTTCAGAAACAATGAAGGAGCATTTAATATTTGACCACATCCTCAAAGAGATTCAGTATAACAGTTGTAAATGAATAGTTAATACTGAATAACAATACATACTGAGTGTCCCTGGCAAACTGGAGAGATGATGACAAGGAAGCAGTCTTGACAGTTAAGAAAAAAAGCTCAGTCCTCCCTCTTGAAACATGCCTTTGGTCTACTCTGTACCTTGCATACAGCCTCTGCCTTAAACCTTAACTATTATTATTAGTTTGATATGCATCCGACATTTTTCTACCGAGTTTTTTGTTGTTGTTTGCAAAATGAGATTATATTGTATATTTGGTTTTCTGTACTGCCCTTTTCGATTACTCTAGTAAACTTCCATCTAACTATATTTTTTGTCAAGGATTTTTTTTTTTGAGACAAGGTCTCGCTTTGTCACCCAGGCTGGCATGATCACAGCTCACTGCAACCTCAAACTCCTGGGTTTGAGCAATCCCCCTACCTCAGCCCCCCAAGTAGATGAGACTCCAGGCATGTGCCACTACACCCCGCTAAGTGCTAAGTTTTAAATCTTTTGTAGAGACGAGGGCTTGCTTTGTTGCCCAGGCTGGCCTTGAACTCGTGGCCTCACGCAATCCTCCCACCTCGGCCTCCCAAAGTGCTAGGATTAGAGGCTTCAGCCACCACGCCTGGCCAAGGATTTTTTATTACATAATTTGATCCTCCTCTCTTACTTATCTGTAACTAAATATTACAGCAATAAGAATTCATTAGTGTTGAAAAAAACAAAGATTAGCCTCAAATATAATACTAAAATTATAAAATAAAATTGTACAATAATAAATAACATACCATTATAAATTTTAATAAGATAAAAATTACATACAAGCAGAATACTTATGTAGGTGCAACTCGTACTCAATAAATAGAAAATAAGTAAAATAAAATTCCCTAAGAGTTGTGTAGGTTCCAAACACAAACAGATTCAAATAGAGTTTATGTCCATTCATGGATAATTTATGGATGAATCCTGGACTGTGTTATACAAAAGCTTTTGACTGTTGATAACTGCATACAGGTGGAGCAGACCATGGGTCTGACCCAATGTTCTGGCTGATATTGTTTAAACCACTTTTAAATTTTGTCACAAATATTTTTATTATCTGTCCCAATCCCTCAAATCACTCCAGTTAAAGTTGTTAGAACTATGCTATATAAATAACAGAATATTCAGTACTCTTGTAACACAGCAATGGGTTTCTCAGGTTGGCTTTAGTCCACTTCGAATTCTACGCAAGCGCAACAAAGCTTTGAGGAAAATCCGAAAACTGCAGAAGCAAGGCTTGCTACAAGTGACACCAGTAAGTTCCTTGACCACATTTCTATGCATTATAGCTAAAAGCTTAGTAAAGGATGATTCAAGGTGTAGTTCCATTCCTTTAAATGAAATGCCAGATAAACAAGGGATTTCATGTGTCAATGAGTGTTATATTTTAAAATGACATCCTTCTGAGGGTCTCCCTAAAATTTTTATTCTCCTGGGAAAAGTACCAAACACAATTGTCCACAATCTTGTTGTTGTTTGAGACAGTGTCTTGCTCTGTGGCCTAGGCTGGAGCGCAGTGGTGCGATCACAGCTCATTGCAGCCTTGACCTCCCAGACTCAAGCGACCCTCCCACCTCAGCCTCCCAAGTAGCTGAAACTACAAGCACATGTGCCACCATGCCTGGCTAACTTTTTTATTTTTTGCAGAGATGGAGTCTTACCATGTTGCCCTGGCTGGTCTCAAACTCCTGGGCTCAAGTGATCCTCCCACCTCAGTTTCCTAAAGTGCTGGGATGACAGGCATGAGCCACCACACCTAGTCCAATCCCATCGTTTGGCTCAACTCAGAATCAGTGCTTCTGAAACTCACTGGCTATCTCTGACATACACAATGTTTTTCTTGGTCACAGTTTTCATACTTGTTATCCTCTCCTGCAGAAAGGATTTATATGTACTGTTGACACCATAAAAGATTCTGACGAAGAGCTGGACAACAATCAGATAGAAGTACTGGACCAGCCAATCAATACCACAGACCTGCCTTTCCACATTGACTGGAATGATGATCTTCCTCTCAACATTGAGGTCCCCAAAATCAGCCTCCACAGCCTCATTCTTGACTTTTCAGCAGTGTCCTTTCTTGATGTTTCTTCAGTGAGGGGCCTTAAATCGGTAATTTCTTTGTTCTTAATGGAAACAACCAATCAATGACTAAAGGTTAAAAAAAAAATTGTATTTGTGGGCTGGGCACAGTGGCTCATGCCTGTAATCCCAGCACTTTGGGAGGCCGAGGTGGGTGGATCACCTGAGGTCAGGACTTCGAGACCAGCCTGGCCAACATGGCGAAGCCCCGTCTCTACTAAAAATACAAAAATCAGCTGGGTGTGGTGGCGTGCACCTGTAATCCCAGCTACTCGGGAGGCTGAGGCAGGAGAATAGCTTGAACCTGGGAGGTGGCAATTGCAGTGAGCCGAAATTGCACCACTGCACTCCAGCAATACAGTGAGACTCTGTCTCAAAAACAGCAACAAAAAAAACTGTATTTGTGGAAGGATGCTCCTTTAGGTAACATGCATTTAATTAGAAGCAAATGATAATCTTAGAGTATTCCATGGAGGGAAAGGTGGTGTTCAGTGGACTCTTGAAAGGGCATTTTTCCATGAGACTGGGTACTATATTGAAGGGAATCAAATCTACAGTTCTAACGTATGCTGAATCTGCTGGTGGACAACTATGCTCACATTCCTTTCAAATTTCAATTCTGTGGTGTTCTCAAATCTTTGTGGGCATTGTGTCTAAATTATTCTGAAATCAGAGAAGATCTGGAAAGGTCCTGGGAAAAAATGTAAGAGTGGATCCTTTTGTTTTATCCTCATCCATTATAAGCTGATGAAATTTCACTTGGCTAAAACCCAAATAGATATATGAAAGAATAAATGTCACATGTGATTTCAAAACACGACTGAAACAATCAGATTGCAGTGTGTTTTCTTTCCACAGATTAATCATATTTCTAAAATAAATTAGTTTCTAACAGAAATGCAGAAACATATAAAAAGAAAATTTAAGAAATTCTACATCTTTCTCTCTTTTTCTTGGGTTTTCACAAAAAATCTGCCCAAGTGAGAGCTGACCTAAGATAAGACCTATTCAGCATGGGTGAACTGGATACAAAATTAGAAAATGGAAGAATTTTTTTTAAATGTTAACATCATGTAACTCTCAAGTCTACTTGCGTTTTCTTTTCTTTTTTGGTTTTGGTTTTTGTTTATTTTAGCTTTTGATTACTTTAGCTTTTGTTTCTGCATTTTCACTCACACACACACACACATTTATTTTTTGGTTCTAGCAGTATAACACAAAGGACAGGGGCTCTAATTCTTAGTTAAGTGCCTAGAAGAGGTTCTGAAAGTGTTTACTGATGATGGCAATGACATTAATGATCATCTAACCTGATCAAACAATATAAGCTACTTTTCTTACTTTACATGATCTTACTCATATCACTACTGGTATTTGTTCTTAGCCTAGAGACCAGAAAAATGTATAAACATTCATTGGTGCTAGATACATCCATTCATTGTGGACAAAAATAATTAGCAACTCATGGTCCATAGGTTCTTTTTTAAAACTTTTATGTAGCAAGAAAGCTCTAGTTGAGATCATCCCAAAGAAGACACTATTTTAAAATTAAATCAGAGTTGTTCTTATGAGTTTGAGACAGAACATTTTCCCATAATACTTCCTTCAAGAATGATCATTTTTAACTTCTTACTGAGGAGAAGGGTTCTTTTGTTTGGGTTTATTTCTGTCACAGAGCCTTGTTTTTAACTTTAGTATCTTCTGACACTATTATCTCTTTTCAAAATGTTAAAGCTTCTAAAAGGAATATATCACCCGTAAGGTATAATTCTGATTGTTTTCTTTATATTTCTGACAAGTGAAACTGTTCCCTAAGGAAGATATACTTTTCTTTTTAACAGATTTTGCAAGAATTTATCAGGATCAAGGTAGATGTGTATATCGTTGGAACTGATGGTAAGTGGCTTTATTTTTGTTTTATGTTCTGACAATCACTTCAGGCTCACTGCCAACTCTCAGTCTAGACAGCCTCTCCAAAGAATGAGTATTTTATATAATCATGATGAAAATCTAATATGCAGCCAGCCCAATAAAAATCCCTATGGAAACAGCATCTTTGTATTTTAGTTATGTTGATATGTAATTAAATACATTCTACAATTTGAATCCTGATTTCATAGGCAACAAAGGAGGAACATGTTAACTATTTTTCACTCTAAACTTCCTGAAAAGGTAGCCTTGTTTTCTGTCTCTCTTCCTCCCTTCCCTTGCACAATCCAGCCCATAACAATTTGGTTGAGCTTCACCTGCTGATGAGACCATCCTTGCCAAGGTTATCAGCGATGTCCAGATTGTTAGGATTAACGGCCTTCATCTCAGGTCCTTCTGCAGCAGCTTACCTGAGCATCTGGCACTCTCTCTAGCATTTGTCTTTGAAACTCTCTCCCTCCCTGACTCTGGCAGGACAGTTCTTATTCACCTCCTACCTCTCAAACATCTCCTCAGGGTCTGACATTGGTTCTTCTCCCACTTTCAGTCTCCCCCAAGCTTCAACCGTACACTCTATACCATAGTTCTAATTCCACAGACTCTTTCTAGTCAATTTCCTACATGTTTATGATTTCATGTGCATCTACTTGTTAATGAATCCCCAAACTATACCTCCAGCCCAGGCCTTTCTTCTAAGCTGCAGACCAATGGACTCGACTGTGGATGTCCCCAGGCACCTCAGATACACGCTTTTAGAACTACGTATATGATTCCCCCTCCCAAAAATACTTCTTTCCTATCACAATCACTGCATCACTGCTTACCTAGTTTTCCAGATAGAAACCCTGAAACCATCACCAATTTCTGCTCTCCTTCCCTCTAGTCAATGACCAGGTCCTATAAATATTTCCTCTTAAATCAGTCTCTTCCTCTCCATTTCCAGAACTTTAATCTAGACCCTTCTCACTTCTCAACTAGGCCTTCTA
Organism: Homo sapiens; assembly: GCF_000001405.40. Classification (NCBI taxonomy): domain Eukaryota; kingdom Metazoa; phylum Chordata; class Mammalia; order Primates; family Hominidae; genus Homo; species Homo sapiens. The sequence continues at coordinate 107,771,034 of NC_000007.14, read as the reverse complement.
GAAGGACTTTCTAACTAATATCCTTGCCCATCCCTATAATGCTCTCCCATCCCATTTTCTGAAAGAAGCCTTCTTCAGGAATTTTTCCGACAATAACTGAAAACATCCTTGCTTCCCCAGGCAGAGCACCGGGTCTTCAGACTGTTTGTATCTACAGAGTACGCACGTATCACATAATTTTGCAGTTCAGTTTCTGTCCCTACTAGACTATATCTCTTCCAGGGCAGGTATTGTTCCTGCTTACCTTCTTCCTGTCTCTTCCCTAGATCCTAGGACATGATGGGCATTCAGTAAAGACTTATTGAATACCTACTATTTATCAGGCACAGTTCTGGGTGCTGGGAATATAGCAGTGAATCTGACAAGCCTCTGTCCTCATGAAGCTTATAGTCTCATAGAAAAGCCACATAATAAACAAACAAAAGCATATTTCAGGTAGTGATAAGTGCTAAGAGAAAAGCAGAGTTAAGAAACAGAGGCTGGGAGCGGTGGCTCATGCCTGTAATCTTAGCACTCCAGAAAGCTGAGGCAGGCAGATCACTTAAGCCCCAGCGTTTGAGACTAGCCTGGGCAACATGGTGAAACCTCGTCTCTAAAAAAAAAAAAAAATGTTAGCTGGGTGTGGTGGCATGTGCCTGTAGTCCCAGCTACTCAGGAGGTTGAGATGGAAGGATCGCTTGAGCCTGGGAGGTCAAGGCTGCGGTAAGCTGTGATCGTGCCACTGCACACTAGCCTGGGTGACAGAGCAAGACCCTGTCTCAAATCAAAAAAAAAAAAAAAAAAAAAAAAAAAAAAAAAAAAAAAAAAAAAAAAAAAAAAAAAAAAAAAAAAAAAAAAACCCCTTTTTTTTTTTAAAAAAAAAAAAAAAAAAAAAAAAAAAAGAAAGAAAAGAAAGAGAGAAAGAAAGAAAGAGAAAGAAGAAAGAAGAAAGACGAAATAAGAAAGAAAGAAAGAAAAAAGAGAGAAAGAAAAAGAAAGAAAAGAGAAAGAAAGAAAGAAAGAAAGAAAGAAAGAAAGAAAGAAAGAAAGAAAGAGAAAAAAGGAAGGAAGGAAGGGAGGGAGGGAGGCAGAAAGAAAAACTGGTGATCAGGGATGTCCAGCAATATGACATTTTGAGTACAGACTAGAACGAAGTGAGGCAGTCAACCTTGACAGTACTTAGGGGGAGCTTTTTAGGGAGAGGAGACAAGTGGTACACATATCCTTCGAAAAGTATAAAATTGGCATCCTTAATCTCTCCCTTTCTACTGGATCCTGTCCCTAAAATATACAGACATATTCTAGTTTCAAGACTTTTAAAAAAAACTTTTAAGTTCAGGGGTACACATGCAGGTTTGTTACATAGGTAAACTCGTGTCATGGGGGTTTATTGTATAGATTATTTTGTCACCCAGATATTAAGCCTAGCACCCATTAGTTACTTTTCCTGATCCTTTCCTTCCTCCCACCCTTCACCCTCCGATAGGCCCCAGTGTGGGTTGTTCCCCTCCATGTGTCCATACGTTCTCATCATTTAGCTCCCACTTATAAGTGAGAATATGCAGTATTTGGTTTTCTGTTCCTGCATTACTTTGCTAAGGATAATGGCCTCCAACTCCATGTACCTGCAAAGGATATTGTTTTTTTTTAATTTTTTTATATGTTTTTATATAGTATTCCACGGTGTATATGTACCACATTTTCTTTATCCAGTCTATCACTGATGGGCATTTGAGTCCATGTCTTTGCTATTGTGAATAGTGCAGCAATCAATGTATGCATGCATGCGTCTTTATAAAAGAATGATTTATATTCCTTTGGGTATATATCCAGTAATGGAATTGCTGGGTCAAATGGTATTTTTGTCTTCAGCCCTGTGAGGAATCGCCACACTGTGCTTATACACTGTTGGTGGGAGTGAAAATTAGTTCAACCATTGTCAAGGCTTCCTTATAATTAAAAACATCCCCTTGATCCCAGAAACCTTTAATTTACTAACAATTTTACCCTTTCCTCATCATCCCAGATATTTTGGAAAGTATCTGTTCCTGCTGTCTCTGCTGCCTGGCATTCTTTTCAGTCTTTATCAAAGATTATCACCTTCCTTCCCATTGCATGCCACCCACTCCATCCCAGATCCTGGTGGCCACAATGCCCTCCACGCTCCCTCTCCCTCTGTCACTGAAAGCTTTCTGTAAACAGAAGAATCCATCTTCATAACTGTGTACCTTCTCTTCCTCCACTTTTCTGCAAATCCTAGGCACGTTTAGACGGTATCTGCTCAAGTTTTCCCAGATACCCACCAAGAGGAAAATTTCTCAGAATTTTCATAGTACATGATCTATATCTCTCTCATATATTCAACAAAAAATATGAAGACATACTATGTGCTGGGAATTTTTTTAAAACTAAGAAAACAATAAAGGAAAAAAACTAGATTGCTCCTTTCCCTCATTATTATACCACACGTTTTCTGTCAGTACTACAGGAATATATAAATGTTCTATCTTCCTTGAGGGCAAGATTCAGGTCTAATTTATCTTTTGATCTTTCTTATTACTCAGCCAGAGTTTTGCACATGGCAGACATAAGGTAATAGTTGGTTGAGTCATCTATGTAAATGAATGCTGCTTAGTGCCTACAAAAATGGGATTTCTCAAAGATGATTAGAGAGGTAAGTGGTAAGGAAGATGTTTTCCCATAAAACCCAGCAGCTTTGGGAAAATGGGCTACAATAAAGAACCACAGCATATCACTGGTCCATAAACATATGTTCCATTTTGGCAGAATCCCAAACTTTAATAAGAAGCCACACTTGATACTCTAATCATTAAGCAGGGAGATCAATTCACTAGGCTCCTGCCTAAATGAATTTTCTTCTAGGAACTACTGTTTTTCATTTGCTCCTTTGCCTTCCTCCTTTTTACATTAGGGCATTAAATTTTTTTTATTAGAAAGGTATTTGTTAGTTCCAAAAGACATTGTACTAAAGATAGACTGGTATTATACCACTGCAACCCACACACACTTAACCAAATGTCAATGAAACGCACATTTGCAAATGGAAGGTGAAATTACTAGCCTCAAGGGGAAACCGGTAGCCAAACAATTGTTTCTTCCTAAAAGTTACTGTTTTTTTCTCTTCAGATGACTTCATTGAGAAGCTTAACCGGTATGAATTTTTTGATGGTGAAGTGAAAAGCTCAATATTTTTCTTAACAATCCATGATGCTGTTTTGCATATTTTGATGAAGAAAGATTACAGTACTTCAAAGTTTAATCCCAGTCAGGTATCAGCTCTTTGGTGACTTTCACAATTGCATAAGCAGCCATCTGCACTCCTTAAATTTCTCTTTTTCAACATTAAAAAAAATCAGCCCCTAATCCATATTTCCATTCTCTTTTTCTCAGGAAAAAGATGGAAAAATTGATTTTACCATAAATACAAATGGAGGATTACGTAATCGGGTATATGAGGTAAGATTCTTCAACAGGTTTATCTTCACCTAGACATCACAGCAAAAAAAAACCTTCAAAGTAGTGAGGCCACTTCCTGCATGTGGCAGAAAGTCCAGCACTTGCTTGAGCCTCTGTGCCTCATCCCTAGAAAACTGAAGCAATGCTAACCAATCTCACAGGGAGTTTTCAGGAAAAGAAACTCAGACCCGTACAAAAACAGGATGAAAAAATAGTGATAATAGATCTCCATTAATGCAATATTGAGCATATCTTCTTTTGTTTTTCAAACCACTTACAACAATGCTCTTATTCTGGCCCTGTAATAATCCACGTAGCAGGGAAGGTATTGCTCTTTCCATTTACAGGTGAATTAGCAATGAAAATGATAAGCTAATACACACCTCCCAATAGCCAGATGCTTGAGAAGTCCCTAGCACAGTGCCCAGTCAAGCAATGAAACAAGTTTCTATCCTTCCTTACTAGAGTGAGTTGCCAATTCAGCATTTAACTGGAGAGTCCCATTTCATTGTAGATGTTCATTTCTAGAACATTCAGTCCTTTAAAGCAATGTTTCTAGTTTGGGAAAAGTAGAATCACAAATTAAAATGGGTTTCTGCTGTAGGCCAGGTAGATGGCAGGTGTATTACATTCATTATCTCAATCCTTATAACAATATACAAAGAAGATATCTTCATTTTCCAAATGAAAAAAAAAAAAGGAAACAGGCTCAGAGAGCTTAACTAATCTGCTTGAGGTCACATACCAAGTGACCCCAACAGGACTGCACTAAGATCTTTCTGATGACAAGACCTGTCTTCTGTTCTAGTACACCATCTCTATCCTCTAGTGAAAGACAACGGATTGAGGGACCAGAGAAAGAATTTAATGATTGTCTTCAAGCATGGCAGGCAGCTGGTGGTATTTCTCTTAGTTGAAAGGTCTCAAAAAAGGAATTTCTAGTCAAAATGAAAAAGAAATGTAGAGCATAAGATAAATCTGGAACATTATTAAGAGTGGTATCAAGTAGCAAAGGTCAGATGAAAAGGCCATTCTAGAAAATTGGATAGACCTGAGGTAAGAGGCGAATGTACATAAGCACCATGATTCTGTCTCCCAGGACTAGATTCCAGAGAAACCCAATAAAACTGGCACCTTGCCTGAGTACCTTATAAGAAAAGTCTCACACCAGAAACCCTCTCCTCAGTAATTGTATTCAGAATTGTCACCAAGTATTGGAGGATAAAGGGTAGGAATAGCATTTACCTCATGTCTGACCCAAACACTAGAACCAATTGTCTAACAAATCTAGCTAGCACAGTGGTGGAACTTGGCTTCCCCATATTAAAAAAAAGAAACATTTAACACCAGCTCTTTGGTCTCAAGGAAGGTAAATCACCAGCTGTGGATAGGCCACCAGTGGTGACTGGGGTAACAGCTGAATATACCAGGCCAACACACATAGTCCTTTGGAATAAATGTGAAGAAAGATATTGCTACAACACACTGTACCATTACTTTAAGTTAAGTTAGGCCTTTGAATTACAATGTGGTATCACATAGATCTATGTTAAACAAGCAGTGATGGAAGGTACTTGATCATTAAAATTCAAGACAAAAAAAAAACCTGTTAACTCTGGTAAATTCTAGCTCCTAAGATGTGATTATTGTAACAGAACTTGACGAGTATTTTAAAACAAGAACTTTCTGTCTTCTTCCAGGTGCCAGTTGAAACAAAATTCTAATCAACATATAATTCAGAAGGATCTTCATCTGACTATGACATAAAAACAACTTTATACCCAGAAAGTTATTGATAAGTTCATACATTGTACGAAGAGTATTTTTGACAGAATATGTTTCAAACTTTGGAACAAGATGGTTCTAGCATGGCATATTTTTCACATATCTAGTATGAAATTATATAAGTATTCTAAATTTTATATCTTGTAGCTTTATCAAAGGGTGAAAATTATTTTGTTCATACATATTTTTGTAGCACTGACAGATTTCCATCCTAGTCACTACCTTCATGCATAGGTTTAGCAGTATAGTGGCGCCACTGTTTTGAATCTCATAATTTATACAGGTCATATTAATATATTTCCATTAAAAAATCAGTTGTACAGTGGATGTGTCTTGTTTTGTTAAATTTGTTAGCTTTCTGAAACATGCTTGCTGTGGGTCCTGTTATATAGTGGTCTGGCTGGAAACCTGCTACATGAGAATCTTCTAACAGAACCCCTGTAATCAGGCTTCTTTGCTCAGATTTTATGATTACCAGTTTTTTAAAGCATCCAACCTCCTATCCAGATTTTAAACACAATCCTTCTAATGTAATATCTGTACCTATATAGATTTAGTATGAAAACTATACAAGCTAAAAAATGAGAAAGCAAGGAAGGTGAAAAGAAAAGATGGGTAGCCAATTCTTCCGGGTCTCAGTGGGAAGAAGAAAAACAGATGGCAGGAAGTAGTATGACTCTCTTCTTTTTTCACTGCTGGTTATTATTTGTAACTCACAGGGCAGAATAACAGCTCTAGAGCTCAATTTATCTGGAGGAGATTCAGCACACCTGCTTCTCTTTTTCCACTGGCATGGCTCTTGGTGCAAATTTGTATTTATGTAATAGTTAGAAATTAAACATCAGCACCAACAGAAAAATATTCAACGCCCTTTATTAAACATCAAACAACTTTGTCAATGGGAAAAGCTGCCCCAACTGTTTTAGATCTTACCTCTCAACATTGTTGTCAAAGTACCTTTCCACTCTCTGGTAGTGTCTTTGAGAGGGTTTGTCTATTGGACTTAAAACTACATACACAAAGGTAAGATAAAGGTTATTTACACAGCCAATCTTAAAAGTAGAATATCAGCACTCTTTAATCTTCCCATTTTTTTGTAGAGACACGATCTATGTTGCCCATGCTGTCTCAAACTCCTGACCTCAAGCAATCCTCCTGCCTCGGACTCCCAAAGTGCTGGGATTACAGGTGTGAGCCATTGTGCCCGGCCACAGCACTCTTTATAGTAGTGTTTAACTTTCTGAGTCATGGACTCCTTATAGAGTCTCATACACCCTATGGACTTTGGGGGAAAAAATACACACACACACACACACACACACACACACACACACACACACACACACAATTTACATATAAAATGCCTCACAAATCTTGGGTTAAGAACTTCTCCTCTAAAAAGAGTAGGAAGTCGAAATTGAAAACAGGAGCCTATTTACTCAATCATTTGGCTTGAAGTTGAGGCAAATGCCTTATATATAGGATTGTCGCTGAGGTCTCCATCTTCCCAAGCAAAGGTGCCCTCTGCACTCTTCTTGCCAACCAAACCAAACCAAACCAAACAAAAACAAAAAACTCAAGAAACAAGCACAAGCACTCCAATTCTTGTGCCCACATCACAGTACATTCAACCTTAACACCTTAGAGGTTTACTTATCCTTATCCTTAAATGTTTTCTTTCTTGTAGGCCACTAAGGTTGGGTATGCTTCTAGTAATGGGAATACATGGGGCTGAGCCTCTACTTGCCTGCCTCAGAGCACATATTGGAAATTTCCTAGTACCAAAATCTGATCCCTAATTTAGGAAGAAGTCAAGAGACCATGTTGGAAGATAAAAATAAACGTATATAAACCAGAACAAGATTGGAGGGGAGAGGAGGCAACTGGGAGACAGAACAACTTGTGAAGAGACAAATACATTACAGAAATTCATAAAGTGTGAAAGTAATACATGTTGAGCAGTGTATCTTTAAAATTATTTTGTAAGTTATTTAAGCACTTGATACATATTTTTGTCTAAACACAGGAACTTACCACTTAGAAATGTAAATGAAATTTTTTAAATGGCTGACCCTACACTGCATGAACAAGAATATAAAAGAGGGATATTTAATTCATGTTTCTAGCATCTTCCTCTGGATTTCAACATGTCAAGGCTGATCTGCTGATCTTCCCCTAATCTGCTCTACCAGCATTTTTTCTACCTCAGTTAATGACAACTCCATTTTTCTTAAGCTGATCAAGCCAAAAAATCCACCAGGAAATCCTACTGACTCTCTTTTTAAAATATAGTCATTTAACTGTCAAAAGAGTCCCCAATAATGTCAGTACTAAGATTTCCCCTATTTTTTAAAAAAACAAAGTAAATGAAGACTCAAAGAGCAAGTAACTAGTCTAAATTAGATAGTCACAGGTGGTAAAGCCAGAAATCTGTCTGGACAGTCTAACTCTATACAACCCAGGCTTTTAAATATTAGAAAACATCACTTCTCAAAAGAAATTAAAACCTAAATAAAAACTGATTACAAGATAGGACTAAACTCAGGAATAATTATAAGTGCATTCCACAGATTTGTTCCAAACTCACTAATTTAGCATTGTACAATTATATCCAGAAAAGCTGCTAGGAAATAGTAATGTTCAGAATTAAATACATTTTCTCTCATGGTTTTGTATGTATTTTGGTAATGTATTTTTAAACATTAAGATTTATGTCCTGGCCACAATACTTTGAATATAAGGAAAATTTTTGAAGAAAATTTAAAGACGACTATCAAGAACAATTCCTAAGTAAGTCAGAATGTAAGCTCCTAAAGGGCAGAGACCATCTATTTTGTTCATTATCATACACCCACATCTAACATATATAATAGGTATTTAACTTTATAAATCAATAATTCATATATATGTATCTTTATGTATATCCTTCCACAAGTCACCCACTTCCCACTTCTTGATACCTGTAATGTTACCACCATCATCTCTTGTGTAAATTATTAAAACACCCTACTAACTGGTCCCTCTGCTTCCATCTTAGCCTCCTTTGTCTTATCACACAGTCAGAATAATCCTTTTACCAAAAAAAAAAAGTTTTAACATTTTTAAGTGAATAAATTTTTTTTAAAGAAGTCCTACCCAATTTGGAGAACTAAACCCATGACTTATTATTGTTCGTTTCAATCCTGTGCTTCTACAGTGCCAAAAAATACAAAATTTTTAAAGATGGGGATGTGGGAAAATTAAGCACTAAAGTGTTAAGAATTCTGCCTTAAAACTTTTTCCCTCAATGATGGAAAACTGAAGGGACATGAATCAAAACAAGGTGTTTAAAAATCCAAATTAGGTTTTATTAGCATCACTGCCAAGTATTTTACCTGGCTTATCTCCACTTCTCGTTAAGCCTAGTGTATCTGATACTGCTTTGATTACACATATACTGTATTAAGCAAACTGATTGGTTTCTAGGCCATAATTTAGCAAATTACAAACCAGTGAAGAGTAGTAAGTCCACTTCAATCAGAATATAGTATGTTTATATTAGTATGAAGAGTAAGTCCACTTCAGTCAGAATATAGTATGTTTATATATGCTTAACATCAACATACTAATTTGACGGCTAATCTAATGAAGAAATATCTTTGAGTACTCATGCACTTTTTTCATGTACTCATAATATGGGGCATTTTCAAAAAATGAAAGACGGAACTGTAGAGTTTTCCCAAAAAGATTACAAAAGATACTCTTCCAATATATTAGTCAGAACAAAGCCTTCGGCAGTTCGGTATACTTCATACAGCCTCTTATTGACTTTAAAAGATATGTTCAAGTATCTCTTCCATTTACATTTCAGTGGTATCTAATTAGTATTTACATGATAATTTTGAGCAAGTAGTTTTTACAAGGCAAAATGAATATAGTTTCTTACAGTCTTTGCAACAGATATTTCCCCAAATACTGTATTATACTCTGAATAAACATGCCAATGAAGAAATATGACATTCAACTTGATGGTTTTAATCTTTTAGAAGTGAACTTACTTTTACTGTAGAAAGTTGTATCAATATAAACATGGAAAATTCTGCATTCTCCCAGATGTGCCAAAACATAAAAATTCATCTAGGCAAAATAGTATTTATGCTTCCATTTTATTGTTTTTAAGAATTAAACTGCCACCTCAGTAGTCTTAAGAGCAATATAATGAAACATACATACATTTAATTTAGACTTATGTCCATCATAGCTTCAAAGGCTTCCCTGAAATAAGGCTGGGATTCACATCTTTTTCCGTAAGGAAAGAAACACTAACAGTAATTTTGTTATCCTTCTACCCACCCACCCTCATTCAAACAATTGATGAATTCAAGTCTAACACGATTTAAAACTTTTGTCTGCTACAACATTCATCTGATATGCCTCCCTGCATAACATAGATTTCTTAAACCTAATTGAAAATAAATCATTTTTTAAAAACTCTACAAGGGTTCTCTTAATTCAAAATTTTATCATGATACTGATTTTCTCGTCCAATACATAGGCTAAGTGGTTTCTTACCACATTCAACTCTAGTGACTTTCAATAAAAGCAGGATAGCTCTTCATAAATAGTTGAGAAGCTCTAAAGTGATTTTGGCTATTTTCTTATTACATGGAACAAAGAATGGTTTGGATTTTTAACAGTAATATTTTAATAGCTCCTAAACAGGGGGATGAAAAGGAATCAAGTTTGCACCAGTCCAAGTACCTACAGTAATATGATAGAAGCACTCACCACCATTTCACACTATCACTCCCATGCTTTTAATAACAAGCATTTCTCACTAGAAATATTGCATTAACACTGGACTTTCAAACTGCTAAATGTAGAAAATCACTTGCCTGACTTAAAACAAAAAAGTTTATTAGTTATTTTTGGCCAGTCAAGGTTGAAACGGCCATTTTGTTATTTCTAACTTCTGCTCTAGGGTTCAGAAATGATTTTGCATCTGATCATTCAAGATGAGAATTTGTTTCACCTGTACCTGACAGAATAAAATGGTAAATTAGCAATCAGATCACCCTTTGTCAAAAGAAGTATGTTCTAAATGTATACACTACAAACTATCTAATAAATGATATCTGCATACTACATATTTCATGTTTTATTATGCACCATTTTAGTGGGGAGGAAAAACTTCACAGGGATTTATTCAAAGGATATAAATAATATCCTAAGAATGTTGATTTATACATATGAGTTCTGTATAAACTGTTAAGTGGTCATCTTAGCTAAACTATAACAAGCCCCTATAATGTAAAAGCTGACTCGAAAGGCACCATGTAAAGCACTGAAATCCACAATTTAGCTGTTATTTCCTCTTCTCCAATACAAAATTATCTGGTAGTCTTCACTGTTGACTCCATGATAAAATGTTCCAAATTCAGACTGCTTTACCGACAAAAGGAATAGGAAATAAAAGTTTTTAAATTTCAAGTTAGAGGAAAAATCCTATCACACAGCAATGAAACCTGAGCAAATGCAAATTTGTGATTACAAGAATATGTCCTTCATTAATATATTATTCAAATTCCTCCATGGCATTCAAACTGTAGTTGAAAATCCTATAAACAAGAACCCACTTAAACACAGCATCAAACTCTACCATGAAATGAAGAATTACATAAAGCCTATTCAGCCCTATTCAGTTTAAGACAATGAACAAAACAGAACACATTTCATCTAAAGAACACCATTTAAACCCATTTAAACAGTTCTATAAAATAATGTTACTTAAGATCAGTATGTGTGGTGCATATGTGATTCCGACCATTCAGTAAAAAAGCATTAATGAGTAACAGCATTCCCCCACCAGCTTGAAGCCTGTAGAGTTGATTATTTTGGCCATCTCTTTCCAAATAATTAGTAATGTCTTTTAACATTACGAACAAATATATCTTAGTACTAGAATTCCAATGTATTTTGGTGCTCCTGAGGCTGCCTAAAAATGAAAAGGCATCCAAGTGAAGTGCATTGTATACTTACTATACCTCGAAACCTCAACATTTCAGTGCCTAAAATGTGAAATAATTCTCTATCATTTAACAGTCTGCCTTACAGCAAATTCTAGTAGATTTTTACTTTCAGGATTTTATTATAACTTTGGGAAATTAGTGGTAAAACATATGGTTTAAAAAACAGTATGTGGCTGCACTTAAATTCACATAAAAATAGCATTTTTACAACCATATTGAAATTTAATCCTTTTACACAGGTTAACAAAATGTATCACAAGAAAAACTAAACGTTGGGTTTAACAAAACAATACTTTTGAAGTAAAACAATGAAAAATTTTTTCAAATTTTTTACAAATGGTCACCTCTGGGTCAATTTACTAAACTAGGGGAACAAAGAGATGTTAAAATATAGCTGTGCTCAACTGAGCCACTTATCTGTACTACAGTATGGTACTTGAAATCAATCTTAAGGTCAAGATTTAAAACCATTTTAAGAAACAAGACCCTATGTGTTTTATACTACCTCGATAAGAGGTACTCTTCCTTCCCAAAACAGTCAAAGCTTAAAAGATTGACTACACATAAGTTTTTTTCCCCCTCATATCTTCCATTCAAAATACTATTATCATTGGTAATACGGTCTATATCTTGTCTGATCTGGATGATGTGGTCCAGGAAGTGGGGTTTGAGAAGGCGGACCCTGCAATCGTGGAGGTGGTGGTGGCCCTCTTGGTGCAGGCCATATACCAGGACTCATTCCCCCTGGTTGTGTAAATGGAGGGCTCAGAGTTCCTTGATCTTCAGTGAACTGGGGTAATGAGTTAGGATTATAATGGTGAGGAGGGGGTGCAGTTACAGGTGGACCACCATGTTGAGGTGGGGGAGGTCCTGGAGGAGGATGATTCATATAAGGTGGCATCTGGGCAATAATATGTCCAGGGGGAGGGGTTATTGGTGGTGGAGCAGAGGTCATTGGTGGAGGTGGAGCTTGGCTATATACCAAGTGAGGAGTACCTGCAGCCTGGGGAGGATGTGGCATTGGATGGCTTATTGGTGGTGGAGGAGGTGGGGGTGGTGCATAATGTTGCTGTGGAGGCATAATATGATGAGGGTGCGATACCACTGGTTGACCCTGATATTCAGGATGATGGTGAGCAGGTGCTGGGGCAGGAGGTGGTGGTTCTCTAGCACCTGAATTTGAGTCATCCTGAATAGGGACGGTTATTAAATTGCTGTGTTTTCTTGTTGAAATACGAAAGGTTTCCTGACTGACCGATCGAGGTGGAGGTGGAGCCATGGACAATTCTGCTGGAGGAGCACGAATATCCTCATGTGGCTGATTATAGTGCTCATGTGGCACATGTTGCAAAGGAGGTGGTGGCATCATGATGTGCTGCTTTGGCGGAATATGGCTCATATGGTGCTTGTCTGGTGGCATTATAAAACGCTCAGGGATTTCAGTTGGTGGTGGGGCAATAGGAGGATGAACATTTTCAAGTGAAGCACGGGTAACAGGTTTTCCAGCTCTCATATGGCGATGGTTGATATGAGCCTGTAAGTCTCTCTGAGACAAATATGTTCTCTTGCACCCTTGAACAATGCTACACATGAAGAGAGAACCTCGTGTACACTGCTCAATTCGCTGCACAGGATCACTACAGCTAAATTAGAAGGGAAAGAAATGTGATTTACTAAAAGAGAATACAAAAAATTATGTAATTTTCAAAAATATGCTTGTTTTTAAAATTTGACTGTTACATAAAACATAGCAAAAGTCCACAATTAGAAGTTACAGTTATTCTACGCAAACCTTTAATCTTCCCTACTTTGTTGTCTGTTAGCCATTAAGATAGGCATTTCTGTCAACTTCAGAACTCCTAATATCAAACGGTATGTTTCAAGAAGAGACCTCATTCTTCCCAAGGCCTAGAATTTATCCAGTTTTCTCAAACAATTGTACCTTCTGCATCCATTTGCCAAAAAACCCAGCAAGAAAAAAACCAACGGGTAGATTACTTACAATCATGGAATTCAAACTAGTATGGTATTATTGAGTGATAACTGTTTGTTGAGCAAATAATACTAAGTGGAAAACAGTAAGTAGAAGACATTGCAAGGACTACAACAAGTAACATCAGCCTCATCATTAGGGTTCTTAACATTAAACAAACAATTTCAATCCAAGCCTTGACTACTAAAAGTCCTTTAAAGAAGGGTTTTTTCTGAACTGTCAGACAAATTTACACTTTGCTAACTTTCTAATTTGTGAGCACTAAATTTAACTTAACATTTTCTTAAAAACTCAGGGTCAAAATTATAACTATTTTTCATTTACCATATTTAATCCATAATTGCCATTACAGCTTTCTTGACACAGTGGGGAAAGAGGACTGAAATAGGAATCTGAAGATCTTGGGATCTGGTATTGGCTCAGTAATTTGAAGTCATTGAACCATTTTTGAGTTTGTTTCTTCATTTATACAATGAGGTTAAAGTATCTACCTACTTCACAATGTTTTTATATCTATTTCATATTACCTAAAAGAATATTAATATCAAATGAAACAATGAAAGTGACAGTATTTAATCCCCAATTAAGCACTATATATAAATATATGTGTGTGTACATATATAAGCAATTATCATTGAATATGTGTGTCAGGTCATTTGACACTATACTAAATGGCTCTATACTCTTGATTTTGAGTTGTGTCTATCTTTCCATCCTTACTATAAGGCTGGCACTCCTTATTGATGTTATTATGCTTCCCTTTAGTGGCCATCTGGCACACTTTTTGCTTCTAGTTCACTGTAAACTCCGAACTATCTCCACCTTAACAAGATGTGAAGCACTTTCTCTTGGGTGGTGCTTAAGAACAGTAATATATACTGTTTAACTCTGACTGCCATTTCTTCACTTCCTGATCTGGGTCTGTTAATCCAGATAGGCTTCTGTCCTAAAATTGCTACTAAGGACCACATAAGTGAGGTGTGACATTTAGTACTTTGTTACATTTAAGTCCATTAGTAAGGTTAGTACATTAGAATATTCAGTACATTAGTTACATTTAGTACCTTGGGAAGTAATTTCTTTAAACAATAAGTACCTTTTAATTTCCTTTTAATACTTATACAAAAGAGGAAACCTTTAAAAGTCCTCTAAATAATGTTTTATCACATCTGAAATCCTTTATCCCGATGAAGCAATTAAATTTACTATGTAACTTAAAATGAATGTATACCATGCTGAAAAATTAGGCCTGAGAGAAAACACCCAAAAAACAAGTGATATGTATTTCTAATGTCTTAATTCTTCTGAATTATAATTCTATAAACAAAATATTTTTTAAATTCATAGAACAAATGTTATAATCTGTTACTTTAAAATGCTAATAAAAACATGCCAAGAGAATTAGTTGTCACTGAGCTGTTAATAAATCACCCCTTTCTCTCCTGGTGACGTCAAATTTTCCTACACCATAAAAGGGAATCATTGCTGACAAGTGTCCACAGCTTTGTTATCAATCAATACCACAAATCTTGGTATAGCTTTAAGCACAGGTTATAAGTGATCTAAGAAGCCTATGGCTACTCCAAGCAAGTATCTTTCATTCTTTCTTAAGCCTTCCTTATCAACGATTCTGAACTGATATAAAAATTCTTATTCTGTTTTCTTCAAGACCATCCCAAAATGGACCTAGCTTTTTATAACTTGTTTGAGACTATGTAATGATGGTGTTCTAAGACATACTCCAAATACAATAATCAGATTTGAAAGTAACAAGAGCTTATATATACAGTGCTTACTATATGCCAGCTACTATATATATGTATCTGTGTACATATGTTATATATATATAAAACCTCATTTAATCCTAAAAATACCTCAAGGAGGTAGGTACTATTATCAGTCTCATTTTATCAATAAAGAATAGCCTATGACAGTAAAACAGCTAATAAATAGCAGAACAAGGATTCGAACCCAGGAATTCTAATTCTGGAGTCTTTGCTCTCAATATATCTTAATACTTCTTTAATGTCCCATTAAAAAAAGTAACTTTTTTGTTTATAATAATACTTCTATAATGGCAAACAGATTTCATTTTGACCAATTTGAGTTGACTGATAGTGGCTACCTTGCCCTATATTAAAGAGAAACCTAACACAAGCTGGGCTCACAGAAAAAGATTAGCCATGTCTGTATGTTTCATCTCCTGCCTGATTTACATCACTCCCTAACCTTTAATCCAACTTATAAATCATTGCACTAAAACTTTATTATTTAAAAAAGGTAATGATAATCTTATCTTACCCTGGACACATCTTATCTCCCTTTTTTTCATGTAAAATAGCACAGTCATAGCAAAAAACATGCTTGCATGGAATCTGTAAACAAAGACATATTACAGTTAAGCATATTAGAACTTATAATATTTTTAAAATATATATATATAGTAACCTATACATAAGGCTTAGAAGACACTTGAGAATACCTGTTAAAATGAACATTTATTAAGTACTAATTATAATAACCTTTTTCAATCACAAAGCCTTTTGAGAACATGACAAAAACTATGGCTCTTTTCCCAATAAATGTACACACATGCATTTGCTTATACTTTCTGGAGGTGTAAACCCTATAAATTTCACCCATGGTCCCCACACGTTTTTTTCCTTTTTTTTAAGAAACAGATCTTGCTCTGTTGCCCAGGCTGGAGTCCAGTGGTGTGATCACAGCTCACTGTAACCTCAAACTCCTGGCTGATGTTCCCACCTCAGCCTCCAGAATAGCGAGGAACACAGGTGTGTGCCACCACAGCAGGCTAATTATTTTATTTTATTGTACAGACAGGGTCTCACTAAATTGTCCAGGCTGGTCCCAAACTCCTGGCCTCTGGCAATCCTCCCACCTCAGCCTCCCAAAGCCCTGGGATTATAGGTGTGAGCCACCACACCCAGCCCCCTGCAGGTCAAAAACTCCTGAAGAATACTTTTAATTATGTGTGTTTTTTTTTTAATCTTGTTTCTCCTGAAACTATTCCAATGCAGTAAAATAACAAGTATGTCCTATATTTAACGTAAGCAGCATCTTCCTCTGGTAGTTTCAAGTTAATTAACTAATAAAAATCTAAAAATCAATCAGAAGGATACATTAAATGATGTTAGAAGCACATTTTTAAATTCACAGCCTGTTACTATTTCTTTACTATGATGTTCAGCAAAGCAACACTGCATAATCCATGCCATCTACCATCACAGGTATGTTATTGAATTCAATTTTTTTTTTCTAAAGGCAAATGCAAAACTATCTTTTTTGGAGGGAAGAAATGTGAAAATTACTATAAAATTACAGTTAGGATTGTAAAATTTTTTTAATGATTATAATTCAATTTTCAGAAATAATAATTACTATTAAGCCTCTCTGAGCCTCAGGAAAAAAAGAGAAATTATAAATATTATTAATGCAGTTTTATGTAAAAAATTGTGGCCTTCAAAAATAAGCAGTTTTGTTCTATTTATTAAGAAACAAAAATTTCCTTAATAAACTAGAATAACTGTAAATTCACTGGTATCAAACACTCCAAAGGAATTAGTTTTCAGAAATTATTCTAATTTTCAGTTTTATTTAATATTTTATAAGAATTCAACAATTTGTCAAGATAATCATATTAAATTCATAGTATTCCAATACTTCCCTTAGTTATTTCATACTTATTTAAAATTTTGCAAACTTAGTCATTAAACAATGATAAACCTATCTAAATTTCAGAACCCCACCTCTATGCAAATGCTTACTTACAAAAACAATATTTAATTATACTTACCATTCTCCCATAGATTTTAATAGGCAATCCACACTTGTCACAGAAATGAACTGGTGTATCATCCTTTTCACCTAAGATGTTTATCTGTTGAAATGATATAATTAAAATTACCTTCTTACACAATTCTAAAGATTGTATCTACACAATGAATTGGTCAATATTTTATAAAAGTTGTTAAAACAATTAGAAATAGAAGCCTCTTGGTATAATCTCCATTTATTCCCCACCATTAGTTGTGATACCATTAGTTTTTCTTCTTAGTGTTAACAGTTATTGATTTTACTGAAAATTACTTCAAATTATTCTTGAAAATAGAGTATTAACAAATGATTTGTATGTGCTGAAAATCATAGTTATAAGTTCATAATATTCTTAATGTACTGTGCATTACTCCAATAAAACATTTTAAGTATTTAATACTTAAAATATTTTATTGTTATAATACAATTTTTCATTTTTAATTATACCTGAAAGTCCCAAAAAAGGTGTCCAGGAAATCTTCGCTGATTTGCAAACAGCTCACCCCCTTTACAGTCATACCGTTCTTCTTCATTATAATCAAATCCTTCTGAGAAAAAAAAAGTATTGCCCATTAACTTTCCAAATCTCAAATTTCATTTTGGAAGCACATATACATGGCAAAATAGACCTTTTCACTAAAAAGCTCATCTGATGCCTTTCAAAGCTTTTCTAAGAATAAGACAATCAAGATTACTTTAAAACATCAGTTAGAAGTGATCTTGGTGATCTAGTCCAACTCTTTTACTTCATTATTGAGAATATTACTGTATGGAGACTCATAACTCAACATATAGAAGATAAGTGGCAAAGCCAGGAACAGACCTCAGATCTCTTGACTCCCATTCAAATGCTCTTATCAATTCATGAAACTATTTCTAATGTAAAACTTTACTGATGATCATGCTTGTTGCACAAATTTTTAAGATATTGATCACCATTTATTCTAGTCTAGCTACAAAAATGGTATGCTAAGAGACTGATTGTATTGCCAATAGCATAATGAAAACATAAAGCATTCTATCGATTTTATTAGCAAACAAGTTATCCTCTTCTTTAGCCCTAAAATGAGTGATTTAGACACTTTAACATATTCATATTTCATCCTGTCAATTAAAACCACTCCCTGATTAATTACCCAAACAACAGGAGCCATATCGTATTCTCATGTATCCTTTCCTACAATGCATTTATCAATATCAATAAACTTAAGATATATGAAGATGAAAGGGGCTCAATTTCTCTGGCCTAATTAAAAAGTTGATGGCAATCTTCTCAACTCCTACAAAAGAACAGAAAACCAATCAACAGTCTGATGGGAATTCTAGGTAGAATCCAATTACCTAAAGTAAAGCTGAGCAGACAAATATATCCCTCCAAGGAGCCAGGCTTCTCACGACTCTTTTGGCCCTAGAACTGGTAAACAGAGTAGCCAAGCACACAAGTTTTAACTTTACCCACATGACTAAATTACAGCACCTATACACAGACACAGACACACACACACACACACAGAGAGACACATTCACATTAACACACAAACAATGATGCAAGAAGTTTTTGAAGCTGATAGACACTTCAGTGTACTGCTATTTAATTACTGCCAATACGAATGTATAATCCAAAGTCAGGATGCTCTTATAAGTTACACCTGAGTGTTCCTAGGCTCCTATATCACCCATTTACACCTTAGAAAAGCTGGTGTGATCTAAAATTCAAAATAAGGAAACTCAATTAATTTTTCTTTTTTTTTTTTTTTTTTGAGACAGAGTCTCACTCTGTCGCCCAGGTTGGAGTGCAGTGGCGCAATCTCCGCTCACTGCAAGCTCCACCTCCCAGGTTCATGCCATTCTCCTGCCTCGGCCTCCCGAGTAGCTGGGACTACAGGCACCCGCCACCACACCCAGCTAATTTTTTGTATTTTTAGTAGAGACGAGGTTTCACTGTGTTAGCCAGGATGGTCTCAATCTCCTGACCTCATGACCCGCCCGTCTCAGCCTCCCAAAGTGCTGGGAAAACAGGCGTGAGCCACCACACCTGGCAGAAACTCAATTTTTCAAACCAGAAAATTATTGAGATAACAGCCAAGGAAATTAGGAGCACATTATCATTTTTCAGAGTAGTTCCACCTGTACTCCCATCATTAAACTATATATATTTTGATTGATGCCTAGGAAAACAACAATCAAAAACAAACTTATTTTACTCCAAAATCCGAGAGGGAAAGGAGAGAAAAGGATTTTGGCTTTTCTGCATTGTTTGAACTATTAAAGAATTATTTGTACACTAACGTGTTGTTTTAAAAAACTATTTTTTTAAACAAAGCCAAAGCAGGAGTGACCCTAAATTAGAGGTAGTGCAACAGCAGCCCTAGGTTATTACTAACACGATTTCTAACATTTTGACTTGAAATATACTTGTTTAGATGGCAGAGGAACCCTACGATAAAAGAAACCATAACATATGTTGTAACTAAAGCAGTTTGATTCTACAAAATAAATACAGACAAATTGCTGGAATAGAACAGAAAGTCCAGAAATACAAAAAAATACTTTTAATACAGGGGTCCCCAACTCCCAGGCCTTGGACCAGTACCCTTGGCCTGTTAGGAATGCGGCCACACAGCAGGAGGTGAGGGAAGGGCTAGGGAGCATTACCACTTGACCTCTGCCTCCGCCTCCCGTCAGATCAGCAGCCTCATTAGATTCTCATAGGAACGCAAACCCTATTGTGAACCGTGCAAGAGAGGGATCTAGGTTGGTGCTCCTTACAAGAATCTAACTAATGCAACAGTTGCATCCCGAAACCACTCCCCGCACCCTGCCATCACTCTCCACCTGTGGAAAAACTGTCTTCCACGAAACCAGTCCTGGTGCCAAAAAGATTAGGGACTGCTGCTTTAACATATATATGATAACAGTAAAATCCCTATTCAGCAAGGAAAAGAGTTGGGACAATGTTTCGAGGGAAAAAAAAAAAAGCCAGACCCCACCTTTTTTCCCCTTAATAACCATAAATGTTCTAAAGCAGTATCAGTGAACTTTTTCTGTGAAATGCTAAATAGTAAATATTTACGCTTTGTGGACCATATGGTCTCAATCACAATTACTCAACTCTACCATTATAGTGTGAAAGCCCCCATAGATAATACTTAAATGAATGAGCATAGCTGTGTTCCAATAAAATTGTTTATAAAAACAGGGCTACATTTGGCCCACAGACATAGTTTGCTAACCTGTAATCAAGGGTAAGATGGAAAAACTCTTTTATACTGGTGAAATAGGGGAAGGCCTTTCAAATAATGTCACAAAACCCAGAAGTCATAAAAGCAAAGACCGGATATCTGACTATATAGAATCTTCAAGATTCTCTGCAATAACTATAATCCCAGCACTTTGGGAGGCCGATGCGGGCGGATCATGAGGTCAGGAGATCGAGACCATCCTGGCTAACACAGTGAAACCCCGTCTCCACTAAAAATACAAAAATTAGCTGGGCGTGGTGGCGGGCACCTGTAGTCCCAGCTACTCGGGAGGCTGAGGCAGGAGAATGGCATGAACCTGGGAGGCAGAGCTTGCAGTGAGCCGAGATCCCGCCACTGCACTCCAGCCTGGGTGACAGCGCAAGACTCTGTCTCAAAAAAAAAAAGATTCTCTGCAATAAATATTTTGTATACAAAATTCAAAAGACAAATGAAGAATATATACAATATAGGCCAGGCACAGTGGCTCACGCCTGTAATCCCAGCACCTTGGGAGGCTAAGGCAAGAGGACTGTTGAGTCCAGGAGTTCAAAACCAGCCTGGGCAACATAGCAAGACCCCATGACTACAAAAATTAAATATAAAAAATTAGCCAGGCAGGTGGGGTGCACCTGTAGTCCCAGCTCCTCAGGAGACTGAGGTGGAAAGATCACTTGAGCCTGGAATATCAAGCCATGATCCCACCACTGCATTCCAGCCCAGGCAACAGAGTAAGACTCAGTCTCAAAAAAACAAAAACAAACAAACAAACAAACAAAAAAATATATATACACACACGCACATACATAACATATAACAAAAACCCTATTAATTTACAAAGAACTCAGAAGAAAGGATCTAAACAAGAATGGTCAATGCTATGAAAAAATATACACTCTTTCATAATTAAAATAAATTTACATCAAAACAAAAATTTTAAAAGGTTTCTAGTACTCAGTATTGGTGTATGGCAGTAAAAACTAACATACCTTTTTATTATTATTTTTTTAATTCCAAAGCCTTTAAAACTACAAATTTGGATATTTTAAAACTTGACAGATACTGTGGATTTTAGAGTTTGACAAGTACTGTCAAATTGCTCTTAAAAAAAAAAAAAAGGCCAAATCTGTGCAAAGTACAAATTCTACAAAGTATACATACTAAACTGTATGTCCAAGAATATTTGGTGCAATGTTTTTTGTAACAGAAAAAACTGGAAAAACTGTTAAATAAATTATGGTATATCTATAAATACCCAAACCTATTTTTTTAATGAGGTACATCTGTAAGTACTGATAAGAAAAAAATCTCAAATGCATATTACATGAAAAAATGGCAACTACACATAAAAAATTAATACTTTTGTATAAAAAAGTCAACAGGGATTATCTTTGGATAGAAGGATTTTACTTTTAATGTTATGCTTTCTGCAATACTGTTGAGATTACTGAACAATGGGCAGTATTGCTTTCAACAACAAAAGGAACCAAATCAAAAAATATTTATAAAGGAAAATAAAAATACAATGTGCTACAATGAGAAGTCAAACAAGAAGGTTGAAGAATGAATAGAATATGTAAGACAAAAAGAGGTAGCTATAAGATCACACAGACTGTCCGAAGCAATCAGATAAAACAGAAAGAGTGTTGGACCTATTAGTTAAACAAATTACCTTCATCACCAGGTGGAGCCTTTGCAGGCATCCTGTTTATAGTTCTTTGAGTTCGCGGTGCAGGTTTCGCTTTGTTTGCTTGTTTGGAGATGAGCTTTATAGGAATTCGTCTGCGAACATCAAGACCACCCAAGGATCCAGAACTATTAGTGCCTTGTAACTCATTGTCTGTGTTAGGAAAAAAAAGTTGTAATTTCTTTTAGTTTTTCTTTTTAAAGATTATTCTGCCACAGGTATTAAAACACCATACCTAACATTATCAAGGTTAAAGATCTGGGTTCTGATTTTCAATATTACATTAAGTTTAACTGCTAATTTTATTTATTTTGGATCAACACTTAAGGCAATGCTTTTTAACCCCTTTTGAGATACAGAATCCTTTAAGAAATTGATAAAAGTTATAGGACCTCTCCCTAGAAAAGTGAATAAAATTTTTCATATAATTCCAGAGAAGTTTACAGAAACATGAAACCATTAATGAACCCAAGAACCATTGTCTTGAACTACAAGAGAATTTTTTAAAAGAAAAAGAGTAAGAAGGAGAAAAAGAACGAAAACCATCCCTGTCTCCATGTCTGATCATCAAGCATGCAAAGCAGAAAATAAATTTAGTAAACTGAACTTACTAATACTGATGAAGGCAAAATTAAACAATGCGTTTGAAAATGAAGTTAAGAAATGTGATTATTCCTTAAGCGCAAAATAATTATTCTAAAAATCATTCAGAAATATAGTAAAAATCATTATACCATTTAGTAGTAAAAACATGCAATAATGTATTTGTGCTATAACATGTGACTGAGTTCTTAGTCAGCACTGTAATGGAAAATTATAATTTAAGAGGATGCAAAGTTCCTATACTACAACTAGGTCTAAACAAGTGTCACTTTCTAGTCCCTGGAGTCTTTGCTTGTTATTGTCTATAGAATAAATTAATTCTTGTCCCATGAGTAACAGGAGTATTATTTCATAGAACTGACTCCATCTAAAGCTTAAGAGTTACCTTTTTTCAAGTAGATGAAAATATATAATACAGAAAATATTTAACTTGACCTACTAAAGAAGGAAAATGCTTAAAATAGGAAATACAAATAACGTATTTTTTAATTTGTAGTGTTTTAAACATGACAAGTTATTGAACAAGGTTGTATAACTGCCCCTGCAGGAAATATTACAGTCAAGACTGATAGCCAAACCATCCACATTAAATTCAGCAAAGCCAAATTTGGAAGTAGTAAGCTAGTACCAATGGCCTCCAAGGCTACTAGGATTACAGACACACAATAAGTTCACATTCATTTGCACTTTTTCTGAACAAAATACCAAACAAAATTAAAAATGGGTCCATAACGATTATTTTAATCTACTTACTACTCTTATAACAGCTAATCCTAAAACAAAGAGGGGTGGAATTACATGGTTAGCTAGAATCTTGAGTTAGGGTTAACCCAACTTGATCAGCTTTCAACACTTCATTAAATAGACTCACAAGCTGATTAATGTATTTGATCTGTTTTCATTGTAGTTGCTTATGTATGTAAAAGTACTTACAAGCAATGCATTGGCCAAAAGAAATATGAATGACTTTTTTCCTTGCTCAAAAAGTATTCCTGACATTCCAATGAACTAAAAAGCAAGTCGTTGTAGACATATAATCAGTTCAATGCTGTCCCTCAAATATTAAATATTCAAATATCAAAATGGTTTAATCGTTTTACCTTTGTGAATAATGAAAATACCAACACTTCATTACAAGTCCTTTTCACACCATCCTGAACACTTGAGGTCTCTACTGTTGCTTGCATAGTCTACCACTTTCAAGAGCTGGCTGGCCCTTCCCACTCTGCTTCACAGATTCAAGTTCATGAGGTACAGCATTTAATAATGATAACATTCTGGGTTTCTTTGGGACTTTTTTGCTTTTTGTTGTTTTTAAATTAAGAATCAGAGCATAAAGCACTATTTCCTTTTGAATACAGTAACAAATTATAAAGTCCTTAACAACAAAAATTTCTTAGATATTACATAGAAAGTGACTAAGGACTACTGGCCACTTCAGATAAATTCACTTTAAAAAGGCACAACACTTCCATATCATATAGTTTAAAAAAGATTGGGGATTTTTTATCTTGAATAAAAAGAACCAATAAATATTTTACAAAATCTGGGATCTTTTACAAAATCTGGGATACAGTTACAGAAGTGCTAATTCTTAGAATGACCAAAGAATAAATCCAGTGTTAATGGGGAGCCCCTTGGAGTAATTTTTCTGGCAAGATTCTATTAGAACACCTTCATTTTCACATTTGAATGTTTCGGTATGATCATAAAATGGGTCATTTTTGCATAATGTTCAAGGGTTTCATCTGTTTCCCCAAGGACCTCTTAATCCTTTAATATTACAATTATTCTTTTGAGATGCCTATCCTGTCATGATTCTTCAATTATCTAGCTAAGTGGCATTTCCTCATTTGTCAAAGCCTTTGTGATTTAAACAATTATCAAATTCATGTTTACGAATTTCATGAAAACCAGAATCTTCTACAAGGTTTATAATTTTATTTCACAATCAGTGCACAGTATTTGATACTGTCTTCTGATACTAAACATCAAAGAGATTGATTCATTTAAAAAAAATAAAATAGGTAAGAAGCTAGTGTTAAGCAGAAGGGACATCTGAGAGGGAACTAATTTTTTAAGTGGTCAGCTCATTCGTGAGTATTTTCATGTTAAGATGAGTTTTACTTCCTTAGGCAATCTCTAAACTTCAAGAATTAAGATAATAAACACTCTTTACACTCACCCCTATTATGATTTCCTAACATAATAGCCTCTAAACTATGGCAGGAACTTGACTCATAATTCCAGTAGTGGGCTCAAATAAGAATTACTTTCCTAAAGTTGAATGTTTGCTATTCTAACATCAAAATCCCAGTTTCAACTCTATAAATTCCCAAACACTGGAATTCTTTACAGCCTCGTTCTAGGCCGGCTTCTCCTCTGAACACACCCTTCTTAAGTGGTCTCATCTGTCCTCATGCTTTAAAATACCAGCTATAAATAAAGGTACTAACTTCCAAATACGTATTTTCAGTGCAGATCTTTCCTCTCATCTCCACTTGGCATCTCTCCTGTGTCTCAGTAGTTATCTCACACTAGCAGTCCAAGACCAAACACTTGTTCCCAAATTCCCGTCTCACCTCTACAAAAAAAGATTGTTTTCTGCCCCAAGTTTTCCTCAGCTCAATAATGGACCCTACCTAGTTGCTCAAACCAAAAGCCTAGGCATTTCTCCTTTCTCTCACATTCCTTCAAACACCACCAGAGTATTTACTGAAGCTGCCCATTCTCCTTCATTTTCACCAAACCAACCTTCCCTTCCCGTCTACTGCAATCAGCTATTTTCCATCATTCTTACCTCCCTCTCTTACACCATTCTTCATAGAACAGCCTATTGTATTTTTTAAGAGACTGTGTTCCTCCTCCACTTCTGTTCAATGGCTTCATATTCACTTAAATTAAAATTCAAACGTTTACCACGGCTTTCAATGACCTGAATGATGTGCCTGCTGCCCTCCTTTCCAATCTCACTTCAGGACTCCTACCCTCTGGCTATTAGGAGGCTGCAGCTGACTTCACTGTATCTTCCTACCTCAGTGCCTTCGCACTTGCTGGAAATGCTCTTCCTCTTGCTTTTTTCCCAGGGCTGGGTTCTTCTCATCCATCAGATCTTAGCTTCCACAAAGACCATTCCTAACAACCCTCTCTGAAATTTCGTCCTATGAATCTCTCCACAGCACTCGTTTATTTTCTTCAAAATAATCCGCAAACATTAAAAAAATAATAAATTTAAAAAAAAAGAACGTATTGTCTGTGTTCCTCCATAAAACAGAAGTTCTATCACGGACCTGGTCCGTCTCGTTTACCATTCCATCTTCCATCTCCCGACCTATAGATATCTGCATGTATCTTGCATAAATAAACATACACACCTACATAAATAAACATACACACCTAATTATATAACCAAGTAGATATCTGATGAGTGAGGACAACTCAATACTCAAGAAAAAGCCTTTTTTTCTCTATTTGTGATACGGTCGCTATAAATGTATGGGGCACATAACTCCAAGAGCACTCATTCAATATCCAAGAACCACAAAGAAGCAAAAGCCAGAAAATACATAACAAAGGGTGGAGCCACTCTTACTTGGAGAAAAGTATGAGAATGCCTTGATTTTAAACTCCTCTTTGTAAATACCCTCAAATGATGAGTAAGGACCTCAGCCGAAGCGCGGGGCATGCTTTTGGTTTAGGTAGAAAAACTGCTCCGAGTTTGATTCCAAAAACTCTATCAGACTCCCTTCTTTCACCCCTCTAGTCCATAAAGGATCGGAGAGACGACAGGGGGTGACCACTGCAGCACCCGCCCAAAGCTGACTGAGACAGCAGGAAGTCTCCAACCCATTCTCGCCCGTCCACTCCCAGCGTAAAGAGGATTCCGCGACTCGGAGACCGCAATCTACCCGCCAGTCTCCATAACGTAGGCCAGAGCAGCTGGGCTAAATAAAACAGAGCCGGGGCTCTCCCTTCCCGAAGGCCTACATCGCCCACTGGTCCGGGCTCGGAGCTCAGCAGAACCAGAGTAGGAGCGGTTGTTGCCGGCACGGAGGAGGTAGGTACCACACCAGACGGTAGGCCAGGAAACCGCAGGCCCCTGCCGGGCACAGGAAGGCATCTGTGAGATTTCTTCTCACTGCCACACCCTAGTGTTGTGGGGCGAGCATAATCCCTTTTGCCTGCTGTGCGACCAGCCCCAGGCCGGCCAAGGGGGCTTGGAACCGGGACCCCCACTGCCTCCGCCTCCTTACCAGTGTGATCCATGATTCGGCTCGCAGAGCACAGTGGGAGCGGAAGTCAACCGCGCCGGAGTCGCAGCGAGCGCGTGCGCACTGCCTTCCGGAGGCCGGGAGGCGGAAGTCCAAGCAGGTTGTCCCAATTTTGGCCTGCAAAGACTTCCTTCTCTCGCCTCTACTATCCAACTCCTGTGAGGGACTCAGGCATAGTTCGGGCGGAGGCAGAAAGAGCGAGCGCGCGAAGAACTTCGGTATTGAGGTTGCTAAGGCTTCTCCTCATGTGCTTCAAGAGAAAGTAGCCTTTAACTGTGGAAAGGACACCAGGGGGACCGGGGAAGGGGAGAGCAGTGGTAAAAATGAGCCAGAAGCAGATAAGGCGACTGCCCGCCCCGCGGAGAGCTGCCTTCTGGGACTTGTAGTGCGCGGGGCCCCCGGAGCCGGCTGGCTGCGCAGGCTCGGCCGTTGCGCTGGCCCCACCCCGGCGGGCGGAGTAACGGTTTGGAATCCCCCGGGGTCAGCGAGCGCTTGTTTCCTCCGCCTGGTGTAGCAAAAGTGTAAACACGCGCGCTCCGGAAGGCGCCCTCCAGTGGGAGGTTGCTCAGGGGATGGCGGAGCTGTGAAACTCGGAGCTAGAAGGAAAGTCTCAACGCTTGTCTAAATTTTGCTTTGTCGTGACGAGCTACCTAGACCCACGCAGAGCTAACTTGGTATATGCCCCGGTTCCCATCTCTTAAGTCTCTTTACAGTTGAAACACGTTTATAATGCTTGACTGCCACTCACTTTCTAGGGAGAGCGCTTGTGACGCTACGAACCTCTCGAACACCTGACGACTGGGCGCCAGGGCCGGATGGAGGGTGGAGAGCCAGTGCGGCGCAGCTGCCTCCTCTTAACGGGGACACCTTGCAGGAATGTGCGGAGTGGAGCTAACGGGAGCGGATAGAAACCGAGGGAGGGGAAGAGAGCGCGAAGGCTTGGCCGGAAGGAGAGGTTAAAAAGGAAAGGCCTAAAATGAGGAAGAGAGTTACCACAACAAGCAGTACCTAGTTCCAGTTCTTGGTCCCAGGAGTTTGTGGTTGTTGCTGCTTTCATCTTCCTCAGCCAACACAAAAGGAAAGTGCCAAGGGGCGATTCCTAGGACCTTCAGTGCAGTCTCCACCTTGCGGACTTGGCTCATTTGTGTCCACTCCTTTCTCCAGCCTTTTACACTTGATGCTCTTGGATGAATAGAAAGGAGCACAATTAATGGAAAACACAAGCTTGGGAGTCAAGGGATTTGGGTTCTATTCTTGTCCTCCCTTGGTGACGACATCATTACCTTGGGTTATTCAAGCTTTCAGTGCCAGAGTTCCTATATCAATAAAAGATTATTACATTGACCTCTTAGAGAAATGTTTTCATGGTACTGAATTGCAAATAAAGTATGTGTAGCGATGTGTTATATCTTTGTAGTTGTACGGTATTATTTGTGAATCATGCTGTGATGATCAGTGCGATTTAAGTGCACCATGTTATTTGGTGATTATTTTCCTGAGATCTTGTAAAAGATTTTTCTGCTCTATATATGCAGCTTTATAAACAAGTTTTTAGGTACATTCACAACTAAGGACATTTGTGAATCAAAATTACCCCTGCTTTTTTTAAATGTAAAGTTCTGTATTGCTAGGTGGTTTTCAAGATGCTTTCAGTTTCTGGGATTATTGTTTTGGGCATTGGGGCTTGCCTAACCTTTTTCCCATACCTCCCTATTTTTCTAAATACAGTGTTGATATAGTCAGGCATTTTTCACCAATTTGGGTTTTTTTTTTTTTTTTAAGTTTTCACTTAGAAAGTACTTCTTTTTCATATTAAAAAAATTTTTTTTAGAGATGGGGCAGCCCAAACTGGAACACAATGGCAGAATCATAGCTCACTGCATCCTTGGACTCCCGGGCTCAAGGGGTCCTTATGCCTCAGCCTCCGGAGTAGTTGGGACTACAGATGCTCATCACCACCACTGGCTTTGATTTTTTTGTTCTATCATACTTAGCCTATCAGCTAACGGTTAACCTTCAGATTCATGGAAATCCAGGTTCAGAATAGTATTATTAATGTCTGCTGATGCTAATATTTAAATAATTAGAATTAAAAAGAGCTTTCAAATTGTATTTTATATAATTTAACCTGTAAGTTAGAAGTTTTGTTGGCATTTTATGGTGCATCAAGAAAATTTACTGAGAGAAGATGTACTTACTTTAGATCTGATAAAATGTTAAACATTTGTTTGATTTGATTTGACATCTCTTACTTTCAGGCATTGCTTTAGCATCTGTGGTCTGTATTTACCCCCTTAATTGTGGTTGCCTTGAATTACCAATGCAGTAGCAGTGTGATAAATTAATTTCTTTACCTATGTTTTATTACTGCCCTCTAGTATCTCTTTTCAGCGACCAGCGTGCTGTAACCAGTCACAATTTCTTTATCAAGAGTTGCCATTAATATTTATTTATAGAGCATAAGGTTTATATTGCTTATATATAAGCTATATATAGTTTAGGTGCTGACCTAAGGTTTATAAAAGTGAAAACTTACTGTAATGGGCAGTCTGAAGCACTGAGGTGCACCTTTTTATCTTACTGGCAAGACCATCTACTACCTATGAATTATAAGGTAGTGGTCTCCAAGATGTTTTGATAGCCTCCCATTTACATAGTTACTGTTTATGCTATGAGAAAAGTAAGAGGGGTATCAGAGAGCTTGTTTTCCCCAATAGCCTGTTACGGACTCCTCAGTACCAAGTAAGGACAAAAACCTTCATCTCCTAACACTCTTTCAACTGTATCCCACTGAGTGCCTGCCTAGGACTGCATAAGGCAAAAGCTGTATAAATAATGGCCCCTACTTCAAGGATCCTACAGGATATCATTTTAAGAAATATGTGAAGATCTATATAATTTAGTTCTAAGTGTTGAGAGGAAATTCAGTGCTACTTACATTTAGATAAAGTAGTGGGACTGAGAGTAGTTAGGTTAGCTTTATGGAGGGATTTAAGCTGAGCCTTATGTGAATGGATAAAATTTGGAGAGGAGGAGAGCAATAAAAGGCATATCACACAGAGAAAAGCAAGGGCACAGATGTGAGAATTGTATGGTTTCTATAGAGGACAGTGAAGAGCTTTATTTGTACTGTTGATCCATGTTTGGGAGTTCTAAAAAAATAAGTTATTATGGAGCACCTTGAAAAAGTAAGATTTCAGAGTAACAGTAAAGAAATAGAGCATTTAACAAAACCCAGCATAATATATTCATAGAAACAATATAATCCAGCAAAATATATTCAAAAACAATGAGCAAATCTTAACTTGGGGTGGGGAGATGAATCAGTTGATGAACAATCAGTCAGAATTAAAGTGTAATACTATTACACCTAGACCAAGAACAATTGACCAGGAAGCCAGCGATACCTATGATAGCCAAAATGCCATGAAGTATGAATGAATTGTTAGTAAAAAAAAAAAAACGGATCCAGGTAGTGTCCAGTATATATTAATACGTTTGATAAGCAGAAATGGAAAAGGCAGTAAAATATCCTGGTTAGATATATGCCTTATCAAGCTATGGCAGCCAGCTTTTCAAACACCATGAAAAACTGGGCAAGAGGCAGATTCAGAGAATAAGAGGGAAATAGACTGTAAAAACAGAATGTTGCTGATTGAAGGCATTGTCCCGTTCCTGTCTCGAAGGAGATTCATTCTCGTTGAGGCCTGGCAATATATGTACTCATTTGAAAAGGAACCTTTTGATCTAGAGAGGTCCTGCAGCCTTCCTTCTTTTCTGAGAAGGAAAATTTTGTTGTGGATATCCTTTGAGCTGGATAGACCTGTCCCTCCCTACAGCTTCTTTGCTAATATAATTGCCTCCAGTTCACTCCTAAAAGAATGCTTAGGGTATTAAACTGCTCTGTAGTAAGCAATTAGTCTGTATATTGTTTCCTAAACTTAAGAAGGCTTTTGTTCAAGGGCCCCTGACCCTAACCTCAGCTGCCACTCCATGCCAGTTGAAAAAGGCTTTCAGCCTTCCTTGGTGCTATGGTTTGAATGAAGGTATTCCTCCAAAATTCATATGTTGGAACTTAAACCCCAAGGTGGTGATATTAAGAGGTGGGGCCTTTTGGGAAGTGATTTAGCTGTGAGGGCTTTGCTGTCATGAATGGTATTGCCGTTAGAGTCCTCAGAGAGCTGCCTGTGAGCCATGTGAGGACAGAGCATTCATCCCTTCCAGTATATAAGCAACAGGGTGCTCATCTCGGAAGCAGAGAACCCTCACAAGACACTAAATCTGCTGACACCTTGATCATGGACTTCCCAGCCTCCAGAACTGTAAGAAATAAATTTTTATTGTTTATAAATTACGCAGTCTCAGGTATTTTGTTACAGCAGTACAAACAGACTAAAACACCTGGTCCACTTGGTTTGTAAGTAGATCCTGTTACTGTTAAATAAATGTTTCTGTCAGAAATACATTCTACATCATAGTCCAGTACATAAACTCACAACACCTAAGCATATATGTAAGTGTCATGAAACTATACTTACCCTTTCTATATGCAGTTCTCTCTGCTATTTTTATTCTGTCCCTTTAAAAAAAATGTTGGTTATAATACACTAAAATAATGTCAAAGTGCACTAATTGGTTATAATTCAAGTTTGAAAACCACTGCTTTATAGCTCCCATGATGTTTTGAAGAGCTTTTTGTATTGGTCAGGGTTCTCTAGAGGGACAGAACTAATAGGATAGATAGATCCTATTATTATTAAATTATTAAATATCCTATTATTATTAAAGGGACTTTAAATATTAACTCACACAATCACAAGGTCTCACAATAGGCCATCTGTAAGCTGAGGAGGAAGGAGAGCCAGTCCAAGCCCCAAAACAAGAACTTGGAATCCGATGTTTGAGGGTAGGAAGCATCCAGCACGGGAGAAAGATCTAGGCTGGGAGGCTAGGCTAGTCTTGTCTTTTCACATTTTTCTGCCTGCTTTATATATTCTAACCACCCTGGCAGCTGATCAGATGGTGCCCACCCAGATTAAGTGTGGGTCTGCCTTTCCCAGCCCACTGACTCAAATGTTAATCTCCTTTGGCAACACCCTCACAGACACACCCAGGATCAATATTTTGCATCCTTCAATCAAGTTGACCCTCAGCACTAACCATCATAAGTCTACTACTTGTCAGCTTGAACCCATACACATCTCCTGAGATCACACATCATCTTCAAATAAAGACAATAATAAGGTCATAATTACATCTAACATAATAAAACCATCCTTTGTACAAACGGAAACGCACCAATCTCCTACCCAAATACTATTACATAAAGTTAATATTTAAATGCTGATGTGAAGTCAATAAATCTTATGTCACATGGTAACAGAAAAAGGAAATAAAATGGAGATATTTTCTTAGTACAAGTGTATACATGCACAAACATGTTTTTAACAAAAGAAGGAAGAAATACTCATGACAATTACAGTCCTTGTGTCTGCAGCTGGTCATGTGGTCGTAGCTGGTACTGATGACTACCCTCTTCTACTGTCCGTTCTGTATTCCATTTGGCTTCAGCAGGCACCTCAGGAGGTCATGGTTTTTTCCTGGTGGAGTGACCCAAACCTTCATTCCTGAAGTGTCTAGGCCATTTGTAGTCCCGCCTGGATTGCGCTGTTGTAGTTTCCTGTTAATCTTAATCACAGGGCATGGTAATACTAAGAGACACCCTAATGGATCTCCTGTATTCCATGTGTACTCTTCCCTGCCTCTGTTGTGGAGTAGTAGACTGATTTTGTCTTGATAGTCCAGGTCAGTCACCCCAGCCAACACTGTAACTCCCTTCTTAGCCTGTTGACTTAAAGGTAATAGGAGCCCAAAGTGTCCAGGTAGCAATCTTAACTTCCAGTTTAATGGAATCATTGTGTCTCCTGGTGGCAGTGTTCCTCCCTCTGGAACTAAGACCTCTAAGCCAGCAGAACGTAATGTTGCAGGAACAGGAAGCAAAAATTTTACTAGTAGATCGCTAGGGGTGATGGTGAGTGGTGCCACTTCCATTTCCACCCTTTGATTCCTGGACCTGTGAATCCTGGCTATGGGAGAAACAGTACCATATATTGGACGCTGCTTCAGAGCATCCATGGCTTTCTGGAGGACTTTGCCCCAGCCCTGCAAAGTACTGTCACCTAGTTGGCATTGTGACTTCAAAAGGCCATTCCACCGTTCTATTGATAGAACGGTGCTTCAGGGTAATGGGGAACATGGTAAGAAGAGTGAATTCCATGAGCATGAGCCCACTGCCACACTTCTTTAGCTGTAAAGGGAGTCTCTTGGTCAGAGGCAATGCTGTGTGGAATAACGTGACAGTGGATAAGGCATGCCATGAGTCCATGGATGGTCATCTTGGCAGAAGCATTGCATGCAGGATAGGCAAACCCATATCCAGAGTAAGTATCTGTTCCAGTGAGGACAAACCTCTGCTCTTTCTATGATTTAAGAGGTCCAATATAATCAAACTGCCACCAGGTAACTGGCTGATCACCCCGAGGAATGGTGCCATATTGAGGGCTCAGTGTTGGTCTCTGCTGCTGGCAAATTGGGCACTCAGCAGTGGCCGCAGCTAGGTTAGCCTTGGTGAGTGGAAGTCCATGTTGCTGAGTCCATGCATAACCTCCATCCCTGCCACCATGGCCACTTTGTTCATGGGCCCATTGGGCGATGGCAGGGGTGGCTGGGGAAAGAGGCTGAGGGGTGTCTACAGAACAAGTGGGTCATCCTATCCGCTTGATTATTAAAATTCTCCTATGCTGAGGTTACCCACTGGTGAGCACTCACATGGGTTACAAATATCTTCACTGTTTTTTACCCCTCAGAGAGGTCCATCCACATACCTCTTCCCCAGATTTCTTTGTCACCAATTTTCCAATCATGCTTCTTTCAAGTCCCTGACCATCCAGCCAAACCATTGGCTACAGCCCATGAATCAGTATATTGTTGGGAACAAGCCCCCCAAAATCTGGCCATAAACTGGCCCCAAAACTGGCCATAAACAAAATCTCTGCAGCACTGTGACATGTTCATGATGGCCATAACACCCATGCTGGAAGGTTGTGGGTTTACCAGAATGAGGGCAAAGAACACCTGGCCCACCCAGGGCAGAAAACCGCTTAAAGGTGTTCTTAAACCACAAACAATAGCATGAGTGATCTGTGCCTTAAGGGCATGTTCCTGCTGCAGATAACTAGCCAAACCCACCCCTTTATTTTGGCTCATCCCTTCGTTTCCCATAAGGGACACTTTTAATTAATCAAATATCTATAGAAACAATCCTAATGACTGGCTTGCTGTTAATAAATACATGGGTAAATCTCTGCTCTAGGCTCTCAGCTCTGACGGCTGTGAGACCCCTGATTTCCCACTTTACACCTCTATATTTCTGTGTGTGTGTCTTTAATTCCTCTAGCGCCGCTGGGTTGGGGTCTCCCTGACCAAGCTGGTCTCAGCAGTATATAATCACACATCTGGCCATTTCTCCTTCCATGCAAAGTGCACAACCGGGTGCACTGCTCAAAGTTCTGCCCTCCAGGAAGATTTCCCTTCACCACTGTCCTTCGGGGATGTCTTAGAAAGGGGCTGTAGTGCTGCAGCTGTCCACTTTTGGGTGGTTCCTGCATACCATGCAGAAACATCTGTGAACCAGGCCCTAGTCTTCTCTTCCTCTGTCAACTGATCATAGGGAATTCCCCATGAGGCCATTGGTGCAAGCTGGAGGAGAGAAGGCAGGGTGGCAGGATTGGTGACCATGGGCATTCGAGGCACTTTCTCATGTAACTTGCTTGTGCCTTTAGGACCTGCTCAAGCCTAGTCACGTATATACCACTTCCACTTGATGATGGAATGCTGCTGTGCAGGACCCACTTTATAGCTAGATGGGTCAGAAAGTACCCAGTTCATGATAGGCAATTCAGGTTGCATGATGACTTGATGACCCTTAGTCAAACATTCAGTTTCCACCAAAGCCTAGTAACAGGCCAAGATATGTCTCTCAAAAGGAGAGTAGTTATCTGCAGAAGATGGCAGGGCCTTGCTCAAAAATCCTAGAGGCCTCTGCTGTTATTCACCTATGAGGGCCTGCCAAGGGCCCCAAACTGCATCCCTATCAGCTACTGACACCTCAAGCACCCATTGGATCTGCTGGGTCATATGGCTCAAGTGGCAGAGCAGCTTGCACAGCAACCTGGACCTGTTGCAGAGCCTTCTCCTGTTCTGGACCCTACTCAAAACTGGCAGCCTTTTGGGTCACTCAATAAATGGGCTGGAGTAACACACCCAAATGAGAAATGTGTTGCCCCCAAAATCCAAATAGGCCCACTAGGCATTGTGCCTCTTTCTTGGTTGTAGGAGGGGCCAAATGAAGCAACTTATCCTTCACTTTAGAAGGAATATCTCGATAGGCCCCACACCACTGGACCCCTAGAAATTTTGCTGAGGTAGAAGATTCCTGAATTGTAGTTGAATTTATTTCTGGTCCTCTGGCATGCAAATATCTCACCAGTAAGTCCAGTGTGTTTGCTACTTCTCACTCACTGGATTCAATCAGCATAATGTCATTAATGTAATGGACCAGCGTGATATCTTGTGGAAGCGAAAAGTGATCAAGGTCTCTCTGAATAAGATTATGACACAAAACTGGAGAGTAGATATATCCCTGAGGTAGGACAGTAAAGGGATATTGCTGGCCTTGCCAGCTGAAGGCAAATTGCTTCTAGTGAGCCTTATGGACAGGCATAGAGAAAAAGGCATTTACCAAGTCAATGGCTGCATACAAGGTACAAGGAGATGTGTTAATTTGCTCAAGCAATGAAACCTGGTACAGCAGCTCCAGTTGGAGTTACCACTGGGTTAAGCTTATGGTAATCCACTGCCATTCTCCAAGATCCATCTTTCTTCTGCACAGGCCAAATGGGAGAGTTGAACAGGGATATGGTGGGAATTACCACCCCTGCATCTTTGAAGTCCTTGATGGTGGCACTAATCTCAGCAATCCCTCCAGGGATGCGATATTGTTTTTTATTTACTATTTTTCTAGATAGAGGCAGCTCTAATGGCTTCCATTTAGCCTTTCCCACCATAATAGCCCTCACCCTACCAGTCAGGGAGCCAATATGGGGGTTCTGCCAGCTGCTAAGTATGTCTATGCCAATTATGCATTCTGGCACTGGGGAAATAATCATAAGATGAGTTTGGGGACACACTGGACCCACTGTAAGTTGGACCTGAGCTAAAACTCCATTAATTACCTGACTGGTAATTAATTTAATTTATTTAATTAATTAATTTAACTGGAGGACAACAATGATGTTTTCGGTCCCCTGGAATCAACGTCAGCTCAGAGCTAGTGTCCAGTAGTCCCTGAAGTGTCTGATCATTTCCCTTTCCCCAAGATACAGTTACCTTGGTAAAAGGCAAGAAGTCTCCTTGGGGAAGGATGGGAGAAAGATACTGTCAGTAATGTAGTGGGGTCTTTCATCAAGGGGACCCAGCCTCCCCTTCATTCAAGGGGTTCTGGGTCTGTAAACTGGCTCATGTCTGGAAATTAATTGAGGGGGCATGATTCTCTGTTTTTATAATTTAAATTAGTATTTTATCCATTTGACTTAGAAGTTTTCTGCTTATATAAATTAAGTAGGAATGCAGTAGGCTTCCTATCAATTTCACTTCTAGGAGCACTGTGATTAATTAGCCAATGCCAGAGCTCTACATGAATCAGACTATTCTGATTGCCACTTTGCCTCTGCTTTCCATTACAGTAGCTATACCCACCCTGCCTTTTACAGTTGAGTGCTGCTACTTTGCCCCTGCCACCTTGGGATCCAGTTATTCCCATTGTATTTAAATTTTGTAGTTGAGTGACTGTGGTTCCCACTGTTAGCTCTGACATACAGAAAAGAGCAATTACAGGGCTCTTCAAAGATGCAGGTGCTGCCCTCCCAAATATATTTTGCAAGGCATTGGTCAAGGATATATCTTCTGGACCCTCTCAGGTGGGATGAGTAGGTCTAAAGTGACTAATCCACTCCACCATCCCAGTCTCCCTAAGCCTTGGGATCCCTTCCTCTACATTAAACCAAGAGAGATCAGGCATTTCCAGCTTGCTCACAGTGGACCATCTTTTAATCCATATTTTAGCTAACCAAGAAAATAAACTATTAGAACCTTTTTAACTCCCTGAGCTGCAACATTAAATGGTGTCCCTACTTAGTGGGCCCAATCAATAAATTCAGCCTGATCCAATTCTATGTTCCTTCCACCATTATCCCACACCCTTAATATTCATTCCCATGCCGGTTCTCCAGATTTCTGTTTATATAAATCAGAAAACTCAAGCAGTTCTTTTTGAGTGTAGTGCACCTCCTTATGGGTCACACTCAACCTCACCTCTAGGCACCCGTCAGGACTTTAGTCTAGTTATAGGTCTAGAAGCAAAGAGAGGTGTTGGGGGTGTCTCCTGAGGAGAATCAACATTATCTTGCCTGGCAACTGCCTGAGGGGATGCCATCACTGTTGCCTCAGACATCACAGGTGTCTCCTCAGACAAAGGTGGAAAGACTGATGGCAGCATGGGTCAGGGAGGGGATGTTCCCACTACTGGGGATGGGGAAGCTGTTCCTTCTGGCAAAAAAATGTTCATCAGATCTTATAAGCTCAGTGTCCCCAGCTTCATCAGGGTCCTCCCACACATCCCCATTCCAAGTTTCAGGGTCCCATTCTTTTCCAATCAATGCCTTCACTTTAACAGTAGACACCTGGCGAGGCTGTGCATTCACCTTTCATTGCAGATCAGCCACTCATGTGATAAGAGCTTGCGTCTGTTTTTCCACAATTTCAGCTCTTTCTCTACAGGAGATAAGACTCTCACTCAGGGCCATCTCAGCACATTTGAGGCTCAGTGTCTGTTTCTGAAACTGGGAGACAGAATCCCTGAGTTCATTATTTTCTTTCATCATTTTGTCCAGTGAACTTAAGAGCAACCAACCAACCAGCTTCATTATGTTCCTTGGTTCTCCACATATGGTCAAAGGTATTATGTATAGAGTCACTAAACTCCTTGCCTCCCACGAGCAATGAATCAGGAGTGTCAAATGCATTTATTTCGCATAACTCTTTAAACAGTTCACACCAAGGACTATCAGTGTTCTCCATACTATTAGAAGTAGAGTCCTTAGCATTTTTGGGTCTAATCATATTAAGCAGCCACCTCCAGAAACACCCAAACCAACCTAACTACTCCATCCTTAATATTCTGTTCCTCTGAACCACACTCCTGGTACCAAAATCTCATATATATATATATATATATATATATATATATATATATATATACACATATAGATATATATATATATATATACGTATATATATATACGTATATATATATATATATACACACACACACACACACATACACACACACACACATATATGAGTTTATTCAGTATTAACTCACACTATCACAAGGTCACACAATAGGCCATCTGCGGGCTGAGGAGCAAGGAGAGCCAGTCCGAGTTCCAAAACTGAAGAGCTTGGAGTCCGATGTTCGAGGGCAGAGGGCATCCAGCAGGGGAGAAAGATGTGGGCTGGGAGGCTAGGCCAGTCTAACATTTTCTCGTTTTTCTGCCTGTTTTATACATGCTGGCAGCTGATTAGATGGTGCCCATCCAAATTAATGGTGGGTCTGCCTTCCACAGCCCACTGACTCAAATGTTAATCTCTTTTGGCAATACCCTCACAGACACAACCAGGATTAATATTGTACATCCTTCAATACAATCAAGTTGACACTCAGTATTAATTATCACAAGCATACAGGCAAAAGACAGTCATTTTCAAACATGAAGGAACTCAAGGAACACAACATGCCTGAGTTTTTCTTGGGACGGGGTAAACATCTGTGTATATGTGTATGTTTATTTATATACCATATGCAACAATCAAATACAATTAGAGAAAATTTTAAACTCAGGAAGTAAAAAATTGGGAAAATAATTTATTGAACAACAAGTATTTATTAGTGCCTACTATGTGCCAGACATTCTTCTAGACACTTCAGATACATCATTGAACAAAGCAAATAACTCATCATGCCTGCATGAAACTTACATTTTAGTAAAGTATAGCTGGTTTAAATATGTAACTTTACTAATACTAAACAACTATGGAAATTATAATTAGAGAATAAAAGGCAAATATTTCAAACCTGGATAAAATAAATACCATGTAACTGAAAAATTGTTTTGGAGAGAGGAGACAAACCTAGTAGGTACTAATTTTTCACAAAGTGTCTACTTTTACTGTTTAAAATTGAAAAGCAGTTTAAAATACAGTTATATGCTGCATAATGATGTTTTGGTCAACTGCACATGCAAAGGTAGCCCCATAAAATTATAATGAAGTTGAAAAATTCTTAGCACCTAGTGACATCATAGCCAACCTAACATCATAGTGCAACTCATTACTCACAAGTTGCGGTGATGCTAGCATAAAAAAACCGGTGCTACCAGTCATATAAAAGTGTAGCACATAAAATTATATACAATACATAATACTTGATGACAAATTATTATACTAGTTTATGTATTACTGTACCTTTTATCATTATTATTATTATTATTTTTGAGATGGAGTCTTGCTGTGTCGCCTAGGCTGGAGTGCAGTGGTGCGATCTCGGCTCACTGCAACCCCCGCCTCCTGGGCTCAAGCAATTCTTCTGCCTCAGCCTCCCGAGTATCTGGGACTACAGGCACACACCACCATGCCCAGATAATTTTTGTATTTTTAGTAGAGATGGGGTTTCACCATATTGGCCAGGCTGGTCTCAAACTCCTGACCTCGTGATCTGCCAGCCTCGGCCTCCCAAAGTGCTGAGATTACAGGCATGAGCCACCATGCCTGGCCTTTTTATTATTATTTTAGAGAATACTACTACTTGTTTTTTTAAAATGTCAGCTGTAAGACAGCCTCAGGCAGGTCCTTCAGGAGGTATCCAGAAAAAGACATTGTTATCACAGGAGATGACAGCTCCAAGCTTGTTATTATCCCTGATGACCTTCCAGTGGGACAAGATGTGAAGGTGGGAGACAGTGATACCGATGATCCTGAACCTGAGTAGGCCTGTGCTAATGTGTATCTTTGTCTTAGTTTTTAACAAAAGGTTTTAAAAGTGAAAAACATTTTTTAATAGAAAAAAACTTATAGAACAAGGATATAAAGAAAAAATATCCTGTACAACAAAAACACAAACAGCTGTACAATGTGTTTGTGTTTTTAAGCTGTGTTATTACCAAAAGAGTCAGAGTTAAAAATTAAACAGTTTATAAAGTTAAAAAATTACAGTAAACTTAATTATTGATGAAATAAATTTTTTATAATTTTAAGTTAGCGTAAGTGTACAGTGTCTATAAAGTAGCATACAGTGATGTCCTAGGCTTTCACATTCTCTTACTGACTCACTCCATATATGGTAAGTGCCCTATACAAGTGTACCATTTTTTATCTTTTACGCCATATTTCTACTGTACCTTTTCTGTGTTTAGATACACAGATACCATTGTGTTATAGTTGCCTACAGTATTCTGTACAGTAACATTCTGTACAGGGTTGTAGCTTTGGAGCAATAGACTATACCATATAACCTAGACGTGTGGTAGGCTGTACCATCTAGGTTTCTGTAAGTTCACCGTACGAAGTTTGCACAATGATGAAGTCACCTAACACATTTCTCAGAACATATCTCCATCATTAAGTGATGCATGACTATTAAGAATAATATCAAGAATAAAAAATATTCAGCCTCTTGGAGATTTTCATAATTTCTTAACCTAGAAAGAGCCTTTGGAAAAAATACTTCCCATGTTAAAGAAAAAAAAATTTTTTTTGAGACGGAGTTGCTCTGTTGCCCAGGCTGAAGTGCAGTGGCGCGATCTTGGCTCACTACAACTTCTGTCTCCCAGGTTCAAGCGATTCTACTGCCTCAGCCTCCTGAGTAGCTGGGACTACAGGCGCCCGCCAACACTCCCGGCTAATTTTTTGTATTTTTAGTAGAGACATGGTTTCACTGTGTTAGCCAGGATGGTCTCGATCTCCTGACCTCGTGATCTGCCTGACTCAGCCTCCCAAAGTCCTGGGATTACAGGCATGAGCCACTGCACTCGCTGGAGCCTCTTTTTGAGGGCACTAATCCCATTCATGAGGGTGCTGCCCTCATGACCTAGCCACCTCTCAACAGTCCCACCTCCTAAGACCATCACATTGGGGGTGAGATTTCAACATATAAATTTTAGGGAGATAAAAGCATTCAGACCATAGCAAAAGTTATTCCTGAGTAGAATGATTTAGGGTGATTCTTAGAATTTTATTCTAGTCTTATTTGAGGGGTTTTTAGTTGGAGTTTTAATATTTTTCACCCACATATTTTGATGAGCTAAATCACTAATGAACTTAAGTTTAAAACTATGCTAAACTGAGGTAGAATTCTAGAATCATAAACATACAGTGTTTTCCAGTATTATCACCACGTAAGTCAATCCTGTATGTTTACTTGTGCAATTGATAAGCTTAGGTAAGAAGTTGATTCCACTTAGGTAAGAAGTTTAAATTAAATCTGAGGCAAATTAATTATGCATTGTATTTTTGTAACAGCTCTCCCCCCATTTCATTGGTAAGTATTTCAGTATGAATCTCTAAAATATAACATAGTGACAATGCCATTATCACACCTTTGTCTCTTCAAAAAGTCAAGGTCACGAGGGGAGAAAAGGGTAGGAGGACTTTTTTGAATTAATAAAAGTAAAGGCATTTAATCGTTATCATTATTTTAGAGTATACTACTACTTGTTTTTTAAAAATATTAACTGTAAGACAGCCTCAGGCGGGTCCTTCAGGAGGTATTCCAGAAAAAAGCATTGTTATCATAGAAGATGACAGCACTTTTTCAAATGCAATGAAATTGATTGGATCCAAATTCAGGGGAAAATAGCTATAAAAATTTGGAGAAATTTTAATATAGATGGGCCAGAAGATGATATAAGATAATTATTCTTGAGTATAATAATGGTATTTTGGTTAGGAGATGAATGCTGACTCGGTAGGAGGTAGCATATCATGATGTGCAAGTTACTTTCAAAATATATATAGGTAGATAGGCATATACATAAGGCAAGGATGGCAAAATGTTAACAACTGGTGAATCTTGGTGGGGGGCGTGTAGTATTGTATCCTTTCAACATCTGTGGTGTTGAAAATACTGTATAATTAAAAGTTGGGGAAAAAAACTCTAGACAGATTCATTTGTAACAAAAATAAATGGAAACAAAACAAATTAAAATAAAGGATATCCGGTGCTATAAATTGAATATTTGTATCCTCCCAACTCCACCTGTTAAAGCCCTAACCCCCAGTGTTTATGGTGTTTGGGGATGGAGCTTTGGATGATAATTAGGATTAGATGGTCATGAGGGTGGGGCTTCATGGTGGGTTCAGTGCCTTTATAAGAAGAGACACTGAAGAGCTTTCCTCTCTCTGTTTCTCTCCACACACATGTGCTTAGGAAAGGCTATGTGAACACACAGTGAGAAGGTAGCTGTCTGCAAGCCAGCAAGAGAAGTCTCACCAGAACCCAGCCATGCTGGCACCCTCATCTCAGACTTCCAGCCTTCAGAACTGTGAGAAAGTAAGTTTCTTTTGTTTACATCACCCAGTCTATGGTATTTTGTTATGGCAGCCCAAGCTGATTCATACAGATTTTGGTACCAAGAAACAGGGTGCTGTGTAACAAATACCTAAATATGTGGAAGCAGCTTGAAACTGCATAATGAGAGACTGGGAGAGCTTTGAGATGCATACTAGAAATATGACCATTAAGGGCAATTCTGGGGAGGTCTCAGACAGAAATGAAGAACAAGTCATTGGAAGAATATATTAATTGGAGGAAAGGTGATCTTTGATATAAAGTAGCAAAGAATTTAGCTGGACTGTGTTCTAGTATTTTGTGGAAGGTAGAACTTGTGAGGCTGAATTGGATATTTTACTAAGCAAAGTGTCCGAGGAGTAGCTTGGTTCCTCCTGAGTGCTTATAGCAAAATGTGAAATGAAAGAGATGAATTGAAGAAGGAATTAAGCAAAAGGGAACCAGAGCTTGAAGATTTGAGAAAATTATCAGCCTATCCATATTGCAAAAAATGAGAAAGCTTGTCCTGAAAAGAATACTAAGGGTGTGGATGAACATCCATTTGATAAAAAGATCATGAGTGCAGTTCGTGAACACAATCAGCCATTTCAACAGAAAGCAGGCATAGAGATGGGATTATACCAGCAGAGACACCATCTGTTTGAACTAAAGGGGACAAAGAAAGAGAGGGCCCGGTGCAGTGGCTCACACCTGTATCCTAGCACTTTGAGAGGCTGAGGCAGGTGGATCACTTGAGCTCAGGAGTTTGAGACCAGTGTGGGCAACATGGTGAAACCCTGTCTCTACAAAAAATACCAAAAAAAAATTGCCAGGCATGGTGGCATGCACCTGTAGTCCCAGCTACTTGGGGGAGCTGAGGCAGGAGGATTGCTTGTGCCTAGGAAGTTGAGGCTGCAGTGAGCCATGATCATGCCACTTCACTGCAGCCTGGGCAACGGAGCCAGATCTTGTCAAGGAAAGGGGAGGGGAGGGGAGGGGAAGGCAGTGGGAGGTATGACTGACTTCTTGGATTTTACAGGACAGGACCATAGAGCTATTCAGCTGTGAAAGTGAGCTACTCTTCAGGAAAAGGACAAAAGGACCCCAAAGGCAATTGAGAGATCATCAGGACTGCCACTCCTACCACAGGCTAAGAGTGCATGGGCCCAGGGGGATGGCGTAGGGCAAGACTGCCTCCACCTTGGTTTCAAAGGTCTCTGCCCAGCAAAGCTTCATGTTTGTGGCCACACATTAGCAGTGGGGGTAATGCTACTACCTCAATGAGTCTGGAAGACCGAGATTTGAGCCAAAGAGGAATTTCCTCCAGGCTTAAGATATAACAGAATTTGCCTTGCTAAGTTTTGGACTTGCTTGGGACCCATCACTCCTTCCTTCTCTCCTATTTCTTTATTTTTGAACGGGGATGTGTATTCTATGCCTGTCTCACCATTTTATTTTGGAAGCACGTAACTTGTCTGGTTTCACAAGTTCATAGCTGGAGAGGAATTTTGCCTCAGGATGAATCTTATCTGTACCTGGTTTAGATATTTAAATGAGACTTTTTACTTTAGATTTCAGAATTGATCCTGCAATAAGACTTTTGGGGATTGTTGGGATGAAATGAATGTATTTTGCATGCAGTAAAGACATGAATTTTGGGGGACCAGGGGGCAGAATATTATGGAGTGTATCCTCCCCCAATTTCATGTGGATGCTGTAACCCTCAGTGATGGTATTTGGGTATGGGGCCTTTGGGAGGTAATTAGCATTAGATGAGGTCATGAAGATTGGGCCCTCATGATGGGATTAGTTTCCTTATAGGAAGAAACACCAGAGAGCTTGCATGTGCCTGCCCCGAGGAAAGGTCTTGTGAGCCACACTGCAAGAAGGCTGCTGTCTGCAAGCCAAGGAGGGAGGTCTCACCAAAACCCAGTCATGCCAGCACCCTGATCTGACTTCCAGCCTCCAGAACTATGAGAAAATAAATTTCTGCTATTTCCACCACCCAGTCTATGGCATTTTGTTATGGCAGCCCAAGCTGACTAATATACCTGGGAATGACCTAATTTCCCTGAGTTGCACAGAAGATCCTTTACAGTACCATGAAAATAAAATATACTAGAAAGAGAAAAGATTGGTACTTAATTGCAGTGAATCTCTCACTGAGAGGCTAGAGAATAATATACTCTTTCTTTGTTAGGAATAAACACTCCAGATTGTTGGAACAGAGTGTGAGCTCTCTATCTAATTTGCTATATGGGGAGGAGAGTGTCAG
The DNA here is from genome assembly GCF_000001405.40 of Homo sapiens. Taxonomy (NCBI): domain Eukaryota; kingdom Metazoa; phylum Chordata; class Mammalia; order Primates; family Hominidae; genus Homo; species Homo sapiens. The sequence continues at coordinate 107,726,162 of NC_000007.14, read as the reverse complement.
TCTTCACCTAACTTTAGCTATTCTATTTATTGTTACTGTTTGCTTATCTCCTGCAATAAGAGGCAATACAAATGATAGCCTAGTTCTCCTTAACCTAAAGGAATTCAGAATGAATCTTGTCTGCCCAGTGTCCAATTCAGGACATTTATTTGGCCCTTTATTAATGCCCCAGGGAACAATCTACCTGCTTCCTTGGACCCTGTTAACATTTAAATCTTTTTCAGCTATCTCTAGGGTGTTAAACCACACCATCAACATTCACTTATCAAAAGAAATTGTACTGATTTCTTTAATTGTAGAATTGACTCAGTGTTTTAGAATAGTAGTTAAAGGATTTGGGCTCTGGAATTTAACTCAGCAGTTTACTTCCCGAGTGGCCTTCCTTAGGCAATTCACTTAACCTTTCTTTTTCTCAATTTCCATTATCTGTAAAATGAGGATACCTGTTCCCACCTGTAGTGTTTTTGTGGAAATTACATTAGCCAGTGAGGCCAGGTGTGGTGGCTCACACCTGTAATCCCAATGCTTTGGGATGCTGTGGTGGGACAATTGCTGGAGCCCAGGAGTTTGACGCTGCAGTGAACTGTGATTGTGCCACTGCACTCTTGCCTGGGCAACAGAGCAAGATCCTGACCCTAAAAATAATAATAAGTAAGTAAATAAAAAATAAATTAGCCAAAGAATTTAAATAACTAGCATCACAACTTTCACAATGCCTAACAAATAATAAGCACTTAATGACTGTGAGTCATCTTCGTCTTTGTCTTCATCATCCTCAAATTTGACAGGTAGATAAAAATCCTAGACAGAAACCGTTTTAGGAGATGGTGTCCACTAGGTGGCACCAGTCACAGGTAAATAAAGTCTCCCACATACGTTTCACCAAAAGTTTGGAAGTCATGAAGAGATGTAAAATATTTTGCATTATTGCAATGGCAATAATGCAATATATAGAGAGAGATATATAAATATATTGTGGCCCCAAAACTAGATATTTCCTCCCAAATAATTACCTAATGGATGTCTTACAAGCAAACATGTTCTGATTTGTGATTCCCAGGCCCCAGGAGATTCTGATGCAGGGATCAGCAGACGAACTTTGAGAAACTCTCGTTTTCTGTAGCTGGGTATGATGGTACGATACTAAACCTCACCATCTCAGGAGTGTAATTAGGGTCAGGTTTGGCTAACAACTGGAGCTTTTGTTTTGCAGAAATATATTCCTCCTACTTATGTTGTAGCAGGGTGTGATTTGGAGAAGAACCCTGTTGAAGGTCAGAGATTTTGTACCTAACATTCTGTGGAAGGAAACTCTTTGTGGGCAGTAGGGAGGGGAGTAGACAGCTGACACAGGGACAAGAACTTGGTTGGAAGAGCAAGAGTTCAAATAAGGTTTTTAGGCAGTTTTTCTACATGACAAGTAAATATCCACAATCCTTTTGTAATTGGATGTTTTTCTGATATCTGAGAAACTCTTAGTAAAGCAAGAACAAAATGGGCTAGACATTTGAGTTATAATACTTTTCAACTTTTCTGTCTTGACTCCTTTCTGTTATCCCTAAGCCTTCAAGCAAAATCTTATTAAACATATCCTAGTTATGTTTAAGGGAGGTAAGGCTGTGTCCATCTTTGAGATGTATTATTATACCAGTTGAAACTGAGTTATAGAATTAAGGTGACAAACTTTTAAACATGTGAATGCACTCATTAATAAAGAAATTGAATAAAAGCCTGGAATTCCTACATAGGATGGACTGTTTTGTCATTTGGGTATCAAAGGGCAAGGTGATCCCAGAAGACTGGCCATGGTAATACTCTAAATCGGCTGAAGACCTAGGGGCTGGAGATGGATCCCAGACGGGGAGAAGTTGACAGAAAAAAAGCATAAAAGGGTAAAAGTGAAGAGGAGATGTAAGCAAATTGGAACATAATTAAATTGGGTAGAAGTTGAAAAGAGCATTTTGGGAAGTCGATCTGTCCTGGCCTTTCTGTCTTAGAAAGAAATAAAAGAGAGGCCTGTGGCAGAACCATTCCTTCAACTTCCTGACCCCCAACTCCCATCCCATCCTAAATTCCTTTCATCCCAGAGAAAGGGGAGTATTCATCCTATACAAGTTAGATCCCCTCTTGTCTTTTGTCCACACACCATCAGTTATCTATTCCCTCTTGTACATTTTCAATTCTTCTTTCATTACTAGTTCTACTCTTTAAGTATGTATGTGTGTGGGAGGATCCCTTGAGCACCAGGAGTTTGAGACCAGCCTGGGCAATATAGCAAGAACCTCTCTCTATAAAACAAATAATACAAAAATTAGCCCGGCATAGTGTGGCAAGTCTGTGGTCCCAGCTATTCAGGAAGCTGAGTGGTAGGTTCACTTGAGCCCGAGATGTCAAGGCTGCAGTGAGCTGTAATTGTGCTACTGAGCTCCAGCCTGGGCAACAGAGGGAGATCCTTTCTCAAAAAAGAACATAGTATCAGTGGTCACCAATATTTTTAGCTCTCCTTCCCTTCTTAGACATTTGGAAGTATTATATTTGCCCGCTTTTTTTACTTTGGCCACCGAAATGTGAGTGAAAGTTACATGTTGCTTCTGGGTGGAAATATTTGAAGCAGGTTCACAATTCTTGCTTTTATTGTTTTGTTTTGTTCTTCCTTGCCTTCAAGAAAGGTGATCCTGTGTTGAGATAATAGATGTCTAAGATCAAAGCTGCCTAGAATGCTAAGTCATCACATGGAAAAAAAAATTGCCTTGACCCACAGCAAACATTCAGCAAGAAAAAACCACCCCAGACTTTTCTTGTATAAGTCACTAAAGTTTTTGCTCTTTTTAGTTCTGAGGTATGAATGTGTTAGGTTACTGTAGTATAATTAAACCTATCCTGACTAATATAAATGCTATGCAAACACATATTTTAAATACATCTATTTTAGCCCCCACTTCCAACTAGCTGGCCACCCATAAGCCTCCCTAAACAGAAATTATGGAGCTGCCAATGCTTGTGAACTGACCCTCTTCAAGTCTCCCATATTTCAGTAATTATCAGCACCATCCACTTAGTTACTCAATCCAGAATTCAAAAACAGAGATTATCTCAATTCTTCCCTCTTCCTCCCCTCACAGTCTGATCACTAAGTTTTCCTAAGTCTGTCTCAAATAGATCCTGAACATCTGCAATGGCCTTCTTCCTGTTCCTACTTCCGGTCTTGGAATATTTTATATATATATATATATATATATATATATATATATATATATATATATATATAAAAAATACAATACCTTCTTGTGGTACAAAATCAGAAGTTAATAAAGGGTCTACAGTAAAAATTCGGCCTCGAACCCCTGCCCCCAGGTACCCAGTTCCTTCCTGTAGGCAACCAAAATGACCAGTTCCTTTTGTATCCTTTGAGATATGCTCTGCACATAGAAACAAACAGTCTACACTTCTCTCAGAATAATCTTTTTTTTTTTTTTTGAGATGGAGTCTCGCTCTGGAGTGCAGTGGCACAATCTCAGCTCACTGCAACCTCTGCCTCCCGGGTTCAAGCGATTCTCCTGCCTCAGCCTCCCAAGTAGCTGGGTTTACAGGCGTGTGCCACCAGGCCCTGCTAATTTTTGCATTTTTAGTAGAAACAGCGTCTCACTATGTTGGCCAGGCTGTCTCGAACTCCTGGCCTCAGGTGATTCGCCTGCCTCAGCCTTCCAAAGTGCTGGGACTACAGGTGTGAACCACTGCACCTGGCCAGAATAATCTTTTAAAAATACAAATCTTACCATATTTTCTGAGTCTGAAGCCTTTCAGTGCTTTCCCATTACAAACTTTTGATTGTTTAGCATCCTGCTTTGATGACCTCCTTGCCTTTTCTCTCTCTTACCACCCTCCAGTCCTGCTGATCTTTCACTTGTGAGACAACCCCCCTCCCCACTGAGTTCTTTCCTGACTCAGAGTGTTTACCTATACTGTTCCCTCTGCCTGAAAACTTTTTCCCCAGATCTGTACATGCCAATTCCTTCCTTAAATGTTACCTCTTTAGAGAGTGTGCTATTCTTATCATTCTCTATTATTGCCCTCCATTTGTCGCCTTCAGTCTCTACCTCCTTATAATGGCTATGGCTATGTAAGTAGTCATTATATATTTATTGGTATGTTTACTTCTTTACTGATCATCTCCCACGTTAGACTATAAGTTCCGTGAGAATAGCAACTGTCTTTTTTTTTTTTAACCATTCCCTGGATACCCAGCCCCTAGTTCTGTGTCTATTACAAAGTAGGTGCACATTAAACATTTGATGAATGAATGAATGAGGAACTAATGGAAAAATCTAATACTTTGGGGTAGGAATGCAGATGGGCAGAGGAAGATGAAACTAAAAAGAGAAACTAGCCTCAACTATTTAAGCAGGCAAATTTGGCCTGCATATTGTTTCTCCCCTGAGTGTAAGTTTTTATCCCATGCCTCCTTACACCATGTGGCTGGCTCTGCCTCTGGTTAGGCCAGCCACTTATTATGCAGAAGAAGGGCTGGGGAGAAAGAAGAGCAGAGCATCACTCCCACACTTTCAAGCCCTTTAATTCTTTGGGAGAAGATGGCAGTAAGCACAGAATGCTCATTTGCCACAGCTTGTATTTTGTTGTAAACATTTAATAACGGGTTTAAACAGAAATATTGAGCAATCACTCCTTGCTTTGTTTTAGGGACCAAAAGTTTCTTTATTACAAGCAAGTAAAATCAGAAGAAACAATGACTCTCACATAGAAACAGTAACATGTTTATAAGGAAATGTTAACTCCACAATCTCAAATCAATATCTATTTCTACCTATATGTTTTTAAATAGCACATATTTCTTTTTCTACCATAAAAGTAGTGCTTCATGTAATTATAAATAATAGAATACTAAAATTATCTTTAAAGGATAGGCTATGAAAATAAAAATCACATCCATGGAACAAGCCTTTTATTTCTAAATCACAAAAGCTAGTATGTCTGCTTTCATCTCTTACTCCCTTTGGAAACAAAAAACAAAAGCCTCATTCATCTCCACTTTAATTTCACCTTCTGAATTTATTTCTAGATACCTAGATCACCTGATTGGATTAGCGAGGTAATGTAACCCAGCCATTTGTCTTTATCTCTTACCACACTGGAGGATAAAACCTAGGCTCCTTTATGTAGTATATAAGGCTTCTCGTTAGCTGGCCCCAGGTCATCTTCCAGCCTCATTTCTTACCACCTTCTTCCCTTACTCACTTAACTGGGAACTTACTGGAGACAGGTCATGGGCTCATGTGTGTGTTCTAAAGGTCTGGCCCTCTCTTACTCAACCAAATACTTCCAGGTCAGGGAATAGAAAGATGTCCAGACCTCCTTCTTTTGTATATGGCATAGGCTTAAAGGAATGGGTTAAATGATCCTGCTGTGCTGGTTTACTACAAATCGATGAGCTAGGAAGTGAATGCAACTGGAGAGAGTAGGCTTCACTACTTTGGTCAACATGCGGAAATAAGAACCGTCCTCAAGTGTTAGGCAGTGCCACTAGTTTGCAAATGCCTTGACAAGAATCATACCTGATCTTTCTTGTGAAGAGTCTCTCCCAGCTTGCAGTACTGGCTGGCCAAGGACTTGTAAAATTCTTTAACATCTAAAAGGTGACCTTTACATGCTCCCCAGTATCACCTAGAGCTCCTCCATGGCTGAGGTGGCTGTGGGCAAAAATGAAATTGCAGAGAAAGAGTATGTCCTCATTGGAGGCTCACCAGAAGTCATTGCAAATGAATTCTACAACAGAATATTCAGTGTTCAACTTACCCTGATTGTAGGAAGTCTAATATCAGAGCTATTCCTCTAATTCAGAATGTCTTTGTTCAGCCATAAGTCTGGGAATGGTGTCAGAAGAAGAGGTATATCTGCACTTGGAGTGCATTTTTAAAAGGGTCCCCAGAAGGAGTCTTGTGCTGATGGCATAGTTAAACTTCTTGATTGTGATGGTGTTTACACAAAGCTATACATGGGATAAAATTGCATAGAGTGCCCCAACACACACACACACACACACACACACACACACACGTCCATGTATAACTGGTGAAATGTGAATAAGGTCTATGGTTTATACCAATGCCAATTTCGTGTTGTTTTTTTAAATTGTACTGTAGCTAGGCAAGATGTTAACATTGTGGGAGCCTGGGTGAGGGGTGCATGGGAATCTTGCCATATATTTCTTTGCAAATTCCTGTGAATTTATAATTATTTCAAAATAAAAAGTTTTAAAGGAGCTGGAAGGGGACTCAGAGTATTGGAGCACTTGATCTAAAACAATGCTTTGGGAATCACCTTGAAACTAGAAGACCTTATGCAAAAACAGCACCTCAATGTTCACGCCCAAAAATGTTCCTGAAGAAAAGGATGAAGTGGGCTGACTTGGTTGGCATATTCAAAATGGATATAGACATTAAAGGGCCTTTAATTCCCTGAAGCTCTGCTAACATACAAGTGAATTCCCAGGCCATTTTCTGGAGACCAATAGGTAAGGCAGACAGGCAAGCAGGTGAGCTGTCACAGTAAGTCTTTGGAATAGGCCTGCAAGCTCAGGAAACTCTGAATGTCTTATGTACTTAATGACTGCCATTCTCAAATTATGTTAACCTTACTCAGCATCACTGACTTTAGCTTAATGCATTCATCTGAGAGTATTTATTGCACCTCTACCGTGTGTCTGACACTCTTTACTCTTCTGAATACTTGGTATATGTCCAGGAACAAAATAAAGAACCCTGCCTTGGTGAAGCTTATGTTCTAGTATAAGCGAGGCGGCAGGAAGAGAAACAGTAATAAGTGAATTACACAGCATACTAGAAGCTGATATTAATGAAAAGAGCTGGGTAAGGGGGACCAAGAATTCAGGAGATGGTGTGGCATGTGGGGGAGGGAGTGTTGCTCACTTCTCTGAGTTCTCGAAGGATATGATTATATTGAAATCAATCCTCTATTTGGATTTTATTTTCCCATTATGAAATTCTCTACGCCACCATTCCTTTCTTCTTCTTAGTCTTTCTCTTCCTTCCACCTTTTATTTTACCTTCGTCTTTTCTTTCTTCCGTTAATTTTCCCTTTCTTATTTCTCTTCCTTCCCTAATTGTCATTCTTTTTCTCTGTGGTTCTCTTACCTTTTTCTCCCTTACTTTCCCCTCTGAACTTCCTTTCCTTCTCCCCTCATTGTTTCTACTTTTTCTCTCTTCCACTCTTTTTCTAGGTATTTGTCATTATGTGACTTTCTTACAGAACTGAACTTCATGTGATTTAACTAAAGTTTGTGTGGTTTTTGTTACACTGTTAAATTGTTTGCATGATAAATGCTACTCTAACTGAAACCAAACTTTCTTCAGATACCTAACCTGATGCAAATGGAAAATAACCCTAATTTCATTGATTCTCACCTCACAGATCTAAGCCCCAGATAGAGGAACCCCACCCCACCAAATATTTCTGGAATGTGCAAGGATGCCTCACAAGAATGTTCATAGTAGCACTATTCATGAGAGCCCAAAACTGGAAACGACACAAATATCCACAAACTGTAGGATGAATACATAAGTGGTGGTAAATTCTACAATGGAATGAATACTATACAGCAGGGAGAATGAATGAATGATTGCTATATTGAATAAGATGGATGAATCTCTTGATTATAATGTTGAGTGAAAGAGGACAGACACAAAAGAAAGGGGGAAAAAAGAAATAATCTTTGATTCCATTTCTATGCAATTCAAAAAAAACAGATTTTAAAAGTCAGGACAGTAATTGCCCTTTGGGGCAACCAACTAAGAGGGAGCATGAAGAGTTTATGTGGTGCCGGTGGCATTCTGCTGCTTGATCTGGGCACAGGCCACCCTTGTGTGCTTGTTTTGTGAAAATTCTTCAAGCAGTACACTGTGATTTGTATCCTTTTTTACATATGTTGTGCCAGAATGAAAAGTTTGCTTAAAATAATAATAACCATTGCACAAAATAAACTGGAAATATTTGGATAAGAATCACAAGGTTTAACTGTGATATTTGTGAGTAATGTTGTTTATTGCACTGATAAATCTACACAAAGGAATTATAAACAGAAGTGGTGCTATAAAGAATGCCTCATAATGATGACTGATAAGAGCAATGACAAACTTAGAATGAAGTATTTTTATTATATTTTATTTATTTATTTATAGAAACAGGGTCTTGCTGTGTTGCCCAGGCTGAGACTCTAACTCCTGGGCTCAAGGGACCCTTCCACCTCAGGCTTCCAAGTAGCTGAGACTACAAGGGCATGCACCACTGCTCCTGGCACATTCTTTATTATATTTAATAGTTTTGTTCAGAAAGGACACATCCGAGTAGTTTAAAAGACAACTTTACATTTATTTTTAAATGTGTGCAAATATTTTCAAATGTACATGATTTGATTTTTTAATTTGTTAAAACTCATATACAATACTGGAATCTTATCCTATAGGTTAAAAATATAACAAAAGGCAGCTTTAATTTCAAGTGAAATTTTCATTGATAATACAAAACTAAAATTATGCTTACTATTCACAAAATACATAGAAGAGACAGTATTCCCGCAGTTTGCTGACTTATGTCATCACAAATGAACCCAGAATTTACAAACTCTAGCCTTGTTGTAAAACGTAACTTTGGCATTTCCTTCAAAAAAGTGAGCAGTGCATATTTCCTTTATTGAACAAAGGTATTCATTCATTTTCTGCAAGACTATTACATTCACTCTTTTTTTTTTTTTTTTTTTTTTTTTGAGACGGAGTCTTGCTCTGTCGCCCAGGCTGGAGTGCAGTGGCACGACCTCGGCTCACTGCAAGCTCCGCCTCCCGGGTTCACGCCATTCTCCTGCCTTAGCCTCCCAAATAGCTGGGACTACAGGCGCCCGCCAGCCACCACGCTAGGCTAATTTCTTTTTTTCTATTTTTAGTAGAGACGGGGTTTTACCATGTTAGCCAGGATGGTCTCGATCTCCTGACCTCGTGATCCACCCGCCTCGGCCTCCCAAAGTGCTGGGATTACAGGCATGAGCCACCGCGCCTGGCCTACATTCACTCTTTAGCGAGATGATTTGTTGTCAATATAAGCAAGTAGTGCTGTGAAAATGAGGCAGCATTATAATCCTAGTTATGCTGTAACCAGATTTACAACCAGAATTCAGGATTAACCCATTTGTATGATCATTAATCCTATTCTTTCAGAAATAGACACATTGTTTCTGGTTGTATTTCAGAAGAAAAACAGAGAAGCCATTCTATCTTTAGGCAGGGGTGACTGCAGGACTTGAGTGTGCACAAATTTTGGTAAATGCAGGGGTCCTGAAACCAATCCCTGGAGTATACCAAGGGATGATGTCGTTTTCAATCAAGCAAGACATTCTCAATTGGGGACCTGGGTATAACTTTTCTCTAGAAATGAAGTACAACTTCATTCACTCCAGTGTGAAATATATGGGAAAAGTCCCCAAGATCAAAGCCTGTGTTGTATATAATATCTAGAAAATTGTTGGCACTTAGGAAAAAAATAAATAAAAAGAAAAGATATAAAAACTTTTGGTCAAAAAAACCTGTATTTTTCAGTATGTACATTCCAAATGAATGTTTTTATATTGAGTTCATTTAGAATGCTTTGTCTTTAAAAATTCACTTTAAACACAGACTACTATAGGTAGTTCAATTTTTAGATTTTTTTTTAAGTGGTCAGAGTTCAGTTAAAGATTACTTACTTTACACACTGCTAAAATTTTTGAGAAAAAATATAAACTCATTTTAATCACCATGGTTATGTAAGCACATCAAAAAAATTTTCACTCAGAATAGCACTGTTTTTATGTCAGATTTTACACAGATCATACCTATACATGCCTCCATGCAATGATCATTTCTATAGACTAAGATAATTAAAACTGCATTTTTAAACAAAATAATCTGTCATATATTTTTTTGATCTCAGTTGTGATCATGATTATTATCATATCAAAAAAGATTTTTATAAACCATGAAAATCTCTTTATTATTTCATTTGTCTGCATCAATATTTCAAAATATATTGGCCTGGTTCTGTAGCTTTTAGGTAAACCATTTCCAGGATCAAAGAGATCCTCAATTCCGGCTATATGTAATAACACTTCATTATTAGATACTAAGCAAATTTGCATTTTTAAAACTCCAATTTATTATCCAAAGTATTTTCAAAGGCTTTTATTGATAAATGCATTAATCATTTTATTTCAGCATTTACTAAATGTGACCTTACATGGTGATCAGTGCAGCTCATGGATATCCAGGTCAGTCAAAAACTGATTTTTCTTTATGATTAATCATTCGTGACTCGCTTGACCACAGAGGCTGTTGGGTCAGCACTCACTCTAACTGAACAGAGATATGCCAGGGCCCACGTGAACATTATTAGCAAATCTGTGATGTAGATCAGCAGCGTATTATAACACCAGCTTACCCTGGACGCTGCCAAATCGTCTGAATAATTCTAGCCATTTTGCCCATGTTAGGGATAAGGTGTTTATTTTATAAATAAAGCCTAGAAGCAGTCTTAGTGCTTCTCTTTCAATGGCTTAATAGAAAAAAGAATGAGTGTTTTGAGTCTGAAGAAATAGTCAATGCATTGAGGAAGTTTTGTCTTGTATTCCTTGCTCATAGAGACCTCCCGAACCCACTTTCAGGATGCAAGTGTACGCATAGCCTGTGGAAGCAAGGGGAAAACAAAGTGTTGATACAACTGAATTCTCCTTAAGTCTGCATTATCTTTTTTATAAATATGTTTTTATAGTATTGATTGCTTACTGCTACTCATCTTAGGTGTATATCATCACAATAGAAATAGGGTAAAAACTTCATTTCGTATTCATTATACTTTTTTTTTTTTTTGGAGACTGAATCTCACTCACTGTTGCCCAGGCTGGAGTGCTGTGGCGTGATCTCAGCTCACTGCAACCTCTGCCTCCCAGGTTCAAGCAATTCTCCTGCCTCAGCCTCCCGAGTAGCTGGGATTACAGGTGCCTGCCACCACACCCAGCTAATTTTTTTTTTTTTTTTTTTAGTAGAGATGGTCGGGGGGTTACCATGTTAGTCAGGCTGGTCTCAAACTCCTGACCTCAAGTGATCCCCCTGCCTCAGCCTCCCAAAGTGCTGGGATTACAGGCTTGAGTCACTGAGCCTGGCCTGTATTCATCACACTTTAATTGGATTTATTTAAGAGCAATGATTACTATTTATTGAGCACTTACTATGTACAAGGCACTGCTCTTGTTACTTTACATTTATCCTTTAATTTTCACAACTCTGTGGTATTATTACTACTTTACATGAAGATACTAATATGAAGACAGGATAAGTAATTTGCCCTGGGGTGCACAGCCAGTAAGTAGCAGAATGAGGACTAGCACCCAGGTCTGTCTTGTTCTAAAGTCCATGCCCTTGAAACTATTGTGCTATATTGTTTTACCATCTATAGAAACCCTCCCTGAATGATTATTTTACGTGGCAACCAATAAATATCCTATAATATAGCAGTCTTAAGTTTTAATGTTGACATATGAGTTTTTACTCAAACTAAGGCACCCTATATCCATAGAGTCATAAACTACTGGAGCTAAAAGGACTTCTCAGGTCGATAATGACTTTCCTGGGCTCACTAAGCTGGTGGGCCAAGATGCAGGTACTGTGATTTTCACTCTAGCAATGTATTTCCTCCACAGAAATCTCTGCCTGTCATCCTTACTGCCTGATTTCACTATAGGGGGTTGAATGTTTTCTTTGCAACATTTTTTCAAGACCTAGAAAAAGGCAGAGAAGGCAGGCTTATCAGATTTGATTATGACACCAGGTAACGGGTACTGGGGTAGACAATATCCTGGATGTTAGATTCAAAACACAAAACTGGCCAATGTGGTGGCTCATGCCTGTAATCCCAGCAATCTGGGAGGGCAAGGCAGGTGGATTACTTGAGGTCAGGAGTTCAAGACCAGCCTGGACAACATGGCAAAACCCTGTCTCTACTAAGAATACAAAAAAAAAAAATTATCTGGACGTGGTGGCGAGCGCCTGTAATCCCAACTACTTGGGAAGCTGAGGCACACGTGAGAATCTCTTGAACCTGGGAGGGAGGGATTGCAGTGAGCTGAGATTGTACCACTGCACTCCAGTCCAGGTGACAGAGTAAGACTCAGTCACAAATAATAATAATAATAATAATACTAATAATAATACAAAATTATGTCAGTAAACAAGAACCAACAAGATGAAATCCAGCAGAAATAGGTGTAGTTCTGTATTAGGGTCAAAGCTCAATTAAATAAATATAACTAGGGAACTCTACTAGACCATAGCTTGTATGAAAATGCCCCAGTCTTTAGTTGGCCCCTGCTCAATAGAAGCTAAAATTCTGATGTTGCTATTATGAAAGGAAACACATTTTTAAGCTGTAGTAATAGGAATATCTTGATGAGATCAAGGTAGGTCATGGTTGAATAATCTCCATGCTGGCCTGGCCGCATTTAGGGTTTTGTGTCCCCATCGTGACCAGAGAAGCACTGACTGCTTGTTTGTAAGGAATAGAAGGAACTAGAAGAGTCTCAACTGGAAGAGAGTCTGCTGGAGACATGAGAACTATTCTCAAATATTTGAAGGGCTGTTCAGTGGGAAGGTCTGTGTTGCTAAGGAAGGCAGATCTCAGTTCACTAGGTGGTTACTACAGAAAGGCCAAATTGAGTTCTGTAAGCACAAGTAACATTTAGAGACTTCCAACCATGTAACAAACTCCCTTGAGAAGCCGCTAGTGGCCAATGTCTGGAAATGTTCACATAAAAGCTGAATGAACATTCATCAAGGATGGTGTAGGAAGGATTTCTGCATGGGCTAGAATGTTAGACTACTTGATTCTAAGAAATCTTTCAACTTTTTACAATTCTGTGATCTTCCTTCAGTGTTCACCTCTTATCCAGTGGCGAAGCTGCAAAATTTACTCAGATGCTACAAGTTCAGACAAGTTTCCTAGGAATAGTCTGATGTCACAAGAGCATCTGAAATACACAGAATCAGTCTAGGGTGGGGAGAGTGTGTTTTTAAAGCCTTTATCAGTCATATGAAGGAAGGTCATAGGGTTTCTGTTCCTCACATACTATTCCTGAGGCTTATAAAGTTCCTAGCTTAGAAGTTTCCTCTATTCATTTTTTTCCTACCCCATGGCCTTACATCTCTAGAAGAGCAGTATGCAGAGGTGTAGGTATCAAATCAGGAGCAGTGTGTTGGCTCTTGCCAGTTGCTGATCATCCCCAAATGCCTGGGACAAAAGATCCCCAAGTACTTAATGTCTTCAAGGGAGAATTCTTATTTTCTCTTTTTCCCTGCTATGAAGCCATCTTTTCTGCATTTGGGGGAATTATGTTCCCTGACAGTTCTTAATCAGATATATTCACTATTTGTATTACTCTAATTATTCAAAATGTAATTCAAATATTTTCTTCAGAAGAAAATGATCATACCTCATCCTGGACATCAAGTTCTTCTTCCGTCAGCTCTGTTTCTATTAATTCAAGGGTATCTTTACAATCCTGAATGAGAGTGATCTTGAAAAAGAGAACACAGGGTAGAAATAGAATAGCATCAACCCACCTGATGCTCCACTGAAAATGATTTGAAGCTTTCCTGGTGCTTCTCATCTGTCTTTACATACTTCAGAATCCTCTTCAGCTGTATTGTTCTTTTATATTTCCCAACTAAAATTTTTTGTATATCATTTTTTTGCACATTGAAAGGTGAACTGGTATAGTTCTCCATTGTGTAAACTCCTTTTCAGCTCTCTTCCCCAACCTCTTGAGTGTATGCCTCTTAACAAGTCACCCCCTCTGCCTAAATGATTCAGCAGTCAATAGTGCATCTCTCAATGGCTAAGCTAAGAGCACTTAGCACAGCGTTGAGTGTGCAATGAATGCACAGTGAAGAGCTTGTCACTGATGACAAAAAACAGCCACAAATGGAATTGGGTGGAAATTAATTCTATTGGAGATGGAAACCAATGTCTATGGACCAAGTTGGTTATTCAGAAAAGCTCTACTGTTTAGAGGTGGCATGTAATTTAATCTTCTACACAGAGGAAACCAACGACAATTTTGGCTTTGTGTTTTGCATGGAAAAGGACATTTTCAAAGCAACTCCAAATATATATCCAGGCTAAAATAACATTTTGAAATGCTACTTAGCTACTTTTCAACTCACAAATAGCCCAATTCTCTTAGCTAGTATGAGAATGAATTAGAGGGTTAAGTCCCTGTGCAAATGGTATGACATAATGGGAAAGGTAGAGGATAAGTCTAACTACAAGTTGTGTCCTGAGATAGTCCTGTGATGGTAAAATAAAGGGATAGGAAGAAGGTTGTGTCATTGCAGTCACAATATCTTTGATACAGAGGGACTCCCTCTTGAAGGAGTTTATCATCATTCACCTACTTATCACATATAAAGCTTTGTGCTAGACTCTGAGAAGACACAGAAATATAAGCCTCTTGATCTCACAGGCCACCAGGAATGTCCAACCCACTTTTAGTGGACCAGTAAGTATGTAATACAAGCATTCCGTTATGCTTAGTCTATTTGTTTAAGGTCCAAAAAAATCCATCCCAGCCACTCACAATACCTCTCTGATTGCAAACAAGAGTGAGTCTAACCTAGTAGATACACTCTTGGTTAGTGGTTTTTATGACATTCATAGCCTAAAATCTTAGTAAGAATGGGTATAAACAAATAAAATAACTGCTTTCATGTTGAGAAAGAACTTGATACCTTGGTTCTGTTTTACTTTTAATGTGGATCTCTTAAAGGATACTTCATATGATCCAACTTTCTTATCACCTATGGGTTAGAGAATTTTAAGTTGGATAGAAAAAGTTTATGAATTTTCAATGATAAACAGTTTTTTTTTCTTTAGATTTGTAGCTTTACTCTTTTTTTTTTTTCCTTTTTTATATTTAAGATCCACAGCTTGGTAGTTAGGACTAGTATTTTACCAAGGAACATCAAATAGAACAATCTCTCCACTACCAGTGCCTAAAAAGAATAATATAATATCATTTCCTAAGTTAGTTTTCTTCAATCAACTGCCAATCTACAATAAGGATCTACTTATTCTACTTTTAGAAAAATGGGAAGCAATTTAAAATATCCACGATGTCACTGGAATCATTACTGTTATTATATCTTGATAGGTATTTGCTTTAGTTTCCTAAATTCACTATGAGAAATGAGATTCTTGTACCACCAGGAGCACCATTAGGCCAAGCCCAATGAACCAGACCAGAATGCTCACCTCTTCTGGGTATTTGACAGAAAAATTAACAAAATAATACCCATGGGAAATCAGGGCCTATTCTGGAGCCAGATGCGCTACTGTTGTGCCATGAGGCCTCCCATCAGGGCCTATTCTATTTTGTAGGGAAAAATTAACCCTGGGCTTCTTTGTGGCTTGATTTTTAAATTTCTTTTTCAAAGATCACTTATGGCCTGGTGGATCCTGTTTAAAGACATTTATAATTCAAGGTTTTCCAGATTGCTGAGAATTTAAGTGGAATTTATGTACACAAATCCCAGATCACAAAAGATCCAAGATTCAATATTCTTAAAAGGCATTATAGCTAATGCCCACTTTTATTAATAAACCTACACATTGTAGAACTATTCAGTACTGGGTACTACCAGGTAATTTCCTATAAACTATCTTATTTAGTCTTCATATCTACCTAGCAAGGTTAATGTTTTTACTTCCATTTTACTGATGAAAAAACTGAGGCTCCATGAAGTTATATAGGTAGCTTAAAATTCAACAGCTAGACTAGACTTGTGTAATGTTTGCCATTTATAGAAATCATGATAGTTTAGAAAAGATACATCTGTAGAAAGGTTGAATATTTACCGTTTCTAAAATGGAACCTTGACCCTCTTGAGATTTCACTTGGTTCTGTAGATAGAGTATAGCATCATGGACCGTCAAAAAGAATGTGTCCTTTCTAATGTTGTCGTCAAAGAACCCGCATTGCTCCAGCTTTTCTATCACATAATCTTCAAAAGAAAGACACAATGTTTTGTTAGTTCCTAGGAAAAGAAATTTTTGTTTGTTTTTGAGACAGAGTCTCATTCTATTGCCCAGGCTGGAGTGCAGTGGCATCATTGCTCACTGCAACCTCCGCGTCCCAAGTTCAAGTGATCCCCCCACCTCACCCTCCCAATTAGCTAGGACTACAGGGCACACCCTACCATGCCCAGCTAAGAAAAGAAATTTTAAAGCATCAACCTATACTAAGTTTTTGTAGCTCCTCCTTTTATTTATTTATTTTTCTCTTATCCAAAATGTGACCCAGATTTGAAATGACAGTTTCTTTTCCAGTAGTATATAGAATGGTTATCCCATAACTGGTCGTAGTCAACCTTGTGGACGATCACGTCCCTTTGGCCAAGCCAGTGTATCCATCCTCCTGCTGCTGTGGGCCAGGCTGCCAATGTTTCACAGCTGTGCCCTTCTCTGGAGACTTTCCCTTGCCCGTTGGGAGCTGTGTCATCTAAAGAGGACTGGGTCTGTAATTCCAGCACTTTGAGAGGCCGAGGAGGGCAGATCACTTTGAACCCAGAACTTCTGGGCAATATGGTGAAACCCCATCTTTATAAAAAAATACAAAAATTAGCCAGGTGTGGTTGTGCACCTATAGTCTCAGCTACTCAGGAGGCTGAGATGGGAGGATCACTTGAGCCCAGGAGTTTGAGGCTGCAGTGAGCCACAGTTGCACCACTGCACTCCAGCCTGGGTGACAGAGCAAGACCCTGTCTCAAATAAATAAGTAAATAAAGAGAACTGGGAGGTTTCATCCCCACACATGGCTGGCCTGCAGCCACTGACTGACTCATTACTGGGGGAGAAAGCAGGTCCTCTTGCCTCAAGGAGGCATAACCTTCTGGTACTCTTCCTGTGGTGGTGCTCCCTGTGAAATCAGGGATCTACGCTGGACTTCAGAAACCATGTCTTTGATCAGCTTCTTCCCCTTCCCTATCCTGCTCCCCTCACTGCTTCATAAATTTCCTCAGATGTATTCTCAATAAATCGCTTGTGCAAGAATCCCCATCTTGGGCTCTGCTGCTAAAGAATTCAACCTAAGCCTTAGCACTTTCCTACACACATACATTCATAAAGAAACACACAGAGACTCACACCCTTGAGAGTCCTCCTGTTCTAAGGAATCTAAGTAATCTCCAGCTTTGCTCTCCTCATAACAACATCCCCCCATTGTCAATATTCACCCCACCCCCACCCACTGTCAAGATACACATTTCCATACATTACCAGCTCTGTGGCACAAATTGGAAGTAATATCTTTCTGGGTTCAAAATGTTCTCAGAGTTTTTATGCTTTTTGTTTTTTAAAAAAAAAATAATAGAGACGGGGTCTCACCATGTTGCTCAGGCTGGTCTCAAACTCCTGGCCTGAAGTGATCCTCTGACCTTTGCCTCCCAAAGTGCTGGGATTACAGATGTGAGCCGCCATGACCGGCCTATTTATTTATTTAAAACTTAACTCTAGCTTGGCAATCAGAGGTTATTTAAAGGTTGTTTCTAAATATGGACTTATGAAGGAAATCAAAACAAGGCAGGAAGGAACCACTAGGTAGGAAAGATGTGAGAAGAAATTTACAAGTATGAAGAGATAAAGAAAATTGAAAAGAGAGTAATTTTTTCTTTTGTATAGGAGATAACCTTATATGGTCAAAATGATAAGGAGAAAAGAAAAGTAAATCTTTGTCCTAAGGTACAATGCCAATTTTAAAAAAGGAAGTATAGGACCAAATGAAGGTTTAAGCAAGTTGTAGAAGGTTTGTAGAAGATAAATATCATGAAAAATTTTATGTGATTGAGTTGGCTAAAAGTAGAAGGGAATTATTTATAAGTTTTTCTAAAAATTGAGCATTAATATTAAAGTACACTGATGGAAGGCTAAAGTGTGGGCCTATGTGTTGGAACAATAGAGTTTTCTCAGAGGATTGGTTTACTCTTAATAGAAAATTGTGAGAGGATTTTCTCTTCCAGGTAACTGGCCTAGAAAACAGAGATTTCATGTTTCATCAATATAACTCTTCTTGTGCTTTTTGCCTTTGAACTCTTTTTTCACTTTGGTTTTATTTCATAGTGACCTATGATCCGATTTTGATCAAATGTTTTAAACCTTTGGTATTTGACAAACTTCTCAAAAATCAAAATTAAGTCTTTTTGACCTTGAACTAACTTTGGGATGTTCCAGAGGACCCTGGAATTTCTTAAAGAATCTGTAAAAGAGAGATGTTAAACCAAATGGCCTTATCTGATAGGTTAAATTATATGGGAAGCACTGTTAAAATAAGAAATGATGTTTAACTTTCTTTGTGCTATATTTTTATAGATATGTTATTAATATGTTCCAAAATTATATAACATTCCTAGAAATGTGATAGGTCTTGGTATAAATGCTACCAGTCATAATTTTGGTTATTTTAAATTGTTGTGTGCCACAGAAATATCCAAATATCCTTGTCAATTGGGTAACTCACATCAGATCTTTAAATATAGCCACTTTAAGTCTTGTTGTCCACAGTTAATTGTTTTGTTCTGATACTTTTTCTGAAAGCTCTTTGTAAGCCATTATAATTCTAAAGTGCTGTGACTTCAAAGAGTTATATGGGAAGAATGAAAAGAACTCTGACAAATACAGGTTTCTAATAACTTTGAATTCATACCATTCGTTGGAATTAAACTACCAGCCAAGATCAAACAGAGCAAGAATTAATTACATGAGACTGAATGAACTGATGGAGAAGAATTACAGGTTTTATGGCTTTTTTATTTGAAACATTGCTGGTTCTTTTAATATTTGTTTTCCAGATCTAAAGAAAATTTTTCTTTAAAGCTATCTGCAGTTTACAGCCACTTGGTTAAGCATACTTTTTTTTTATTTTTTGAGACAGGGTCTCACTCTGTCACCCAGGTTGGAGTGCAGTGGCACCATCTGGGCTCACTGCTACCTCCACTTCCCCAGCTCAAGTGATTCTCAGCCTCAGGCTCCATGCCCAGCTAATTTTTTGTATTTTTTGTAGTAACGGCGTTTTGCCATGTTGCCAGGCTGGTCTCAAACTCTGAGCTCAAAGCAATTGTCCGCCTTGGCTTCCCAAAGTGCTGGGATTACAGATGTGAGCCACCGCACCCAGCCTTGTTAAGCATACTTTCATAAACAAAAATTGAAACATTTGCTTTTCCTCTCTACCTGATCCTTCCAGAATTTGGAAACTCTTTGTGAGTATTCTTATTTTTATGGCAATATGATTATTTACATGAAAGTTCAATAGAATCTGTTCTTTTAAATAGAATACAATTGGAAAACATTGGTTATATTATCAAGGCTTTGAATAGAATATCATATTTGAAAATGTGCACAGAATTCCTGGCTTCAAGGGCTGCTAGCCTTACAATGAGTGAATAAAAAGTCGTTCCTTCCTGGGAGGCCCAGTAACTTCAAGATATTAGATACATCAGGCAAAGCCTAATGTCTGCCTTGGTTTGACTTCATAGCATCAAGACGTTTTAAAAAGTCCAATCTGAGATTCCTTGTCAAAATTTCTATCAAAGCAATTATTTTTTGGAGACATGGTCTCACTGTGTTGTCCAGGCTATAGTGCAGTGGCTATTCACAGGCACAATCATAGTGCACTGCAGCCTTGAATTCCTGGGCTCAAGCAATCCTCTCACCTCAGCCTCCCAAGTAGCTGGGCTCACAGGCAAGCAATACCTCGCCAGGCTTGGCAAAGCAAATTTGAAAGGAGTCACCTATGTAGTTATTCTTGCTGTACTGTGTAAATAATCAATCAGGCCAAGTTTGAGACCAAACTTATTTTGTAAACAAATTGGTCTACCATGATCGTCTTTGATAGAAATGGAGGTGACTATAGAAAGAAAAACATATGGTTCAAAAGAAAAGCATAGTAAAACTGTTCTTAGACTGTAGCCCTGTTCAATATTTATGAGTTTTTATTATCTACCTGTAGACTGAGCTGGATTCTTAATTCTTTTAGCTTTCACTAATATCTGGCTACAACACTCCAATGAAGACCAAGAACTACTCAGTTCCTGAAGCTCTGTAAGCTGAAGCTGAGCAACTCAGTGTAAATTTCAAGAGATGAATCTCATGCTTAAACTGTGGGCCACATAGAGAGTTCGCCAGAATGCTGGATGCCACAACTAGAGACAATAAAACTACAAACCAAAACAAGAAGTTGTCAACTTCATGCTGTAGACAGCTCCAAGACTGTCAGAACAAGACTCCCTATCATAAGATGCTTATCCCTTTTAATTTTCCCTTACTTGTGCCTACCTCTTTCACTTGGCAGGATAGTGCTGTAGTTAAAACTTCACAATGAGTAGCTTCTTTGGGTAACTTACACTTTCTGCTTTAATTTAACCAGTCATGGAATGCTAGATTACCTGCTAACTCAACAAGGAAGCATCTGTGCAGTTGGGTGACACTTCTTGTTCCACATATATAAATACATCAGGTACTACAGAGAAGACTTCTTGGTTAAAACAGGTAGTCTCCTTGTCAGGCTATTCAATTTTAGTTGGTTTGATTCATGAGAATCCTGGCTAAGGAGCATACTATAAACCCTTGGTATTATCTCCCTGATAGTCATAATAGCAGTCTTCCTGGTACATTATACCCTCTCAAAGTTTTAAATGTTTCCAAAAAGCCACCTGTCAGACATCGAATGGTCTCTCTCTGAAACAACAAAAACTCAGAGACATACATGATAATGAGGAGGGCACCATAAGCTACACATGACCTCCTGAGACCAGAAACCCAAAATGATGGTAACAGAGTAGCACTGATCTCCTACATTTTGTTCACTCTTACCTAGGTGAGAGCCTGATCAAAACGGGGAAAATCATCAAACAAAAATGGTAAAGGCCATTGTTTTAGTCTTCTTGAGCTTTGCCCTCCCAGAGCTTTGCAGCTTTTAGTAGCCAGAACGAAGGAGTAGAGCAGCCTTCGGTGGCTCAGGGGCCAAGCAGCTGTGCCCATCCTGGGGTCATGCAAGGCACAGGCACATAGTAAAATAAAAAATAAAAATAAAAGGCCATTGTTTTAGACTAAGCTCCCGCACTAGACGACAACAGACAAGACTAAAAATCAAAATGGAGTCACTCATGCTAAAGTTTCAAGTTATCAAACCTAAACTAAATTGTTATCTGATACTTGAAGAAATCAGGAGAGAGAGGTAATAGCAAATTTCCTAAAACAGGACAGTTTAAATTTCCAGTTGGCATAATAATAAAGCTTCCTCTGCAATAATCCTCATACAAAAAAGTATCCTGACATGACCTCATGTTAACTAATCCATTATTTTCCTATTGTTCTGTCTCACTGTCTCTGACTTACAAGAAAGTAACTTTGAATGGACTAATATACTCTTTGTTGCTTGCTTTTGCTGTCTTTGGCCTTTTCTGTGTATAATACTGAACTCCTGCTTAGTTCCTTGGAACACTTATTCTGTTTTATGGAATGAAGCAGTGCCAGATTCCAGAACTGCAAATAATGACAATTGAGATCTTTAAAAGAAAAAAAAAAAAGGCCTTCAGACATAATGTGACCACAGTCCCAGATAGGAGAAAGGGCTTACGGGAAAGTCTTACAGGTAGATATGTAGATATATGTATTTACCTTGAAGTGATGCAAAATACACATTCACATCAATTCTTTGGAATTCTTTGACAATCTAAAAATAAAAAAGGAGAGTTTGTAACAATTAACAACCTTATCTGCCCATAATTCAGTAGCATTCAGTTACTTGCTCAGGAGAAACATTATTACTTTCATGGTTAATCAGGACTTTAAGGAAAGGTTATTATTGCAAAACCATGGAGGTTTTCAAACTACAGTAATGGTATAATTAGGATTATATCTCAAGAGATGGCAACATCCAGCGCTCAATAGCACAGCACTTGATAGCGTGGAGGTGCTAAATAAGCATTTGTGGAAAGAAGAGAGTACAGGAGGCTTCTTAATATAGGCCCTGCTGATTGGAGAAGAGATATGGGTGTGGCTATGCTTATCGGGTTCAAAATGTTACTATTGACCTAAAAGTCAAGGCCTCTATTTTGAATGTCAGTGTCCTACTGTGATTTTATGCTACAGTTTTACAAGATGTTACTCATTGGGAGAAACTGGGTAAGGGGTATATAGGATCTAAATATTATTCCTTACAACTACATGTGAATTTACAATTATGTCAAAATAAACATTTAATTTTAAAAAGTCAAGACACAAGACCCATAGTCAATAATAAAAGAGAATTTGAGAATTATGGAGGAAAACAAATCAAGACCTCTGTTCAAGTATAAAGTTTGGAGTCTTCTTTAGCTATCATAACTGTCATTATAATATTTGAAAGTAAATATTCGTTGTGTGGGAAATATTCTGGCATTAAATATGTTAAGACTGTCCCCAAAAGTAATTCATTGAACTCTCTGGCCAATATAGTCTACAATGGATCTCAGCCAATGCTTAGAGTGAAATGTACAACAAAGAACAAGAGTGATTTCAAATGAGCTAATAACAAAATCTGCTAAGAGAACTAGAACAGAACCTGTCAGCATATTCTCATACTCTTTTGCCAAGCACAATCACTTCTCTACCCTACCTACCTAGTACCCACATCCTGGAATCATTTCCTCCCCTTATAGAGGTAGCAAAGAAGCCTTAGCTAAGTGGAACCTCAGTTAGGAGTCAGCTTTATATTATTACATCTGATTGTTGGTGTCTTGACCTGCTTACTTTTCTGCCTGACCCTTTTGATACCTACCTGAAGCTTCACTGAACTTGATGCTTCAGGTGATGTCCTATTCATCTTCTTTGGAGCACTTACTACAATTGTTATTTATAAGATGACTTAATGTTTGCCTTCTCCTCCAGACTGCTAAGTCCCACGTAGGTAGAAACTGTGTCTACTTCATCACTAGTCTCTTGTGCCTGGCAGAGTGCTCAGTACACATTAGGCATTTCACATCTATTTGTTGACAGAATTAATGAACTTCAGCTTGCATAACTGGTTTCTGATATCATTAATGTTTCTATCCTGCATACTCCTCAACTCTTGCTTTGACCTTCCAGATGTCTGACCTGCTTCCTACTCTAACCTCTTAATAATGCCTGGCTTTTCCAGTCCTAACATACACCTGGTATTCCTTATCCTGTTGCTGTTAACATAACAAATAGAAATGTAATACTTAATAAACTTTTGCCCATTTTTTTCTTTTCATATACCACTTGTTATACATTCTCAGAAAGATAAAACATAATAAATGTGAATTAATTTGCTGGGGAGTATCTTTGAACCAGATATTCTTTTTTTTTTTTTTTTTTGAGATGAAGTCTCACTCTGTCACCCAGGCTGGAGTACAGTGGCACAATCTCAGCTGCAACCTCCACCTCCCGGGTTCAAGCGATTCTCCTGCCACAGCCTCCTAGGAGCTGGGACTACAGGTGTGCGCCACCATGCCCAGCTAATTTTTGTATTTTTGGTAGAGACGGGGTTTCACCATATTGGCCAGGCTGGTCTTGAACTCCTGACCTCATGATCCACCTGCCTCAGCCTCCCGAAGTGCTGGGATTACAGGCGTGAGCCACCATGCCCAGCCTGAACCAGACACTCTTCTAAACACCTTATATCTATTAGCTTATTTAATCCTTGTAACAACCTGTGAAGGTAGATACCATCATTACCTCCATATTACAGATGAAGAAACTGAGATATAGACAGATTAAGCAACTTGCCCAGGGTCGTACTGCTAGTAAGTGGTGAAGCCAGTATCTCCCCCAGGTAGTCTGGCTCCAGAGCCTATGCTTTAAAATATTACACTTTTTTACAAAAGCATTCACCTAGAAAAATTACAAAGCCCATGTATTTGCCCTGTTGCAATACTGGACAACCCACATCATTTTACTATTGCCAAAGCTCCAAATGTATAATTCAGAAAACCAGAACCTTACCACCCGCAGTGATCTCACTCCAACAACGTCCAGGAAAGATATAGCTCCACAGTCAAGCACAAGGCTATGGATTGGCACTTTGGGAACGTTCACTTTGACTGGAAGCTCAGAGTTCCAATCCACTTGAATCTCTATTTCCTTGGTTGGGATATCAAGTTCCTCCAGATCTTCAATATCCTCATCAGGCTCAAAAGCATTATTTGTTGAAACAGCATCACTTATGATGCCATTCTAAACGAAGAAAACACTGTCAACTTAATTGTCAAAGATTTGAAATCTTTCAACCATTCATATCAAATTATCCAAAAGACCTACACACTGTTCCTTGGTAAGCAAGACATCAAGGAGATGAATTTTTAAGGATGGGTTTCACCTCAGCCCAAACTTTGATGTTGTCTAGGAAGAAAACTGGGAGAACAGAGGAGCCAGGAAACTTTTGTTTTCTGGATGATTGTGGAACTTTGCCAAGAAATACACTGGCCAGAAGAATCTGAGTAAAAGTTAACAGCTCCAAAAGTTTATGGACTTAGACTGCCTTCTATGGTGGGTAGTTTTCTGGCATTGAATTTGCACTTATTTTGTTCCTTTCAGTAAAAATAAAGTATAGAAAATAATGCAGACACTGTTCATGGTGGGGAAAAAAATCACATCCTGTGTTTCCAGGCAGCGCTGCTGATTTTATTTCATTCCCTTCCACTCCCGCTTGCCTATAAGAATAGCTCAGTTGTTCTTTGATACGTACATGTCATTTGTTCATTCACATCTGGATACTAAAGAGGATAGATTTAATTTTAGACCCTCTAACTGCTCTCATCAGGGAAAGGAAATAATTTAAGGGGGAAAAGAAAGATGTCATCTCACCTTTGTTGCTCTTAATTGTCCACTTTTTATTAGTTTCTGTATTTTCCTCAGCGCTTTCAGCCTCTTATTATATACTCTAATGGCATCAAATCCAACCTTTGGAAATAAATGTCAAGTTACTTAAAATGCCTGGCACCTAAAGCTTATTAATGGCAACTGTTATCTGGAAAGGCTATTTCTCAAAGGGTATAATTCCTTGAGCTATCCTGCCAAAAAAGAAATTGTAAGGTCTGATGGAGTAGATCTCTGTCTACTCCCAGGCTACCCTACTCCTACCCAGAAGCTCTGAGAAGACAGTAGCATATCAAAGGCTCCAAGACAGTAAAAGACAAAACAGAAACACACACACACCCCAAAATACCCTCTTTAGTTTAAGTCTGGGTTTTCCAAATTCCCTTGGTATCACAGAGCCCTTTTGTTATTGCAAAATCTGTGAACATTCCTCTGAATCAGTTTGCCCTGGAACTCACTTAGAAAAACACTGATTTAGAGGCAAACTCCAAGTTCAAAGCATAGCATGGCATTTGGTGCCAGGATTTTCTACTTATTTATTCCACTAGTATATTTTACTTTTTGCTGCAACTGGGCAACCCTACCTCCAATACATGTTTCCACTGTCTCTCAGCTCACATAGTTCTCAAACACTTGACATGATTTCTTTCCTTCAGCCAACTGCCGCACAAAGCCTGTTAGTCCAACTAACCTGGATCTCTTCCTTCTATGAACTCTCAACTGTCTATACTACTTATTTGAAACTTACTCAAATTCTGCCTAGAAACATCTCTAATGTTTTTGTCTGGCATAGTTATTACTACCTGGGTTTTAACATATGTGTTTTTTTAATCCCCAAATAGACTGTAAATTATTTGAAGGCAAGGATGTTATATTTTAATTCTCATTGCCCTACACAAAGGGAAGAGGGTCTAGGGCCTATTCCTGATTGGACCCCAGTAAATACTTGTAGAATGAATGAAGTCTCAAAAGAGGTTAGAAAACAAATTTCTAGGGATAAAATACTTACTGTGGACTTGATACATTTTTTAAAACCATCGACATTGCCATAGAAAATAGGACTGGAAAATCTAAGAATCTTCACTCCTTGAGGTTCTTCAATCTGGCATTAAAAGAAATTGTCTGGGATTAAATAATTTCAAGCCTCAAGTATTTAATTACATTTCTGGCTACTTAGCAAGGAGTCAAGTCACAGTTGCTCAGAGGAGCTGGGTAGCAGCACTCAACTTTTCTTTCTTTTCTTTTTTTTTTTTTTTTGAGATGGAGTTTCACTCTGTTGCGCAGGCTGGAGTACAGTGGCACAATGTCGGCTCACTGCAACCTCCACCTCCTGGGTTCAAGGGATTCTCCTGCCTCAGCCTCCCAAGTAGTTGGGATTACAGGTGCTGCCACCACACCCAGCTAATTTTTCCATTTTTAGTAGAGACAGAGTTTTGCCACATTGGCCAGGTTGGTCTCAAACTCCTGACCTCAAGTGATTCACCCGCCTCAGCCTCCCAAAGTGCTGGGATTACAGGTGTGAACCACCGTGCCCGGCCTCTACAACTTTTCTTGAATAGGGAGACAACAGGTTACAAAAACTCTTGGACCTCTACAGTCTCATAGAAGGTCAAAGTTAGAAAGGGCCTTAGAAAGCAATTTATTCAACCCTCTGATTTCCAGAAAAGAAACTGAGGCTTAGAACAGTGCCATGATTTGCCTGAAGTTCATACCACTGACCCTCCTGATTTTGCTAACATTCTTTAAAAGTAGCAAAGAAAAAAAGCAAAATCAATGGGATTTGCAGAACTGAGGCCTATGATATCATCTGTTCTCACCCTGACATACAATGGCCACACCCAAAATAGAACCCAGGAATCACAGAATCATAGACTTTTCTAGTCTTCAGGAATCAGCAATTTTAGTCTAGCTGCTTCAGATGAGAAAACTGAGGTCCTGAGAGGCTGAATGACTTGGGCAAAGTCTCACCAAGATGGAGCCTAGAAGTCAGAATTCCCTAACTCAGCTTAGAGCTCCCTCCCCAAAGCCAAAAAAATCTCTAAATCATTTTAGCTCTTAATGGCACTTGGCTCAACATAACAGAAAGATCACGGAAATAAATTAAGTAGCAGCTACTGAAATCCCAGTTTCAAGGTCCAACTTTTTTTAATGTTAAGGTAAAATTAGACTACAACTTCCTAGGGTTGATATTATTATTATTATTATTTGCTAAATTTGTATTTTCTTGATTTACTTTCTCTGCTTTTTTATCTTTGTTTCCCCTAGTCACCACTAAGCAATTTTATTTGCAGGTGACACAAGTCCATCAATGGGATGTTTAATTTCTTTGTTTTTCATTTCCTGTGTCATATTTTATTTCTTCTAATACCAAGGATAAAGCAAAGTGTCAAATAATAAGGTCTTGGTCATAGAGAACTTGATAATCTCTTGTTAGAACTGAATAAAGAAAATCTTACAGAAGATAAGAATTATATACCAGATAAACAAAATTTTGGATGAACATCTAGAAATTGCCTATTATTTTTAAATTCCTCTTACAACAGTTTTATATTAAAATGACATTCAGCTAGCCAGGTGCAGTGGCTCACGCCTGTAATCCCAACTCTTTGGGAGGCCAAGACGGGCAAATCACTTGAGCTCAGGAGTTTGAGACCAGCCTGGGCAACATGGTGCAACCCCATCTCTACTAAAAATACAAAAATTAGCCAGGCGTGGTGGCACCTGCCTGTAATCCCAGCCACTCGGAGGCTGAGACAAGAGAATCACTTGAACCCAGGAGGCAGAGGTTGCAGTGAGCTGAGATCCTGCCTCTGCACTCCAGCCTGGGTGAAGAGTGAGACTCCATCTAAAAAGAAAAAAAAAAAAAGACATTCAGCTAGCATAGACAAAATTCACATAAGCCATGGGTGTCAGAAGGTGCACTGGATCAAAAGTTTTCATGACACTCCCTGTGGACTAACAGACTTTCCCAATAGGCATTTTCTCCCTTTGGCTACCTTGTACGTAAAATGGAGCTGCTGAAACTTCAGGCTAGTAAACCCAAGTCCAGCAAATGTCTCACAAAGGTACTTACGTTTTTGTAATTCTTGGTACTTTTGTAGATATCTGTGCTAGGGATGCTTCCAAGGCCATTCCAAGAAGGACTAGAAGAAAAAATATCAAGGTCAAGATTTTTTGGAACAGCCGTATTTTGGAATAAAAAGTTAAAAACAACAGCTACTAAAGAGCCCATCATTCTGGTGTTTTGGACTCTGTCTTTATTGCAGATGACATTTTCCTGTAGCTAACTCTGAAATGAACAGCTGGTGTTTGTGTGGAATCGGCAGGGGAGGGGAGAACTGTGCCTCTCTTCTGATGGCTGAGAGAAATAATGAGCATCATACTTGCACGTGCACAACACGTTATAGGATAAGCATAGAGCTTTCACGCATGTGAAATCTTATTTAAGCCCTGCCATAACCCTGAAAGGTCATCAGTATTATCCTGATTTTTATTGTTAACTAAACTTCTTAAGAGAAGTGAGAAAAGGCCTGGAGGTAAAGGGCAGCAGAGCCTCTGTCTTTAACCCCTGGGTCTTCCAGTGCCTGGCGCTTCTTTGTGACTTAGTCATTTTTTATAGAAATAGGAGACTGGAGGACCAGAAATAAGTCCTTCCTGTCAACCAGACTATTGATTTCTTGTTCCTGATGCAATCAGATAAATTCCGTGACTCTTCATGTGTGACTAGAGACATGCTAAATACAATTCCTGAAGAAAGAGTATCTGTTTAGTGTACTTTCAGCATTGTGCTCTCTGGATCAGCATGATAATTACTGGAAATTAAATACTGTGGAGGATACTGCTTTTTGTTGGCTAAAAGCCTAGATACCAAACTAGCAGCTAAAATGTGCCACCAGTTATTCCTTGGCTTACAGGTTTGTGCTGATTTTTAACTTAAAAGTTTATAAGCTAATCTCTCTCTGTAAAACCCTTCTTTTCCAACCACATCCACACAAGAAAAAATAGACACTGAGGCATATACAGCATGAGAGACAGCATCTTCTAAGGAGCGTTTCTGAGACGTGTCCTAGAAGCAAATTGAGAACTTTGGGAGCCTGCAAACCTTCTCAGGCCCTTGGGCAATCATTTAGGATGCTGAGGTAGAAAACACAAGCCTTTTGGGTAGGCACCAATATGCCAAGGTAGGGAAGGAGGGCAGGAAGGAGAACTGGCTGGTGGGACAGGAGAGGTGAGCGGATGCTAAGCTGAAGACATCTATCTTGATGTTTTTCCAGGTGTCTTCTTCTTTCACGGCCCAAGCACAGGCAGAGCAGGGGCCAGAAGTCTGGAAAGACGATGGACACATTGAGGAGGGAGAGAAAGACTCTGTTCCCCTCTAGGCCCAGGAGGGCACTTAACTAAGGCCTCTCTAGAATCAAAACAAAACCAACCAAAAAACCACCTTCAGGCTCCTCACCTTCCCTCACAGGCTGTTTTCCATTATTTAAATCATGTCTTTGCTGCCTTCACTCTGCATATGAGCTAATTGTTTCCTTCACATAATTGTGTGGTTTATTGGTTATATGCCTTATTGGTTATATGAGAGATTTGAATGAATTTTGGCTGTCATCAGCTATTTTAAAGTCCTCCTGTTCTGGGTTATGTAACTTTTGGTTACTAGCTTTAAAAAAGAAAATGAACTATAATATATAACAGCTGTCTTGTCCCAAGCCTGGGGCCGAGCGCCTTACATTCCTCATCTCATTTAAAGAAGAAACTACAAAGCAACTTCAGCCTTTGGCTAAACTATGTACTTTTTAGTCTTACCACAACTAAAAGGAGAGCACAGCAGTAGAGGACATGAGTAGGTACATAGGTTCAAATCTTAGCTCTGCCACGTACTAGCTGTGTGATCTTAGGGATGCTTCTTAGCTTTTCTGAATTTCTCTTTTCTCACCTGTAGAATGAGACTAATCAAAACTATTCATAGGCTATTTTTGAAGATTAAGTATGTCTGTAAAACACTGTCTGCTTAATGCATAGAAGCACTCAATATACAGTAACTATAACGAAAGAAAGTGGCTTCACTATATTTATCAAAATGGTATAAGGAAGCTCAGAGTGTGTTGTTCTGTTTATAGGAAATCTGGGTTTTACGTTACTCACAACTGAACTCTCAGGACCACAGTCAACAGTCCAAATATAAGGCCAGCTAGTAAACCGAGATCCAGCCCCAGAATGATGGACACTATACACGTAAACACCCAGATAACCTAGGGAAAAAAATAGAAATGAAAAGAATTATATTAATGTATCAGGTACCATCATGTGATAACTACCTATAAAAATAAGATCAATGATCCACAAACAAATTACATTTTTTTTTTTCTTTTGAGATAGGGTCACACTCTATTGCCCAGGCTGGAGTGCAGTGGCACCATGATAGTTCACTGCAGCCTCCATCTTCTGGATTCAAGTGATCCTCCCGCCTCAGCCTCCCAAGTAGCTGGGACTACCCACAAGTACATACCACCAAACCCGGCTAATTTTTAATCTTTTATTTGTAGTAGAGACAAGGTCTCACTGTGTTACGCAGGCTGGTCTCAAATTCCTGAGCTCAAGTGATCCTCCTGCCTCCCAAATTGCTGGGATTACAGGCCTGAGCCACTGTGCCTGGCCAAATCACAGCTTTTTAAAAATATTGTGACTTCATTCATTTTATATTTAAGTAGCTGTAGAAACTGGGCTTCTCAATTAAGACCAACTGTCCCATTTTATTTATTTCTAAATTTTTGAATAGCTAATATATTTGTATGGTTCATAAGGGAATTATCATTAAAAAGGGGAAAACTCTTGCTCACAACCCTCCCCCTTCTCCACCCATTCCCAACTTCCCTCCCTCCTTGTATCCGCTTTTATTTCTGCCTGTGTCTGTGCTTTTCCCCAGCATTTCTATTCTGGTCTCTTTTTCACTTAACGATTTGTCTTGGAAAATTTTCCATATCAATATGTAGGAAGTCTTCTCATTCTTTTTATGGTTTAAATTAGAGAGGAACTCTGAAGGATTTAGCTTCTGATTTTTAGTTTCTCAGAATAGTTGCAAAGGTTATGTTAGTCAGAGTTAAAGTCAGCGTGGGTTTTTACATTTTGTATTTTGTTTTTGCATTGTTTTGTATGTTGTTTGTCCTTCTAAACTAGGGTGTTTAAACATTTTTTTGCTTTTTGTGTTTAGAAGGCCAAAGGTGTATGAATGAGCCTCATATGGGATTCTTGCTGGAAATTGACCTTCCCAGAGATACAGAATCTTCACAAAATGCAGTTCACATGGAAGACTTCATGGCTTTGATTTATCCCCACAATTCTAATTTCTCCTCTGGAGTTCCCAAAGCACAAGTGAGACTTAGGGGATGGGGGGAATATAGTGATATGGCAGGAAGCATATAAGAACCAAATCTTATTTCAGATAAATATAGGTGGTAGGTGACTTACAGCATCAATCTTATTCTGTCTCCACAGACGAGGAATGTCACACAGCTGCATAAACATCCCTTTCAGGTTGGCAATTACAACAGCTGCCAAGACCGACTGCCAAGAGAGACAGAGAAGGCTGTGTTATTCAGGGAATGGTTTTCCATGTGATGATTGTTAAATCTCCTGTTATTTATCTGGTAGCAGAGTAGTGAAGGGAAATTATGCAATCGGTATGCAGAGAAGCAGGGTTATACCTTCTGCAAGGGTTCCAGAAGCTTCCCCAGGGCAAGAATGGCGATCATCACAATCGCAGCAGAGATGATGCCAGCAACCTGGAAGACACACACCTCCTATGAAAAGGATTCGTCCTTCTCCCTTGTGTCTTCCAGCTCACTGGATGTGTGTATGAGACAGCCTGTTCACAGACACACTTCATACTTCCCTGTCTCCCCCTTCTGCTCAATACTGTCGAGAAAAGTGATAGTTATTTGCTCAAGCCACAAAACTGAACAAAAATGGCATCTATATATGCTATGGCAGAGAAGTTAAAGAAAATATGGGGACTGATCCTATGAAATTAAAGCCAGTTTGACAGGGATTTTATTTGGTGATAGTACACACCTGCGGTTTCGGCGTCCATTCAGGCCAAGCTTCTAGTTATTTACCATGGCAGGAAACATGGACCAATCCCCCCTTTCCCAACAACAGAGATCATTGTCGTATTCTTGGGAAATAAATTCTCATGGCACATAGCTGATTTTTCTGCATTATTGAAGCTGCAGCTATAATAGCAACTCTGATAACACTTCGTACTTGTAGCACATGGTCTCATTAAAGTCTCAGAGAAAATAAATTTACTCATCCTATTGCAAATTCGAAATGCCACATTTGCACATTGAGAGGTGGGATTGTGTCTCCTGCCTCCTCTGACAGTTCCACGGAGGCAGGCTCAGAGCTTTGCCCCAAGGCAGCCTGAAACAGTGACTATGGAGTAACGGGGCAATAGCAGGGGTAAAAGGAAGCTTCAGAAACTTTACCTTCGCTGGCAAAAATAGCTCTCCTAAGATCCATACTAGTTAGGAGAGAGGCTGAGGGGGTGGGGACTACTCTCTCGTTTGATTAGATGACCAATGAATTCTCTGTTGAGACAGCTGGGGCAGAGCCAAGATGAAGATTAGAAGCTCTGAAACAAAGAAGAAAAGGAGACAGGGAACTACAAGCAAAGCAATCAGAGAGGAAACAACTGGGAAGATTTTGTTGAGCACAAGTACTGTCTAGTGCAAAAGGTCTGAGTTACGGGAGACAGACACAGCAAATATAAACAGAAAATTAGAAAGCACTTGCTCTACCTGGCAAATTGATCATTTATATTTAGATTATAGTTGGGTCAGCCTGAGGCAATATGATGTGTATGAGGTACTAAAAAGCGTGCTTTGTATGTCTGGCTGGCTTTTCTATGCTCTTCCTATCCCCATCCTAGATTCCCAGTACCCTGGTGCTCTTTCCCTTCTCCTGACTAAGCAGAGAAGCTGATATCCTACTTCCCTCCCTTCTCTTCGCTTTCCTTCATATCCCTTCCCTTCCTCTCCCTTGTCCTTCCTTCCATTTTCTTCTTTCTTTCCTTCCCTTATCCCTCCCTTCCTTCCTTGCATGCAATTACTCAACCAGTATTTACCGAGCCACTTGCATCTCACTGTGGATGGGGAGCTCTGTGAACTGGAGAAAGATATGGAGATTTGGGGACAAGGACCACAGTCAGCTGCCAAACTCATGCCAGGAGAGTGGCCACCTACTTGCCAATTATATGTCATAATGAGTCTCCAATTATGGGAGGCCAAGGCTCATTTTGGCCACTATATTAAAATTGGTGAGTGATCAATTATTTCTACTTACTTGATAAGGCTTGTTTGTGAGAAACTCTGTAGACTTTATATCTACAACCAGATTCAGTTACTAAAAAATTATTCTGTTAAGGGAGGGGGTAATCAGAGCTAAAGAGTGGTTTGTAATCAGAATTACTTTTCTGTGAGTCAGTGGAAGTCAGATGGGGGTGAGGGAAAGAAAAGGTTCCAATGTTTAATTCTTCTACAATCTGTAGATGTGCTAAAAACAGTTCGTGTCCACCAATACTCATTCTTCCATTCATTCATTCAGCAAATATATGCCAGGTGCTTCTTATGTGCCAGGCACAATATATGTATCATAGATGCTAAGATGCTATTCTTGCCTAAAGGAGTGAAACAATGAGCATTTACAAGTATGTGCTAAGGCTTTACATTTTCTTGCCTAATCCTCACAATATCCCTGTGAAATGGATGCAATTATCATTTCCATTTTGTAGATGCTGAAACTGAAGTTCCAACATAAGAGAAAACACGAGAAGCCACACAAGAGAAGCCCTGCCAGTTTATTTGTCCATCAGTCCCTGGATTTCAGTTCAGGCACTTAGACTTTTAACCCCAGAATTTAGTATACATTTCAATAATTAAACATGAAGCCATTTCTTTACTCGTTTCATTCTTTAATGCTGAAATCCTGGCATCCTTCATTCCTAAATATAATACATGCCAGTATGTGGCAGGGGGTATTAGCTTACCAGAGCACCATTATCCCCCAAACCCTGTGCCAAGGAGGTCACTTTACATGGGCATACTTACTGGGACAGCCAGCCCATGCCTCATTTGAGCCTGGAGGTAACATCAGGAGAATGGACATCAGCAGTTTGAGATTTGCCTGCACCCGCTGAAGACCATGTGCTCTGGAGAGCTTGTCAGTGCTCCGTCTCAAATGAAAGCAGCAGAAGTTCCTGCTGCTGACAGCTGCAGCCTGAAATGTGCACAGCTTTGGAAATTGGCTCTGACCTCTTCCCCTTGACCACAGATCTCTGGCTATGCCTCCGGATATGAGCTGTATTATTTTACCTGCTCCCTCAGAGCTGGAAATATTTGCAAAAAAAATAAAAAATTAAGAAAAATTCTGAAAATAAAATTTTTTGTTGAAAAGCAGCCAAAAAACTGGAAGAGGCCAATTCTTCCAAGTCTGTCACAAGATCCATTATAAATAGGAAAGGAGCATCACATGCATATTGGGGACAATTAAAGCCCTCCCTGGGCAAGTCACTGTTGGAGTCATTAGTTTTTTCAGTTATTCTCGTATATATATATGAGAATATATATATATATATATGTTTGTGTGTGTGTGTGTGTGTGTGTGTGTGTGTATATATATATTTGACACAGAGTCTAGCTCTTGTCGCCCAGGCTGGAATGTAGTGGCACGATATTGGCTCACTGCAACCTCCACCTCCCAGGTTCAAGTGATTCTCCTGCCTCAGCCTCCCAAGTAGCTGGGATTACAGGCATCTACCACCACACCTGGCTAATTTTTGCATTTTTAGTAGAGAAGGGGTTTCACCATGTTGGCCATGTTAGTCTCGAACTCCTGACCTCAATTGATCCGCCCACCTCAGCCTCCCAAAGTGCTGGGATTACAAGCATGAGCCACTGTGCCCGACTTATATTTATTTTTTAAGTGTCCCCGCCTTAGTAAAACCCATTTGAAGACTGTGAAGACTGTGCATGTGTGTGTGCATGTGTGTGTGTGTGTGTGTGTGTGTGTGTGTGTGTATTGCACTATGTAGTTTGGGTTTGTTGTTCTTTGGAGTCTCAATGCACTTCTTACTCCTAAATAATAGTTCTTTCTGTGTTGGGAAGATAAGGACCTCAAGGCATAAGAGACAGAAGCAAAATTCCTGAGTCTGTCTCTTGTGCCCATCTGCTTGGTGTGGTCTCTTCGACTGTGTCCTGCTGGAAAGAGTGGCCTTTGAGTATGGCTCCTGAGCTTTCTGAACACTGAAGGAGGGATTATCCAGAGATTAACTAGGATGCTGGCTTTTTGGCCACCTTGTAAAGGCAACAACTGCAAACCACATTTAAAAGATAAGATTAAACCCACATGCAGAACTTCAACAACATAAATCTTACTCAGGAAGAAATGCCAAAAATGTTACAACAAAAATATTCTTGGCTAGCAAACTGTTGTTCTGTGGGACCAAACGCCCCTGGAGGAAGTTCCTGATCCTTCTAAAGGAAATGTGAATAGAGCTTTTCACTTTCCTGAAAATAGAATAGCTCCTAAAGCCAGGAAGCGCTTTTACCAGGCCATCTGTCTCCCCAGGTAACAAATTAACAAAAATCAGCATCCTTCATTACTGATTCCTTGTCAGTTGTTATTGACCACAGCAGGTAAGTGTAGCTACATGACAGGTAAGCACTGACAAATAGATTTGAGAATCACTGTATCAGAAAACCATACATGTTGTTTTTTAAGAGATTTCAGGTGAGGGAGTGGAACAAGAGGAATAGGCCTGAGGTGAATCAGATTAGGAAGTACAAGTCTGAAAGGCAAATTGTCCTGCTAAGCTCGGTGCGAGCCTTCCTCTGTTGCCATTCCTCGACTTGTTCTCTGAGATGGATATCATAAGGCTGTTGTTCCTACCTGTGTCTTTCCTCCAGTGCTCTCCTGGACGGCCGTGCGGGAAAGAGCAGTGGTGGCCACAAAACAAGAGAAGAATCCTGAGAAGATGTTGCTGATCCCAAAGGCAATGAATTCCTAAGGAAGAGACTGGATGACAACGATCCTACAAATTGAATCTTTGCAAGACCTTCGCTGAGTATTTCAGGAAGTACATTAAGAATGAAAACTCCCATGCCTACTCTGCGTGGTGGTCCAATTTAATTTTTACCGTGATAGGTACTTGGGGTCCTTGTACGACATCAGGAGTTTGGACGCCATACCATCTGAGAGAGGTCTCATTGCTCTCGATAATTTTTAAAGTTGACAAGAAATAGCACCTGATCATTTGCTAAGCTTTTTCACTGCCTAGTGAATGGAATGTCTGCAGCTCTCACATAAAGTGTTTTTCTGTGGTTGAATATTCACTATGAAGCATATTATGACTAGCAGTGCTGTTATTCTGCTTGATTACTAACCATTTAACTACTGTTATTGCTATACTGTATTTTCAGAAACATATAGATACAGAACTTGCAAATTTGCAAGCAGTGTGAAATCAGCTTACCTGGCAATGTATCACATGCCTACAAAAATTGCCTGTATATATTAACTGCACAGTGAACCACCTCAATTTAAAGTGGTCACAACTATTATTAATGTTTGTTGCACTGTTTTGTCACATTATAACTGCCGTTAAAAATAATTGCCAAGAGGTACTGGGTTACATGAAGAATTCTCTTTCTGACCTAATATGTTCACTTTGAATGTTATTTATGACCTGACTGAATTAGCTCTTTTAAAATTAGTGTTATTTCAACTTATTTCTTAAAAAAGCAAAGTGATGCAGTGTGTCTATTCCAAAATAATTTCTAATTAGCAAACACAAGAGGAAAACCAACCCAATAAGGTCTGGTGAAAGAATCCAACCCCTTCTTTAGCTGACACCAAAATCTTTTCCATTTATGTTTTTTTCCTGTTTCCAGCCCTATAAAACCAGTTCAGCAAAAGGGCACCCATACCTGGTTCCCATCGATGGTGTAATCATACTTGGTGGCATATACTTTTCCTACTGACACTGCAATAGCATAAGCCACCACAGCGATGGAAAATGATGCAGCCAGCATCTCCGAGAACAAGCTCACAGGTGGAAGTTCAGGAGGCAAAAACCTAGTGAGTTTTTAAGTGAAAAATGCTGTGAAGATTTGACCACCATCCTTTTTCCCCATCTCATCAAATGCTATATCTGCTCAGTCACATATTAGACATGAAAGTACTTGATCCAAAAGAACAAAAAGCACACGAAATACATACATGATAGTAGCAGCTTTTATAATGTTTAATCAGAAGTTGGTGTTATCTTACTGGCTGATTTCTTTGTCCTCTATTTTTGAGCCTAGCCATGCTGACTCTTCTCTATCTCTCACATGAATAAATCTGCTGTTACTGATTCTTTAATATCATACAGCCCCATCCATGCCATTTCACATGTTAGTGTTTCTCCTTCCACAATTCCATCTTAAAGTTCTTTGAATTTAAAAGAGATTCTAGCCATAATATGAGATTTACTGTGTTTGAAGAGGTATCAGCTCTGTTAAAGAGACAAAGAATGTATGAAGCTAAAAGAGCTCAGTGGAAAATCCTTTGAGAGCCAGGACATTTAAAATCTTCTTAAGGCAAAAAAGATTAAATTAATGTAATTATCACAACGCTCCATAGTGACTAAAATATCTCAGTGATTGTGGGGTCCAATGACTACTGTTTGACAAAACCAGAGCTACCCTACAAACCATATAAAAAAATTAACCTACACATTATACCACGAGGTTCTCTCAAATATGAAAATTTGGGAGATGGACCTATATCTTGATGACTATCCATATGGTATAATTCCAGAGGCCCCCAGCCATGAAAGGTCTCCCCGACCTACATCACTTATGCCTAAAGTTTCTTTAATAAGGAAACTACATTTTCCCCTATAATTAGAGAACAGTGGTAAAAATAAAATAGAAATAAGGTTCTTAGAGAAAACCATAGAGAAAGCATCCTAGGTATTGTTGAATCCACCACTCTTGTCTTGTCTTGTTGATAAAGGAACTTAGACCTGGAAACGTGAAGTGATTTGCTTGATGTCAGTTAGTGGGTCCAGGTCTAAATGTTAGATATTAGACGATTTCCTACCTAACAAGATCTGTCTGGTTCTCTGCCCTTGTAGCCTTACTCTCCCTACCAGTGAGGTTAATTTTCAGACTCCTTTTCTCCTTATATCCCATCCTACCCCACAATGAGACTGTGGAATGAACCCCATCTGTAGACAGACAGGATGTTGGAAACCCTGATCCAACAGTTGGGCGACTCAGCATGACATCACCTGCTAGTTGGGATGTGACTTGGGACCACACTTCTCAAAACAGGCTCCTGACTTGCTCCTGAGACCCAGTCAACCCTACTTCAGGTCACTCGGACTTGTCAGGATAACTTTCCAGTTTCACATACAGCTTAGTTTTGATAGCAGCCTAATGCACTTTGCCTGCCTGGCTGCCTAGTTCTCCAAATATGACCTGATCCTTGATTATCCAGGTGTGCAAAGTGTAAAGTGCAAAGACTTAAGTCAAAGGACCAGAATCACTCTCAAATGACTTTAGGCATGTTATTTAAACCCACCACATCCCAGTTTCCTCAGCTGTCAAATGGGGACTATATATTCTTCTCATATGATTCAATGAGGAATCACTTGTGTAAGTAAGTAATTAGTGTCTACACATATAGTAGGTTCTTGGTATATATTGGGAGAATCTAAGTCTGTCATACTCCTGCCACTCATGTCTGCTGTCTTGCTGAACCCTAAGTGTGCCAATTATTTGCCCCAAACCAATTGAAGTCCCGTCTGGATATCTTCTAATGACCTGTAAGTAAGCCTTTTGTCCTTGCCCTTGCCCTTGCCCTCCTTCTGTGGATATAACTCTCCAAATTTTTTGCTCAGTGGGCCTGTTTGGCCCCAGCCAAGCATGTCAGGCCTGATCATAAGACAACACTATGAAGAGCCCAAGGGAGTGAGCATGTGAACACACACTTATCTGAAAAGATGAAGACCGGGAGAAGTGAACCCTGAAGGGCCCAAAATTCCACAAACGACAGGCCAGCGTCATAAACAGAATACCAAACAGAATACCAGAGTACTTCAGACTGGGTCTGAACACTTGGCAAATGCACCACCACTCCAGCTAGAGGAGAAGAGTAGCCCTCAGAAAGCAGCCAGGAAAAAAACCCTGTGGTTTTGTTGGCTTTGCCCCTGTGCCACACTTTCAAGTACAACTGCAAAGCACATACTTTAAAAACAACAGTAGGCCTGAGTTCCCCAAACCAATGAATGGAACCCAGATTGATGGGACAGGGCATGTTCTGCGGGCCACCTATAACTTGATACATCCTAGGAAACCTGACAAAAGGGGTCTATAACAGTGCCTGTAATCCCAGCACTTTGGGAGGCTGAGGCAGGCAGATCGCCTGAGGTCAGGAGTTTGAGGCCAGCCTGGCCAACATGGTGAAACCCCGTCTCTACTAAAAATTAGCCAGGCATGGCAGTGTGTGCCTGTTGTCCCAGCTACTCAGGAGGCTGAGGCAGGAGAATTGCTTGAACCTGGGAGGCAGAGGTTGCAGTGAGCCGAGATCATGCCACTGCATTCCATGCTGGGTGACAGAGTGAGGTTCTGTTTCAGAAAAGGAAAGAAAGGAAAAGAAAAAGAAAGAAAGAAGGAAAGAAAGAAAAGAAAGAAAGAAAGAAAGAAAGAAAGAAAGAAAGAAAGAAAGAAAGAAAAAAGAGAGAGAGGAAGGAAGGAAGGAAGGGGAGGAAAGGGAGGGAAGGTAGGAAGGGGAGGAAAGGGAGTGCAGGTAGGAAAGGGAGGGAAGGGAGGGAAGGGAGGGAAGGTAGGAAAGGGAGGGAAGGGAGGGAAGGAAGGGAAGAAAGAAAGAGAATGAAAGAAAGAGTAACAAACATGACAACAAGAGGACCTCTGGAACTGACGAAGACAGGAGGCAAGACAGTGAATAGGGATTAAAATTTAGAGGACAGAGCCGTCAATCTTGTTATGGGTTTATACACACACACACACACCCACACACACACACCACAGAGATCATGCCACTGCATTCCAGGCTGGGTGACAGAGTGAGACTCTGTTAAAGAAAAGAAAAGAAAAAAGAGAGTAACAAACATGACAACAAGGGGACCTCTGGAACTGGCAAGGACAGGAGGCAAGAGAGTGAATAGGGATTAAAATTTAGAGGACAGAGCTGTCAATCTTGTTATGGGTTTACACATACACGTGCGTGAGCACACACACACACATACACACAGACACACACACACCACTATAACAGAAGAGGTAAAAGAGAAGCCTGGGCAGGATGAGTGAGGAACTGGGCAGATTACGAGTTGCAGATAAGGACCAGTTGCATGAGAAGAGAGGCACATGACTGGCCCTCATAGTGTCTGCTGGTTAAGAAAGCACCCAGGATGGGAGAATGAGTGAATCCTAGTGGGGCGCTTAGGTGTTGACTGGACAAGGAAAAGTTGTATGTTTCTACCAGGAAAGGGAGTAGAGGGAAGGGCATGGAGCCACTGTTTTTGGCTGTCCAATGGGGCATTGTTATTGGGGACTAACTTATGGTCCTAACGTATGGTCCTAGGTTAGGAGTGATCCTAACTTATGGACCCTCAATAGGATAAAGGGAACTACGAGCAGCAGCCTTAATGGAGGATTGAAGCAGGGAGGAGATCAAAAGGGGGCATATCACAATCTCTCTGTCCCTCTTCCTTTCACTGTGCTCACCTCAGGGCCACTTTAAAACTCTGCTTGCTTTTTTCCAATCTCTCCACTCCCTTTCTTTTTCAGGTTTGTTAATATCATCAGAATTGCTTCTGTGCTACCAAGTGAGATCAGATAACCAAGGCCTTTGTTGTGGCTTGTTTATAATGACATAGGCTTGGGTATTTTATTCCTTCAACAAGTGTTTTCTGAGAGCTTACTGTGAGATGAGCTCTGTGCTCTGGGACAGAGCTGAACAACACCAATGGGGTCACTGCCCTCATGGAGTAGCTTAAAGTCCCTGGGGCCAGGCAGGTTAAATTAGCTGACCAAGCTGACCAGGTGGTCTGTCAAAGGATTCAGCTTCATTAAACTCAAGGGCGAGAGGCTAGAAATCTGTTCTCAGGAGGAGAGCACAGGAAAGCTCTGCAGAGGACCTGGAGGGATAATTTAGGGCAGAAGAAATGAGTTCCCTAAACCAACTAATGGAACACGGATGGATGGGACAGGGCCTGCTCTGTGGACCACCTATAACTTGATACATCCTAGGAAGCCTGACAAAAGAGATCTGTAAAGTATCTTTTTCTGTAATTGTTTCTAACTAATGAAATTATCTAGTTGTTAGATTAGATTTGTTGATCCTCTCTTAAAGAGTTTCTCCAGTT
Organism: Homo sapiens; assembly: GCF_000001405.40. Taxonomy (NCBI): domain Eukaryota; kingdom Metazoa; phylum Chordata; class Mammalia; order Primates; family Hominidae; genus Homo; species Homo sapiens. The sequence goes on along the minus strand of NC_000007.14, from coordinate 107,684,749 downwards.
TCCTTGAGGGCAAGAATCACTTGAGGCACTTTTGAAAAATATTAATTCCTGAGCCCCACCTCTGGAAAGCCTGATTCAATAGGTTTGGGGTGGGAACCAGGAATCTGTGTGAAAAAGGATCCCATGTGATTCTTACAAAAGGGTAAGTTTGAGAAACACTGTAATGGATAGCATGCAAATTAAGTCCCATGTAGCCAGCTGTGCTTTTTCAAATAGTTTGGAACAGATATTAGAGGAAATTATAAGATTCATCAAATGGGAATACAGCAGTTCCCTGTAGAATAAGCTCTGGGAATAAGCTTGCCTGAGGAAGTTTCTATTAAGAGCATGGAAAACAAACACTGGTACCAAACAGTGGCTCCGTGCCCTTCCCTCCCCTCCACTCCCTTTCCTGGTAGAAACACCGGTACCAAACTCTTCCAGTCTTAGGGAAAACTAGTACTTCTTGATTAACAGCAAGTCTAGTCTTAAATGTTATGAGTGTATGTTACAAATATAATAAACGTCTAGGCCTCCTTTGTAACCCCATATGAGAAAATTATGGTGTAGGGTGTCTTGACTACTCTTCATTTCATGAGAGATCTCACTGGTGTTTCATAATAAGCTTGAGTTGAGGCTTCGGCTGTTTTCATTATCCTTGTCTTATATAGGAGAATCTCCTCAGGTCACAAAACTGGAAGGTGACAGAGATGAATGAAGGACCTTGATCTTTTACTCTTCTAATTCACCAAACTACCAAATGTTTCTAAAACTTCCCTTGAAGATAATGCATTTTACTTATGGGTACGAGGATATAATTATTATCCAAAATTGATTAAACTAAATGATAGAGAATTTAGGCCAGACGTCCCTGATTCCTTAAGCAGATTGTTCACAGTGCAATAGATGTTACTGAGAAATGATTCTATTTATATTATATTATAATGTTATGTATAAGTTTAAATCAGGACTCTGGTGTTAACCGTACATGTTCTGCCATGTTTTAAGAAAATGAAGAAAAAAGAGCATATACGGGCTGCTTTTAAACAAATGGCTTGACGTTTATCTACACACATACTGTTTGTCTTATGGTTGTTTCTTCCAGATCACACACAAATAGGACTATTGAAGGAGTATCAGTGAAATGAAGCTTGTAATAAAAGGTTTTATTTAAATAAAAAAGACTGACTTACTGACTTAATGTATTAGTACTAAGAGGAACACCACACTCACCCCCTTGGGATGGATTTAACAATGCCAGCATTGTAATTTTTTTCCAGGTTGGCTCCATATGAAATGGCAGTAGCAATTATCGTCTGAAATAAAACAAAAGATGTTAAAAACTCCATTGGTTTTAATAATTCCTTGTTTGTCAACCAAATAATGCTGAACTTTCTAACTACATATTCTACTTACCACAATTACTTCTATAGGAATAGGGACTGGGATTTTGTGTCTAAACCGATCATTTAATTCCTTAACTGCCATACAGACGACAATGGTGAGCAATCCAGCAGTGAAATCAGCAAGATTGGTATCACCAATATTTTGAAAAATCTCAACCAGCGTCTATAAAAAGAAAATAATTTTATATACTTCCTGCTGCTACACGCACACGAGCACACACACACGCACACACACACAATCAATTCTCATATGAATCTTCCCACATGAAAAACCATGATATCAGCATCAAACAACACTCAAAAGTTTCAGTAAAATGATAAAAATGTGTTGGTTGATACAGAGACCATTACATACATACAATTGCTGCAATATATATATACACCAAGTTTTTTATGATTGTTTACTTGGAAAGGAAAAACTGGGTGATTTCTACATTCTTATTTTTGCTTCTCTGTATTTTTTATGATAATAATAAAGATGTCTTAAAAGAAAAAATGTCATTATAAACATACTAACTTTTACTTACAGAAATGCTTTACAAGTTTATATTTTAAAATGGGTTTCTAGGTGCTATCAAGTAGCCTGATTTTTACTACAGTGATACAGCATTGAGACTAAAGGCTGATAAACCTGAAACTCCCAGTTGATCAGTTGGTTGTTTTTTTTGTGTGTGTATATGTGTGTATGTGTGTGTGTGTGTGTTCTTTCTTTCTAGCTTTCTTTTTTTTGGGGCACAATTAGCCAGTATTTTAGGTAAAGTTCTTTCCTAAACCTGAATGATATAGATAATAACAAAAAATTACAAAAAATCCTAAAATACTTCATATGTGGATACAGGTAGACTGACTTCATTCTTTCTGGCAAAGAAAAGCTATTGAATTGACATATAGGCCAAGCATACTTTTTTTTAAATTAAAACAATTTCATGTTTTATTTAAAAAATTTGATTTTATAATGATATAATTACATCAAATCTTTTTTTTAATTCCTAAAGCTGAATTGAATCTGTAGTTTTTTTCTGTTTTTTGTTTTTAAATTATACTTTAAGTTTTAGGGTACATGTGCACAACGTGCAGGTTTGTTACATATGTATACGTGTGCCATGTTGGTGTACTGCACCCATTAACTCGTCATTTAACATTAGGTATATCTCCTGACAAGCATACATTTTTGGGAATAAATTTGGTACTTAATTTTATTTCTCAAACTTGAACTAAGATAACATAAAAAAAATTTTTTTTTTTTTTTTTTTTTTTTTTAGCTCTCTTGCCCAGGCTGGAGTACAGTGGCCTCGAACTCCTGAGCTCAAGCAATCCTTCCACATCACCCTCCAGAGTAGCTGGAGCTACAGGCAGGCATCTATATTTATTTTATTTATTGTAGAGAGTACAATAAATAGGCTATTTTATTTTTTGTAGAGATTGGGGCGGGAGGAGGTGGGGGCAGGGGATGGTGTCTCACTTTGTTGCCCAGACTGGTCTTGAACTCCTGGCCTCAAGAAATCCTCCTGCCCAACCTCTCAAAGTGTTGGGGTTACAGGCATGAGCTACCACAACTGGCCAAAAAAAATCTTTAAGTAGACAGATGAATCAATTCAAGAAAAACTAGTTTTGTTTTGTAAATAGGAGACTTCTGGGAATCAAGGGTGTTTTCAAGGAAATTAGCAAGGAAGAATCCCAAGGAAGAACACTAATATCTTTGTTATATTAACTTCAGTCCTGTAGAAGGCAGGATTTAAGAAGGTATCTTTGAGACATTTCTTTGAGACAATCTCACAGTGAAGGTAACTTTTCTTTAAATGAGCTTTTTTATAGACATATTTTATAGGAAGATAAAATAATGGAGCATCTTATAGTTTATAACATTTATAAAATGTATTTTACTTATTTTCACAGATAAACTACTTTTAAAATAATTATAATGATAATCTGGTGACAATTATGTATGAGCTTAATGAACTTTAAGTACTTAATGAACCTTAAGTAATCTAGGAGTCACTTTGCCAGCAACCTCAGCTCTCTGGAACACATTCAAGAAGAGTAAGGAAATGGGGGAGAAGCTATTATGCATGCAAAATACCTCCCACCAAACACTTGGACTAGAGTTCAGGCATTTAACTTGTAGGAAGACTCTTGAACTTTCACTCAGAGGGTACTTTTGCTCTTTCTTGAAATCCAGTACTAACAAATTCACTTTGTCTGGTTTTCAGAGTCACTGAAAATTGCTAAAGGCATTTACACTGACAGAAACAAGATGATGCCAGGGACAGCAGAGTGAAAAAGAAAATGGGATAACTACCACCAGCAGACACGATAACAAGAACTTAGGGCATTTAGCACAGGAGCAAACAGCCCTACCTATCCCAGAGGCTTGAAGGTTATCATTGCTGTTTGGTCCTTTACATAATCAGTTTTCTGATGAATGACCCTAATTAATTCAGGAGCTAGGTATAACATTTTGATGAATTGTCTATTCATTAAAGGTGTACTTTTCAACTCAAGATGCAAAAATTAAAACTTGAAAAACAAAACATTTGGAATCATTATCCCAATCACACAAACATTTTTACCTTACAAAAATAATCACTACAGGATTCCAGTTTAATCCATGAGAATCAATTAGACCTTTGAATAAAAAGTATGTCTGGTGGATTAGAAATGTAACACGAGGTTCAAAAACCAAAATCAGTTTATATTACAGAATTGCATCATGCAAGGTATCTGAGTATGTAAATAAGTTGCCTACATATTGAGTAGTCATTCAGAATCTTTTAAGAAGAGCTCTATGATAGAAAGTTTAATCTGTGCAGAAATAAAACTCACCATGTAAACTGCAATAGTCAGTTTACATTATTATTGTATAATAATAATATTATATAATAATATAAGATTATACTTATATATTATGTAATAATATAATAAAAGATTATACTTATATAATAATATAAGATTATATAATAAGATAAGATTATATAATAATATAACATTATATAATAAGATAAGATTATATAATAATATAACATTATATAATAAGATAAGATTATATAATAATATAAGATTATATTATATAATAAGATAAGATTATATTATATAATAAGATAAGATTATATAATAAGATTATATTATATAATAAGTTAAGATTATATTATAAGATTATATTATATAATAAGATAAGATTATATTATATAATAAGATAAGATTATATTATATAATAAGATAAGATTATATTATATAATAAGATAAGATTATATTATATAATAAGATAAGATTATATAATAAGATAAGAATATATTATATAATAAGATTATATTATATAATAAGATAAGATTATATTATATAATAAGATTATATTATATAATAAGATAAGATTATATTATATAATAAGATTATATTATATAATAAGATTATATTATATAAGATAAGATTATATAATAAGATTATATTATATAAGAGCATATAATATAAGATTATATAAGATAAGATTATATAATATAAGATTATATAATATAATAATATAAGATTATATAATAATATAAGATTATATTATATAATAATATAAGATTATATTTAACGACATAGAAATTAGACTCTACAAAAACACTGAACAGTACTTCTAATTTAGTTTACTGTTAAAATACCATAAAGTATGTTAATAGTATGGATACACATATAATTCTGTATTTTAGCTTAGTATTCCAAATAATTCAAATTATGATAATGAACTTTTTGGTAATAGATAATATTTTATTATATTTCCTGCTGTGTTTGGAAAATTTTAGGACAATTTCATTTAGATAATTTCTTTGTTCTTGCCCAGGATTACCTGTGTTTATGAAACCGTAAGAAAAAATTATGCCCAATAATGTGTATGAGAAAATTGATCAGTTTACTATTGGAACTGAATTTATTTTTGTTTATTTTATCTCTACGAATATCACAAATGCTTCACGACCACCTTTTGCTGTCAGGCATTTCCTTCCATATCTTTTGTGTATACATGTATAGATCAATCCTTAAAGTGTTACTTTAATACAATGTATAAATTTTACATACTGAAATAGGTACAAAGTAACAAATCTAATCAAGCTTAGTGGTGGCTTTCAAAGCTCTCACCCTTGTCTACTGAGACAAACCATTCAAATTGAGTGGTGGGAAATCAACCCCTAAGTGGACTGGGATTTACTTAGATAACTGAGTAGCTACATGGTAGCATCAAGGGTATTGACTAATTCTAAATTGCTGCCAATACCCTGTCATTCTCCCTTCTGCCTCCTACATCCAGTATCTCTGACATTTGTAAATTAACTGATTTCTTTTTCTTCTAATATTTTCTCCCCTATTTCTTTGCATTTGTTACTTCTAGTTGTCAGCACCTTTTTGGGGGAGAGGGCAGGACAAACCAAAGTGCAACCTTAGAACAAAGATAAGTTAACACTCCAGGTAAAGTATTTTACAACAATCTTACAGTCTTTTCTGGGAGAATCCTCTACTACTCTGCATTTATTGAAGGATTCTTTCATGTATAATTGCAATGGTAATGTCATAAGCAAAATTCTCTGTTCAGAGACTAAGCGGCTCATTTAACCCTATGCAATCGTTTTCAGACCTGCTGATTTTTTTTTTTTTTCAGAAGAGCAAACTTATATTCACCACCATATAGGGATGACTGAAATACCTTTTCCAACTTGGGTGGCCTGTGAGGAGTTTCTTGCAAAATTCTATGCTGTATGCTAAACTGAGATTTCAAGAAAAATATTCAACAGGAAGTAAGTTACATAATGACTGCACTTGGTTTAAAAACTATTTTTGACCTTGGTCTAGTGTTTCCTGCTCACTTTTGTCCCTGTCAAAGTGAAATCATTTGCAGAAAGTTTCTTCTTAAACATAATCCTATGAGACCAGAAGAACTATTTCTCCTGTTCTGCAGGGGTCCTGAAATGGCCATGGACCCAGGTCAACAATTAGTTTGGACCTCCTGCGATCTGTGTAGATGAAGGCCTAGCAATGTTTGCCCAGTGAGGTGAGAATACTCAGTAAGAGATGTCTTGGTAGGTTAATGAGTCACTGGGTTTGTATAGGGAGTGAACAGTGCCTGGCACATGGTAAGTATTCAATATGTGTTTATTGAGTAGATAAACTGAATGAATGAGAATGAAGGAATAAATGAGTGAACATTTGATGGAGAAAATGTAAAAGTAAGTAAAAGCAAGATGTGCCAGGAGCTGCAAAAGTTACAGAGCCTGTCAAAATAAGGCAGTCAGAGGTCTCAAAAAGAACTAAGGATTGGCCAGGTGCAGTGGCCCACACCTATAATCCCAACACATTAGGAGGCATGCAGTAAGATGACTGCTTGAGGCCAGGGGTTCAAGACCAGCCTGGGCGACATTGCAAAACCCCTGTCTCTACCAAAATAAAATCTTAAAATTTTAATTTTAATTTTAAAATATGGGCTGGACATGGTGGCTCACTCCTTTAATCCCAGAACTTTGGGAGGCCAAAGTGAGAGGATCACTTGAACTCAGGAGTTCGAGACTAACCTGGGCAACATAGCAAGACATTGCCTCTACTAAAATTCAACAAAGAAAAAGAAAATTAGCCAGGTGTGGTGGTGCACACCTGTAGTTCCAGCTACTCATGAGGCTGAGGGGGAAGAATCGCTTGACACAGGGAGATGGAGGTCGCAGTGAGCTATGACTGTGCTACTGTACTCCAGCCCAGGCAATGGGGCAAGACCCTGTCTCAAAAAAAAAAAAAAATTCTTTTTTAATAGAAAACTGAGGATTTGACAGGAAAAAACATATCAAGAATGACCCATATAATGCTGAATCAAAAACTTTTGCTAATGTTTCCTAATAGGCTGGGTCCCGAGGAAATGAACGGCGAGCTTCATGAGGTCTATTCATCTGTGATAATAATAATAATAAACTCAATTCTTACTATGTGACAGATATTGTGCTAAGTGCCTTACACGTATTTTCTTTTTCAATCCTCACTGCTCTAAGAGGTAGCTACTATTACTACTCCCATTTTACAATTGAGGACACTGAGGCTTAGGGAAGTTGAGTATAAACATCATGGGTAGTGGGTGGAGAACCAAGATGCCAACTCAAGTCTGTTGAAGTTCAAAGTCCATGATCTTTTTTGTTTGTTTTTGGTTTTTTGTTTGTTGTTGCTGTTATTGTTGTTTGAGACAGGGTCTCACTCCCATCACCCAGGCTGGAAGGCAGTGGCATGATCTCGGCTCACTGCAGCCTCAACTTCCTGAGCTCAGGTGATCCTCTCACCTCAGCCTCCCAAGTAGCTGGGACTACAGGTGCGTGCCACAATGCATGTCTAATTATTTTTGTATTATTAGTAGGGACAAGGTTTTGTCATGTTGCCCAAGCTGATCTTGAACTCATGGGATCAAGTGATCCACCTGTGTCAGTCTCCCAAACTGCTGGGATTACAGGCATGAGCCACCACACCTGGCCTCATGATCTTATTCACTATGTTATTCTGCCTCCTCTGTCTATTCTCACTGCTTAGCATAGTACCTGGCCTGTAGTAAGCACTTGGTAATATTTGTTGAATGGATGGAGTGTAATAGTATGGGATTATGGCACCGTTATAAAATTGAGCAATTATTGACATACTCACCAATTCTTAGATATGTGTACATGGCCTTACATTGTTTTAGAAGCTAATAGGTGGGTCTTTAAAGACTCAAACTCCATTCTTAATGTTGACACGTTATTTTTGTATGGTATCATTCCCCCCAAGCTAGGATGACATCATGTTACTATTATCACCATTTTTCAAGCATCAATAACATGCTTTATGTAGAACACATTTTTAGATCCAAAACCTTTTTCAAATCTAATTAGTGTGATCTACATCCTGCTTTTGCATTTCTTTTGCATGGTGAATCATCTCTGAATCTAATGTTCCTTTTCATTTATAATTGTTGAGACATTTACATTATGCATTTTACGGACTCTTATGGTTAGAAAAAGCTTTTAGAGATACATCTCCAATCATTTCATTTCACCAATAAAAAAGAAAAGATGGCTTGAAATAATCATTTCAAAATAACTCCTTTATTTAGAGTACTTGTTATGTACCAGCCCCTGGGCCAAGTGCTTATCTATTCTTATTTAACAATCCAATGAGGCATATACTATTACTAACCCAATTTTGCAGAGAAGGAAACTGAGGCATGGTGATTGGCTCACATGGCTAGTAGACAGTAGAGCCAGAATATGAATCAAGGTCCATCCAGTTCTAAAACTGAGCTTTCAATTAGCACCCTACATGATGTATCCAGGGTCACTTACCTGTTAGAGACAAAGCTGAGGCTAGAAATCAAGTCTGTTACATTCCAGAGCAGCCTTTACTTCATTAGACCACTTTGTTTTCATTAATGTTTTTAAGTACAATAGTATTTCTGACAGAAGCAACCAAATGTTTTCAATGGCTCCCAAAGTATGCATAGAGAAATGTGGGTGCTCCCAGGCCGGGCGCGGTGGCTCACGCCTGTAATCCCAGCACTTTGGGAGGCCGATGTGGGTGGATCACAAGGTCAGGAGTTCAAGACCAGCCTGGCCCAAATGGTGAAACCCTGTCTCTACTAAATATACAAAAATTAGCTGGGTGTGGTGGCGGGCGCCTGTAATCCCAGCTACTCAGGAGGCTGAGGCAGGAGAATCGCTTGAACCCGGGAGGTGGAGGTTGTGGTGAGCCAATATCATGCCACTGCACTCCAGCCTGGGTGACAGAGTAAGACTCTGTCTCAAAAAAAAAAAAAAAAAGAAAGAAAGAAAGAAATGTGGGTGCTCCCAGACTCAAGTTTTGTTTTGTTTTGATTTTGTTTTTGCTTGAAACAGGTTCTTGCTCTGTCACCCAGGGTGGAGTGCAGTGGGGCGATCACAGCTCACTGCAGCCTCAACCTCCAGGGCTCAGGAGATCTTCCCACCTCAGCCTCCCAAGTAGCTGAGACTACAAGTGTGCACCACCACACCCAGCAAATTTTCGGATTTTTGGATTTTTTCTTTCTTTTTCTTTTCTTTTCTTTCTTTCTTTTTTTTTTTTTTTTTTTTTAAGAGATGAGGTCTCACGTCTCAAACTCCTGGGCTCAAGCAATCTGCCCACCTCGGCCTTCCAAAGTGCTGGGATTACAGGTGTGAGCCACCACGCCTGGCCCAGACTCAGAGAATGAATACAATTGTTTCTGGAATGAACAGTGACCCATCCCTGGAGCAAGAAGCAACACTTACATAGATAATAGAGAGAACTCCATTGTAGTTTTTGGTTGAAACATTGAGGACAATCTTTAGCTGTGAGACCAGCACTTGGAAGGCAGCAGCTGTTGTGAAGCCACCAACCAAAGGATCTGCCAAGTACCTCACTATGAATCCAATCTGCAAGCCACCAAATATCAACTACGATAAGGAAAAGGAAAGAAAAATTAAATGTTTGCCTGAGATAGAAACCTACTCTCTGGAAATATTACATCAAGCTTAATACCAATGAAAACACTAGTAGCCTGCCTATAGCACAAAAATACTGGTAGAAAAAAATATGAATTTCTTAATACCCTATCACTCCCCTTCCTCCACCACTCTAAAATTTGAAAACTAAGTGTAATAAAAACCTTGAAGTATTTCTATACATGTACTTAGAAAAGCAAAAACCCAGAGCTTATTTATGTGGCTTTCGGTCCTGTGTCTCCGCTCACCAGAACACTTTTTCTCCTTTATGGATTCCCGTATATTTCCCTTCTCTCATCCTCAATTGAATCACACATGTTCTTCTGTGCTTTTTTCTGTCTCTGACTTTGATGATAAGTGAGCCTTAATAAGTGGGGTCTTGCTTACTATTTTAGCACCTGACCTAAAACAACGTAATTTAGAAAATAATTTTGGGTTCCAGGAAATTACTTTGTTTTGTTTTTAGTAGAATCTTTAAGTCTATATGCTTTAAAGTTAATTTCAAATAAAAATTACATCCATCTATATTTTACTTGTAAGTTCATTACCTGTATAATTCCAACCAGCAGAGTCAGGGCACTGGCAATCAGGACTCTAGCTGTATCTCTAGCTGCAGTGTCTATCATAGTAGTATTTAATACAGTTCCATTGCTGCTGGATACGAGAAAGTGTTCGTCGGGGGCCATGCTCAGAACAACAGATCCCACCATTAAACTCACCACTGGAAAAGGTCCTGGGGAAAAAAAGTCTCTAACAATTAATCAGTTATTAATCACAAATGTTCAATGTGTCTGCATAGGGTTTAAAAAATGTATAAAAGATTTAGCTGTGACTAGGAAAATATTGTTTGTTCACGAAAGAAGCTGAGCCGGACCCAGTGGCTCACATCTGTAACCGCAGCACTTTGGGAGACTGAGGTGGGAAGATCGCTTGAGCCCAGGAGTTCCAGACCAGCCTAAGCAACATAGTAAAACCCCATCTCTACCAAAATAAGACAAAAATTAGCTGGGTGTGGTGGTGCGTGCCTATGGTCCCAGCTACTCGGGAGGCTGAGGTGGGGGGATTGCTTGAGCTGGGGAGGTGGAGGCTGCAGTGAGCTGAGATCACGCCACCGCACTCCAGCCTAGGTGACAGAGCCAGATTCTGTCTCAACAACAACAAAAAGAAGCTAAAAACGCAGATATCTCGAGGCATTCATGACCTAGAAATAGGCGAGAGAGACACGTAGGTAGTTATTAGAATACAACATTCAGGATGCTTCGTGAGTATATCAAAAGGTCGTCTAACCTGTCTGTGTGTGATCCTCATGTGTATGGGTGGTGGGGACAGGGATGAGAGTTGTCAGGAAAGGTTTTCTGGCAAAGGTAGCACATACATTGAGTGTTTACTTGTTCCGCTCAACTTTTATTTCATATAATCTCATTAATTTCCTAGAGTGTCCAATGTCCTGATCTCTGTGGATCTGAGTACCTTGATCAATATCACAGGGTCGAAGTTAGGATTAAAAAAACAGCAAAGGGAGTATGAAGTTTCTTTCTCTTTTTGTAAGACAAAACATTTTTTCATATCAAATGTCAATCTGTAAGATTTTATATTTTAAAAAATATTTTTTTTTCAGCAATTGCTCCGTTCACTACTGTTATTTTTATCCATGACGATGATGATGATTCTACCCTCTCATCATGGAAGGCTTTATGGTTTTGAGGTCTCAAAACCCAACCCCAGTCACCTGGAATATCTCAATGTATAGAATACCAAAGAGAAAAACCAGCTTCCATGTTCCTCATCTAGTCAAGCACTCAACACTGATTGATTCTCCAAGGTGTGGAAGTTCTTTCAATCAAAACCTCTTTCTGATCTCCTTCTAAGGAAATACAACTAAGGACAAAAACATGGGTTGGGGATAAAGTAGATGGTTGCATTTATTTCAAGAGGATCATCGAGGTAGACATGTCTAGCCAGCAGATGGATGTAGGAGCAAAATTTTCTCTAGTATAAATGTCAAAGTCACAAAATAGCATTAAAACACTCATTTACTAGGACATTCTAACAAACGAGAATTCAAATTTTAGGAATAGCAGGAAAACTTATTATAAGCCATACCAAGAAAGAAAGCCAAGCTTAGCTTCTAAATTGTTTTGGTAAGATTTTGCCAGTCTTCTAATATTAGTGATTTAAAATAAGTATGCTCTTTAATTAAATCATGAACATGTATTTGATGAACATACTTAGTAATTTCTAAGTTAATCCAGTAAAATGGTAGGTTCAAAGACCTTGTGTCATTTTTTCCCTGTCATTATGACTCCAAAAATGGAGTCAAATTGATCACGTTTTTAAAAAGCAAAACATGCTAAAATGTTAAAGTAGGCTGTCATTTTCAGTTTTTTTATTTTTCCACTTCATTAAAAAAGTTACCTAACATCAGTGAATAGAAAAAGCAGGCAAAACACTGAAATCCCATTTCCCTGACAACATTAACACAGATATATTAGGTTGGTGCAAAAGTAATTGCGGTTTTCACAATTAAAAGTATAATTGTGAAAACCGCAATTACTTTTGCACCAACCTAATAGAGGTATAATGCACTTAATATAGCCAAAACACTTTAAACATGAGCAAATATAATTGTAAAATATACTTATAATTACCAACTGAGATATGTCTTGATGTTCCAAAGATAAAGTATGTCAGGATAGGGAAAAAAGCAGAGTAGAGACCATATCCGACAGGAACTGCAGCTAGTAGGGCATATGCCATCCCTGAAAGCACATGCAAAGTGATTACATTCACAAACCAAAGTTACAGTATGCAGAAAGTCCTCAACTTACAATGGTTCCACTTATGACTTTGCCTTTATGATGATGCAAAAGCAATATGCATTCAGTAGAAACCATACTTTAAGTAACCATACAACCATTCTGTTTTTCACTTTCAGTACATTATTCAGTAAACTACATGAGATATTCAATACTTTATTATAAAATAGGCTTGCGTTAGATTATTTTGCCCAACTGTAGGTTATTGTAAGTGTTCTGAGCACATTTCAGGTAGGATAGCCTAAGCGATGATGTTCCATAGGTTAGGTGTATTAAGTGCATTTTTGACTTAAAATATGTTCAACTTGCAATGGGTTATTAGGATGTAACTCATGAGAAGTAGAGGAGCATCTGTCTTTCTACTGCAGAAAGAAGGGCCTTTACACAGATACTCTCAATTTACAGTTTCAACAGATCAGCCTGTCCTGAGTTGGTCTCCTTATCTTGCATACAGACTGGCTATGCTAGGATGCAGAACAGGATCCAAATCACCTGGAACAATGATTGCATCTACAAACATCACCTGCTCAAATGAATGGACTCAGTTGATCAGTAATTCAGTCTTCCACCAATCAGATCAGTGGGAAAAAACAATCAAGTCAAATGTTGATTAAAAACTTGGTCAGGCCTGGTGTCCTACACCTATAATCCCAGTGCTTTGGGAAGCCATAGGCAGGAGTATCAGTTGAGCCCAGGAGTTTGAGACCAGCCTGGAAAACATAGCAAGACTCCATCTCTACAATAAAATGAATGAGCCCAGCATATTGGTTCACGCCTGTAGTCCTAGTTATTAAGGAGGCTGAGGCAGGAGGATTGTTTGAGCCCAGGAGTTTGAGGTTACAGCAAGCTATGATCGTGCCACTGCACTCCAGCCTGGGCAACAGAGCAAGACCTTATGTCTAAAAAAGAAAAAAAAAAGTTTTGGTCAATTCACTCCAAAGGCTCAGACCAGTTTTGCACAGAGGCAGTTGTGTCTGAGCTCAATATTTCTCTGCGTTCTGAGGGACACAGTCATTGTTACACTGCCCTTTCTCCTTTTTTGGTGGGGAAGAAAAGTTAGACCCAAAGAAAAAATATGATAATTATACTCAGCAGCAGACAAGACAACTCTACCCTGATGAAGTTGACCAACTCCTCCACTAGGCAATGGCAGCAGCCCCCAGACCCATTAATGCCTGGCTATAGAGAAATCAACATTCTAGTTTACATGAGGGTTAGAAGAGGATAATGACATTCTTTTCCTTGGTTAAATACTTAGGTAGCCAGCATATCTTACTCCGTTTTACCTCCTCACCCTTCACTCACTCACAATGAGAGAAAATCAAGCCTTTTCACTCTTGAGTCATTAATAAGGAATTACATTTATAGTAGTTTATTAAAAATGGCAACAGCCTGAATATGCTGGCCCCCACACACTCAATATTACTTATCAGATGAATGTCCCCAAGCAGGGAAGTGGTTAACTAAGTTATGCTTCATACTTCGTAATTCTATGAAATGAAATTGATGTGATGCTCAGAAGTACATTCAGTAACGTGGAGAGATGTGAAGTAAGAGGGAAAAAAGTGAGTAAAATCAAGATTCAAAACTGATAGGTATGTATGCTTCCTCTTTTGTAAAAAATACACTCCCACTCCAGCCTGTGGGAGTGTACGCATTAAAAAAAGCCGGAGGGACCGGGCGCGGTGAGTCACACCTGTAATCCCAGCACTTTGGGAGGCCGAAGTGGGTGGATCAGGAGGTCAGGAGCTCAAGACCACCCTGGCCAAGATGGTGAAACCCCGTCTCTACTAAAAATACAAAAATTAGCCAGGCATGGGGGTAGGCACCTGTAATCCCAGCTACTCAGGAGGCTGAGGCAGAGAACTGCTTGAACCCAGGAGGCGGAGGTTTCAGTGAGCCGAGATTGCGCCACTGCATTCCAGCCTGGGCAACAGAGCAAGACTCCATCTCAAAAAAAAAAAAAAATCTGGAGGTATTTTGAATAAAATATGAAGTAATTTACATATACAAGAAACACAATACACAATGAATAATATAATAAACTTTCATGTATCCATCATCTAGCTTAAGAAATAAATTACTGCCAATGCAGCGGAAACTCTCAGTATACTCTTCCTCAATCACATCCTCTTTCCTCCCTCTACCCTCAGAAGGCAACAATTATCCTGAATTTGGTGCTTATTATTTCCAGACATTTCATTATACTTTTATATAGATAAGTATTTATGTGCCTAGTAAGATATTTACTGAAATATCAATGGGTTATCTGTATGGTAGGATCAGAGGAGACTTCTAGTTTGTAGTGGAGGTATTTTTTCATGTTCCTTATATGTATTTTCTAGTTTTCTACAATAAGCATTCATTCATTCAACAACAGTTGATTATGCACCTACCATGTGTCAGGCACTGTTAAAACAAAGTCTCTGCCCTAGTGGAGTTTGTATTCTAGAAAAATATATCTATTAGTACAATTGTTTTAATATGTAAATTACAAACAGGAATTGCAATAGTCAGTAGTCCCAACAGCATGGAATAAAATAGGAAGGTGACTCCACAGAAGGAAGATAAGAAAAGAAGGAGCAGGGGATGAAAGCACAACTTGTCTATTTCATATGGACATTTTTCAAGTCCTTCTCAAACTTCCATTTCCCCAAACTGGGCTCTGCAGTTCTTAATATGCCTGGAAAAGGGGAACTTTTCAGTTTTCATACAGAGTGTCCCATTTAGGGACCACTACTACTCAAATATACTGGAATCATCTTTATTATAAAGAAACTTGGTACAACAGTTTTAAAATTACACAATTTGTAAAGAAATCTGGGGCTAGGTGTGATGGCTCATGATTGTAATCCTAGCATTTCGGGAGGCTGAGGTGGGAAGATCACTGAGGCCAGGAGTTCAAGACCAGCCCGGCCAACATGGTGAAATCTCGTCTCTACTAAAAATACACAAATTAGCTGGGGGTGTTGGTACATGCCTGTAATTTCAGCTACTGAGGAGGCTGAGGCACAAGGATAGTTTGAACCCAGGAGGCAGTGGTTGCAGTGAGCCAAGGTCATACCACTACACTCCAGCCTGTGTGAGAAAGAGTCTCAAAAAAGAAAAAAAATTAGAAGAAATCTGAGCCATTGATTTAAATGATAGAATTTCTCTGTTGGTAGTCATGATTTATAGCATGGTGACAAATACTGGCAAAGCAGGTGCTAATAAACAGTTGAAATTTATATTAAATTTAAATTTCTTCTAAAGGTAAAGCCTTCCACCATGTGAGGACGCAGCAAGGTGACGGGCTGTCACCAGAAACTGAATCTACAGGCACCTTCATGTTGCAGAAATAAATTTCTGTTGTTTAAACAAACAAATACATAAAAGTCAAAAGGAGAAAGCAGACAGCAGACTCCTTAAAGTTGTGAATAAAAATAGCACTACAAGGGTTGCATCGATCTTTTGCTGTCTGATGGGAATTTGTTTTAATAACAAAAATCACAAAGATCCCATCATCCTTAGCAACTTCCTGGCTTCCCAGTAACCTGAGCTGGTCTTCTCGGAGTTGTTCTACTACTCAGCTGCTCAGCCAGTGGTTGTGGCATGGACATTGTCATCACTGGAAACCACACCACCACCTCCAAAATCTGAATTTTGAGCCTCTCTCCAGCTACAGCCTCCAAACCTTCCAGCTCATCTACTGCAGAATCCTTATTGCAACATTTATTTGTGCTCACGAGGCTTCTAATTAATTAACCGATCCACTTTCTCTCTATCCTCCACACCTTCCTGTCTTCACTTCCACCCTTGCCCACACAGATTCCATGGAATTTTGCAAATATTCTTAACTCCCTTTTTTCACTCTCTCTTTCCTTCCTTTTCTTGTCTGGCAAAACCCCAATTTGGCTGACCTCAAACATCTACCTTATCCATGAGAGCCTTTGAGCAGCTAGATAAACTGGACTGAAGGCATCTACATCTGGGCTAACCAATTTCATGTAAAATGTGTGACCACAAGTGCTAGATGGGCACTCAACACTGCCTGGGGACCCAGTTACATTTCCTCAGGGGGTGTGCCTTTCCTCTCCTTGAGACAACTATTCAAACCTCCCCTACTTACCTCAATCTGCCCAAACCCTTCTCCACCAGACTCAAAGTTAAGGGACATATTCTGCATTTAATCGAAAACACAGAATGCATGAGATGCTCCCAAGTTACTTTTCATCAAAATTTCAAACCCGTCTGCATCTGCACCATTTGGGCTATCTTCCTTTGAAAATGGAAGAAATATCCCTCCTGCCTTTAAGGAGTAGTTCTCCTAGTTCCATTCTCAAACCCCTCCACGTTTGCCCCTTTTTACTACTTTGCTTCTAGTTATTTCTCTTGTACTTCTTGCACCACAGATCTCTTTCTTTCTACTAGGTCATTCCTATCGGTTCACAAATACGTTCTAGTATCTCCCATATTAAGAAAAACAAATTCTCCCTTCACTCTGTCTTCATCTCTTATCTCCCTCTGATTCATGGCAAAACTTCTTAAAAGCAGTCTGTAATCCTTCATCATACCCCACCCCTCAGGCAAATTCAACACTCTCAGCCCCTCTATGCTTTTTTTTTTTTTTTTTTTTTTTTAAACCTTCTCTCTTGGCTTCTGATCCCACATTCCTTTGGTTGTTCTTTGTCTTCAACTTCCTGCGCCAGGCTTTCTCAGGTTCTTGGCTGCCCCTCTCCTTGCCTTCCTAACTTCTAAGTACTCTGGCTCTCTTTTCTTCTACACCTGCCCTTTCTTCCTAGGTAATCACAGGCATTCCCACTCTTGTAAATATCACCTCTTCAGCAATGCTTTCCTGATTTTTATGTCTAGCCTAGACCTCTCCTCTAACCTTCACACTTGCAGTAGCTCCCACTTCTCTAGGTGGCATCTCCACTTAGATGTCTCACCCTGTGTCTCAAACTTAGCATATCCAAAAGGAAACTTGATTTCCTATCCCAAACCTGCTCCTCAGCCTGTCTTTGCCATTTAGATAAATGATGTAATGATCTATCCGGTTGCTCAAGCCAACAACCTTGGAGGCATCAGTGATTTTCATCCACACTCATCATTATGTGTCAGTGATTCTTGCTGCACAATATATTCCTATCTTGCAGCTCTCTTCATAGCCTGCATCATCTGGTTCAAGCTGACACACCCATTCTCCCTTTAATTCACAGCAATATCCCCACAGGGCCAGGAATAGGGTGAGGCAAATGAGTTTCCTAGGGTACAATATTTAAAGAGGCATCCTGAGAGTGAGTGCCTCCCTTACCTCATCCTAATCCCAGTCCTGCCTCAGTTTATTTCATGGTTTACTCACCCTCCCCCACTGCACTCATCCACACTACAATTCTTCCTCTTCCTCCCTGGAAAATGCTAAGTTTTCTGGCCTCAGGGCCTTTGCACCTTTACCTGGTACACTCTTTTTTTCTGCTTATCACATGGCTGTCTCCTTCTCATTCTCTTGTCTTTTACTAAATTTCACCTTCTCAGTAAGTTCTTCCTTGACCATTATATCTAAAATAGACCTCCCTTCCTGGCTGGGCACAATGGCTCACACCTCTAATCCCAGCACTTTGGGAGGCCGAGGCAGGCAGATAACTTGAGCCTAGGAGTTCCAGACCAGCCTGGGCAACATGGTGAAACCTTGTCTCTACAAAAAATACAAAAATTAGCCAAGCATGGTGGCACATGCCTGTAGTTCCAGCTACTGGCGAGGCTGAGATGGGAGGATCACCTGGGCCCAGGAGGCCAAGGCTGTGGTGAGCTGTGATCTCACCACTGCACTCCAGCCTGCGCAACAGAGCAAGACCCTGTCTCAAAAAAATATAAAAATAAAGATCCACCTTTCAAATTAATCCCTATTGCAGTATATTTAATCCACCACAATAGATATTGCAATCTATAATTATTTTTCTATTTATCTACTTATTTAATTCCCATCCCTACCCCTCAAAATAATTTTACAAAGCTCCATGAAGTCAGCACCTGTGCCTGTTAATGAACCACTGAGTGCACATGGCTGGATACCTGGTCTACAGAATTAGTTTATAAATATTTATTAAGTGAATGAATGATAAATGGATGTGTAACTGAGCCAGATTAACCTCCCAGAAATTCACCTTACACAGAAAACTTTATAGAGATAATGTTTCTAGAAAAGCATCTTACCCATAAAGTAAGGAACTACACAATAGACACCGGATTAAAATCCCAGCTGTACCACTTACCAGCCACGTGACCCTGGGCAAGATTTAATAGATTTTTTCACCTACTGAAAATGAAATAATAATAGACCTACCTAGCAGGATTGTTATGAGGATTAAATGAGATAGCTGGCAACATTCTTACTTAGCATAGTGTCTCATGCTTATAAACAAAATGAATTCTTATAAGATACTTGTCTATGAAAACTGGGGAGACATGGAGCATGAACCACCATTTTTTATATATAAAGAAGATTCATTATCAGGAATGCAATTCAATCTTTTTCACTAAATATACCATCTATTATGTGCCTGTCTCTGTGCTAGGCACCTGCTGAACAAACATGAATGAGGCATGGTTCCTGTCCCCCAGGAGTCACAGGGTGTCACCATGTCACAGCCCTTAGAGCACAGTGTAGAATACTTGGCATTGTTTAACTTAGGAACCACACAGCCCATCCTAGTCTCTCTCCCGTCCACCTTTGTGATTAAGAACATGCTTGATCAGGCTGAGGCTCCACCCTGGGTTCATAGGCCATCCTCCTTCTCTTCGGGCATCTACCTGGCCTGATCTGAGCAATCTTGAAAGCTCCATAGCCAAATTTTAGCTCACAATATTGCTCAACATTCATTACTAGCTTCTGAAATAGTCTATTTTCAAGCCATCCCCACCCCACCCTACTTCCCATCACTTGGCAAACTCAGACTTAGCCATCAGGGAAACTCAGCTTTGACATTCAACTTCCAGGAAGCTATTCAAGATCCCCTAAGACCGCTTTGAGTGAACCTCATTTGCACTCCCTTAGCAAGTAATTTGCACTCCCCTGCCACAGCCCTTATCACATTGAATTGTTTTCTCTTTCTCCATTGGACTATGAGTTCCTTGGAAGCAGAGGATGCATCTTATTCGTGTCAGCATACCTAGTGCCTGGAACATATTAGGTGTTTCACAAATTATAATAAATAACGATATTTCTGTTTTCATGATTCAGGGTCTTTGGGAAATTGGTCAGGGTGTTGGGGGTGGGGCAGAAACGAGATGGTGGGGATAGGGGACAGAGGAGAATGCCATGCTGCTAGGCACCAACTATACAACAGATTTCTAAGATGCTTATGGGAATATTATGGTATGAACTCAGTTTATAAAAGAACAAATAACCACCTATGTTGGCACATTTTCCCACACATTAAAATAAGAGGATGAATTTTTTTAAAAAGGGATGAGGGGCAGGCAAAACATTCATGTGGAGTCCAGGCTAGGAAGCTCCCTTCACTTTTCCTTAAGCCAGTTTCAAACTACACCTCAAGATCCACGTGTGGGAGGCTGGGCATGGTGGCTCATGCCTGTAATCACAGTACTTTGGGATACCAAGGAGGGCGGATCACTTGAGGTTAGGAGTTCCAGACCACCCTGGCCAACATGGCGAAACCCCATCTCTACTAAAAATACAGTAATTAGCTGGACATGGTGGCACATGCCTGTAGCCCCAGCTACTCAGAAGGCTGAGGCACAAGAATCACTTGAACCCGAGAGGCAGAGAGGTTGCATTGAGCCAAGATCGTGCCACTGCACACCAGCCTGGGTGACAGAGCAAGACTGTATCTCTAAAAAGCAAAGCAAAACAAACCAACAAAAAAGATCCACGTGTGGATATAAAATAATTTAATGTGCTGCAATCATCATTTAAAAAACCTAAGCATAATAGAACAAAGTGAAAGATTAGCACATTGTTATAATAAATATTTCACAGGAACTTTAGATATATATGTATATATCAGGATGTAACACATTTCTTTTTTTTTTTTAAATCTTGACTTGAAACTCTTTACACATTTCTTATTGAATTGTGGTCAATGAAAATAGAGAAGCTGGCTGGGTGCAGTGGCTCACGCCTGTAATCCCAGCATTTTGGGAGGCCAAGGCAGGCGGATCACGAGGTCAGGAGGTCGATACCATCCTGGCTAACCCGGTGAAACCCCGTCTCTACTAAAAATACAAAAAATTAGCCGGGCGTAGTGGCGGGCGCCTGTAGTCCCAGCTACTGGGGAGGCTGAGGCGGGAGAATGGCGTGAACCCGGGAGACGGAGCTTGCAGTGAGCCAGGATTGCGCCACTGCACTCCAGCCTAGGTGACAGAGCGAGCCCCCGTCTCAAATAAAATAAAATTTAAAAAAATTGAGAAGCCACTGCCTAGTATATGCCTCTAAATTGGACCTCTGCACCTAGTGGGGCAGCAGTTTCCCAGGAAGAGAACTCTAAGGAAGGGGAGAAGAGAGGTGACTCTCTCCACTAAGGGGCTCTACAGGAAAGATACAGGCCTTGAAGGGTAAGCAACCATCTGTCACAGACCTATGGTAGCTGGGGAGAAGTGTTAAACTCCTGCTGGAGACCAGAACTCTCAATCTGCCAACATCTTACCTTGCAGCGTGGCCACTAGCCCAGTACTAACTCCCGAAATGACGTCACTAAGCAGCCATTCCTTGACTCGGTATTTGGGGAGCCACTCCAAGATGGGCACAAGAGTCTTTAGCACACCAAAGGCTCTCTTTCTTGAACAACTGTCAAAAAGCAAGAAAACTGGGTTTTCAATCCAATCTCAGTCACAACCAATTTGCAAATCACAAAGTTATGAACTGGATTCTGCTGATGTTTATAACTATTTGGAAAAAGGATAAGTATTTCCTGGAAAATAATAACCCTGAAGTGCTTACCATGCTTTTGCCAAGAACTGTATCTATCCTTTTAAATGCACTCTTCTAGAGAACACAGGATTAAGTGTCCCACCCCTCGCTCACATTTTTAATCCTCTGAAAAAATATTCCTACACAAAAACCTATTTTCTGGTCCAGCCAGAGACTGATGGATGTGGAGTCTCTAAATGGAGATTACTTTTCAGACTCCTAATCCAGGCGCCTTATTATTATTATTTTCTTTAAAGAAGATAAACACACTGAGTATATTTTGGCAATACAAGCCTGGAGCTAGTTTTTACAAAAATCTTAGCATGAGGAATGTATACCTTATACCTTGCTACTTGGTAGTTTTTAAATTCAGTGACCTACAGATGAAAGAAAAATATCAAAAGTAGGTGGTATAACTCCTGATTTGAATAAATTGTTTTTTAATTAAGGCATTTATGGGACGATTGGACATTTTAATAATGACTCAATTTTTGATATTAGGAGGTTATTTTTAGATATTAAGGTGTGATCATGAAATGTGGTTATATTTTTTAAGAGTCTTTAAAGATATGCAGTAAAATACATAAAGACAGTATGCTATATGAGATTTGCTTAAAAATAATACTGGAGGGAGCAAGTAGGTGTAGATACAAGAAACAAGAGTAACTTGGATTTGATCACAGTTGAGGCCGAGTGATGGGTTAAAAACGGTGGGGGTGGGGAGTTCATTATACTACTACGTCTACTTATGCATATATTTGAAATGTTCTATAATGAAAGGTTTTAGAAACTCTAATTTCTTTATGTTTGTGACATCTAGTTACGGCATGTTTGGGTTTAGAGACTGAGGGTGGCTTTCCCCAGGGGTCCCACAGCCTGCTGATGAAGTACTTGGCACACCCCGCGCTCCCCTGGGTTCTAGCTTGCATCCTGGTCTCTAACTGAATGGTAGCCCGCCTACTTAGCTTGAGTGTTTCAAGGACTCCTCCTGGTCAAGAGCTGGGTTTCCCTATTCATTTCATTTAAACAAGCTCCCAAGAAGGCAACAGGGACCCACTGTACCCCAAGAGGCACTCCAAGTTTCCTTCAGAGAGGAAAAAGAGAGACGGGGCTCCTAGAACCCACTCTCCCCAAAGGCGAGTTTCCCAGGTAAGTTCATTTCGGGCCCGAGACTGATGGAGCCACCCTCCCACCAGAAGGGCGGCGTGGAGGACCGGAGACCGAAAGTCGGGCCTCTGGGAGAAGCAGCTGGCGCCCAGGGGCTCCGCCGCCCGCACCCCACTCTCGCCCGCTGGGGACGCCCTTCCCTCCCCAAGGCGTGGACGCCCCGCTCCGCTTCTCTCTACGCAGGCCCGCGCGGCCGCTACCTGCAGCACTTGGCCAGGCTCTCCCGCAGCGTCTTGCGCTCCTGCAGGCGCCGCTCGTGCTGTTGCTGGAAAGCGAGCTCGCTGTAGACCGGCCGCGACACCATGTAGCTGCAGCTGTACTCGGGGAGCTGCGGCGGCTCCGACCTGCCGCCTGGCGCTGCCATGACCTGCGAGCCAGAGGACAGCGAGGAGGGAGGACACGCGGTAAGCGAGGACGATCGGAGGGGAAGAGCGAGGAACAGAAAGAACGGGATCACCTGTTAGCTGCAGCCAGGCCCCCCTGCACCGCGAGTCTGGTCCGCGTCCTGCAGCCCTCGGCGCTCGCGACAAGCGCCCCACGGCGCGCACGGCCAGCCTGCAGGGGGGCACCTGAGAACCTTCGGGTCTCGTGGCCTGCACCCGCTGCCCGGGGTTCCCCAAACTTGAAGCGAGTAAGCCCCTGCTCTGGGGGCTTCCCGAGTTCCACCCAGTCCCCTATGGCCCGCAGCCAGGGCGCTGTCCGCGTTCTGAAATCTCCCCCAAACCGAGGGGCTGGGGCAGGGGCCAAAGGCGCTTGCAAGGCTGGAAGGGGACACTGAGATTCCCTCCCTCCCCGCACCTGACCCGGGACGCAGCTCCAGGTGCGCACTGGAGGAGAGGTGCAGACCCCCGGGCCAGGCGTGGAACCGTCAGGGCGCGCTCCGCGGGTCCCCAAGAGGCGGACGCTGCAGGCACATTCCAGCAGCTGTCGCAGCCCTCTCGGGGGCAGAACTTTCAGCTTATTGAGCAAGTCTCTCCCCTCGTCCTGTTTTCCGAGCAGCCTGTTCGCTCTCGGCGTCTCAGAAAGAAAGCTGTACTGCCCCCTGCCCACCTGATCCGTGACCACTTAAGAGTCCCATCCGCAACCCTCGAGGCCTCCCCGGGAGTGGAGCCCGGGCCGGGCGGTGTGGGCATCTTCAGGGCGAACTCACCTGTCTCTGCTCGCGCCCCGCCCGGAATGCCCCGCGGACTACCCTTCCGCTGCCTTTATAGCGCTCTCAGAAGGCAGTGGGACGTTTTATTTACGGAGCAACAGACACCTTGGTCGAAGGGAAAGACACACACAGGCTGCGGTCTTTCCCAACCGATCCTATCAGGAAAGAAATCCTACCCCTCCTGCATTCTTCCCCTTTCCCGAACCGGGAAGGCTGAGACTCTTACTGGCTGCCACGCAGGGGCCACCCGGATCCTCACTCATCCCGTTACTAATCTCAAGGGTTGCGAGGTCAGGGGCGGGCCAGGCCCTGTGGGACTCCTTAAAGAAGAGCAGAGCCCGCCTAGAGGAAGAGGTCCGTGGTCTCTGGGAGCCTGCCACAGGTGCTCTCATACCACATGGGGAGGAGAAGAGGAACAATGGCCAGGTTTCTATATTAATAAGTCCTTGAATTTCTAGAAAGTCTTTTAGGAGTATTCAATGGGTGGAGGATACAGAGAGTTCACGATTTACTCAGATTTTAGCCACTTATTCTACGTGTGCATGTGTGTGTGTTTTATTTCACAATCCAAATCAAGCCGTCCAGGTGGCCCTTTCTTACCCACTAGACTCTGTTTTTTCTTTTTCTCATTCTCCTGGACAATCAGGGAAGGAATAAACTGGACTACATGGAAATCAAGACTAGAAGAGAGGGAGGAGGAGCTGGAGCTATCCTACCTCATCAGTGTTTTGTCTTCTGTTGGGATGAACTTTGTTAAAACTAATGCATGGTTAAGATGAAAGGCAGAAGGAAGGGTTTGATAAACCAGAACATTCTCGCCTGATTGTTAGTGTTCTGAAGTAAATACAGAAGAGGCTCCAAAATACAGACCTCTGTACATCAACCTTCCGTAATCCACCTGCCTTGCATATGCAGACCATGACAATTCTACGAGCTCCTGGAAACAGAACTCAGAACTCCTCCCCAGAGAACCCTGATGCAAATTCTCTGAAATGGTAGTCAGCATGTGCGTTTTCCTGAGAAGTGAATGAGTCAACAGCTTTCAACAGATCTTCAAAGGCTTACTTCACCCAATGAAGTTAAGAACCACTAAAGAAGAAACCTAAAAGGAAAATCCAGGTCATGAACTTTGCAATTTTTATTCACATACAGAGAAGAGGGGAGGAATCTCTTGTGTATGTTTTACTTATGTATACCACTGGTTCTTAATAAAGGGCTTTTTTTGCCTCCAGAGGTCAATGCCTGGAGACATTTTTGGTTGTCACACCTAGGGAGATGCTATTGGGATCTAGTGAGTAGAGACCAGAGATGCTGCTAAACATCCTACAATGAAGTTTGCTATCACTCCAAGGTTTTGCATGCGACTTAAACTGTACATTTATTAATCAATTGCTACATGTACTAAAATATGTATCTCTCTCCATATATGTATATATGCGTGTATTTTTTCATTATTGTTGGATGTATAGCTCAACTCCACTACAACAGAGGAAAGTATTTGTTTTAAAGTAGAATCTGAATATACTCACTCTGTATACCCTCATCCATACCTTCAAGATCTGGTGAAAACACTATCTCTTGCAAGAACATTCTTTGATGCTGTTCAGAATTAATCCAGACCCTTTTCTGTATTCTCTTAATACCTTATCTGATCCTCTCTTAAGTTACTTCTCACTATCTACCTTAGTAACACAATTTTATTTACATACAAGTTCTCTCTCCCTCACTAGACAAAAACTTCTTGAGGGCAAGCACTGTGTCTCCTTTCAACCATTATTATCTTCTCTCATGTTTTTTGAACAGATTTATCTATAGCCCAAACATACCTTTTCAAAAAACTAAAAATTACTTTACATATTTGATCTAAGGCTTTGTTTTTCTCCATTAAGAGCATGCTGTGGATATCTTTGCAAGTGAGTGCATAAGGATTTTTCTTAACCTTGGAGATGGCTGTCTAGGATTTCAGAATATCAACTCATATTTGTAGCTCCATGGCAACTCACCTACACAACTCACAACTCTTTATTGAAGGCATTCTGTACCAATATAAATATAGTCCATATCCCATTCTAATATGGATTTCTGCTCCTTGTTGCTTGCTATTTTGAACACTTTTAGTCTGGTCCAGTCAGGCCTATAAACCACTTTGCATCAGAACTTGGCAATGGTTTGCTGGTTCAGAGGATTAAGGAGTGGGGTAAGGCTGGCAGAAGGACAGAAGAGAAAAGACTTGAGTAACAACAGGAGGCAAAAGAGTAACTTAGCTTGGCTAATAGAATTCTTATTTGAAATGCATCTCTCTATATAAGAGTTTGGTTCAATAATCACAATATAATAAGTCCTGCATGTATCTGGATGAAGATAATTGCTTTTTTCTGTTCAATGCTTTTCCATAGCAGAAATAGCTGGGGCAGAACAAAATGGTATCTCTGTTACAGGATTCTATAAGGGTATAGAACTGCTTTTCTCATAGGTAAAAGGCAGACCGTTTGAATTTGGCTTTTTAAAAACAGAAGAGTAGGAGGAAATAACAGCTTGCTCTCTCCACCCTATTTAATTGTGATATTAAACACCTTAGATTACTCACTTGGGCTTTATAAGGCAACCTTCTCCTGTTTCACACAGAGGTGGGTGGTTCTTATTTATCAGACTTTTAAAATATTCAGGACTTCTTTCCAAAGAAATAGATGCATCACTTAAAAATAAATATCAGACAATATTATTGATACTTTACAGTACTTATTTAGCAGTTAATACTTTTTTAAAAGGCATTTTCTTATTTATCATTTAGGCATTTGCAGTGTAAGACAAACTCCCTTGTTTGATTACGCATTCACCTGTTCATTCATTCATTCATTCAAGGATTTATTAGGAAATTATTTGTGCTGGCTGTGGGTACAATGATGAACAAAAGCTTATACCCTGGCCTCATATTTATGGGTGCAGTAGACACTAATCAAATGGTCACAAAATGTGTATCTTATTTCACTGATTATAAAATACAGATTTTTCACATTTTATCAGGGTTCATGTTATAATTGATGATCTACTATATATTATAGTTTAATTGATAGCGTATTTTGTGATTCATAAAATGAGTTTTATAATAGAATTCTATAATTAATAAAATATAGATATTTACATAAATTTATAGTGTATCTATGCCTTTTTTTTCTTTTTTAGAGATGGGATCTTGCTATTTTGCCCAGGCTGGACTTGAACTCCCAGTCTCCAGAATAGCTGGGACTATAGGTGCACACCACCACACCTGACAGAGTATCTATGCTTTTGAGTGACTACGTGTGCTACAAGAATGATTTAATTGAATCCTTCGTTTATTTAACTTAAGAGCAGTCAATCTTGCTACATTATTTTTGTCTGAGAGCGAATATTGTGGTATAAATTTTTTCTTTTTTTTTTTTTTTTTACAATTTAAAATGTTCTCAAATCAGAAGAATTGCAAAAGAATGCAAACATGTTGGCTGGGCGCTGTGGCTCACAGTGTAATCCCAACACTTTGAGAAGCTGAGGCGGGAGGATCACTTGAGCCAGGCCTAATCCTGAGCTTTTATTTCATTATGCGTGTTAATTTTCTCAAGATAGCAAATGCTAAATTTTTGTCATACTTATACAAAAAGAGAACTGAACTGAACTTTCTTTCTATATTTCTGATCTCTTCTTCTCTGAGCAACTTATTGGGCTTATTCTCAGTAATCATACAGTTTTGCACTCAATTGTTTTCTTGGTTTTTTGTTGTTATTTTTATCTTGCACTCAATTGTTTTCTATTTGTTTACTGTATGCTACTTTATTTTCTTCTCCAGTTATAAGATATGCTCCCTAGGGACATAAATAGTATATGTCTTTTATGGTGTTACAAAAATAAGATGTGCCTGTAGTAAATAATTTGGAAACTACATTAATGTATAATATAGTAATCACATTTTATCTCATTATCCAGATAATCACTGTTTTGCTTCTTTTTTTATTTATTCTTTCTATGCAGACATAGGTATACATTTTTATTAAAGTAAAATTATAATGCTAGTCTCTTTATTTCCCTACACAATACCTTGACAAATTATGACAATATAATAGGTACCAGACTTGTTAAATTATTGATCAATTGATTGTTTAACAATGGAATTTTGAGAAATATTTGGGTAGAAAAAAAACTAGTTTTAAAAGAAGAGAATCCAACCATTAAAACATCAAAAAATGAAATTATTTGTAAATATTATGTGGCAATCCATTCAATTTTAAACAACTTACAGTGTCAATAAAACTATAACTCAATAAATTTCTCAGGCAGAGCCCATCTGCCTCTTCTTTAATATGAATGCAAACTTGATATGTGGTTTAGTAAATTGCTAGAACGAAATGATGGCATAGTTTTGGGTTTTGAGGGGTTTTCTGTGTGTGTGTGTGTGTGTGTGTGTTTGTTTGTTTGTTTTAAACAGGGTCTGGCTCTGTCACCCAGGTTGAAGTGCAGTGACACTATCTCAGCTCACTGCAACCTTCACCTCCAAAGCTCAAGCCATTCTCCACCTCAGCCTCCCAAGTAGTTGAGACTATAGGCATGTGCCACCACACCCGGCTAATTTTTGTATTTTTTGTAGAGACAGGGTTTTGCCATCTTGCTCAGGCTGGTCTCAAACTCCTGTGCTCAAGAGATCCACCTGCTTCATCCTCCCAGGGTGCTGGGATTACATGTGTGAGCCACCACACCCAGGTGGGTTTCTTTTAATGTTTGTTTTAATGATGATTTTTTTTTTTCAAGAGATGGGGTCTCGCTTTGTTACCCAGGCTGGTCTCAAACTCCTGGGCTCAAATAATCCTACCACCTCAGCCTTCCAAAATGCTGATTATAAAATGACATTACAGGCAGGAGCCAACTGCACTTGGCCTGGATGTTTTCTTTCTTTTTTTTAGAGATGGGGGTCTCACCTCAGTCCCTGAAGTAGCTGGCATTACAGGCCTGTGCCACTATGTCGAGCCAATAATGGCATAGTTTTCTAAGCAAAGAATAATTTCAGGATCCTTCCAAATTTCTTATTATTTAAGTGTATTGCACTTTTAAAGTTATCCTTGCATATCTTATCTCATGAAATCTGTGGTTTGTTAATGGAGGGAGAAAAGGGAAGCTTGAGGATTGTTTCAAGTAAACACTGATGTGCTGTGTTACCACGAGTTGGATGTTTAAGTATTCCATTCATTCGTTTAATTATTCATTCATTGATTCATACATTTATTTACTTACACCATGAGTATTTAGTGAACCCTTAACTTGTATCAAACACTATCTAAGTGTCGGGGATACAGCAGTGAACAAGTTTGTCAAAGTTCCTGCCTTCAAAGTACTTCTAATGGGGGACAGTGATTATCAGCAAAAAAAATAAATCAGATAACATTCTGTTGTGACGAAATGCTATGGGAGAAAGAGAAAGATGTCTTGTGGAATTACTGATGGAGCAACACACAGCAAGGGGAGGAGGAGGACCACCTTAGAGGGGGTGTTCAGGGAAGGCCTTTCTCTTTCAGAGGAAATGACATTTGAAGAGAGACTAAAGGATGAGAAAAAGACAGCCTTCCTGGAAGAGGAAACAGCAAATGCAAAAACTCTGAGTTAGGAAAGAACTTGATGCACTTGAGAAACAAAAAGAAGGCCGGCAAGACTGAAATCCACATAAGTCAGACCCGGGCACAGCAAACTGGACGTCCTCAGTATATATGTGGCAACTGAAACCAGGCATTTAGGGTGAGGAGAGAAGCAGATAAAAGACCAGCACCAAGCCCTCAGACGGTCCAACATTTAGAGGTCATTTATAGGAGGAGAGGAGGGGCCTCTTCTGTAAAATGCTGAGAATCTTTGAACTCAGGGGGTGAGGAAAAAAACATCTCTAAAATATTTTGAACTTCTTGGAGATACTTCTCTCAATAAAATTTCTTTTGTACCTGTATCTTTTAATGACACTTGTAAAGGGGAAAAAAAATCTGAACATTTGAAACTTGTCCCTCTTTTTTTTTTTTTTCTGAGACAAAGTTGCACAGGCTGGAGTACAGTGGTGCAATCTCGGCTCACTGCAATGTCCGCCTCCTGGGTTCAAGTGATTCTCCTGCCTCAGTGGTACAATCTTGGCTCACTGCAACGTCCGCCTCCAGGTTCAAGTGATTCTTCTGCCTCAGCCTCCCGAGTAGCTGGGATTACAGGCATGAGCCACTTTGTTCCAAGATCTCATCCAGGTTACCACATTACATTGGGTTGTCCTGTTTCCTTAGGCTCCACTTGGCTGTGATAGGTTCTCAGGCTTCTCTTGCTTTTCATAAACTTGACAGTTTGAGAAGTATTGGCCAAGTATTTTACAGGATGTTCCTCTTTTGGAATTTGCCTGGTCTTTCTCATTACTACAGTAGTGTTTTATGGGAGAAAAACCATACAAAGTGCCATTTTCATCATAAATTATCAAGGGTACATAGTCAACATGACTTATTGTTGATATTAACCTTGATCACCTGAGAGGTAGTGTTTATTAGGTTTTACCACTGTAAAGCAACTCCCCTTACCTCTCCCCTTTTCCATTCTTCTATAATCTCTCTTACTCTTTTTTTTTTTTTTTTAGACATGATCTCATTCTGTTGCCCAGGGTGAGTGCAGTGGCACCTTCATGGCTCATTGCAGTCTCGATCTCCCAGGCTCAAGCGATCCTCCCACCTCAGCCTCCCAAAGTGCTGGGATTGCAGGCGTGAGCCACCTTGCCCAGCCCATTCTGCAATCTTCGGAAGGAAGTCACTATATGCAGCCTATGCTTGAGGAGTGGGGAGTTGAATTCCACATCCTTGAGGGCAGAATACCTAAATAAATTATTTGGAATTCTTCTGCAAGAGAGATTTGTCTCTTCTCCTCCATTTATTCATTTATTCAATTATTTCTTCATGTCATAAAATCATGAATATTTATTTTATATGTTGCATTATAAACCAACAGTACTTTTTAAGAAATCAAATTGTTCCAGGCTTGGCCATTAGGAGCTCTTTCAGTTGGCTTCTGTGCCCTTTGACATAGCCCCACCAATGTAGGGTGGTTTTGTCTTTTGGTTTTGGAGCATTTTCTTACTTTTTGGCACTGTAAGATGCTCCAGGCTGATCTCGTGTATTCCTGTGTAAAATCAGCCATTTCTCAAAGGAACACTTGTTCCTTTTATCGGTGAATGGTATAAGCAACCAATATCTGGGTGACAGAGTGTTCCCTGCTGCAGGGGAATTGTTGCTCTAGGCCCTTTCAGCTGACAGAGCAAAGAAATATGTGTGTATATCAACCAAGGCATATATACACATCAATAATATTTCTATATCTAATCATCTATATTTCTATTAAATTAAACATAAGTTCATACTAATTAAGAGATATTTTTATTTTATAGTATTTTGTACTATTTGAGGTGATTTTTTAATAGGTCAATTTGTTACTTTGTCAATCATTTTAAAAGAAATTATATTATGTTTCAAATGCCCTAGTGATAAGATAAATTATATATACGTATGTCTTGATAGTTGTGGATTACTAGATGCAAAACAAATGGTCTATTGGTATTGTTTGTTTGTTTGTTTGTTTTAGAGACAGGGTCACACTCTGTCACCCAGGCTGGAGTGCAGTGGTGTGATGATAGCTCATTGCAGACTCGATCTCCTGGGCTCAAGCGATCCTTCCACCTCAGCCTTCCAAATAGCTGGGATTACAGGCATGCACCACCATACCTGGCTAGTTTTTAATTTTTTGTAGAGATGGGGTCTCACTATGTTGCCTAGGATAGTCTTGAATTCCTGGTCTCAAGTGACCCTTCCGCCTTGGCCTTCCAAAGTGCTGGGGTTTACAGGCGTGAGCTACCGCGCTTGGCCCCTGTAAAAAATTTTGTGAATCAAACTTCTTTAAATACGTTAGAAGAATTAGATGATTAAGATAACTCACATGAGTTATTCTTTTATTAAATAAAGAATGAGGCCAGGCCCAGTGACTCATGCCTATAATCCTAGCATTTTGGGAGGCTCAGAAGGAGGACTACTTAAGCCCAGGAGTTTAAGACCAGCCTGGGCAACACAGTGAGACCTCATCCCTAAGTAAATAAATAAATAAATAAATAAATAAGCCAGACATGGAGGGGTACATCTGTAGTCCCAGCTACTTGAGAGGCTATGGTGGGAGGATCACTTGAGCCTGGGAATTTGAGGCTGCAGTGAGCTGTGATCACACCACTGCACTCTAGCCTGGGTGACAGAGTGAGATCCTGTCTCAAAAAAAAAAAGAAAAAAAAAGAATGATCACCACATGCTTTCGTATGTTGCATGACACCTCAACATGGTAAAAAATGAATTAGTTTGAAGATGGCCGAATAGGAACAGCTCCAGTCTACAGGTCCCAGTGTGAGTGACGCAGAAGACGGGTGATTTCTGCATTTCCAACTGAGGTACTGGGTTCATCTCACTGGGGAGTGCCGGACAGTGGGTGCAGGACAGTGGGTGCAGCGCACCGTGCGTGAGCCGAAACAGGGCGAGGCATCGCCTCACCTGGGAAGTGCAAGGGGTCAGGGAATTCCCTTTTCTAGTCAAAGAAAGTGGTGACAGACGGCACCTGGAAAATCGGGTCGCTCCCACCCTAATACTGCACTTTTCCAACAGGCTTAAAACGGCACACCAGGAGATTATATCCCACACCTGGCTTGGAGGAGGATCCTACGCCCATGGAGTCTCGCTCATTGCTAGCACAGCAGTCCGAGATCAAACTGCAAGGCAGTAGCGAGGCTGGGGGAGGGGCGCCAGCCATTGCCAAGTTAGTTGTTTGATTAGGTAAACAAAGCGGCTGGGAAGCTCGAACTGGATGGAGCCCACCACAGCTCAAGGAGGCCTGCCTACCTCTGTAGGCTCCACCTCTGGGGGAAGGGCACAGACAAACAAAAAGACAGCAGTAACCTCTGGAGAATTAAATGTCCCTCTCTAACACCTTTGAAGAGAGTAGTGGTTCTCCCAGCATGCAGCTTGAGATCTGAGAACGGGCAGACTGCCTCCTTAAGTGGGTCCCTGACCCCCGAGTAGCCCAAATGGGAGGCACCCCCCAGTAGGGGCAGACTGACACCTCACACAGCCGGGTACTCCTCTGAGACAAAACTTCCAGAGGAACGATCAGGCAGCAGCATTTACGGTTCACCAATATCCGTTGTTCTGCAGCCACTGCTGCTGATACCCAGGCAAACAGCGTCTGGAGTGGACCTCCAGCAAACTCCAACAGACCTGTAGCTGAGGGTCCTGACTGTTAGAAGGAAAACTAACAAACAGAAAGGACATCCACACCAAAAACCCATCTATACGTCACCATCATCAAAGACCAAAGGTAGATACAACCACAAAGATGGGGAAAAAACAGAGCAGAAAAACTGGAAACTCTAAAAATCAGAGTGCCTCTCCTCCTCCAAAGGAACGCAGCTCCTCACCAGCAATGGAACAAAACTGGAAGGAGAATGACTTTGACGCGTTGAGAGAAGAAGGCTTCAGAAGATCAAACTACTCCGAGCTAAAGGAGGAAGTTCGAACCAATGGCAAAGAAGTTAAAAACCTTGAAAAAAAATTAGACGAATGGCTAACTAGAATAACCAATGCAGAGAAGTCCTTAAAGGACCTGATGGAGCTGAAAACCATGGCACGAGAACTACATGACGAATGCACAAGCCTCAGTAGCTGATGTGACCAACTGGAAGAAAGGGTATCAGTGATGGAAGACGAAATGAATGAAATGAAGCGAGAAGAGAAGTTTAGAGAAAAAAGAATAAAAAGAAATGGACAAAGCCTCCAAGAAATAGGGGACTATGTGAAAAGACCAAATCTATGTCTGATTGGTGTACCTGAAAGTGACGGGGAGAATGGAACCAAGTTGGAAAACATTCTGCAGGATATTATCCAGGAGAACTTCCCCAATCTAGCAAGGCAGGCCAACATTCAAATTCAGGAAATACAGAGAACGCCACAAAGATACTCCTCAAGAAGAGCAACTCCAAGACACATAATTGTCAGATTCACCAAAGTTGAAATGAAGGAAAAAATGTTAAAAGGGCAGCCAGAGACAAAAGTTGGGTTACCCACAAAGGGAAGCCCATCGGACTAACAGCTGATCTCGGCAGAAACTCTACAAGCCAGAAGAGAGTGGGGACCAATATTCAACATTCTTAAAGAAAAGAATTTTCAACCCAGAATTTTCATATCCAGCCAAACTAAGCTTCATAAGTGAAGGAGAAATAAAATACTTTACAGACAAGCAAATGCTGAGAGATTTTGTCACCAACAGGCCTGCCCTAAAAGAGCTCCTGAAGGAAGCACTAAACATGGAAAGGAACAACTGGTACCAGCCACTGCAAAAACATGCCAAATTGTAAAGACCATCAAGGCTAGGAAGAAACTGCATCAACTAACGAGCAAAATAACCAGCTAACATCATAATGACAGGATCAAATTCACACATAACAATATTAACCTTAAATGTAAATGGGCTAAATGCTCCAATTAAAAGACACAGACTGACAAACTGGATAAAGAGTCAAGACCCATCAGCGTGCTGTATTCAGGAAACCCATCTCACGTGCAGAGACACACATAGGCTCAAATTAAAGGGATGGAGGAAGATCTACCAAGCAAATGGAAAACAAAAAAAGGCAGGGGTTGCAATCCTAGTCTCTGATGAAACAGTCTTTAAACCAACAAAGATCAAAAGAGACAAAGAACGCCATTACATAATGGTAAAGGGATCAATTCAACAAGAAGAGCTAACTATCCTAAATATATATGCACCCAATACAGGAGCACCCAGATTCATAAAGCAAGTCCTGAGTGACCTACAAAGAGACTTAGACTCCCACACAATAATAATGGGAGACTTTAACACCCAACTGTCAATATTAGACAGATCAATAAGACAGAAAGTTAAAAAGGATATCCAGGAATTGAACTCAGCTCTGCACCAAGCAGACCTAATAGACATCTACAGAACTCTCCACCCCAAATCAACAGAATATACATTCTTTTCAGCAGCACACCACACCTATTCCAAAATTGACCACATAGTTGGAAGTAAAGCACTCCTCAGCAAATGTGAAAAAACAGAAATTATAACAAACTGTCTCTCAGACCACAGTGTAATCAAACTAGAACTCAGGATTAAGAAACTCACTCAAAACTGCTCAACTATATGGAAACTGAACAACCTGCTCCAGAATGACTACTGGGTACATAACGAAATGAAGGCAGAAATAAAGATGTTCTCTGAAACCAATGAGAACAAAGACACAACACACCACAATCTCTGGGACATATTCAAAGCAGTGTGTAGAGGGAAATTTATAGCACTAAATGCCCACAAGAGAAAGCAGGAAAGATCTAAAATTGACACCCTAACATCACAATTAAAAGAACTAGAGAAGCAAGAGCAAACACATTCAAAAGCTAGCAGAAGGCAAGAAATAACTAAGATCGGAGCAGAACTGAAGGAAATAGAGACACAAAAAACCCTTCAAAAAATCAATGAATCCAGGAGCTGGTTTTTTGAAAAGATCAACAAAATTGATAGACCACTAGCAAGACTAATAAAGAAGAAAAGAGAGAAGAATCAAATAGATGCAATAAAAAATGATAAAGGGGATATCACCACCGATCCCACAGAAATACAAACTACCATCAGAGAATACTA
Organism: Homo sapiens; assembly: GCF_000001405.40. Classification (NCBI taxonomy): domain Eukaryota; kingdom Metazoa; phylum Chordata; class Mammalia; order Primates; family Hominidae; genus Homo; species Homo sapiens. The sequence continues at coordinate 107,649,128 of NC_000007.14, read as the reverse complement.
TAAACAACTCTACGAAAATAAACTAGAAAATCTAGAAGAAATGGATAAATTCCTCGACACATACACCATCCCAAGACTAAACCAGGAAGAAGTTGAATCCCTGAATAGACCAATAACAGGCTCTGAAATTGAGGCAATAATTAATAGCTTACCAACCAAAAAGAGTCCAGGACCAGATGGATTCACAGCCGAATTCTACCAGAGGTACAAGGAGGAGCTGGTACCATTCCTTCTGAAATTATTCCAATCAATAGAAAAAGAGGGAATCCTCCCTAACTCATCTTATGAGGCCAGCATCATCCTGATACCAAAGCCTGGCAGAGACACAACAAAAAAAGAGAATTTTAGACCAATATCCTTGATGAACATTGATGCAAAAATCCTCAATACAATACTGGCAAACCGAATCCAGCAGTACATCAAAAAGCTTATCCACCATGATCAAGTAGGCTTCATCCCTGGGATGCAAGGCTGGTTCAACATACGAAAATCAATAAATGTAATCCAGCATATAAACAGAACCAAAGACAAAAACCACACGATTATCTCAATAGATGCAGAAAAGGCCTTTGACAAAATTCAACAACCCTTCATGCTAAAAACTCTCAATATATTAGGTATTGATGGGTTGTATCTCAAAATAATAAGAGCTATCTATGACAGACCCACAGCCAATATCATACTGAATGGACAAAAACTGGAAGCATTCCCTTTGAAAACTGGCACAAGACAGGGATGCCCTCTCTCACCACTCCTATTCAACATAGTGTTGGAAGTTCTAGCCAGGGCAATCAGGCAGGAGAAGGAAATAAAGGGCATCCAATTAGGAAAAGAGGAAGTCAAATTGTCCCTGTTTACAGATGACATGATTATATATCTAGAAAACCTCATCGTCTCAGCCCAAAATCTCCTTAAGCCGATAAGCAACTTCAGCAAAGTCTCAGGATACAAAATCAATGTGCAAAAATCACAAGCATTCTTATACACCAATAACAGACAAACAGAGAGCCAAATCATGAGTGAACTCCCATTCACAATTGCTTCAAAGAGAATAAAATACCTACGAATCCAACTTACAAGGAATGTGAAGGACCTCTTCAAGGAGAACTACAAACCACTGCTCAATGAAATAAAAGAGGATACAAACACATGGAAGAACATTCCATGCTCATGGGTAGGAAGAATCAATATCATGAAAATGGCCATACTGCCCAAGGTAATTTATAGATTCAATGCCATCCCAATCAAGCTACCAATGACTTTCTTCACAGAATTGGAAAAAACTAATTTAAACTTCATATGGAACCAAAAAAGAGCCCGCATTGCCAAGTCAATCCTAAGCCAAAAGAACAAAGCTGGAGGCATCATGCTACCTGACTTCAAACTATACTACAAGGCTACAGTAACCAAAACAGCATGGTACTGGTACCAAAACAGAGATATAGACCAATGGAACAGAACAGAGCCCTCAGAAATAATGCCGCATATCTACAACCATCTGATCTTTGACAAACCTGACAAAAACAAGAAATGGGGAAAGGATTCCCTATTTAATAAATGGTGCTGGGAAAACTGGCTAGCCATATGTAGAAAGCTGAAACTGGATCCCTTCCTTACACCTTATACAAAGATTAATTCAAGATGGATTAAAGACTTATATGTTAGACCTAAAACCATAAAAACCCTAGAAGAAAACCTAGGCAATACCATTCAGGACATAGGCATGGGCAAGGACTTCATGTCTAAAACACCAAAAGCAATGACAACAAAAGGCAAAATTGACAAATGGGATCTAATTAAACTATGGGGCTTCTGCACAGCAAAAGAAACTATCATCAGAGTGAACAGGCAACCTACAGAATGGGAGAAAATTTTTTCAACCTACTCATCTGACAAAGGGCTAATATCCAGAATCTACAATGAACTCAAACAAATTTACAAGAAAAAAGCAAACAACCCCATCAAAAAGTGGGCAAAGGATATGAACAGACACTTCTCAAAAGAAGACATTTATGCAGCCAAAAAACACATGAAAAAATGCTCATCATCACTGGCCATCAGAGAAATGCAAATCAAAACCACAATGAGATACCATCTCACACCAGTTAGAATGGTGATCATTAAAAAGTCAGGAAACAACAGGTGCTGGAGAGGATGTGGAGAAATAGCAACACTTACACTGTTGGTGGGACTGTAAACTAGTTCAACCATTGTGGAAGTCAGTGTGGCGATTCCTCAGGGATCTAGAAGTAGAAATACCATTTGACCCAGCCATCCCATTACTGGGTATATACCCAGAGGATTATAAATCACGCTGCTATAAAGACACATGCACACGTATGTTTATTGTGGCACTATTCACAATAGCAAAGACTTGGAACCAACCCAAATGTCCAACAATGATAGACTGGATTAAGAAAATGTGGCACATATACACCATGGAATACTATGCAGCCATAAAAAATGATGAGCTCATGTCCTTTGTAGGGACATGGATGAAGCTGGAAACCATCATTCTCAGCAAACTACAGCAAGGACAAAAAACCAAACACCGCATGTTCTCCCTCATAGGTGGGAACTGAACAATGAGAACACATGGACACAGGAAGGGGAACATCACACTCTGGGGATGGTTGTGGGGTTGGGGGAGGGGGAGGGATAGCGTTAGGAGATATATCTAATGCTAAATGACGAGTTAATGGGTGCAGCACACCAACATGGCACATGTATACATATGTAACAAACCTGCACATTGTGCACATGTACCCTAAAACTTAAAGTATAATAATAATAAAATTTAAAAAAAAATGAATTAGTTCCTTCTTCCAACCCCATTTTTTAACTTACTCCTCCTCTTGGCTTTCCCATCTTGGTGAATGGCATCCCAATCCCATCCATCCCATTGCCCAAGCCAGAAATGTAGCAGCCACTTCGATTCCTTCTTCTCTGTTCTTTCATGTCATCTATGGTCAAGTCCACATTTTGAATAGCTCTCCAGTTCTGTCTGCTTCTGTCCCTTTCCACCACTGCTGCCTGGGGTCAGCTTAGGATTACCCCAAAGCAATAGCGTCCTAATAGGTCTCTTTGCCTCTTCTCTTGTTCTACTCACAAATTATTCTCCAAAGCAGCCTCCAAAAGTCTAAGAAATGCAAATCAGGTCAGGTTCCTCCTTAGTTTAAAATCTTTCAAAGGCTCTCCATTGCCTTTGACAGGGCATTGCTAATGCCCTGCCTCTCTATGCACCCATGGCACTGAGCTCTCTTTTATCTCTGGACCTGGTGACTTGCTTCTTCCTCTGCCTGGAACTCTTTCCCCCTTTCTCCATCCCTCACTTCTTAGTTTAGCGTTCCCTTTGATAGTTACTTCCCTAATAACCAAAGGCAAGGTTAGATTACCTTCCTACATATAACCTTAGCACTCTTAACTATGTGTGTACTTACCACACTGAAGAGTACTTGTCTGAATCCAGTATTAGACTATAAACTTCCTGAAGGTAAGGAGTTTGTTTGTTTTTACAGAGACAGGGTCTTGCTCTGTTGCCCGGGCTAGAGTACAATGGTGTGATCCTAGCTCACTGGAGCCTCGCCCTCCTAAGCTCAAGCCATCCTCCTGCCTCAGCCTCCTGAATTGCTGGGACTACAGGCATATGCCGCTGTGTCCGGCTAACTTTTAAATTTTTGTTAGAGATGAGGTCTCGCTATGTTGCCCAAGCTGGTCTTGAACTCTTGGAATCAAGCAATCTTCCCACCTCAGCCTCCCAAAGTGCTGGCATTACAGGCATAAGCCACCACCCTCAGCTAGTAAGGACTTTTTAAAGAATATAGTGGAGACACGTTTTCTCAGTTTCAGTCCTAGCTCTACCATTTTCTATCTGAGTGACCTTGAGCAAGTTATTTAAGCTTCCCTTGACTCAATTTTATCATCTTTAAAATAAGATTATGTGAGAATACTACCTATCTCATAATGTTGGTGTAAAAAATAGTTGCAATGCCTGGCACATAGTAAGTACTTGATAAATGTTAACTATTATAACTGAGGTCTGGAGCCCTGGGAGCAGTTTAAGTTAGATCTTGGTATATTTTGAGCTTCATTCCAAAAAAAAGGTACATGAGTATATGTATATGCTATTTGATGTTGCCAGGAATAGTTAATTTTATCTGTCAAAAATTTCTTCCTAGCACACTCTTTTGAGTCACGGATTTTGGCTTTTAAGTAAGCTAAAGGTTGTTATTTGGGAGAATGGCCAGAAAAACTTATCCACAGCTTTCGAATCACATGTTGAACAAATCTGGCATCACAAGCGTCAAGCTGCCTTCTGTTTCTAATCATTTTTCTTTCTAATTTAGTTTCTCCCACCCAAAGAAATTATAATTTATTTTCATTGCAGAGTCCATGAAAGATGTCACAAGATGTAAAAGCAATTATTTTCAAGAGGATGAAACTCATATTTGCTGAACATCGCAGTTGGCTTCATCCCAAATGCTAAGCAGTAGCAATACTTCCCTGGATTGAGACAACGTGTTACTGATCTGAGAAGGCTGGCAAAAGTCTTGGCTGAGAAAACCTTTCTTCTCTTCTATATCTCTAAAATTCTTTAAAAATGAGCGTGCGTGCATGCGCATGTGCACACACACACACAGAGTGCAGCATCTTAATTATGAAAGGTTCTCTAAGACCATACAGGTCAGTGGCCTGGGCCATGAAAGTTTTGAACCCCAGCCATGTTTCAACATAGACTTCCTTATGAGAGTTTCACTTTTCTTCCTTACGTTTCACTTTTCTTTTCTAAGCTTTTCTTTCTTTTCATTCCCAACTTCTACTTCTTGCCCCCTTACTGTAACCTTAAGAGAATAACCTCTTTGCTCTTGATTTCCCCTATTTGGTCTTTCTCTTACATATCTTATGGTTTTCTAAGTTTAGGCATCTGTCCCTGCTTAGAAGTTCCTATAAAATGATGTAAATCAGGAAATGACCTTTTGTCAACCCTAAAGCCCATATCTTATAAACAATAAAATGCTTACAAAAAAAATTACAAGTATAGAAAAGAACAAAAGTCAGGAACAATGCTGTTTATTCCTCCTCTCTGTTTATCCAAATCTATACATCAAGCCTTACATCACAACCTCCTTTTTCTCCAGGATGTATCACCAGCATCTCGCCTGGACTGAACACTCCTTCCTCAGAGATTTTACTATATTTTTATTTCTACTACAGATTTGACATTATCTTGTAGTTATGCCAGTTCCTTCTGGGTTTATGTTAATTCCCAGCAGAAATAAGTTTCTTGAGGGCTAATCCTTATCTGTGACCTTGGGCAAGTTTTCTAACCTTTCTTACAAGTATTAGTAAGTAATAGTCATTCATTACATTGTCATAATAATGAAATACCATGATAGAACTTTCTGGGCCATAGTAATGTGCTCAATAAAGTTAAATCCTTTCCCTTTTCTCCTTCGTTTTGTGGTCTCCTCCATGGTGCCCATTGCCATCCAGTGGGAGGTGATATAGAGCACTGATTCAGAATATGGGCTGGAGTTTGATTCCCAGCTTAGTCACTCCCTAAGGAATTTAGGAAGCATACTCAGTCTCTTGTCAACCTCAAATATTCAAAAGGGTTAGAATCTAGTTTAAAGAGAGTTTATTCAAGCACAAAGTTGAGGATGGCTGCTTGGGAAGCACAGATTCCAAAAAATGAAAGTCAGTGTTTGAAAGTGTAGAAGTTTGGGCTCATTCACTTAGATAAGTTTGGGGAGCTTCACAGAATTTCAACGCTTTCTATATAAGGCTTTATCTTATTAGTTACGGCAGTCTTTTTCTTTTCAGGAAAGGTAATTTTACATTCTACACTGAAGATGTAACAGTTATGGAATCTTTTGCACCATCTGGCCTGAATTAGGTACAGGATAATAAAAGAGGACGATAATCTATAACAAAGATTAGTGATTGGAAGGAGAGAGGGTCTGGTCTCTGGTCTCTCCTAGTCATTTACAGAACACAAACAGTGAGGAACAAAGTTAATCCATAGTGTAAAAAGCATATTGGCCAGAGAGGCCTGTTGTAGAAGGTACTGTTATGGGAACTGGAGCTGCTGATTAAGCTTGATTAAGATGACAACCTCCCAAAAGCACTGAGGCTTCACGGCAGAGCCTATGGGGGAAAACCAGTGGGGAGCCTGGCCAGTATTGGTGAAGTGCTGGGCAAGAAGCTGGAGGAAAGGGGCTTTGACAAGGCCTGTGTTGTCCTTGGCTGGTGCTAAAGAAAGAGGAAGATCTTGCCCAGGTATGGCTGAAGGACACAAGTAGCACCAAAGCCAAGCAGCCCCAGGACTGCTTTGGATGCATTCAAGAGTGGTGTGACGCCTTCTTGTGATGCTTTCTGGGAAGCCCTCAATGCCCAGCCCCAGCATTGCGTCTCCAGAGTTTGCAGCCAAGTAGGGGACTCCTCCTCTGTCCTCTACAAAGGAAATGATTGCTGTTGTTGTGCTTGTGTCCAGTGGACTCTAGGAGTGTTTTGGGAGTTTTCTCCCCTAACCGTTTCAACTTCTTTGCAATTCGAACTCTTTCATGCACCTCCCTTCCTTTTCCTCTGCCTGGTGATACTTGCCAACTTTCCTGATGGATTTCTGGCCCCGTCCCTCACCCCTACCCTCACTTCTAGTGTTTCACACCATTTGGTTCCTTTTTCTTTCACACAACAGTCATTGTCTCTGTGAAGATTTTTAGATCAATAAAGTCAGTGGCTATAAAATTAAAAATCAGAAGGTACAGCCACAAGCTACATGGCACAGACCACAGTCACAACTCACTCAAAGCTTGAAGTGTTTCATGGGGTTTGAACTGCATTTTAACCTTTATTTATTTTCACATTTCCCCCTTTTCATCAAGATCTTTCGAAGAAAGCACTGTAGATGATCTCAATAGTTTTGACTCCTTTTATGTTCAGGAGTTTCATCCCCCGTCACTAGGAAGTCTCATTCCTTGGATGTTATGTTCCATACTGAGGTGGGATTGGATTTCTTAATGAAGTCAATATCTGGGAGATCTCAGATATCACAAATATATGTGAAAAGTAAGTTGAGCTCTCAGTGTATCCCTGAGGCATGACTGTCCATTGTACTGTCTGTTCTCCCAAGTGAAGGCAAAGAGAAATTGACTGTCTTTCTCCACAGGAATACTAAAACATGCACTGCATAAATCTGTCACAGTGAAAAACTCACCTTCAGCGGGGATGGTAGTCAACAACATATGACTGTTTGACACTAGCAGATGGCAAGGAATAACTATGTTGTTAATTGCTCTCAGATCCTGTACAAACCTCCATCCTCTGTCATCTGGTTTTTTTACAGGAAGGGTTGGAGTGTTACACAGGCTTCTACAGGGAATAATCAGACCTCTTTTTATATAGTCTAGAACTATAGGTTGTATTCCTTCTAAAGCCTTTGGCTTTAAAGAATACTGTTTAAGGTTTGGAAGAGGTTTTGATGAGTTTATTTAAATTTTGATTGGGGAAGTCAAGATAATTTTTCCAGTATCAATGAAAGACTGACCACAACTAATCAGGTATTGCCTTTAACAATTTTTGTATTCGTTTATCAATCAATAATTCGGTGTCCTCTATGGCAATATAAATTGCAGCTTGTGAATTTAAAAGGATCAGATTCTGAAAAATTCATGGTGTCTAGTAATTCAACTTTGTCTTCTAATTCTAAAAATATTTTACCCTTTTGGGAAAAACAAATATGGGTGTTATATAGTTCTAAGAAATTTCTTCCTATCAAATGGATAGTGGCTTAGAGAACGAAGAGAAAAATACAAGTCTCTTGTAAAGGACCTACTTGAAAAGCTATAGGCTAAGATTTATGTGCCAATACAGGAATATCAGTGACACCCACCATTTAAATGGTTTACTTTAAGGAATGGGACCTTGTAATAAGGTGGGATTTACTACAGATAATGCAGCTCAGTGTCAATAAGAGCTTATGTTTGTTCTCCATTTCAGATACTTTCTATTTCTCCCAAAATATAAATATGGAGGAAAGGCAAGGTCTCTTTAAGTTCCTTGGAGCACCCCCCCTTTTCTTTTTTTCCTTTGCCTGTTGTTGTTGCCTCCATTTTAGTTTTCAGCAATCTTTCCTAAAGTGACCAGGGTGTTTTTGCAATAATGACAAAGCAGAGGGTTAAATTCATTCTGAGGTTTTTGGGGTATGTTTTGGAGGTTCAGACTGGGTAGATAATTGTTTTAGTTATAAATTCATAATCTTATTAGCCTTATTCTTTTCTTTGGCTTCTTTTTCTCTTCTTTAGTTAAGGCATGACATAATTGATCAGCAAAATTAACCAAATCATGAATGTGAGCAATTGTCCAACTATGGTGTTGTCCTTTTACTGTTAGTCCTAATTCTTCATCTAAGTAACCCACTTATGAAATTGAAATTGAGGAGAGTATCATTTTGATGATTAGCCTAACTCTCTTTGGATAATCCTGAATATGGTTTAAATATTTTTTCGAATCTCTCAAAATATGTCATTTCTGACTCATCTGAATTTTGTTGACATTGTTGTATTTTATTCCAGTCGACCATTCTTTGGAAGGTCAAATGAAGGGGTGGCTTGAGCAAAGCCTTTGAAACCTCATGGTCACATTTGTGGTCTTCTGAAAATGTATGAAAGTCCTTCAAGTGGTTCCTCCAATTTGCCTTAGCTCTTCCAATCTTTAGCTTTACTTTCTGATACTAACATGTGAACTACTTAATACAAATTGGAAAAATCAGGGTTGTAAACTTGAATATTTAGTTCAAATTTCCTGACAAAACCAATAGGGTCTTGGTGGGGATGAGGAAATTCCTTAATTATGCCTTTAATGTCTACCTTTGATCATAGTTGATAAGTTAAGGCAGGTTCTCCTCTACCAGATACCAGCCATTCACAAAATGTAGCTAAAACAACAGGAGTGGGAAGAAGGGGAAGGGGAGGAAAAGAAGGAAAGGCTGGGCAGTGTCGTTCAGATGAGGAAGAGATGGGGAATAAAGAGTTGGGGAAGCAGAAGGAGGAGTAAAAGATTTGGCAGTTTTTTTTTTTTTTAATTTAGAAATGGTTTTAGAGGGCTTTTAATTTTCTTCCTGTAGAGGAAGAACTTTGTCAGAGCGCTTTTCAGATGCTTCTAAGTACTGTTAGAAGTAACTCTCCCAATTATTTTCTTTAATTTTAGAAATAGCTTTTTCTAATTGTGCACATAAATAAGCTAATTTAGGTATTTCAAAGATAGCCCACTTTGGTCATTGTTGTTTGGGGTCTTCATGGGTTAAGAAAGACAACTTTTCTAGATATTGACTGGAGGTTGCACCACAATATTATACAGGAATCCAGCTGGAATTTCTAAAGGTGGATCTCTCCTTAAAAAGGAAGACTCAGTTTTAGATGGATGATTGCCCATAATTTGGATTCTCTTTTTAAGTGATCAAAGATGAAATGGGAAAGATGTTTTTGATCTGGTATGTTGCTTAATGGGGATTATTCCTTGAGGTGACACCAGTGAATCACTTCTCTCTTCTTCCCTGTCTTGGTGAAAGCCAGGAATCCTGGGCACTTAAGGCACTAGAAGATCAGCCCTTCATATGTGCCCACCAGGTTAAGCAAGATTTCCTGTGTGTTCTTCTTTGAGAACTCCCTACAGTACTATTGCATGTTAAGAGTAATGAGTTCAGACACTCCCGCAAGACCTTATTAGCCTAAGATGCCTTTTGGCCAGGAGAAACAGTGTCCCTTATCTTTGGTACTTATCTTCATCCTCATAGAAAGCTTTTCTCTCTTTCTTTCTTTTTCTTTCTTTCTCTTTCTTTCTTTCTTTCTTTCCTTCTTTCTTTCTTTCTCTCTTTCTTTCTTTTCTTTTCTTTTTTTTCCTTCCTTCCTTCTTTCTTTCTTTCTTTCTTTTTTTTTTTTTTTTTTTTGGCGGAGTCTCACTTTGTCACCCAGGCTGGAGTGCAATGGTATGATCTTGGCTCACTGCAACCTCTGTTTCCCAAATTCAAGTGATTCTCCTGCCTCAGCCTCTTGAGTAGCTGGGATTACAGGCACATGTCACCACACCCGGCTAATATTTTGTATTTTTTGGTAAAGACAGAGTTTCATCATGTTGACCAGGCTGTTCTTGAATGCCTGGCCTCAAGTGATCTGCCTGCCTAGGGCTCCAAAAGAGCTGGGTTTACAGGCATGAGCCACCGCACCTGGCCATCCTCATAGAAAGTTTTTCTTTTTGGTCACTCAGAAACAAACAAAACAACTTTAGATATGTCAAATGAACCAAGCTTCAGAGTTTAGCCAGGTTTTTTTCTTTTATGCAAATTTTGCTTAAGCCACATTCACTTCCTCTTTTCAGAGAGAGAAACTTTCTTTCCCTGACCAAAATTCAAATGAGAGAAAAAGCTGTACAAATGTTAATGAGCAGTTACAAATAACACTTAACCTTAGAGAAAAGTGAAAACCACAAATCTGTGAACAGAAGAATATCTAGAGAACAGACAAAAACTCTTACCTTAAAGTAGAGCTTCAATTCCAGCTCCATCAAGTGTGGAATTGGGTCACTTGAGTAAAGTCTGATTCTCAACCCAAATCAGGGAGATTCAAAACCTGAGAGGGTCTTCACCGGAGACCCTCTGCTGGCTCCAGTGAAGCCAAGTGAATGAAAACTGTTCATGCTGGTACCAGGATCCTAACTGTGGGCAATGCAGTGGGGAATCAACAGAGGCTTGCTTTAGGTCCTTTCATGGTTGCCAAAATGTCAACTTGAAATAAGCGTCAGAATCTAGTTTGACTTGAAGAGAGTTTATTTTGAATTTTGAAGAGAGTTTATTCAAGTACAAAGTTTGAAGATGGCCTGGGAGACAGATTCCAAAGAATGGAAGTCAGCACTTTGAAGTGTAGAAGTTTGAGGTCACTTAACATAGATAAGGTTTAGAAAGCTTAACAGAATTTCAATATTTTTCTGTATATGGCTGAATGTATAGTTACAGTAATCCAATTAGACAAGGTAATATTTTTCTTTTCAGGAAAGGTCTATTTAACATTCCACACTGAAGATATAAAATTTGGGAGGTAATTAGTGCTACCTTAACTGAGTTAGGTACTGATAGGGTTTGGTTCTGTGTCCCCACCCAAATCTCATAGTGAATTATAATCCCCATAATCCCCATGTATCAAGGGAGGAAACTAGTGGGAAGTGATTGGATCATGGGGGCAGTTTCCCCAATGATGTTCTTGTGATAGTGAGTGAGTTCTCATGAGATCTGATGGTTTTATAAGGGGCTCTTTCCCTTTCATACACTCTCTCTCTCTCTCTCTCTCTCGTCTGCCACCATGTAAGATGTGCCTGCTTCTCTTCTACCATGATTATAAGTTTCCTGAGGCCTCCCCAGCCATGTGGAACTGTGAGTCAATTAAACCTCTTTTCTTTATAAATTACCCAGTCTTGGGCAATTCTTTATAATGGGTGAAAACAGACTAATACAGGTACAAAAAAGGAGGCAGTTAATCTATCACAAAGATCAGTGATTAGAAGGAGGTCTGGTCTCTTGTCTCTCCTCATAATTTACAGAAGAAGAACACTGAAGAAGAGAGTTAATCTATAATCTAAGGAGCAGAAATTACAACTCCATGCTCCATGGCTGAGATCACAGTCACATCTCTCAAGACTTAATGTGTTCTCTGGGGTTCCAAGAGCTTTTAAATTTTATTTATTTTCACATTCTCTATGCCTCATTTTTCTTATCTGAAAATTGGGGGTAATATTACTACTTGCTTCATGGGCTTGCTGCAATATTTAAATGACAAACAGTTCATAATGCAATTAGACCCTAGCACATGGTGAGTGCTCAAGGAACCTTGGCTGCTCTTATCACAAGGATCAGTGTATAGCAGGCATCTAAAAATATGCAAAATAAATTTGAAAAAAGTTTATGGCATAGAAGTAGATAAAGCAATCAGAACCTAGCACATGGTGAGTGCTTATTAAAAAGTACAAGTCCTTTTATTTATTTTTACATATTTATATTTTTGAGATGGGGTCTTGCTATGTTGCCCAGGCTAATCTCCTGGGTTCAAGTGATCCTTCTACTTCAGCCTCTTGTGTAGCTGGGATTACAGGCATATGCAACCATGCTCAGCAGTATGAGTTCTGTTTTTTTTTTTTTTTTTTTTGAGACGGAGTGTCGCTCAGTCACCCAGGCTGGGGTGCACTGGCTGGATCTCAGCTCACTGCAAACTCTGCCTCCCGGGTTTACGCCATTCTCCTGCCTCAGCCTCCCAAGTAGCTGGGACTACAGGCGTCTACCACCACACCTGGCTAATTTTTTTGTATTTTTAGTAGAGACAGGGTTTCACCGTGTTAACCAGGATAGTCTCGATCTCCCGACCTTGTGATCCGCCGCCTCGGCCTCCCAAAGTGCTGGGATTACAGAAGTGAGCTACCTTGCCTGGCCTATGAGTTCTTTTAATAAACAGATTGACTGAGGTAAACTTGGTCACTGTTTTCCACCCAATGACTGTCTTCTTTTCTATTTAGTTTGCCAATCTATCTTACACCTGGATTGTAAGTGATTTGCTGCACCAGTTCAAACTGTGTTTAAGTCATAAAAAGGAAAAGTTTGGAAAACCAAAGTCAGAAATAATTAGCAAGTGAAATTATAATCAAACAGGAAAGGTGTTTAACAAGCGTGAATGAGAGATTCCCAGTGGCATACATCTTATTTAAAATCTTAATTAGAGTTCTGGAAAAGGCAAAGTCATATGCTAAAGTAATGTTAATGTAATTACATTAGAAATGGATGGAAATGTGAATACAGGCTGATGACCTATATAAAGAAGCCTGTAGGCCAGGGCAGTGTATCCTGCCTGTAATCTCAGCACTTTGGGAGGCGGAGGCAGGAGGACCACTTGAGGTCAGGAGTTCGAGACCAGCCTGGCCAACATGGTAAAACCCCATCTCTACTAAAATTACAAAAATTAGCCAGGCATGGAGCTGTGTGCCTGTAATCCCAGCTACTCAGGAGGCTGAGGCAAGAGAAGCACTTGAACCATGGAGCCAGAGGTTGCAATGAGCCAAGATTGCACCACTGCACTCCAGCCTGGGTGACGGAGCAAGACTCCATCTCAAAAAAATAAAGAAAGAAAGAAGCCTGTGCACACTGATTGCAATGGGGCAAAAATAAATAAATAAATAAATAAAAACCAGCCCTGGCAACACAGTGAGACATTGTCTCTACTGCTTAAAGAAAAAGGTAAAAAAAAAAAAAAAAAAGAATGAAGGTGTGTGGTAAACCACTATTACTTTTTATTTGCTAGACATTTTTTGGGGTGAGGGGTTGTTCTTTTGAGTTTTGTCTTGTTTTTTTGTTTGTTTTTTCATCTTGCATTACTTGCTTTCTTTTCTGAGACCAGTAATATCTATCACTATTCAACCCCAATTCTCCAGCTTATCCCTACGTCTTTCAGTATGTTGATTCACATCAGGTATCTGATAAACTTCATGTTCTAGAAAAAAACCCCACCCAAAGTTGTCTGAGCTGTTTCACAGCTAACAGTCTCCCTTTACCAACATCCTGTAGACCTCTGCCTCTCTCTGTGTAGATCTCCTTTCTCAAATATTTTCCCATCCTTTTGGTGGAGTACATCCTCTATCCACTAGCTTCCCAAGAAAAGGGTATGTGGGAGGTAAAGCTTTTGAGAACTTGCAAGCCTGAAGTATGATTCTTCACTCATACTTGATTTGCAACTTGACTGGCCCATAGAATACTAGGTTGGAGATAATTTTGAAAGCATTGTGTATTAGTCTGTTCTCACATTGCTCATAAAGACATAACCTGAGACTGGATAATTTACAAAGAAAAAAAGGTTTAATGGACTCACAGTTCCACATGGCTGGGGAGGCCTCACAATCATGGCAGAAGGCGAAAAGCATGTATTACATGACAGCTGGCAAGAGAGAATGAGAGCCACATGAAAGGGGAAACGCCTTATAAAACCATCAGATCTCGTGAGACTTATTCACTACCATGAGAACAGTATGGGGGGGAGAGCCCCCATGATTCTATTATCTCCCATCAGGTTCCTCCCACAACACGTGGGAATTATGGGAGCTACAATTCAACATTAGATTTGGGTGGGGACACAGCCAAACCATATCACATTGTTTTACTGTCTTCTATCTTCCAGAGTTCCTTTTGGGAAATCTGAACTTGTTCAGATGCCTCACCTCAACCTTTGCGTGTTGTGTTTTCTGGAAATGTGTAGAATTTTCTCTTTGTGCGTTATTCATCAGTATGGGTTTTATGCTATGGTTTGAATATGTCCCCTCCCCTCCAACATTCAGGTGTTGAAACTTAATGGCCAAGGTGATGGTGTTAAGAGATGGGGCCCTTAAGAGATGCTTAGGTGATGAGGGCTCCTCCCCTTGTGAATGGGATTAGATGCACTGAAAAAGGGGCTTGATGGAGGAAGTCTGTCCTTTTTTGCAGCCCTCACCAGATACCAAACCTGCCAGTGCCTTGATCTTGGATGCCTCAGCCTCTAGTACTAAGAGAAAATAAATTTCTGTTCTTTATAAATTACCCAGTCTCAGGAATGTTGTTATAGCAGCACAAACAAAATAAGACAGTTTATTTTTGGGCATTGGGCTGAGGATTTAGTGAGACCTATTTTTTCCTGAGGGCTCTTTTTTACTTTCTGATTTTTTTTTTTCCATTTTTATTATGAGACAAGGTCTTGCTCTGTTGCCTGGGATGTAGTATAGTGGTGTGATCTTGGCTCACTGTGGTCTCGACCTTCTGGGCTCAAGTGCCTCAGCCTCCTGGGTAGCTGGGACCACAGGCATGTGCCACTACATCTTGCTAATTTATTATTGTTCTTTTTTTTGTAGAGATGGGGGCTCACTCTGTTGCCCAGGCTGGTCTCAAACTCATGGACTCAGATGATCCTCCTGCCTCAGTCTCCCAAAATTCTGGGATTATAGGTGTGAGCAACCTGAAATTTTTTTTTTATACTTTTCAATTCTGATTTCATGAGTGCATTGTAATAAAAATTCATGACGTTTCTGAAGACATTGAGAGTTTTGTTGTTCTTCCCGCACGCTTTCTGTTTTCACTATATATTTTTTTTTCCTGTTCAGGTGTTTCTCGAATCTCTCATGCTTGATTACCTGCTCATATTTAAAAGTGGAGGCTTCAAGAGCTGCCTGGAAACTGAGTAAGTAGGTGAGGCTTGATCATGGTGAGATTTCCTGTAGGGTGAGCTGCCTGGGCCTTTGGTTGGGGAAGCCCTGATGTCAACATCCATGTGAGTGTATTTGGATCTTTCTTCTTGGGTCTGATAGATTCCCACCTACAAAAGACTTATTTGGTGTTCTGCCTGGAAGTAAATAACTGCTGCCGTCATTCTGAGATGAGGAGGAAGTTTTGCATTTAGTAGGCATACATCATTTACTTAACCCTCCTGTTTTTTGTTTGTTAAAACACACCCTCTGTTTTACCCTCTTCAAAGAGGAAGACTGTCTTCTGCTGGGGTGAGGGAAGGAAATCACCCAGCATTTGGAGGAAGAGAGGGGCATCTAGGGATATAACTGCTTCTCCAACAGCTTTCAACCAACCTTCTTTCATCTTTCACAGCCCTGCCCCTCTTTTCTAGGAGTAGTTGTGCCTTCAATGCCTGAGCCTTGATTATTTGGTGGTTTAAATTGACTTGGTTCTTGGAACCAAGGAGGAAAAAGAGTTCAATTTTTCATCAGTTTTACCAAGTCCATACCACCTGTTATCTGTTTTGTAGCTTTCAAAAAGTTGGTGCTATTTCTTCTCATGTTCACTGTATCCTTATAGGTTTATGCTTAAGAAACAAAAACAAAAACAAAACAAAACAAAACAAAAAACCCTTTACCATACCATAGTTTCAGTGCAGTTTAGGAGAGAGTGAAAGTGTGTGTTCAATTAGCCATCTTTTTGCAATTCTGCTTTTTTTATGGTATATTTTATAGTGTTTAGAGATTTTTTTGCAGCTGCCTTCTTTTGGAAAAACCAAAGGCAGCAGACTCTGGGCATGCTGAACTGGGGCTACTTGCTCCATTTCAATTCTTAAATTTAGAACTATGCCTCTGCTTCCCTCACAGACAGTCCAATTAAAAATAAAAACTCTCCAAATCAAGAATCAAGAACAGTTATGGGACTCTGATTGCAGAAAGCATTTTCAAAAGCATTTAGCATTCAAATAACTTACCCACTGAGATAGACAGAACAATGGTCTCCCAAGGATGTTCACATTCTAATCCCCAGAATCTGTAGGTCAAATTACATGTCAAAGGGGAATCAAAGTAGCAGATGGAATTAAGGTAGCTAATCAGCTGACTTTAAAATAGGGAGATTATCCTGGGTCATCTGCTTGGCCTAATGTAGTCACAAGGATCCTTAATTGTGGACGAGGGAGACAGAAGAGTTATTGTCAAAGTTATATGATGTCAGAAAGACTTGACCATCTCTTCCTGGCTTTAAAGATGGAAGGAGAACATGAGCCAAAGAATGCGGTTAGCCTCTAGACACTGGAGCAGGAAAGGACACAGATTCTCCCCTAGAAGCTCCTGAAGGGAACCAGCTCTGCTAACAGCTTTTTTTGGGGCGGAGGGGGGATCAATTTTTATTTGGGCTCCTCACAGTGGTTATAGTCACTCTTCCGAACAATCTCAGCACAGGAAATGCATCACCAAGACTGCCTAGAAAAGTCTGACCAGTAGCACCTTACTGCTTAAAATACACATATTCACAATAACTGACAAAGGATAATGTGCCTCACACAGGAATGTGTTCGCATTTGCAAATCTCTCAACTGGCTGTAGCATCAAACCCTCCACTAACCCCTTCCATCTCATTCAGCTGGAAAACCAGTCTCAATCACATCTCCCGGCCCCGGAACCAATTCCTTATTAAATCTCTCCCTGAGCGGGGTAGCCTCCTGTAGCGGGGGCCAGACTGCGACTTGAGAATCAAGGCCAGCTCCACAGGTTGCATTTCCATCTTCTTGTGCCTTTAGGGTAGGACACTGCAATGAATCACACAGTTAGCACTCCACCACTTCCCCACTCTAACTGGGGAAAGGAACTTGAGAGAGTCAGAATTCATCCATTTGATCTGTTCACTGAAAAAGGATTCATTTTGGTAGAACTTGTTTGCCTTTGAGACACTTCAGTGAGTTATTTGGGATTCTTTAAAAAGGTGGAAGGAAAGGCGTCTGAGGGCTATGACACAATCCAGCCACCTTTGGCCACATGCCAGCTTGCTTGTGCCCACTGGACTCGGCAGAGGGAGGCAGGCCCTGCAGTACCCCCAGTGCCCTCAAAGCCTCCTCCTGGCAATTCTGGGCAGGGCCGAGGTCTGGGCCACAGCTAGTCCAAGACTGTCTTTGAAGACTCAATCAAGCTTCTGTCTGAAATTCCACCTTCTTCTGTCCCAGGTGGTTGTGGACACCCCTAGGGGCTGGTACAGAGGACCAGGCACAGCCGAGGGAGGCAGACAGGCTCAGAGCACATTTCCATTTACAGGGAACAGAACACAGGCTCCCATGTGTCCCCGGAGCAGTGTGCAAGTTGCAGTGGTGAGTAGAGTAAAACCTCTATGTTGAGCACAGTTATCTCTGGCAAACACAGGGGCCTGCAGTCAGTCCACAATGCTGTGAAATACACCTGAGTACATAGTCAGACATTTGCCCCATAAACAGTAAATGCGTAACATCAGTTACTTAGAGAGGGCCGTTTGTGCTCCAGACATGTGGTTTGCCTGAGGAGAATGGCTGTCACTCAAAGTATCTTCCTAGGGAAACAGGGCTCGGGGTCACACACAATGGACAGGCACGCAGGGTTCACCCAAAAAGTTACAGTGTACGGACTTCACTCTGTTCAACATGGATTTTGGTTTTGTGGAATCCAAATGCACTAATTTACCTCACAGCCTTGGATTTGTCTGTTTGGGGACATGTATTTTTTCTATATATATATATTCTTACCACAACGTCAATGCCTTGTCTGAATATCATCATTGTTCAAGGGTAGGGGAAATCAGACTCTTCATGTGAACAGGGCTGCACGAGGAATGTTCATTTCAGCTGTTTGCCGCCTCCATTCAGATTATTCCTATCACAGCTCAGCTGGTGACCCGAAGCTAAGCAACAGGCACAAGGATCCTGCGGGTCTTCCAGATGGCTGTGTTCACCTCCTATCTGAGAGACTCTTTACACAAAAAATGAGTTGCCCCACTCAAAAGGAGTGGGGACAGGGGCAGGGACAGAACATGAAAACCACAGATAACCAAGGTGTTTCTTCGAAGAGGTCAGTTTAAAACAGACAACGACCAGCCATCCATCCCCGCAAAAAAACCAAAAGACAAACCACAAAAAAAAATTTATTCAGAATCAAAGACAAAATACTGTGTGAGAGCCAGGCTGGAGGGGCCCTTTCTCAGGGTCCATCCCTTCCTCAGTCTCCTATCTCTTTCCTCCTATGTGTGAAGAACAGTGAGACATAAAGACCCGCGGAGCATGTGCTCGGGATGGAGGCTGACGCCGGCCACCTGTGGGCACAGACCAAGGGGCAGAGATGCAGAAAGCTGCACATCTATCCACCACCATGGCTTAGGGCCACCTGCTCACGGAGATTTCAGAGACAGCCTCCACTTTAGCCTTCACACAAGACATCTCCTTCTGGCTCAACTGCAGCCAGGCTCTTTGAAGGCCAACTTGGGAAAGAACTACAAACGTCATTTTTCAGAAGAGAATTCTTGCCTGCTCACTGGGGAAGTTATTTTCAGTTGTCTTTTGTTGTCTGTTTTCAAAAGGAAAATAAAAAAAAGAAAAGGCAGTATAATCTTTCACACTGGAACCAGCCTGCAGCCAGCCAGAGGCCACTGGGAAAGGGCCTCTTAGTGATGCACACTGGATGCATCCATCACCTGGAATTTCACAGATCACAAGCCCCCTACCAACCTATCATACAACTGCCGATCAGCTCTCATCCTCCCACAGGATTAGCTCAATGCTGGCTCTGCAGACACTGGGAGCCACAGGCGACAAAGCCTAGGCCTCTGCAGGCTTCCTTCTTCACCCAGGTCTAAGATGGGTTGCCTCTCCGGGACTGAGACACAGTGACGTTCTCTTAAACTAAACTCAGAGCACAAATCCACTTCGTCACCAAGAATCATCTCAGGGCACAGTCCCAGCCTCCTTCCTTGGGGGCCTTTAAAACACATCTCTCTGACCCAAACAGGTAGGTGAGATAGGACTTTAAAGGGAGAATAAAGGGGATAGGGATGGGGTATGAGGAACGAGAAACAGAACCAACTTCTCAGCCCTCCACAACATTGTGCCTTTGTAGGGCGAGAGGCATCCACACCCCAAACTGTACCTGGAGATGGAGGAAAATGCAGGAGAGGAGAAAGAAAAAAAAAAAAAGGAATCAAGTGGCTGTACCACTTTCTCTGAAAGTCATTTAATGCTTCTCTCGTGGTTCTCCCCTACCCTGGTTGCTTTGCCAAGTTCTTGGGTGCTGGCAGAGCCTGATCTAGCTGCGGGAGCTGCTGCTCTGGGAGTTGGGAGAGTACTGCTCATTGATGATGTTTAGCAGCAGGCATGCAGGTAGCTGTGGCAGGTGCAGGTGCCCAGGCTGTCAAGCCTGCTCCTTGGAGGGCTGGAAGAGGCCTTCCTCCTCATCACCAGGAGGCTGCACATGGCAGCTGTCGCAGAAGTCCAGGGGCCCATCCAGTGCATCAGCGATGAGCATGTTGAACTCTTTAAGGCTATGATCATGGTGGCCCTGACATACGCACTTCAATGCCCGCGTCACCAGTGAAGTGGCAATGTCTCCTGAGCATCTTCTCTTTGCTGTTGGGCGGTGCGCTGCCATGTTCAGAACTGTCATCTTTCAGCAGCTCCTCCTTACATTCTGCCTCCTTGTCCAGGAAGGCCCCTGGGTCCAGCTCTCCCAGGCTGGCTACAGAGCCACTGGGCTGCATCCCCAGGGCTTTGGTGGCTACTCGGTCACCTGGTAGGTCAGAGGGCTCAGGATCAGCGATGCTTGGGGGTCTTGTGATGCTTCTGCTGGGCTCAGACAAGGGATTCCCTTGGATCCCCTGGTGGGATTGGCGCTGGGGGACTGCCATCTGCCAGGCCTCACTGTGGAGGCAGGAGCTGCTGCTGCTGCGTAGCTGGAAGTCACTGTATGCTGGGGGAGGAGTTGGAGGCTGGCTCACCACTTCCTCATAAGGAGGTAGTTAAGTAGTTTAGCAAAAACCTGAAATAAAAAGGCAGCACTGAGTGATTGAAGGCTTCTTGGCAGGGGATCAGGTTGATTTCATGTTGCCGATGCTGGGCCTGAAGGCGGTGCTTGGCTTGGCGGTGGTGGCCAATGTAGCAGCAGCTAAGGATGATGATGATGGTCCACACCAGCCAGAGCTACCAGAGTTCCTAGCAGTAGTTGCAGCACTGAGACTGTCCACAGCAGTGTCCTGTGTCACAGATGTAGCTTTGATTATTGGTATGCACTCAGGCTTCCTTATCCTGTGGGGGTTCAGCCCTCACTGACAGGGGGCTGGGCAGCGCCGGGAGGAGCAGGAGCACTGTGCCACCTAGGAACCTTCTCCTCTCCATCCCCCTCCTGCTCCTGTCCCTCTGCCACAGCACTGCCACCTCCCTCCTCCCTCTCCTCCTCTACCCTCTTCTTCCTTGTTCCTGCTTTTTTCTGCCGACAATTTGACTTTAGCACAGTAAGACTAATTTTGGACTTCTGACTGCTAGAATTGTAAGATAATAAATTTGTGTTGTTTCGAGTCATTAAGTTTGTGGTAATATGTGAAAGCACCAATAGGAAATGAATACACTCACTATAAATTAAAGAAAAAGTATGATTCATATTACCTTAAAATCTGAGAACCCAGAAGCAAATCCACGCACCTACAGTGAATTCATTTTCTACAAACGTTCCAAGAACATACATTGGAGAACGGGCAGTCTCTTCAATAAATGGTGCTGGGAGAACTGGGTACCATATGCAGAAGAATGAAACTAGTTCCCTATCTCTTGCCATATACAAAAATGAAATAAAAATGGCTTAAATACTTAAATCTAAGGCTTCAAACTATGTAACTACTACAAGAAAAAATTGGAGAAATTCTCCAGGACATTGGACTGGGCAAAGATTTCTTGAGTAATACCCCAAAAGCATAGGCTACCAAAGCAAAAATGGACAAATGAGATTACGTCAAGTTAAAAAGCTTCTGCACAGCAAAAGAAACAATCAGTAAGTGAAGAGACAACCCACAGAATGGGAGAAAGTATTTGCAAACTATCCACCTGACAAGTGATTAATAGTATATATAAGGTGTCCAAACAACTCTATAGGAAAAAAATCTAATAATCCAATTATAATATAGGAAAAAGATTTGAATTGACATGTCTCAAAAGAAGACATACAAATGGCAAACAGGCGTATGAAAAGGTGTTCAACATCACTGATCATAAAAGAAATGCAAATCAAAGCTACAATGAGATATCATCTCAACCCAATTAAAATGACTCATATCCAAAAGACAGGCAATAACTCTGGAGAGGGTGTAGAGAAAAGCAAACCCTTTGGACACTGTTGGAGGGAATGCAAATTAGTACAACCACTATGGAGAACAGTTTAGAGGTTCCTCAAAAAACTAAAAATAGAGCTACCATATGATCCAGCAATCATACTGCTGGGTATATAACCCCCCAAAAGGGAAATCAGTGTATCAAAGAGATATCTACACTCCCATGTTTGTTGCAGCACTGTTCACAATAGCCAAGATTTGGAAGCAACCTAAGTGTCCGTTGGAAGATGAATGGATAAAGAAAATGTGGTACATATACATAATGGAGTACTACGTAGCCATAAAAAAGAATTAGATCCTGCCATTTGCAACAACATGGATGAAACTGGAGGTCATTATGTTAAGTGAAAATAAGCCAGGCACAGAAAAACAAACGTTACATGTTCTCGCTTATTTGTGAGATGTAAAAACCAAAACAAGCACATAAGGAAAGAGAGTAGAAGGATGGTTACTAGAGGCTGGGAAGGGTAGTAGGGGTTGGTAGAGGGGAGGTGGAGAAGATTAATGAGTACAAAAAAATAGGGATAATGAATAGAACCTAGTATTTGATAGCACAACAAGGTGACTATAGTAAAAATAATTTAATTGTATATTCTAAAATAACTAAGAGTATAATTGAATTATTTGTACAAAGGATAAATGCTTGAGGGAATGGATATCCTATTTTACATGGTATGATTATTACACATTGTATGCCTGTTTCAAAACATCACATGTATCCCCATAAATATCTATACCCACTATGTACCCACAAAAAATTAAAAACTAAAAAAAAAAAAATTAAAAAAAACTCCAAAAAATTTTTGAGGTTTTCAACAGATTGATTATATTAACTCTGCCCTCCCATTCCTTATCTAGAGGAAGATTTATATGGAAATAATGATAGTGAAGCTTCAGGGCTTTTGGTACACAGGTATCAAGAATACTGGAGTTGTAGAGTGTCCTAGGTAGAAAGGAGAAGCTAGGTTGCAGCTGGGAAGCATCCCTGATGAATTGTCCCAAGAGATCTTAGGAGAAAGGTATCTGAATCTCCAAACCTCCAGTTATTTGTTGCGATTTCTGTTCCTATTCTGAATAAATTCATACCTAATTTTGTTTTGGTAATTTTGTATTGTTTTCCTTATAGAGAACTCCCCAAGTTGTATCTGCTCTAGGCCCCAAATATTGAGATCCACTCTGCCCTTGCCTTTTTCTTTTTTAATTATTTATTTTTTTTATTGAGATGGGGGTCTCACCCCTTTACCCAGGCTGGAGTGCAGTGGTGCAATCATGGCTCACTGCAGCCTCTGCCTCCCAAGCTCAAGCAATCCTCCCACCTCAGCCTCCTAAGTAGCTGGGACTACAGGCATGCACCACCGCATCTGGCTAATTTTTGGTGGAAATGGGGCTTCACCATGTTGCCCAGGCTGGTTTCGAACTCCTGAGCTTAAGTGATCCACCTGCCTTGGCCTCCCAAAGTGCTGGGATTACAGGCATGAGCCACTGCGCCTAGCTGCATTTTTCTTTTTTAAATAGACATAGGCCAGGCCTGGTGGCTCACACTGTAACTCCAGCACTTTGGGAGGCTGAGGTGGGAGGATCACTTGAGCCCAGGAGTTCGAGGCTAGCCTGGGCAACAAAGTGAGAACCCCCCCATCTCTACAAAAAATGAGAAAATTTAAAGAGGCTTGGTGTCGCATGCCTGTAGTCTCAGCTACTCAGGAGGCTGATGTGGGAGGATCACTTGAGCCTGGGAGGCCAAGACTGCAATGAGCTGTGATCGTACCACTGCATTCCAGTCTAGGCAACAGAACGAGACCCCATTTCAAAAAAAAAAAAAAAAAAGATGTAAAAACATCATAATATATGTGCATATATACATATATATGTAATTATTTTAATCATTGAGAAAGGAAAAAAAAGTTGCAGTTAAGGTTCAAGTGACTAACAAAACACCTCAGACCCAGGCCCTTTCATAATATCAAATCTGCCAATGGGATTTGAAGTGAAATACATCCATGTCTGGATGTATTTTAAGAATGTTGGTCAAAATTGCATCTGATCCTATCATAATCTTAAGACAACAGGACACACTCTGAAGATGGGGAATGGGAAGAGTCACCTGAAAAGAATCTGACACACTAGAATTGAACTGAATTCAATCCAGATAAGCAAACATTAGTTGCATACCTGAGCAAATGGGGCTCTGTGCTTTCTCTGAGGTGGAAGAAGAGGGGTGGCAGGGGAATGACTGATCACAGTTAAGAACAGGCATCCTCAGGCCAGGCACGGTGGCTCACGCCTGTAATCCCAGCACCTTGGGAGGCCAAGGCGGGTGGGTCACCTGAGGTCAGGAGTTCAAGACCAGCCTGGCCAACATAGCAAAACTTGGTGTCTACCAAAAATACAAAAATTAGCCAGGCGTGGTGGCGGGTGCCTGTAATCCCAGCTACTTGGGAGGCTGAGGCAGAAGAATCACTTGAACCTGGGAGATGGAGGTTGCAGTGAGCTGAGATCGTGCCATTGTACTCCAGCCTGGGCAGCAAGAGCAAAACTCTGTCTCAAAAAAAAAAAAAAAAAAAAAGGCATCCTTAACTATCTACCAGTTTCAACACTGTGCATTTTCATTCCAGAAAACTAGGGGGTCCACCTTTTGTTTCCCAATGTTTTCAATGATGTAAAATGCACTTACAAGTGGTTAATATGGTTAATACTACAATATGAATGTAGTTAATACCATCTAACTATACACTTAAAAGTGGTTAATACTAGTAGTTAATACCAAAGAGGTTGTACTAACCAACCACTTTTAAATGTATCGTTCAGTGGTATTAACTACATTCATATTGTTGTGTAACCATCACCACCATCCATCTCCAGTACACTTTTTATTTTTAAGACATTTTAAAATTCCATTAGATTATTGTTTTTAGATGGGGAAATTTATGACTGGGCATCAGTCTTTGTATAATGTTCAGAATAGTTTACCATGAGAAACTGTTAAACGTTCTTAACATGTATCAACTCGTTTAGTCTCATCAGCAAGACTTTAGAGTCTAAATCACCTTAAAGATGAAGAAACTGAGATGCTGAATGGGTAATAAATAAAGCAGATGAGATTTGGACACAGGTAATCTACGCATGTAACCACTATGTTCTACTGATTCCAGAGCATTTTCTGCCAATAAAGATTCTCATGAAATGTCACCAACAGGGGATAAGGTAAATACCTTGTCATAGGACGATGGGTCTCATCCACCTTTTTTGCTCTCACATACTGGATGGTTATGGCAGTCTCATTACTAACACTGTTACCTGGGGCAGGAATTCTCACCGGTGGTAGTGGTAAACAGGGCATATGAGTCCCTGTGCTTTAAACAAACCGAACCCCCCAGGTGATGTGTATATGACCTATGAGAAGTTGTTTGTAGAATTCTGTTGCAGAAGAATATTGATGTAGGGGGAACAAAAGCAGGTCACAAAACAGTATGCATAAAAATAGGTGTGATCTTATTTTTGTAAATATTTGTGTGTATATATATATATATATATAAAAATTAGACAAACAGCTATTTTTTCTTTCATTTCTACATTTACTATGTATCAATTTTGTTTCAAGAGGAAAAAAAACCAACAAACTTAAAAAGAGAAAGTTTCAGCAAGTAAACCTCTATGGAGGATTATTCCAGGAAGCCCTTGGCTGAGAAGTGGTGCTGTAAGGGTCTTTTGTGCTCCGGGAAATTGACAGCCCTTGGGAGAGACCAAAATTCTTTACCATGGGTGGTGCTTCAGGGAGAACAACAATTTCTGAAGGAAAGACTTCAGAGAAGCCTGGCTAACCAGGAAGACACCTAGTTTAGGGGGCAAAGCCAACACTTCAAACACATTCTTCGCTCAAATTTAGGAAAGGAGTTGATCGCCAAGAAAAAGTTGGAAACTTCTTCCTAACTTGTTTACACACCTTGTTTACACATCAAGCTCTTATGTGCTATCTTTGTATATATAATGTGCCTGAATGTTCTTGAGGTGTTTGTTCTTGTTGTGGTGTACACCATACTAAAGACAAAGAGGCAGAAGAGATTTGTAAACTTTTATAATGTGAAATGCACAGCTATTGTGGGGGTGCGATGCATGATGCTGATTAATAATGGTTAAGTCGAATATAAAAAGTTGAGCATGCAGAGACAGTAGAGGATGTAATTTTTAATTAAGATCCCAACATAAAAGGCAAAGATACAAAGGTTTTGTGCTGCATAGGACAAACATATTTATGGCTTTTTATTATGTCTAGGATGTTGAGACAATGCATTGTAGTTAGCTGGTGTCATTCACAGCAATTCAGGACAGGTGTGGTGCTTATGGCGTCAGGGACACAGCTCCTTGTTGCTCCACTTTGCATGGCCTCGACCTCATGATCTAAGATAGCAGCATATGTTTCAAGCAGCAGGACAGAGGAAGAAAAAAAAGAAACTGGCCCCACATGACAGTCCTATTTCCACTTACATACAAGGAGATGGAAAATGTTATCTTTATGCTTGACAGCTGTTTATAAAAAAAAATACAAAACTGGAGCATGTATTAACACAGGTGAATGAAAGAATGGATACTGGGGTACAACCAGTACCCTCTGCCACAAGCATCTACTGCAGGATGTCTCCACCTTGGCAACACTGACATTCTGAGTGAGAGATCATTCTTTGTTCCAGTCCTGTGCATTGTGGAATGGGTTTAACAGCCTCCCTGACTTCTATCCACTAGGAGCATTCCCCTGGTTATGACAACCAGAAATGTCTCTAGGTATTGCTAAATGTTCCCCTCAGGATGACCTCTTCACTTCCTGTTGAGAACTACTGATTTACTGTGTGCAGGAACTGTGTTAATCACTGAGGAGACAAACCATAAATGAGATCATTTCAGATGGTAGTAAGTGCTATGATGAAAATAAAATAGGGTAAGAAGGCAGACAGGCCTGGGATGCAACATGTACTACACATGCAAACGTACTGACAGGGGAAAGAATTTGGCTTGTTCCAAGAAGAATCAGAATGCAGGTATGCCAGGATCTATATCCTAGGGAAAGAACAACAAAAAGAAACAGGTGTGATTGGCAGAGCAGGTGGACTGAGTTGAGGCTGAAAAGTAGATGGGAGCCTGGTGAGGTCTTGGTGGTTTGATCTTAACTGCAGTTGGAAAGAATTGGAAGACAAGCAGGGAATGACAGTTGGAAAGAACGGGAAGACAAGCAGGGAATGACATGATTAGTGTTTTTTTTGTTTTTGTTTTAAACCAGGTGGCTGCTGAGAGCATGTATATGAGAGAAGCATTAGAGAAGATACAGGGAGATGAGGAGGTCGTCATAGTCCATGTGAGAGATGATGATGGCTTGCAGTTAGGCAGAGGCAATGGCAACGACAATGGCAAAATACAGTTGAAGGAGAAAAGTAACTAAGATAGGAGATGGCTAAGGCTATCTTTGACTTATCCAAATGGCTAATGGGGAAGACGGAGTGGTGTTAAAGAGTAACTGTTTTCCACACCCCTTGAAATTCAGTTCAGGCCATTACAGATCTGTCCTGCATGCTCCTGTATTAATTTACTATGGCAGCAGTAACAAATAATCACAAACTTGATAGCTTGAAACAATAAATTTATTCCCATAGTTCTGGAGGCCAGGAAGTCCAATATCAGTTTTATCGGTATCTGTAGGGCCATGCTCCTGCTGGAAGAGGCTCTGGGGAAGAATCTGTTCTTTGCCTCCTCCAGCTTCTGGTGGCTGTCAGCATTCCTTTGCTGCGGCTCCATCACTCCAATCTCTGCCTCTGTGGTCACTGTGCTTTCTCCTCTTCTGTGTGGTAATATCTCCCTTTGCTTCTATATAAGCATAGATGTAGCTGCATTTAGGGCACTCCCAGATTACCCAGAATAATCTCTCCATCTCAAGACTTTAACTTAATCATATCTTTTGCTATAGAAGAGAACATTTCCAGGTTCCAGGGATTGGTATAGGGATATCTTTTGGGAAGTCATAATTAAGCCTACCACAGTTCCTAAAGTGTTTGAAATCATTTCTGGTGCAAGTAATAAAGTTGTGTTTGTGTAGAGATCAAACTGGAAAGAAACACCGTGAAAGTAATTTTAAAAATGCCGTTCAGCAAAGAAATGTTAGAAAAAGAATTTCATAAGTGGATTTCCAAGATTACTAAGAAAGGGATGAAAAAACACAGGAGGGTTCCATGGACTCTAGACGGATCATCCCAGACATTAAAGTCAATGCTTAAAAGCACGGTTATATTCACACATTGTATAGTGGGCACTCAAATGCACAATAGTTTGTCATGTTAGCAGGGCTGGGGATAAGCTGGTGGTGGCGCACAGATGGGAGGGATAGCGAGAAGGCAGTGGACACTGGAATGGGAATGCAGAACTGAACCAGCCCACAGAGGTAGGGCAAGGCAACAGGTTCGGGTACATCCAAGTAGCTGTGGCTAGCAGGCCCAATGAGGAAGCAGGAGTGACACTGCAGGAAAGCAGAGACCACTAACAACTCCCAGAATGGGTAATATTTAGAGATCCAGGCAGGCTGCTGGCATCAGGCTAATATCTCAGAGAGTAGTTAAACTTTAGGCTCTTGATTGGGGTTCCAGGGCAGGACTCTGTCACTGAAAGGGAATCCTAGTTCTCAGCATACTAGGAAAAATAGCCAAGAGAGGAACTTATGCCCTAAAGAACAAGGCATGAATCTAATTAGCAGCACTGGGGTCCAAGATAGAGCTGGACAAACAACAAGGATAACTCATCCCAAATTCTGGAGTGCTTATCCAGAACTTGCTAAGTGCTACTTCCTAAAGACCAGAACCTCCAGGCAGATTTGCAAGTAGGGGGAAAGTCTAATAAAACTTTAGGTAATTCTGATGGAAAAAGGCAAGAATAACATTCCTGTGTTTGAATTTATAATACAGCCTAAGACATAAAGAAGT
The DNA here is from genome assembly GCF_000001405.40 of Homo sapiens. Taxonomy (NCBI): domain Eukaryota; kingdom Metazoa; phylum Chordata; class Mammalia; order Primates; family Hominidae; genus Homo; species Homo sapiens. Next base: position 107,620,523 of record NC_000007.14, on the reverse strand, counting down.
CATTATTGACAATGGGAAGGAAAGTAATTTAATATGCAACATAACTCAATCCATGAAATAAATATTTATTTATGTAATACAATTTGCTAAACACCACCATTATTAAGGAGAGTACTAGGAAAAACTACCAAACACAGCATGTGAAACAGTTGGGCACGGTGGTAAAGGGCACAGACTCTGGAGCCACAGCCGGCTAATACACTGCAATATTTTATGTTTAGCAAATTATAGCTGGTCTGTGTATAACCAGAAGAGCGGTATCTGGGGGATCAGGATATCTAAATTCTAGACTTACAGCCTGGCCCTGAATCTAACTATCAATGTTGCCTTGGAAAAACTGCTCAAACTTTTGATGTCTAAAGTTTCAGACTTGTAAACTTGAGAGGGTTGAGGTCCAAGGTCCCTTAAATGTAAACTTTAAAATGCTTTTTTGGGAATCTTTCAAATCTTCAAGCTCTTCAAAGTGCAACCAGACTTTCTCCTTACTATACAGTCTGAACAACTTTGAGAATCACTGTATTATCTTAGTTTATATAGTAATCCTGACCTAAATTTTATTATTCTCATTTTGGAGACAAGGAAATAGAGGCCTAGGCTAGCATGGCTAAATAAGTGATAAAGCTGGGAATAGATTTTAACTCTGCCCATTTTAAAGCTGTGCATTTTCTATTTTTCTGTAAGTTATTCTGACATTAGACTTAATTTTCACATAGTAGGCTAGGATTCCAAGCACTCAATATCTATATATTTATCCAGATAGCTCTTACTTTGATATTTCTAAGTCTATACTTTGAGCTAACATTTGCTCTGTTCTCTCCTATTTCAGCACTCCCTTTTCTTGTTATTTATGGTGTTGTCAGCCCATATGGTCTAACTCTCATTTCATACTCCTGTTGAATGTCTCCTACATGTCTGTTTTTTAGCAGTAACTCCTGACTTTTATCTGAAATAAAATTTTTAGGTACTTGCTCATTTCATCCACTTTATGATGAAAAAAATTAGCTAGGTGTGAAGTTGGTGCTAAAATTATAATAAACAGAGGATGTAACAAAGACAAGAGAAATAAAAACTCCAGTATTTTCCTTTTTTTTATATTTAGGTTTTCATGAGACAAGGAAGATGATTTCATGTCTAAACACTGGAACAAATGAAATCATATTAATATTATAATCACTGCCATCTTCTAAAGGAAATTCTAAATGAATATTTGAATGGAAAAATAGTACTTAATATTTAGCTTTCAGAATACAGAAACATTGTAGAAAGACTGTGTGATACCAGTGTATGTATTTTTGAGGTAATATTTATATAATTAGTTACTCTCACAACCAAGGGAAAGAAATACTGCTTTTTGGACACTTTCTAGAAATACTGCTTTTTGGATATTTTCTACGTTAACTTTTCAAGAATTCTACACTGTTGTAAAATAAATTCAGTTCAGTGGTATAGCAGTTATACAAATATATGTAAGCTCTATTACTAGATTAACTTGAAACAGTAGAGTGGTTACTAATTATGTGTTATTAATAAAAATATTAACAAAAAGACCAAAATGTGCAAGGGCACAGTAACAAAAATATAATTATCAATATAGCTATCTTATTAGAGTAAACCATAGTATCATCAGGCTTAAAAAAAACTAAGGTCATTGTTTTTTCCGACTCTTCCTTATAAATACAGTGGATAACTCTGATCAGTTATCCTTATTTACATTCCCTGTGTACAAATTTGCTGATATTGAACACTATTTTCAAACACATCATCATCTGATTAAATAGGTTATTATTACTGAAAACTTATCAAAGCTTTCAAGGCTATTAATGGTTTCATGCAACTTAAAACTTCTAATTTTGGAAGCAACCGGTTAATGAATTTTTTCCTTTTATTGGTAAACAGCCACCATATACCAATGACATTATCAATATGTAAATATGGTATTTAACATGCTTATATTTTTCTTAAGAGCTGGAATACAGACTTTGCAATATATCTGAAACATCATCAAATATTTTGATAATGCCATTACAATACAACCTATGTGTGGCATTAAAAAAATTACGAACCGGTCATAGTGCATTTTTCTGAACTTAAATTTTCTAGAGGCTAACATAACAAAATTATCATTTTGACACAGTATATTGCAAGTGTCTTTTATAAAGTTCACAGTCTTTTCTTGTTGCCTCTTTCTAAACGATCCTGTAAGGAAAAAAATATGATTTATGTAGTACAGCAAAGAGAAACAGATTCATAGACATGACAAGGACTTTTAAAAAACATTCTCTCTTCTATGTATACTTATGAGAATAATTAAATGTGAAAAAAAGGATTGAGAAAGTCTAAAATTTAAAAAACTATAAAATTTGTGGTTTTTACTTAGGAAAAAGAACACTCTTGGTAAGTTCATTTTTCCCCTTGCCTTAATCTATTTTGCTTTTGTTTCACAGGTTACATTAGGAAAACATGATTTCTAAAATTCCCCTACTGTTAACCCAATTAAGGTTTTTGGTAAATGAAAGAAGGAAGGGACAAAAACCTCAGCTAGGGTGGCTTTGGTTTTGTCCTTCAGATATTTGCCAACAGAACTGACTTCTCAAATTATACTTGGCTGATCATGTTATAAAGATTACTATATTACATCATTTAAAACTGAAGGAAAATGGAAAAGAAATTAATCTTAAGAGATCACTTGTGCTAAGAAAGTAAATGTCTACATCATGAAAAATATCTCATAAAATGGGGTTGCAGAGTGTTATTGCTTGTATAAAGAAGTTCGTCAAGCTCTTGTTCAGGCTGAACATTAATGCTTCCATAGCAACTTTAATAACATTAACTTTTGCAATCAAATAAAAAGACAAGAGTAGAGGAGGTAAATTACTTCCACAAGTTTACATATGTGGCCCCCTTTTGATAAAAAACAAAGCTTTAATGAAGCTATTATGGACAAGTCCCTTAAGTGATGGCTGATTTTCCAAAATGAAATTTAAAAACTGGCAGGTGCTGATGGGTTTGTGCAGCCAATAATCTCTAGTTAGTTCTGTTTTTCTTTTTTTTTAGAAGAGAGGCAGGGCAAATAAGGAAAGGACTACATGTTTTGAAGGGACTGTTTTCTAATATTTATTTAGTGCCTATAACAGGGAGGGGACCAGATGGGGAAATCCAAAAGGATTTAAAAGATGCAAATTGGGATCTATTTACAGTAAAGAAATCAGCGTTTCCCTCTTTAACCTTTGTTTCCTTAATATTTTAATGATCTTTCGTTTTATGATTGTTCCAATGAAAATATGTCAACTGTGTAAAATTCAGGAAGCTAGTTCCAAAGAACCTTAGCATATAATTCAATATCTAAGATTAGTTTGACAACAGAAGTAAATTCATGAGGACAATTTGATAGAGCTTTTTACCATAGAGGATCTGTAACTATCTTTTGCTTCTCAAGCAGGGCTCAGACGAACATTAAAGCACAAGAGTTAAAGAAAAGGGTTCTTGGCTGGGCACGGTGGCTCGAGCCTATAATCCCAGCACTTTGGAAGGCCCAGGTGGGCGGATCGCTTGAGGTCAGGAGTTCGAGACCAGCCTGGCCAACATGGTGAAACCCTGTCTCTACTAAAAATACCCAACTTAGCTGCGCATGGTGGCATGTGCTTGTAGTCCCAGTCACTCAGAAGGCTGAGGCACAAGAATCGATTAAATTGGGGAGGTGGAGGTTGCAGCGAGCTGAGATTGTGCCACTGAACTCCAGTCTTGGTGACAGAGTGAGACACTGTCTCAAAAAACAAACAAACAAACAAAATGGGGCTCTTAATGATATCTAAATCTGAGAATCTTATACAGGGTCTCATATTGGACAACGGTGGGGGATGGGTAGGTGAAGGAAAAAAATGTAACCAGTCAGGACATAATAAATAGCATTCTTGATTATAAATATATAAAGTGCTTTCTTATACAGGATCTGGTTTAATTTTCATAAGGTATTACAACCTTTATTTAAGTAGTAAAGTACCTGAGGAGCATAGATGTCAAATGAGTCACCTGTGGGTTACAGAAGTGGTAAACTATGGAGCTGAGATTTTGTTTTCCTTCCAACAGAGATATTATGGGAAATTGGTTTTACAGGTGATGAAAAAGTACACACACCAAACAGGGTGGTAAGGCACCTCTGGGATTATCAATAGCAGAAAAGCCACCACCACTTCTTGGGCTGGAGGGATGAGGGTTATGGAGCCCAGGTGCGAAGGCCAGTATGTAGAAGCTGCCCAGTGGGACCTAGAGGGAAGGAACTGGAGTCATAAAGGAGAAGGCCTCTATAGCAGAAAGAGTAGAAGAAATCCCTGGCTTTCCCCTTCCTCCTGCCTTCAGTCTTCTAGTGCCTGCCACTGGCTAAACCTGCCCAGACTGAGTCAGACAGCAAGGGAGCCTTGGAAACGGGCCTCCCAGAGATACAGAGTAAAGCAGTGGTGAGAGGAGAATGGATCCAAGAACACAATCCAATGATCAGCAAAGGCCAAAGAACATAGTGGTTAATGATGGAGGTTCTGGAGAAAGATTCTCTGACTTTGAATGCTATCACTTTCTAGTTACTTTCGATAAATTATATAACATCTCTGGGTCTCAGTTTCCTCATTCACAAAATAGGGATATTAAAATACTTTCAATTATTGAGCTGTCATGGAGAGTAAACAAAACAACATATACGAAGCCCTTAGCCAAGTGCTTAGTCCAGAGCATACTCTCAACAAATGACATCTATTAAATATTTCAAAAACTGGATACAAGCAGAAATTAGATCAAGTCCTGAAGTGCTATCAAACAAGGCCCTACTCTCGGCATGGTGTCTGGCATAATCTGGGATGGGGTCTTTTCCACAGAAACAGGTATGACAACTATTATAACAACTATTTTCTTGGGAAGGAATCACTTTTTTTTTTTCTGAGATGGAGTCTCGCTCTGTCACCCAGGCTGGAGTGCAAAAGCGCGATCTCGGCTCACTGCAACCTCTGCCTCCCAGGTTCAAGTGATTCTCCTGCCTCAGCCTCCCGAGTAGCTGGGATTACAGGCACTTGCCACCATGCCCGGCTAATTTTTTGTATTTTTAGTAGAGACAGGGTTTCACCTTGTTAGCCAGGATGGTCTTGATCTCCCATGATCCGCCCGCCTCAGCCTTCCAAAGTGCTGGGATTAAAGAAAGGTGTGAGCCACCACGCTCAGCCAGGAATCACTCTTAAAAGCTTTCTACTTCCTTTACCAAGAATGCAGCAGCTCCAGGCTGACTGTGGCTTTTCTGTGGGGAGGAAATGGGTTGAGGAAATCTCACTGTTATATATATTCTTCAGAATTAAGAGAACCAATGGCTGTTACCACAATGGAGACATTCAACAATGGAGACATTCAACAATGGAGACATTCAACAATGGACACTGGCCATAAGAAACTGAAGGCATACTTCTGGTTTTCCTTTCTCCATTCAAAGATCTAAGCATGTCTGACATCATGGCAAAGTCCACTAATGTCGATACTCAACCTGGCTGAGTAAACCCTAATCTCACAAATAGGGGGAAAATGTTGTATTTCTAGGCAAGAGGTCTCTGAAGTGACTTCTTCACTTTCCAAGGTGGACCTTGAAAGATACCACGAATAATTATCATGCCCCAATGAGGTCAGCAATTTTAGGGTCTCTATTTTTGAGACGGGGAAGGGGTGGTCTTGCTGACAATCTACCTATCTGCTCCAGGCCATGTGAACTGAGCCCTCAGTGTCCTGGGATTGGAGCATACAGGGTATTCACCCTTCTCTGGCTACCTTGTCTTTTGCTATTGTCAAAGTAGGCTAGTTAAACCAAACATGCAAACCAACTGGGAATATCAGATTACAAATATGTGCTTTGGGTTACTTAATTACTGGCTCTAAACCAAGGCCAAAGTGGTTGGTTGAGAATAAGTCATTCTTTCAGCAAAATTCCTACAGAGGAAGTAATACAGATGATGATGATAATACCTATCATTTCTTGAGTGTTTACTGTCAGCTAGGCATAGTGCTAAAAAACCTACACATTTTATTTAGTTCTCTTAACAATCCAGTGAGCCAGGCATCATTATTGTTTCAATTTTTATAGATGAAAGAAGTGAGCCCCAAAGGGATGCTATAACCTGCCTAAGATAAAAAACCTAGCATGCAGCCAGGTATAGGTAGGTATTCCAAGTAGGTCTGACTACAAAGTCTATGAGTATAGTGTATGCTTGCCTTGTGCCAGGAACAGTGCTGAGTCTTGGAGATACCATGACCATTAAGATGCAGGGAAATGTGTACAGTGAAATAAAAAGCTATTATTTGTAAAAAGCCCTGACTGAAAGCCACAAAGGCTGCCAAATTTTGAAGACAAGCCCAACCAGTCTGTCTTGGGAGAAACTGGGAGGGAAGGCCAGGGCTGTCTCTGGAATGGTCTCTTCCCCAATTGATCAGAGTGTGTCTGAGAAATCAATTCAGGTTACTGGCTGGCAGCAGAAGGGAGGGAGGAAAGACAAGCCTAACAGGGATGACCATTTCTTTTATTGAATTAGAGAGAAAGAGAAAGAAAACCTATGGCCCAGATCTGACTTTGTGGCTTTAACAATGAAACATTTTTTTCCCATTTCCATCTTTCAAATCAACATTTGGAGGTAAATGATAAATTTGAATGCTAAAGTCTTGTCCTAATATGTCTAAAACACTGAGACAAGAGTAGTGTGATGTGGAACTTGAAATTTTGGCCTCATTTTGGCATGAATATGGCAAACATCCCAAAGAGCAAAACTCACCTTTTCTAGAACCAGTCTGTTTTCCAATGCTGCCATTTTTGTGGCTTCTTTTGCTTAAAAATTCACCAAAACTGGAATGCTGTAAGTATGCAAGTCAGCAATTCCTTAAAATTATCTTGTATTTTCCTGCAATGTCCTAATCTTTACCCTCTAGGTAAAAATCTGGCTTCTTTAAATCGTTTAACAAAGCCAGGATTAAGTACATCATCTTGATTAGTTAAGGACAAATAACCCAAATAATTTACTTAGGTAATTACTATTTCAAAACATTTAGGTGCATAAAGTGCATGTCACACCCACCTGAAGTTCAGAGTGTTCTTTCAGGAGTTGATCATATTCTTTCGAAAGTCTCTCTGACTGCATCTTCATTTCCATCACATCATTTTGTGCCTTAGAAAGGGCTAGAAAATATCGAATAGTTTTATTTTTATTTCAGAATAATTTCAAATTTATAGAAAAGTTACAAGGCTTAAATAGAGAACTCCTGTATAGTCTTTACTCAAATCCACTGTTAACATTGTGCTACATTTGTTATCATATTCTCTCTCTTCACACACACTATTATTTTCTTGACTCATTTGAGAATAAGGTGCAGGCATCGTGCCCCTCTACTCTTCAATACATTTCTGTGAATGTATTTCCCAGAAACAAAATATTATCTAACATAACCATAGTATAGTCACCAAATTTAGGAAACTTAATATGAATACAATACTTTAAATCTAATTTATCATCCATATGCCAGTTTTTGGAACTGTCTTAATCATGTCCTTTAAGCATTTTCTCCACTGCTAGTCCAGGATACAGTGCAAGATCACATATTGCATTTAGTTATCATATCTCTTTAATTTCTTTTAATCTGGAATAATTCCCTACCATTATCACAGCCCTCTTCTCCCCATCTTTCATGATACTGACATTTTAAAGAATACAGGCCACTTTTTAGATAGAATGTTCTTTCACTTTGTTTTTGTCTGATGTTTCCTCATGAATAAATTCAGGTCATGCATCCACTTACATATGAATATAAGTGATATTAAATGCTTCTCAGGGCATCCAGAGGCCCATTACATCCAAAGTTCCTCTGTCCCTCACTGGTTTTTCCATTTTATACTTACAATTTTAACCTTTGTAACTAAAGCAGCAATATATAGGAAGACAATTTAGTCTATGCAAACATCCTGCTCCTCAAGATAATGGCACACAAGAATTACTATATATTGACCTTTACCTACCAAGGAGCTACAAGTCATATGTCAGCAGATTCAGGGCCTTAGATAGAAGTAAAATAAATATATATATATATATATATATATATATATATATATATATATATATATAAAACAATACATTGTGAAGAAGGTGCTAATGAGCAAAATATGTAGAAGAGCTGTACAAAATGGGGTAGAAAAATTAGAGTTGTCATACTTGAAACTTTTATCTCATATAGTGCTTTCAGAAATCATTTTTCCAAACTCTGGGAATCCTGAAGTAGCTCTATATCATATGTAGCCTTCAGAAGTTCTACATTTGGAAGTATTTTAGGGTAGGAGTTTAAGGGAAAAAAGTAGAATTTATAAATTTAAAAGCTACTTTTCTGGCACAATGAAATAAAATTATAGGTTCCAGTTATAAACAATCTTTTCTCTTGAGAAGTCATCATATAGGCATTTTTATATAAATATATAAGCCATTATCAACTAAAGTGCTTTTTGTATCAGTACTTTCTAGACAGTATTGTCAAATGTTCTACATAGTTCTACATCTGCGTTGTCAATACGGTAGTCACTACTTAGATGTGGCTATTGTGAACTTTAAATGTGGCTAGTTTAAGTGAGGACCTATATTTTCAATTTAAGTTCAATTAAATTTAAACAGCCACATGTGAGCTAGTGGCTAGCCATATTGGGCAGCACAGCTCTATAATTTCCTCCATGTTCCTTCTATAGCTGCATAATTCTAAATAAGGTATTAAAGACTGATTTTGACAAATTTAATGTGATGTCACTTGCTAAAGGTATGAGTCAGGTATGGAAGACACTTTTGGGGATGGTTAGATTTCATTAGGACCACCTTCACAACATAAAGAGTTATACGTTAGTTTTCAATTTGGGTTCTACAAGGCATTTCCTAGAGGCTACTTGAAAATATGATGCATGGTGGTGGTATCTTCAGAGCTCAGCAAAAAAGTTTAAGACCCTGGATTTCTGGTACATAAAATACACAGTAGATTCCACAATCTAATAGTGGCTGACTAGCCTGCAATGGTGTTTATTTTTTTTTGAGACAACATCTTGCTCTACCACCCCAGCCAATTTTTAAATTTTTTGTAGAGATGAGGTCTCACTATGTTGCCCAGGCAGGTCTTGAACTCCTGGGCTCAAGCAATTCTCTCACCTCAGGCTCCCAAAGTGCTGGGATTACAGTTGTGAGCCACTGCCCCTGGCCTACAATGGTAGTTTTAAGAATGTTGTTGTTATGGTCCGAATGCTTGTCTCTCCACAAAATTCATATGTTGAAACCTAATTACCAATGTGATCGTATTGGGAGGCGTGGCTGGGGAGTGATTAGGTCATAAGGGTGGGGTCCTCATTAATGGGATTCGTGCACTAATAAAAAGAGGCCCCAGAGAGCTGCCTTTCCCTTTCCATTATGTGAGAACATAGCAAGATGGTACCATCTACGAATCACGAAACAGGCCCTCATCAGAGGCCTAATTTATTGGGGCCTTGATCTCAGACTTCTTAGCCACCAGAACCGTGAGAAATAAATTTCTGTTGTTTATAAGCTACTGAGTCTAGAGTACTTTCTATTAAGACAGTTGGTCAGGTGCTTGTAATGAACAGGAGTTGGTCTTAATGTCAAAAACAATTTATACTTGAATTTCTGACATTAAGAAGTTATTTAATAAATTTAATATATCTTAGATATCAACCCAGTAGTTCCTTTTTAAAAGAAGCTAGAAAACCACTTGTACAGCCTATCTAGGAGTTTCTTCTGGTTACTACTGGTATAAAGTTATTAACGGAACAAATGCAGACAAATACTGTTTTTCTGCCACTTACTAAGCCAAGGTATAAAATGTGTTTCTTATTTCATTTTGTATTTCAGTGGATATTAATAAATCTAATGAATACTATCACTCCAATTAGGGGAGGCTATTATTGTCTAGACACATCTTGGACTGTTTCCCAGTCCTTTATCTCATTTTATAAAAATTATTGTGTTTTGGATGCCTTCCACCTCCTTTTGCAACTGCATCTGTAACCAAGGGACTATATAAACTTGTTATCTGACATGTGAATATGCTTATTTTATTTTGAGGCATATTATTTTGGAAACAGCATATATAAGAAAAATATTATTGGACAAGGAGGCTTTAGATGATACATCTAAGTTGCTACTGCAATTTTCTTAACTGCAAAAACGGGCTGCTATCACTTGCCAGTGGCTTTATGGAAATACTGAGATATTTGCTAAGAATACTGGCTAGATTCAATAAGAGACTGTTATGTCCTAGGTTATGGTCCATTAGATATTTTTAAAGGCACTTGCATCATTTATTAATATAGAAAATGACTTCAACTAATGTTACAGTGACACATAGTAAGCAAAAACATTTGTTGTCTTTCCAAGTGTCAAACGTTCACTTACGGAACTATTTGCAAAAGTGGGAGGAGCTGGTGAGACTAATGTACCGTGTAAATGTATTGTATCACTGTGATTTCGACCAGAGATAGAAACACTGCCAGTAAAGCTCTGCCAGGAAATGGAAGTTTTTAGAGGCACTGGCATGACAGCTAAAGTTGGGCTGTTGTACAACAGCTGTAAGGACTGAGCCAGAGGAAAACATATTTTATTTGAAAAATTTCCATATGTCTAGTGTTGGTTTCTTTCCAATTTATTTGGTTCTCTTTCTGAGAATTCAAGAGTGTGATACACTGGAGCTATTCAGTATTTAATCCTCACATGTACTACTCCTTTGCCAATGATCACTTATTGGATTGTTAATCTACAGTAATGCTTCCAAGATACTTGGAAAGTAGACATACAAACTTCTGTTCAGTAAGGACATAAACTGTGGTTTAATTATATTATCCTTCTTTTGTACATGCCTATATTGTGAGGTCTGTGTAGGTAAAGATTTACGTTTTATTCATCACTTCAATCAACACCTAATCTCTTTTAACCTCACACCCATCTGTTGATAAAGTTTGTTGATAGCTGTTAAGTTCCTTTATAGCTCTCCAATCCATACCTTCCACTCCAGCTCTGTGACCACTGTCCTCATTTCCAGATTAGATTATTAAGTGGATTTCTCACGTAGTTGCCCGTCTACTTGAATCCATTGTCTATAATGCTGTCAAAGTGATTGCTCTTGTGCCTAAAAACCCTCTAAGAGTGCCCTGAAAATGTTAACGTACAAACAGGGCATATGAGGCCCTTCAGGATGGCTTCTAGGCCTACTGCTCAACTCTCTCCACTGGTTCCATCTTCTTTTACACTCCAGTTGCCTTGAGCTCCTTGTAGTACCTCAAAAGTGCCATACTCCTTTGGTTACATGCTGCTCATTTTTGTTATAACACCTTGTCCATCTCCTCCTACTTCATCTGGCTAATTAATGTCATCCTTTAAAATGTCAAGAAAGTGTCGATCTCCAGTGTTGGCTTCTACTACAACTCAAGTTTCACCACACCACGTATTGAATTGAAGGGCAACTATGCCCTTACTAGACTATGGACTACTCAAGAAACAGAGCTGTGTCTTATCTGTCTGAGTACCTAGCATATTGCCTAGTATTGGTAAGTGCTTAAAATATGCTCCTTGAAGGAATGAAAGAATGAATAAATGAAAAGTGTAAGCTTTAAGCATTTGAAAAATTCACTTGTGTGTAAACAGTTCACTTGGAAATGATAAATGTCAGGTGAACAATACAAAGTGTTACTTTAGTCACCTGATAGTAATCTTGATAAAAACACCGTCAATCAAAAACCAAAATACTCAGGATAGCCAAAACAAAGCAAAGAGACCATTCTTGAAATATTTTGATGAAAATATACTCATGTTACAAATATCTCATACTACTCCAGAATCAAAAATAAAATATAAATAAATAGTACCAAAGAATCCAGCCCAATTAAAAAAAATCCCTAAACATTGATTCTAAGAATGGGGCAGGAAATGTTCAAGATAAGCCTGGAGTATCTTGTAATGCCAGAAAGTAAGGAAGTGCTCCAAAAATGAAACAAACAAACAAACAAACAAACAAACAAATATCCAAAATGGAAATGTGTCAAAGGGACACAGGAGCCAAATGAAAGAGCTCCCAATGGTGAAAGCTGGACAACCTGAACAATAAACTAAAGTAGTATTAAATTATAACCCAAATTATAAAATAAATACCTATGAGTCCATACTGACAAACAAATGGTAGACAACAGACAAATCTGTGTAGAATTCCAAACAATTTACACAGATACTCTGCTTTCAAGGAGGTTGAGCGTAACTTCCCTTTCTTATTTTTTTTTTTTTAATCCACTCATTTGCACACTGATCCCCATTTCTGAAGTGTGGGCTGTGAACAGTGATTCACAAAGATTACGGTATGGAAAAAGGAGGGAAAAGAGGAACTTTACAGTTCAGAAACTAGACAAGCACTATTTTAGCCAGGTGATCAAGGTCAACATCAAAACTGATAAGTTATGTTAATAATATGTACTCTTGATACAATGTGATGAAAGCTGGCACCTCTGTGACTTTCAAAACCTATACAAAAGTAGAAAACATGGAATCCAGGCCGGGCACAGTGGCTCACATCTGCAATTCCAGCACTTTGGGAGGCCGAGGCAGGCGGACCACCAGGTCAGGAGTTCAAGACCAGCCTGGCCAACATGGTGAAACCCCATCTCTACTAAAAATACAAAAATTAGCTGGGCATGGTGGTGTGTGCCTGTAATCCCAGCTGCTCGGGAGGCTGAAGCAGAATTGCTGGAACCGGGACCTGGGGGGCGGAGGTTGCAGTGAGCCAAGATTGCGCCACTGCACTCCAGCCTGCACTACAAAGGGAGAATCTGTCTCGGAAAAAAAAAAAAAAAAAGAAAAAGAAAGAAAACATGGAATTCAGGAAAGAGGGTATCAATACAGGAAAGAGGCAAAGGAAATCCTCATAATGATGATGAATATATAGTTGTAATAATATGATATAGTAAAAGTTATGATATATTTAAATTGAAAGGATGGAGGGGGATGGGAAGTATGAGGAGCCAGGAGGGAAACTGGGTGAGATAAAGAGGTCTAAGTCCTCGTCTTCCCTATAACAAAGTCAAAGATAATATCCCATACTGAAAGATCAAGAAAAAACTACCTAAACACTGCATTTAGAAACCTGGAGGCACATATCAGAGAACATTATTTTTGAGACAGGATCTTACTCTGTTGCCCAGACTGGAGTGCAGTGGCACAATCTTGGATCACTGCAACCTGTGCCTCCCAGGCTCAAGCGATTCTTCTGCCTCAGCCTCCCGGGTAGTGGGGATTACAGGCACGTGCCACTACCATCCGGTTAATTTTTATATTTTTAGTAGAGACAGTGTTTCACCATATTTGGCCAGGCTGGCCTCAAACTCCTGAGCTCAAATGATCCACCTGCCCCGGCCTCCCAAAGTGCTGGGATTACAGGCGTGAGCCACTGCGCCCGGCCTCAGAGGACATTTCTAAAGGAGTTGAATGTAGTTGCTTCTGGGGACAGGGCCTCAGGAGACTGCTCTTTTTCATTATAAGCCTTGTGTTACTATTTTGCTTTAAAAATATGTATATGTAAAACTTTGATAAAATAAAAAAAAGTAAAAGGTGCTCCAGATAAATACTCCCTTTTATAACAAAGGCTCTCAGAGCTGGGAAGACCTCTAGAGATCTAGTCCCATTTTTTATTTCCCTAACATAATTATAATGAAAAGAACATGCTAATTTCTTAAATCATTTCTTCTGCAAAGTTTTATTATTCCATATCAATAGTTCTAATAAATGTTCTAAACAAACAGCCACGCTCTAACACTAATGAGAATTGGTTCTGTTTACTGGCATATCCTCTCTTCTCCCAATGCCCTACATTTAAGACTTGTGGCCCCATTTCACATAGCACACTTGTGTTCCCATTTTACATAGCACACTTGTGTTGTGAGCTAACAGATGCATAAAACCTGCCAGATCCTGTCCTAAAGATCCTAAGATTGCATGAAACATTCTTCAAAAGTGAAGAATGTGGCTTAATCACCTGCTGAGCTTATTAAGTTTGGAGAAAGGGAAGTTACTGTGAAAAGATTTTTCTCATGAAAAATAAATATAATTTGAAGGGTCAAAAAGCCAACAATGAAAATAATTCTTGATAGTCAGTTTTGCTTAATTACATTATTTGGAGCTATATAATAGACATTAAAGTTTAACTAGTTCAGTCTCTCATTTTACAAAAGAGAAAACTATGCCTAAAAAGAGTCAATGACTTCACCAAGATTACCCAGTGTATCCTCAGATTTTGCAATGTAATTCATATAACTTAGCAAAAGCTATATGAACAGCTTCTAATATTTAGGGTCTACCAACAAAGTAAAGTTGGAATACAGCCAATTAATTAGATAATTCAAGCCAAAAAACTACCGCCCTAGATTACCTGGGTATTTGGAAGAGGTTTTTTATTTTTATTTTTAAATTCTTTTTACAATAAAAAGCTATCTTTTTCATTAAGCAAAAGAAATTCATTGTAGAAAATAATTTAAACTCTAGGAAAAAGTCATTTGTTGTACATGCTAAGGAAAACCACTATTAATAGTTTAGTGTTTTTTCCTAATTGAAAGTGTTTTAAAACTAGAGTTGTACAGTTTAATTTTTGTAACTCACTTGGCCATAAACATGAACCTGCCATAAGCTGATATCATTAGAAAAGTATTTACCATGAAGGATTGTAGTAAACATGCATATCTAGGTATGGAATAAGACAGTAGAAAAGAACACCAAGGCATTCAAAGTAATTATCTCCTTCGATCTTTTAGGGGCTACATCAATGGACCCCTCAACCATACAGCACAATCATTCACTGCACCTAGTGTGACACATCGACTTCAAACAGACCACTCTGCTTTTTGCTTTGCTCTTCTCACTCAGAACAGTAGTATCATTTCACTCATTTTTCTGCCATTCTATGTCCATCAACACATTTAGAGAATTGTGCTTGATTACATCTTTAACACCTGGAACATTCCTTGATTCAGTATGCATTTAGCACTCTCCACTCATGTTTTTGGTAGACTAGCCCATGTTTCACACTGGGGAGGAAATGAATCCCTTTATGGACATATGTTTGGTTTACCATCTGGACTACAAGCTCTTCTGAGAACAAACTGTTTTCTCTTGCTTTAATGTCCCTCTGTGGAGATTATAAAAGCTTCTCCTCAGGGTAGATATCGTTATGTTTGCTAGTACTGTGAATAATATATAAGGTATCTTTGAATTTCTGTCTTAATATCTTCCCTATAGCTATTCCTCCTGGTTACTGAAAGACACATAGTTTATGAGTATAGGCCTTGATAACAGATAAGAAGCTCACAAGAAAGGGAAACATCACAACTAAATGGGAATGTAACAGGGAACCAAACAGGATGCAATATCATCATTATATATTAGTCCAAGAAAAGTACTCTGATAGCAAGCAAACCCTTTTTTCTGTTTTGACAATAACATCAATATGTGAAGATAACACAGAGATGAACTAATAAATACTAATAAATCCTTTATTTACCTAACTAAAAGGATTGGTCATGAGTTTTATTTACTTTAAATAATTAAAATACTATTAATTATATATTGCCTACTGGCACAACCATCAAATAAACTATATTATTCTTTCTTAATGCAGTTTTTTTTTTCAGTTGATACAAGAAGGGACAAAGGTGTCAAAGAAACAGAAACTTCCAGACATGAAAACAAATAATATGTTTTTTTCTTATTTAAATCACAAAAGTGCATTAAAAGGCAACAAAGCAAAAAAAAAAAAACAACAACAACAACAACAACAAAATGACTAAAAACAGCAAACTGTTTTTAAGCATTAATAATTTTAAAATAAGCTGGGGGCTTTGATATAACTGTAAGTAAAAGATAACTAAGTTCACGTCCACAAAAATTTACAACTGTAAAACATGCTTAGGGTAAACTTAGAATTTATTTTTAGATGAATATATGGTTCATTTGTAAGAAACTGGAAATCATATGGTTTTAAACTTGTATACAAAGCTTATGTCTTATTCTTAACACTGAAGAGGCAGGAATTTAGGGTTTTGGGTATACAGATCAGCAATTCCCCTGTAATTTTCTATCTTGTCTTGATCTCCAATTTCTCTGGAAAAACACTTCAGCTATTTTTCACTATCTGGTCCCTATGTTAACTGGCAATAAAAAGTAAAAAAAACTTAACATCTTCAAGGGTATCAAAGTTGGTCTGCAAAAGGTAATTTTAGTTTTGTTCAACGTAAGTCAAGGTGATATGAAAGCATTTATCCAGGAAGAGAGTTGAATTATCATTATTTTAAGTAGGGGACTAAGGGTTCTGTTTCCTGGTCCAAATCTAGTATCTCTATTGCGTGCTGCTAATACTTAGGTACCCATAATAGGTCTTTACACTCAGTTTCTGATTGTTAGTATATGCTTTAAGAAATTTATTTAAAGTTTGCTTTATCCTCAAGAGGCACACTTTTTAAGGAAAGTGTTAATTATGCTCCACATTAAATGACTTTACAACGACTGAATTACTTGAAAAGTTCTTTTAAAAATTGCTGAGGCCCAGGCACAGCAGTTCATGCCTGTAATCCCAGCGTTTTTGGAGGCTGAGGAGGAAGGGCTTGAAGCCAGAAGTTCAAGACCAGACTAAGTAGCAAAGCGAGACCCTGTCTTTACAAAAAATCAAAAAAATTAGGCGGGCATGGTGGTGCACACATGTAGTCCCAGCTACTCAGGAGGCTGAGGCGGGAGGATCTCCTGAGTCCAGGAGTTCGAGGTTGCAGTAAGCCAAGACTGCACCACTGCACTCCCACCTGGGTGACAGTGAGACTCTGTCTCAAAAAAAAAAAAAAAAAAAAATTGCTGATGAAACAAAGAAGGAACAAAGGAAAGCAGGAACAAACAGAAGAAAGGCATGGTCAAGAAATTTCCCCCAATTACTGTTTTCTCTTTTCCTTTATGTAGAAGACATATACTGCTAATTCAACCTTTACTACAAGATTGGCAAGCCCTAAGAATTCCTTTTAAAATATGGGATGTTTTTTATATCTATATGTATTCCTGCTCCTAAAAGAATGAAGAACAGACATTTCCACATGCAGCTCAATCACTTTTTAAACGATATTTACTTTTATCATTGCTTGGATGCATACAATGACTGAATGCTACATATTTCTAGTTATAAGAATAAAGGAGACCGGGCGCAGTAGCTCACACCTGTAATCCCAGCACTTTGGGAGGCCGACGCGGGCAGATCACAAGGTCAGGAGATTGAGACCATCCTGGCTAACATGGGGAAACCCCATCTCTACTAAAAATACAAAAAAATTAGCCAGGCGTGGCGGCAGGCGCCTGTAGTCCCAGCTACTTGGGAGGCTGAGGCTGGAGAATGGCGTGAACCCGGGAGGCAGAGCTTGCAGTGAGCCAGATCCCACCACTGCACTCCAGCCTGGGCGACAGAGTGAGACTTCATCTCAAAAAAAAAAAAAAAAAAAAAAAAGAATAAAAGAAGGTATTCATTTATGAAAATAAGTAGTTTTCCTGGAAGAGACCTTTAAAATCAATCTCTTTGGACATCAGAAGGTTTTTCCACTAAATGCAATGTCTGTGCTAGGGTGATATTACTGCACGGAAGCACCGGTAATAGTTTACAAACTTTGGTCAAAATAGGAGTTGGAGGTTAAAAACTGAAGGTGTTTGCCACTACTGATAGAGTGTTCTCAGTAGCTGCCTTCAGAATGCCACTTTTTAAATTTGGGGCTAACTAGCTTAAATAAACATTTGTATTTACGTTTTGTTTCCAATAATACACTTGGGAGAAAATGTTTCACTTAGATTTAAGTAACACAAAGGATAAGAAAATTCATATGGAAAACACCCTATTTTCCTCTAAAAAAAAAAATTGCTTTTTTTTAACTCAATTTTCAAATGTAAGATCTCTTTCTAAATCTTTCTTAAGCCTTGTCACCTTAACACCCTCAATATTTAGAAATCAATGAACATTTTTGAGTGGTACTGTGCACAAAGCATTGTACCACTGAATTCATCCAAATCATGCACTATTAATTGATATATTTTCTTAGTTCTTACCTTACTGAATTTAACTGGTTTAGGTCAACAGAACATGACCAAGGAAACACCTTCTTTAGAAACGGAACTCTGATCTTCTCAAGGTCATTACAAATGTTATTTTTTAAAAAAACTTAGGGTAAATAAAACATGTTCATAAAATATTATATGTCTTGCTGGAACCAAACAGGACACACTCGAACAGGTAAAATCTGCCTTTACCTGAACACTAATTCACTTTGAAAGTAGCTCTGCAGTCTATACTTCAAACACAGAAGCTGGTATCAGTTGTTATCAGATTGTAAACACAATGCTTACATTGTCAAAGAGTTCATTTTTTCTAAAATCTGATTTTGTCTTTTAAAGAAATGCTCATGTAATACTAAGTTAAGTTTTATGCCAGATTTAAAGAGTTAAAACTCAAAATATCTCAGAGCTGGAATTTTTGAAAGGTGAAAGGAGAAACTCAATTGTGCAGGGTTAAGAGAAGTGTAGCACACATACACTCTTGTCTATCTTTTATTTTTGTGCCACCCTGCTTACAACATAAGAAAAGAGATTCTTGGTGGATACAGAAAAAAGAAAGCAGGATTTTGAAAGAATATTTTTGTGTTTTGGAAATAGATGGTTTCATTCTTCAAAAGAATTGGTAGCAATATTTTATGCAGGGTTAAAAAAGAACACTAGTTTCTCTTCTGAAATGTCTGTTGTAAACGGTAGGTAACTATTAAATTCATTTTCATATAAACAATAACATTTCTTGATCATGTTCGAAATCTTTTGGAATTACAGAAAAGGCAACAGTACCAACTAGAAGATTCTTGAATTTTGGGCTATACTATGCCAACTACATAATATACCACTTTGTCTATAAGGGTAATTTATTTTTTAACTTATTGCTTCTGAACTGTCTTCTTTTTTTCACTTGAAATAATAAGGAGGAACGTGACTAAAGAATTTTGTATCACATAAATATTCTCCAGTGGATTTCTGTTCTATTCACAGAATTAGCTTTTATTTTTATGTTTTTCATCTCAAATTCAAATACACCCTGATTGAAGTAAACCCTATCCAAACAACGTACCTTAACACCAACTGAAAGTGAGGTTTCTCAGTGTCTGGCCAACATAAAAAACTATCTGTTGTATGCAGAAATGTTGCAAATCATCAAGCCACAAACTTACACTGAGTTTTCTTGGATGACACTGAATTTGGGTTATCTACTTTTCTGTGCTGTGCAGATGCAACAAAAATAATTTGTTCTTTGACTAAGAAAAAAACACTAGCAAAACTTTTTTTTTTAATGTAGAAGAAATTGCTGCCTTCAGGAAAATGGAGTTGGGATGCTCCACTTCAAGCCTACACTGCAATGTTATGTGGGAAGGAGGCACTCAAATTCTTAGCTGACATCCCAGATATTGTTGCCTACTCTGTGCCTACCCACCTCTTTCAAGGAACGCTTTCCTTATGTCTAACAGGTAGAATATATTAGTGCTTGAAATAAACAATATATTTTCTTGTAAGAAAACTGTTCCCCTACAATTGCTTCTCTGAGAGGAGGAATATACGATGATGGAAAAATGTGATTCTTTTTATAAAAACACATTTATAAACAACTTTTTAGGAACACAGCTCTTTTGCTAAGGCAAGAACATCTGTATTTACAACACAGATCTGAAACACCTACATGTTTTTCTGTATAACAGAGCATGTTTCTCTTGGCTGACATAATGTTTTATCTTCATATTTGAACAAGAATTTATAAATAGGTCATTCTCGGTATCTTAGAAGAACATTTAGGCATTAGTTTTGTTTTAGGAAAAACAGTGAAGTGTACAGCATAAAATATCATGCTAGTCTTTTTACTTTTTCACATGTACACAAAGTTACCATCTGAAGTCTTCCTTAATTCAGTTTTCAGTTTCTCCTGGTCTTCTACTAGTTTTTTATTTTCTGCTTCCAAAACACATTCTTCATCTTTACCATGGCTTTTCAAAATCTATTGCAAAAGGAGATACAGGAAGAAATAAGCTTAGATTGCAATAGCCAGACATTCTTACAGAAAATAAGCTGAGTAACCTATCTAAACTTACCTGTTTATAATTTATTCTTTGTCCTTTTCAGAATTTTATAGTTTTCTACAATGTACTTTTGCTAACAGAAACTTAATATTTGGGAAACACACAAAAAAGATTTCCTATTATGGCAAAATCTGTAAAATGAACATAAGAATTTCTAGTTGCTGTGATTAAAATAATATTCTCAAAAGTATTTAGGTAAATAACGTCAGTCTTTCTTCCTCAATTAATGAGAAATGTAAATCTAAGGGAAAAAAACAGTTCTGAGGATGATATTAATTAGAAAACCATTATGTTCTGATTGTAGAGCTATCTACTCAGCCTATTTTTATACAGACAAATTTGTAAGAGAAGAATATGTCAGAGTGGAGATGGGTAAGTGGGAAATGACAGGACCATTTCTACAGCTGGAAAGTTCTAATTTTCATTGAATAGTTTCCAAATTACTGTTATTCCATTAATCCTTTATAATGCTCTTTATATTTTAAAATTGATTCTGGCTTTAAAAATGTTAGTGTTTGTAGCTTATCTTTTCTAGGTAAGAAAAATTAAGATCCATATAGTAAAACAACTGATCAAAATAAAATTATCATGGAGTAAAAATTTAATCATCTGTATTGTGTACAGAAACTATAATTATCATCAGAACTAAGAAGCTGACTTAAAGAAATGATAAAGCATTTAAATTACCTAGAAAGACAAAGTAAATGTTTGAAAAACATAATATGTATACTGTTGTGGGTCAATAGATTAAATAAAGAGGCAGGCAGCTACTTTTTTTTCTTTTTTTTTTTTTAAGAAACAGGGTCTCACTCTGTCACCCAGGCTGGAGTACAGTGGTGCAACCCATAGTCTCTTCAGCCCTGACCTCCTGGGCTTAAGTGATCCTCCCATCTCAGCCTCTTGAGTAGCTGAGACTATAGGCGTGTGCCACCATGGCAGGCTAATTTTACAAAAAATTATATATATATATATGTGTGCATATATATATTTATATATATATATATAAAATTTATATATAATTTATATATAAAAATTATATATAAATATATATATAAAAATTATATATATTTATATATAAATATATATAATTATGTATATATATATTTATAAATATGTATTTATATACATATAAATTTTAATATATTTATATATTTATAAATATATATTTATATACATATAAATTTTTAATATATTTATATATTTATAAATATATATTTATATACATATAAATTTTTAATATATTTATATATTTATAAATATATTTTATATATATACAAATTTTTAATATAAATTTATATATATAAATTTGTAGATCTATAAATATATATAAATTTATAGATATATAAATTTATATATACACGTGTGCACATATATGTGCGTGCGTGTGTGTGTGTGTGTGTGTGTGTGTGTGTGTGTGTGTATACTGTATTGCCCAGGCTGGTCTTAAATTCCTGGCCTCAAGCAATCTTCTCACCTCAGCCTCCCAAAGTGCTAAGATGACAGGCATCAGCCACTGCACCTGGCCAGTGGCAGCAACTTGATACTGACAGGTTCTATAGTCAGGTAAAAAAGGAACACAGGAGAATTTTAAACAGACTAACATAAGAGGAATTTCACTGCAGGGTGATTCATTTTCTAATGTAAGCCAATATATTCATCAAAATACAAAGTTCTACTGAGCAATGACTACATGCAAATATTTTTACAATGTAAGGTGCTGTAAGAGATAAAAATATAAGAGAAACATGGTCTCTACTTTTGAATAACTTCAATCTAGTAGAAAGGACGAAACGAGCATAAAAACTGTAGCACAAGACCAAATACAGTACTACTGTGCTATATAGAGATTAGGCAGCTCAGAGAAGGAATTAAAGCTCTAATGCATATATTATATAATCCCAAGGACTGTTTTTTGGAGAAGGGAGGATTGAAATACATTCTGAAACTAAAGGAGCCTCATATCTTCTCAAATTAAAAGTTTTTCTTTTTTGTAAAGAGCAGCACAAGAAAAAAATTTCTCCAAATCTCTTTTAATGTGTTGCCTACTTCAAGTTGAAAACAACTCCAGCTATTACTTCACTGAATTCAGTTCATAAAATCTCCAGTGATTACCCAAATTAGAAGAGAATCATTGAGTTGCAGGAACGTTTTCGCTGACTGCTTGAATTTTCATGCCATTGACTTGGAAAAGGTGGATTTGTGTTAGTCTTGTAAATAAGCTTTCACTACTGCACCTGTAAACTTGCCTAAATTTATGATGTGTAACTTGACGCTGGAGAAAGACCAAGAACACTGAAATCTGAAATTTAATGATTACCAGCTACAACAATGCAAGCGTTCACTGTCTAATCCAAATTATCCCACCTTGGTTAAGTTACGTGGCTGGAAAAAAAAATCAGGACAAAGTAAAGCTCTATCACACTGAAGAAGTAAAATTAAAAGTTAATTGGTCTTTCATAATTATTTCATTTCTTTAACTGAATATCAGAACAGAAAGTGGTCATAGGTACCACGTGGAAATTGTTCTATCAGATAACATAGGAGTTGAGGGCACAAAATAATGTGGTTATGAATGTGGATTCTAGAGTCAGGCTGCTTAGGTTCAAATTTTAGTTCTGTCACATATTAGTTGAATGATCTTGTACAAGTCACTTAACCTTTCTATGCCTCCATTTCCTCATCTATAAAATGCAGATAATAACAATACCAAACTCAAGGGACTTTTGTGAAAATTAACAGTTAAAAACCTTGTTGTGAAGCATATGAAGCAATACCTGGCACAATGTTAACTATTATTTATAGCTAAGGAACTTTGAGGCCCATTAACATAGGTGATTTGTGCTAGGTCACATGTTGGAACTAGCACCTAAGTCTCTCGGATCTCAGGGTAATGCAGTTTCCACTGGATAATGTGTCTCTGATAGAGAATGAAGAGGTATGGCTGGGCGCGGTAACTCTTGCCTATAATCCCAGCACTTCTGGAGGCCAAGGTGGGAAGACTGCTTGAGGCCAAAAGTTTGAGATCAGTCTGGGGAGGAAGGGAGGGAAGGAGAGGAAAGGAAAGAAAGGAAGGAAGGACAAAACAAAGGGGGTGTTTTCACAAGCTTATCTTTCCTTAGCTTATTTTTCAAAACCTACATGAAGTACCTTGAAACAGACGTCATCTTTTATATTCTCACTTATGGCCTTTGTTGGTCACTTTATTGGTCAATTAGTTATACTCTGGGCACTGACAGCTGCTTTTATGTGCTGCTCAAAGACTTTCTCCCCACTGTGTACTGGCTTTAGCCCAGCATATCTGTGCCTCCTCTGATTGGGTCACAGCTATGCAGGAAGCAGCAAATCAGGACAGTATGGAAACAAAGGAGAGGAAAACAAACAAACAGAAAGAATAAATCACGCAGGGTCAAGGAATTGGTAATCATGACATAAGTTTCCTTGCATGGGTAAATGGTTCTGAAAACAATTCCAAGAGAAAAGTTGCAAAAGTATTTTGAGGAAGGTGCTTTTTTTAAAAGGGCAAGACTAATTTAAGTGTATTAAGTATGGTATGTATGAAAAAAATAACACTTTCCATTTTCTTAGAGCTAAAGAATAAGAGAAAAACAATTGAAGAGGAAAAAAAGCAGTGTTCTGATGGTTACAAATCATTACTCCAAAATGATGTGTATAATTTTAAATTAAGATATGTACATGATCAGTTGTTCTATAAATACAAGGCTGCGTGCTTTTGAGTTTAGTTAACACTATCAATCAAAGCTTTAATGACTGTGTTTTTATTTTTGCCACTGTGAAATGAGATCAAAAGATAGAAAATAAAGGAATAACATTAAAGATTTCAAATATTATGTGCAATTATCAATCTAGCATCAATGACGTTTCTCTGCTTTCTATAAACCAATCATTTAAAAGAAAACGAAAATCTAGGCTTAAAAATACTTTAACTGAAAAAGAAATAGAAACAGTTATAAAGACTTGCTTTAGATTATAAAGTAAACTTAACGGTAATGAAGGAATTAAAATTCATATTCCCAGAATACTATTTTCTCCTTAAATCACAGAAAATAGGTCCAATGGTATAAATCCACTATGGAGAAAAAGCAAATCTAAATAATAGTAAAAATATTAGTGTGAACAAGCATTTCTAAAGAACAGTAAAACTATTCTTGAAATAATCATTACATAAAATATTGTTAATTATGGTCATTTTCTGCTTATAAAATATAAAAATGCTCTTTTTGATGCTGAAAACAAATACATTACTCCTCGGGAACACCAACAACATTTAATTTTTACAAAGAAAATTAAATACCCTTTTTAGTTTTTCGTTTTCTTCCATAAATTTTTTGGCAGCCTTGTTAGTATTTTCTGCTTGAGTTTTAAGTACACCTTTGTTTGACAGTTCTTTTGCCAGTTGAGTAATAAGCGTAACCAGACGTCTCAAAACTCTAAGAAAAAAAACCAGAATAATGTATTACTGGCCAATCACCAGAAACTTATTTTAAAACAGTCATTGCCAAATTACTCCCCATTAGATATAGGTGTGGTGGTGGCAGATAATGTTTAGGCAGAACCCATTATTCTTTTTTTAATTCAAGTCTCTT
Source organism: Homo sapiens (assembly GCF_000001405.40). Lineage (NCBI taxonomy): Eukaryota > Metazoa > Chordata > Mammalia > Primates > Hominidae > Homo > Homo sapiens. The sequence continues at coordinate 107,595,710 of NC_000007.14, read as the reverse complement.
AGTAAAAACAGGCCCGTGTCTCATTCCTTTGGAATCTTTGTTAGAAGACCAGCATTTAGAATACAGGTTCAGTGGTACTTATTTGTTTTCCTGTAGAAGGCTTTAGCTTGGAGGAATAGAAACAGGAAAATTTCAGACAGTGTGACAGGGCCAGTAGGAGAATTATTTTTTTTGGCCCAGTTCAAATTCTGCTATTTAAGGAACATTGTGTAAGGTCAAACAAGCCGAAGAACAGCTCATTCACATCCGTTTATGTGTAACTGCCATTGTTAGAAGAAATAGTGATGACTATCTTCAATTATTCATTCAGCAGACATTCCTTTACTCAGGAACTGCTAAGTGTTAAGACACTCTGCCAGGCACTGCAGACACAGCGGAAAACAGCAAAGTCCATGCCCTCAGGGGTTTAGCTCCTAGTTGTGGAAGCAAAAGTTAAAACAGTATTTAATTACAACCATGAATGACACTAGAAAATGAAGTATATATACATTCTTTGAGCACCTGTAAGAGAAGACCTACCTACTTTGTGGGTAGTGATGGCCACAGAAGGCTTTGAGAAAGAGGCTAATGGATGAGTAAGAGTTAGCCAGGAAATGAGGAAAGAAAAGAGTGTTCTGGCAAAAGGAAGAGCTTGTGTAAAGACCCTAAAATGGGAAAGAGTTAGGTACACCACAGAACTCAATCAATATCTGTTGCAAGATGGAATGAATGAATAAATGGTGAAGGTCTGTAAGGGTGGAATGTATTGTACATCTCAGAGACACGTATGAGACAAGGCTCCAAAGAGAGGCAGGAGCCTAATCATTCAGGGCCTTATGGACTGGGCAAACCTACAAGCTGTTAACTACTGTTTGTTATTTGGGTATATCATCTGAATTCTTTTACAAAGATGTTATAAAAAAATCTACAGGCCGGGCGCGTTGGCTCACATCTGTAATCCCAGCACTTTGGGAGGCCGAGGCGGGAGGATCATGAGGTCAGGAGATCGAGACCATCCTGGCTAACCCAGTGAAACCCTGTCTCTACTGAAAATACAAAAAAATTAGCAGGGCACAGTGGCAGGCGCCTGTACTCCCAGCTACTCAGGAGGCTGAGGCAGGAGAATGGTGTGAACCCAGGAGGTGGAGCTTGCAGTGAGCCGAGATCGCGCCACTGCACTCCAGTCTGGGCGACAAAGCGAGACTCCATCTTAAAAAACAAACAAACAAACAAACAAACAAAACTACAGTAGGCTGGGTACAGTGACTGTAATCTCCGTACTTTGGGAGGCTGAGGTGGGAGGATCACTTGAGGCCAGGAGTTTGAGACCAGTCTGGGCAACACAGTGAGACCCCATCTCTACAAAAAATTTAAAAATTAGCCCTACATGGTGGTGTGCCGCCTGTAGTCCTAGAAATGAGAGGTTGAAGAGGCAGGATCACTTGAACCCAGGAGTTTGAAGTTACAGTGAGCTATGAAGGCACCACTGCACTGCAGCCTGGGCAACAGAGCGAAAGGTTGTCTCTCTTAAAAAAAAAAAAAATCTACAGTAAAGGTGGACAAAATGAGAAAGGAAAGCATAAGTCATGTTTTTAAATTGTGCTTCTATTATTATTTTTTACTTACAGCCAAAAAAATAGGGAAAATCCAGAAATGTAAAGATTTCTTTGAGACCTAAAAAGTTTCATCTGTGTGTGTTCATAGGCATCAGGTCTGCTGGTGGAGCTCTTCTCAATGGTATGAACTGAGGAATATTTCCTTACTTCTCTCACAGCATCTATTACAGAACAAAAGAAAACAGTACTTTTGGCTTTTACGAATATAAGCTTGTTAAAAATGGAAAGCAGTTTTAGAAAAACTGACCAAACTTTTAAATAATGGACTTTAGGCAGAGGCGACCTTTATGTCATTCCGTCTACAGTACCCGGGAACTTTTCATGCTCAAAGTAGGTGCTCTATAAATGGACACTAGTAGCAAATTTTGAATTACTATAGCATTTTTAAAATTATTCATCTAGTACTTACCATCATTTTATTGTTTCTCATCTCTAACTACACTGCAAACTATTATCCTTTACATTTTCTGTCTCTAAGATGACTAAAATTCAGCCTATTGACAATGACAGATGTCATATCCCATTACAATCAATTCCAAGAGACTATCCCATTTCTCTTACTACACTAGCATTTTATTACATATTATTACTTTAAATGATTGAGATTTTCAAAATATTTGGTTATACTGAAATTTCCACTGGCATAAGTTTGTTAACATGGGATTTGATCTGTGGTGGCATACACTCCTCCGACTAGTGCATAGCAGCTGCTACTGGAAAGGTTCAGATAGCTGCTCCTTTGATGCTTTCAGTTCTGGGAAGTCTCAGATGCAGGGGAACCACTTCTTTCCAGTGGAAAATAGATATCAGCTTATAAGGGTCTACATTGAGTGCATTCTTAGTTCCTGGATTCTTGTATGTACTAGGGAAGGCATCTGCCTTATAAGGTCTCAAAAGCCAGTGGAAGTATATGAACAAGTTTGAATGCTCCCCTTTCATGCGACCAACAGAAGTCTTGGGTAAGAGTTATTGCCACACAAGGAGACTCCAGTTAGAAAACTGGGGCCTTTTTGACTACTATTTTATTTTTAGCAGCTTTATTGAGATGTAATTCACATACCATAAAAATTTACCTCTTTAAAATGTATAATTCAGTAGTTTTTAGTATATTCACAAAGTTGTATAACCATTACCACTATCTAATTTCAGAACATTTTGGTCACCCCACAAAGAAAATCTATACACATCCCTCAGCTCCTGGTGACCAGCAATCTGCTTTCTGTCTCTACAGAACTACCTGTTCTAGACATTTCATATAAACTGAATCATATACTATCTGCTCTTTTGTGTCTGGCTTCCTTCACTTAGCATAATGCTTTCAAAGTTCGTCTGCACTGTAGTATGTGTCAGTACTTCATTACTTTTATGGCTGAATAATATTCCATTGTATGAATGTGGTAACATTTGGTTTATCTATTCATTGGTTGATGGCATTGAGCTGTTTCCACCTTCCGGCTATTATGAATAACGCTGCTACGAACATTCATGTGCAAGTTTTATATCGACATGTGCTTTCATTTCTCTTGGTACATACCTAAGAGATGAACTGCTGGGCCATATGGTAACTCTATGTTTAATTTTTGAGGAACTGCCAAACTGTATTCCAAAGCAGCTGTACTACTTTACATTCCCACAAGCAGTGTATGTTGGTTCCAATTTCTCCATATCCTCAGCAACACTTGTTATTATATTTTTGATTATAGTCATCCTAGTGGGTGTAAAGTGGCATTTCTTTGTGGTTTTTATTTGCATTTCTCTGATAGCTAATGCTGTTGAACATCTTTTCATGTGCTTGTTGATCATTTGTATATCATCTTTGGAAAAATATCTATTCAGATCCTTTACCCATTTTTAAATTGGGTTATTTGCTTTATTTGTCTCCCAAATGTCTTTCATAGAATTTTTTTCAAACTGAGAATTTTATAATGGATACTCATTACATATAGTTATGTTTCTGTAGTCTCTTGACATATAATACTTTTTTAAAAAGGTGCCAGGCCAATTGTTTTCTAGAAAGTTCTCACATTCTGGCTGGGTGTGGTGGCTAACACCTGTAATCCCAGCACTTTGGGAGGCAGAGGCAGAAGGATAGCATGAGGCCAGGAGATGGAGACCAGCATGCGCAAAATGGCAAGACCCTGTCTCTTTTTTTAAATATTAAAAAAAAAATAAGCACAAAGAAAGTTCTCACATTCTGAATTTGTCTGAGTGTAGTCCAATTTCTTTCTCTAACTCCTGTATTTTTAGAAAACCAGAAGTCAGACTTGATTGGTTCTGCCAGGCCTCAGAAAGTAAAAATAAAATAAAACAAATACTTGATTGGATAAGGTTTAATACTTTTGGCAAGAATCCCTCATAGTTTATGCTGTGTAATGTTAGTTTGTCTCATACTTTTTGATGCTAAATTTGATTACTTAGTTAAGATGTAAGGGTTCTCCAGGGAAAAAGAACCAATAGGGTGTGTGTGTGTGTGTATGTGTGTATGGGGAAAAGTGGTACAGGGGGCAGACAGAGAGAGAAAGAGAGAGAGAGAGCTCGAGATTTATTTTAAGGAACTGGCTCATATGCTCGTAGAGGCTTGTTAAGTTTAAAATCTGGAGGGTAGACTGGCAGTCTGGAGATCCAGGGAAGAAATACATCTTGAGTCCAAAGGCAACCTGCGGTCAAAATTCCTTTTTGCTCAGAGGAGGTCAATCTTTGTTCTATTAAGGCTTTCAGCTGATTAGATAAAGCCCACTAACCTGTTTTTATTTTCCCCTTTACTGTTGAAATCTGGTAGTGTGAGTCTCCCAATTTTGTTATTTGTAAAGATTTTTTGACTGTTTTATGAGTTCTTTGCATGTCTGCATAAATTTTAGAAGCAACTGATCAACTGCTACAAAAATGCCTGTTGGGTTTCTGACAGGGACTGTGTTATGTCCGTAGAATTTTGGAAGAACAAACATTTTAATAATATTGAGTATTCCAACTGATGAAAAATCCCCATTTATTTTGATTTTCTTTCAGCAATGTTTTTGTAGTTTTCTGTATAGAGCTGTTGTGCCTCTTTTATAAAGTTTATTTCTAAGGTTTTTAGGCTTCTTGGTGTACTTAGAAAAGGAATTTTTAAAAATGTCATTTGCCTATTGTTTACTGCTTATAGTATAGAAATACAATTACTGATACACTGAATTTTTGTATACTGACCCACCTGTATTTTGTGACCCCACTATATTAATTTCTTTGACATAATAACTTTCTTGTAGATACTTTAGGATTATTTCTTTCTTTCTTTCTTTCTTTTTTTTTTTTTTTTCTGAGACAGGGTCTCGCTTTGTCACCCAGGCTGGAGTGCAGTGATGTGATCACGTCTCACTGCAGCCTTGACCTCTTGGGCTCAAGCAACTCTCCCACCTCAGCCTTTTGAGTAGCTGGGACTACAAGCATGAGCCACCATGCCTGGCTAATTTTTGTACTTTCTGGTAGAGACGGGGTTTAGCCATGTTGCCCAGGATGGTCTGCAACTCCTGAGCTTGAGCAATCTGCCCAACTCAGCCTCCTAAAGTGGTGGGATTACAGGAGTGAGCCACTGTGCCAGGCCAGGATTTTCTATATAAATAATCGTGTCATCTGCAAATAAGGATATTTTACTTCTTTCTTTGCAATCTTTAAGCCTTTCATTTCTTTCATGACTTATTATTACCCTGGCTAGGACATCTATTACTCAAATGAATAAACAGAGTGTAAATATCCTTGCCTTGTTTCCAATCTTATGGGGGAAGACTTTGATATTTAAGTATGATGCTAGCTTGAGGTTTTTTGTAGCTCTTCATCAGAATGAGAAATCTTCCTTCTAAATCTTTAAAAAACAACTGAGTGAATATTATTTTTTTCACTGTCAATATTCAATATAATGGGTAGATATTATTAAGGTGGAAACTAAAATCACCGATTTTAAATCTTTTTTAAAAATAAATATTCAAATCTATAATTTTTCCTTTAAGCAGTGCTTTAATGGCATCTTAAAATTTTAATATATTGTATTTTCATTATTGTTCAGTTAAAATATTTTCTAATTTCCTTTGTGAGTTCTTTGACCCAAGGATTACTAACAAGTCTTGTTTAATTTTCAAACATGTATAGGTTTTCCAGATTTCTGTTACTGATTTCTATTTTCATACTCTGTAGGGGCTGGGCACAGTAGCTCTCATCTGTAATCCCAGCATTTTGGGAACAGGAAGGATCACTTGAGGCCAGGAGTTTGAGACCAGCCTGGGCAACAAAGCGAAAGTCTGTCTCTATAAAACAACAAAAACAAAACCCCCATACTCTATATGATTCCAATCCTTGGTAGGACTTCAATCCTTTGTATTTATTGAGACTTGTTTTATGGCCCAGAATATAGTGTATCTTGGTGAAGAGAGTTTAGTATATTCATGTGCCCTTGCAAAGATTATGTACAGCAGGGGTCCCCAACACCTGGAGCCATGCACCTGTACTGCTCCACGGCCTGTCAGGAATTGGGCTGCACAGCAGGAGGTGATTGGCAGGCCAGTGAGCAAAGCTTCATCTGTATTTACAGCCACTCCTTATCGCTCACATTACTGCCCAAGCTATCAGATCAGTGGTGGCATTAGATTCTCATAGGAGTGGAAGCCCTTTTGTGAACTGCGCGTGCAAGGGATCTAGGTTGCATGCTTCTTATGAGAATCTAATGCCTGATGATCTGCCACCATCTCCCATCATCCCCAGATGAGAATGTCCAGTTGTAGGAAACAAGCTCAGGGCTCCCAGTGATTCTACATTACGGTGAGTTGCATAATTATTTCATTATATATTACAATGTAATAATAATAGAAATGAAGTGCATATAAATTTAATGTGCTTGAATCATCCCGAAACCATCCCCTGCTCCTGCATATGGAAAAACTGTCTTCCATGAAGCTGGTCCCTGGTGCCAAAAAGGGTGGGGACTGCTGATGTACAGTTTACAGCTGTTTAGAGAGGCTTGATTTTTATACTTTTTTAGGGTAAGTCTATTTTGCTTTAGGCCTTAGTTATAGTAAATTTCTAATTCCTGGGATATAGTCTCTATTCCTAAGGAGTAGCCCTTCTGTGATTTTAGTGGAAAGGTTCAAGGTCTTTACCAAGCCCCTCTAACGTGATGAGGCTCATACTCCAAACTCTGTCTCTCCTTGGTGGCCAGCAGCCAAAATTTCTTCTCAGCCTTGCTGCTTTTTGCTGGCTGTTCCTTTTCATTGATTTCCTTGGAATCTTTCCTACACATCCATGGTTGAAGAGTCAACCAAGAATTTAAGGGGAGTTTACATGTGGATTTTGGGGTTCCCTTTTTGGGTTCTCTCCTTTCTTAGACATCCTTCTTATTTTTGAATCTATCTGACCTCTGACCCCTTAAGTCAGTTAAGACTGTCTTTTTGCTTTGAGTTCTATATCGTTGTCTATGCCACATGACTGGAAAGCGGTTGGAAGAAAGGCTATATAAATGTGATCACACCCAGTATGATTCCCTTCTTTTAAGGGTTGACGTCCCTCTAGTTTCTGCCTGCTTTTGGTTGCTCTACAAGGCCTTCAAATACCTTTTTTCGTATTTTATCGAGGGTTCATAATTTTTAACACAGGAGAAATAGTCTAATACAACCCGTTTTGCTATGAACAAAGCCAGACTCCTATGTCTTTAACAAAATTGTTTTAATTTATTGAGGCAAAATTCATATAACATAAAAGTAAACACTTTAAAGTGAACAATTCAGTCATGCTTAGTATATTCACAATGCTGTGCAACTACCACCTCTATCTAGTTCCACATTTCCATACTCCAAAATAAAACCCAAATAAATCACTCTAAAACTTAAAAAATCCTTAATTTTTGACTTTATATTTGTATGCCATATCTATTCCTGAAAGTCTTAGTTTCTAATACCATGAACATACTAATTTGCTTGATGCTGCACTATACATAAAACAGCTTTTAAATTACCAACAATAAAACTATTATAAAGTTTCAGATTTCATTGTAATCCTCTTGGTTCTTAAAATGTACCCTACCAGCGAGGTAAAAAGTTAAGAGTACTATGTTCAAGAGTAATTATTTTTCTCTGTGTTATATATTGCAATCTGATGTACTATTCAGTTCATTTGTTCTGACTTATTTTCAATTCTACAGCTTGCTTTTTTCTAGCTCTGTACAATTTGAAGTTTAAATTCTAGAACAGTTTAAGAAGCAGTAGTAATATCTGTTTTCTGAAAGCAGTAGGGTTTCTTATAAAACTATCTGGTTTTTTGCTTTTTTTTTCAAATAGGGGTCCTTTTTGATAACTTTCTATAATTTTTCTATATAAATTAGTCTGCTTAAATTTTCTATATCTACTGGTGTTCATTTGGTAAATCATATTTTTCTACAAAATTATACATTTTATCTAGGTTTTCCAATTTATTTGCATAGTTATATAAAGTAGTCTCTTAAATGATCTTTAGAAAATTTCCTGTATCTTAATGGCTATTTCCCCTTTGTCATTTCTCAGATTGCCTCAATAATATAGTAAGAGCATGCCAACCACTACCAAAAAACCAACAAAGATAATATATATTTACGACTTATTTTAAATAGGCAAATAGTGAGTACTATGAAGGATCATTATGCTTCGTGATTCATCTTCCTTGGTAATTAAATGGGAATAATACTCCTGAATCCATTATGCAGAAAAGCTGAAGATTAACCAATAATATTAAAAAGGTTTATTAATGTCAATGGTCATGTAAACATACCTGTAGAATACATCACCTGTATACTAAAAAGGTAACTATGTCTGAAAAATGGAATGGAGTCAACAATAAGGGAAGGATGTGACATATAGTCAATTTTCTATAAACCACCTGAAGATGATCCAATTTTAGATCAGTTATGGAAACTTTCAAATTCCTGGGATGCATTTCTGCTAACACTAAACACACTCTTGAAATTCCCACTTCCATTCTGTCTCTTACCAGCACCTAAAATACACACACATGCACACACACTTGTATGCACACACTCAGTTAGTGTTGGCTCTAAGAATACAAACACTTCTTAATAGCTACCTTATTTTGGCTGGGTGCAGTGGCTCATGCCTGTAATCCCAGCACTTTGGGAAGCCGAAGTGGGCGGATCGCTTTGAGCTCAGGAGTTTGGGACCAGCCTGGGAAACATGACAAAACCCTGTCTCTATTAAAAAAAACAAAAATTAGCCAGGGGTTGGTGGCTCTCGCCTGTAGTCCCAGCTACTTGGGAGGCTGCAGCTGGAGAATTACTTGAGCCTGGAAAGTGGAGGTTGCAGTGAGCTGAGATCGCACCACTGCATTTCAGCCTTGGTGACAGAGTGAGACCCCGTCACAAAAAAAAAAAAAAAAAGAATAAATACATATAAAAAGAAAATGTATAAAAAAGTTACCTTATTTAGAGAGATAACCAAGAAAAAGGAAATAAATTTCCAAGTAAAATATAAATTAAGCATGAGTAATCCACTGGTTTTGCATTATTTACATCGTTGTGGACTCGAACATCAGACTCTGCACTTTACATATGTTACTGCGTTTAAATCTTAAAACACGAAAGTAGGTGTCATTACTCCATTTTGGATGGAGACCTAGAGGATAAGCACCTATCTGGTTGCCTTAACTATCCATGATGTCCTTGTTCTCTGGGAATTAATTGCCCTGTTTACCCAAAGATGCAGGCTTCAGCCAGCAGTCATGATTCTCCCTTGTGACCTTCCTGGTTATAGGAGATGAGGAGTAGATAACTGGTACTAGCTGGTCCAATTTTTTTTCCTTTGATGTGGAATTGGGATTCAGAGATGATGAATTAACCCTTGCATACGTCTGGAATGGGTACCACACCTGGCAGCTGTGTGGTACCCATTTACTGCCTTGGAGATAGACAGAATATCAGAGTCCATAATAAAAAAGAATGAAGTATATATAGGAAAAATGTATATGGCCAAGAAAAGGACATTTCAGTTCCAAGTACTAATCCCTCCCTGGAATTTGGCTTCCTTCCTTTCTTGGGCTACTCTGCAACAGCCCCGTATTTTATTACAAATTTTTCCTTTTTTAGTCAAGCGAGTTCAAGTTGGTTTCTTTTTTTTTGAGACGGAGTTTCACTCTTGTCACCCAGGCTGCAGTGCAATGGCGCGATCTCGGCTCACTGCAACCTCTGCCTCTCGGGTGCAAACAATTCTCCTGCCTCAGTTTCCTGAGTAGCTGGGATTACAGGCACGCGCCCCCATGCCCGGCTAATTTTTGTATTTTTGGTAGAGACAGGGTTTCACCACGTTGGCCAAGCTGGTCTGGAATTCCTGACCTTAGGTTGATCCACCTGCCTTGGTCTTTCGAAGTGCTGAGATTACAGAGGTGAGCCGCCGCGCCCGGCCAAGTTTGTTTCTAATGTAACCAAAAGAACTTATACTACAACTCCCCTCCCTTACATGATAAGTGACAGTTTTCAATAGAAATTTTTGTGATAATTTTAGAGTTAGAAGATCATAAAATCAGGAGCTGCAGAGATTCTTTCCATCTCTCCCTTTATTTCACAAGATGAATAAATCAAACCCAGGAAATAAAAGCCATTTCAAAGGTCCTTTAGTTAGCTGGTGGCAGAACTGGAACCGGTTTTCCTTATTGTTCTTTACTGACTTCTCATAACTAGTTATATGGCTAGAGATTCAATCCATAACATTAATAATGTACCATGAGACAAATATTTACATCTTGAAAAGAGGCACAAATCATTCACACCTTTCTGTTTTTGACAATACCATCCCTTCTCATACCAGATGTTCTTAGTTTTATAAAGAGGATTCTATTTGAGAGATTGGTGGTTTGGAACATGGAAGACATTTTCTCACAAAACAGTGTCAAAGATGGCGGTTAGGGTCCCAAGTTCGCCTCTCTAAATCCTATTTAACCAACAACACAACAACTCTGAGGGAATTCTGAGGGAAAACATACTCTGTGCAAGAAGGGGCATTTCAAGAAGTAGCTAGATAATCTTAGACAAGTCACTCAATTTCTCTGAGCTCAGTAACAACTGGAAAAACATGGTGATTACTAAGACTCATGGAACTTCTGGTTTGACAAGAACCTAAAGGTCTACTTTTAATTTTTAAAATACTGTTACCATGAAAATTTAAAACATGCTGAAAAACGAGTACAGACATTATGTAAACAAATGGGCATGGTCATTTCCCAATAAAACTTTATTTACAAAAATAGGTATTTGGCCCACAGGCTATATAGGTTGCTGACCCTGCTATGTAACAATGCTGTTATCACAACTAAAGTTAACAAAAATTCCCTAATATTATACAATCACTCCATATTCAAATTTTTGCGGTAGTCCCCAAATCTATGTTGCAGTTTTGTTTGTTTGTTTGTTTTTTTAAGGAAGGATCTTGCTCTGTTGCTCAGGCTGGAGTGCAATAGTTCACTGCAAACTTGAACTTCTGGGCTCAGGCAATCCTCCAGTCTCTCAGCCTCCCGAGTAGCTGGGACTATGGGTGCACATCACCACACCTGGCTAATTTTTACATTTTTGTAAAGATAAGGTTTTGCTATGTTGCCCAGGCTAGTCTCAAACTCCTGGACTCAGGCAATCCTCCCGCCTTGGCCTCCCAAAGTGCTAGGATTACAGGCCTGAGCCACCTCGCCCGGCCATGTTTATTTTTTAATCCAGTCCAAATGCACACCCTGCATCTAAGACTCCTTTGGAGAGCCTAATGATTCTATTCTTTTATTTGCCTTTCTAACAGCTAAGCTCCTGGGTGCCTAGGACATCACAGTAACAAAGGAGAGACAACACCATGAAAAATAAAGTCTGGTAACTCTGAACAGCAAGGTATGCATTAATATACAGCATTTAAATCTTAAAATAACCTAGAAGGGGTTAAGAATCATTGTGCCCTGTTGAAACTTAAGCTTGAACATACAGAATGGTAGTATCTATCAACTGTGTATCAATAGATCAGTATCCACTCTATGTACTATCAATATACTATATAAAGTCAACTGTACACCAATTGTAACATCAACTCTATTAATTAAAAAGAAATTCATTTAAAAAAAGTTATATTTATTCAAAGAAGGGATCTAGTACTTACCTAGAAATAGAACAATCAATAGGATGATAATGGTAAGGAAAGCCTTGTTCCAAAAAGTTGCAATTTTACCCCAGACATTAAATGAAAAAATCTTCTGCCATCTGTAAAGCAATACAATTATATTAGGTATAAAAAAACTAAAATAAAGTTTTGAAATACTTTTTAAATACTGAAGTAACATTTTAGTAATTGTGTAGCAAGTGAAAATTACAGAAATTTAATTTTAAAATTTATTAATTCTGACATGACAGAATATCTCATGAATTAAAAAACAACTCTTTCAAATTTAATAATAACCTGATATTTGATTATCCTCTGTCTGGTGGCTTAAATATTCTAAAAGTAAACCATACATGAGCAAAACCTTAAAAAGGAATTCTTGCAGTAGTAAAATATTATATTGTTGATAGAAGCTACTACTCTGTATCTTTTTCATGGTCAGAGAAATGACTTAGAAATAAAGATATATTGTTCTAACAATTGGCAACATTTCAGGAGTGGGGTCTAACTCTGCATACTGATTTTTATATAGTACAATTTTAACGTATACTCCAACTAAAAGTTTCTCTACTTTAACCATGAGGGAATTATAAAAACTACCCAGGTATTATACACATAAATTGAAAAAATCTTAAATATGTAGCTTGATAATTTTCACACACACACTATATATATATATATAAAACCATGTAATTACTACAGATAAAGATGTGAACATAGAGGAAATGAGATGGGGAAATAGTCTAGGTGGATTGAACAGTATAAACAAAGACAGTGGTAAGAAAGCATGGGTTATAAATGGCAAAGTGGCAAAATAATCCATCACGCAATAGGAAAGGTAACAAACTTTGTACAAGGGCAATTTAAATGAGTAACACTTTAGTTGAAAGGAGGCAGAAAAATGTAGTAAGCACTTAAATAGCTTCAAGCACTTACAACTTGAAAAAAACAGTTTCACTTTAAGATTAGGACACATTTAAGATTTAAGATTAGGACAACTTCAAGTAACTACTTGAAATTGGTGGGTTGAGGGAGATTCATACAGATGAATCGGTTCATTTTGTCTCTGCTTCCAAGTCCAAGCATTTTATACAGCCAATATTTAAATTATGCAATATAAAATTTTATATTTTTAAGAGAACATAAGTGGTAATACCTTGATCTAGGTCCAAATGTAAATTTACTTATTTCTTCAAGGTTTGGTGTGGTGTAAAAGGGAATGTAAGAGATCTCTCATAGGGAACAACTAGCAGTTGAGCACCTTATCATAGCTAATACCTATTGTGTTCTCACTATATTATGGTTCTAAGTACTTTTACATGTTTTATCTCATTTAATTACAACAACTACCGTAAGGGGTAGACACTAGTACTACCTCCATTTTACAGATGGGGAAACAGATCAGAGAGGATCAAGAGCATGCCCAAGGTTAGTAACATGCAGTTATAGGTGACCTGATTTCTGAGCATGTGCCTTTAACCACTGGGTTATGTAAGAAAATAATAGAGACTAAATGATGAAATATTTTCTTTAAAGATTATGGTGATACAAATATAAAAGATAAAAAGATGTGGATACACACATAGGACATATTGTAAATGATCTGCGTGCATACATACCGTATTTTCTTTATATCTGTACATGAGAACACATTTATATATCATATGCAAATATACACACATCTATCTAATAGCTACTTGATCAGGATGGGTAAAATTTTTATTTGGCAGGAAGAAAAATATTGATCCATAAGTTACAGATCACTCTGATGGAGTAAAGATCAACTGACAATTTTTCCTTCTTTGCAAACCCTTAAGCCTTATCTATAAATTAGATGTTTATATACAAAATCTTTCTTTCTCTTGAGTATATAGGATTCTATCATTGCAAATATTACCAAAAAGCAAAACAGGGTGTTACTGAGTTTGAAACAAAACCTACAGGATGAGAGGCAGCATGATGGAGTAGAAAGAACACTGGACTAAGAGCCAGATTTTTTTCTAGAATCTGTCACTTACCAGCTAGGTAACCGTAGGCTACTTGCCCTCCTGGGTCTCAGTACGTGATATATAGAACATGGGTGGAATGGATCAAATAAGATCAAAGACCCTACAGTATGATTCAATTTTTTTTCTTTAGTAAGAAACAACTTACTGAGCTTAGCTTAGCTGATAGAGAAGGACAGAAGAGAGCAGAAATCCAGGCAGGTAAGGAGCAAGTTAGGAGTTGTGAAAGACTATCTGGACCCTGAGCTAAGGTGAAACTTTAAGAAGTTTCTCCCAGTCCTGGGATTTTAATACACTTTAGTGGGTTATCTCTAGGATCTCACTTATGAAATACTTTCTTTTATGCCAGGAGTATGAACAAATATCTTGCAATATTTTTATTACATGTGTATTTCCCCATTCATACTATCAAATTTCTGGATCTAAAATTAAACGACTAAAAAGTAGATTACTGCAAGGGTAAAATGAACCACTGCTTGGCTTGAAACACTGTACTTGGTTCTTCAAGACCTTAGAAGTTCCGTCACTAACGAACTAATGCTAATACATGGTTGTGATACTTTTCACATTCAGCACTTTTAATATACATTCATTAATTTTATGTGAAATCAAAAGTAGTAAAATTGTCATTAATGAAACTAACGGTTACAAAGGCGAAAACTAAGAATAATTTATTGGCTTTGGTTTCTAAATTGCTGTTCCAGTGCCTCAGTGAAACACTTTTACACCCATGCTGTACTGTAAACATGATTTATCCACTTATATTTATTTAGTTCATGGCTCCAATTCAGGGCAATAAAACAAAGGTAAAACCTGAGACAAGGCAGGGCAGGTGTTAAAAGTATAATCGTTGCTTTATTATATCTGTAATCAACAGAATCAAAAGTATAGGCGCCTTTTCTTTTAGAAGGGAAGAAAAAGTTATTTCACTTGTACACGTAACAGAGTTTTATATAAAATGTTATTTTAATATTGTCATTATATACTACCTAATTCGTTAGGTGAGTTTATTTTCAAAGACTTTCGAAACTTTTTAATGTTCAGAAAACTTTTTCCATTTTACATTAAGAGCGATCCAATATTTATTAGTTAACGATTTGAAGGTTTCCTACCTCTGAGGAGGAATAAAAGGTAGGCAGAAGATTAAAATGAGTCCTATTTCGGCATAAAGAAAGGTTGCCACTGCAGCCCATTGGAGTGTCATTTTTTTCTTCACACCTAAATGGAAAAACACTTATTTTCTCTTGCTTCCTTTCAAACAAAACCGGGTTCAAGGCCCCGAGGCGCAGCGTTTTTGTCCAGGGGATGGACAGTGTTCCACCTTCCCCCACCTGGGAAGGCAAGCACGGACCCCGGTCAGGAAGGGGAAAAGGGTGGCCCGGGAAGCGGGTGTCGCCACCTCCCTGGGAGTCGTGGGAACTGGCGAGGCGGCTCGCTGGCCACTGCCTTTTCCGCCAGCTTCGCGGCGACAGAAGCCCAACGCCTCCCTCCACCAACGCCCGGCTTCCCGGCCCTCCCGCTCCCAGAAGGCGCCGCGGGCCCTCGACCACCGCGCCGCGGACCGGGCCGGGCCGGGTCGGGCCAGGCCAGCTCCGCGGGGTTCTCCAGACCAGGCAGCGGCGCTCTCCCTCCGCGGCCTACGCCCCACGGGTCCCCGGGTCGCAGAAGCCCTTACCCGCCGGCAGCCCGCCTGGCTCCCTGCGCTGCTCCGCGGCCGCCGACGCGCGGGACGTCAGACGCCGCGGCTGGGCGGGGGAGGGGAGCCAGGGCCCCACCCCGCCTCACGCCCCGCAGGCTCCCGCCCGCGGGTCCGTCCCGGCTGAGGTCACAGGCGGCGCGACCACGTTTATTGGCAACAGTTGTTTTCTAATTGGCGGCAGGTCAGAGAATGAGTTAGACTTTTGACCTGATGCTTGGAGGTCGGAGCGCAACTTCTTCAGGAGGACAGACTTTCCACTGCTAAGTGCGGCCCCGGCGGGAGGGTGCCGGGGTCCAGGTCTAAGGAGCGGCGCCGGGCGGCGGGGCTGGATTGGGTGGTGCAAATTCAGCGAACGCGCTTAAGACGCACTCCTTTCCGGTCACCTACTCTCTCTTCATGGTGGGAACTGTTTGTGTCCAGAATTAAGCTATATTTAATAAAGGGCCAGGATGAGGTGGTCGTGCAGCATTTTGTTCTGGAGAACCTAGGATCAACTGTATGTCACAACATATTCCGTAGGCGTTCCCGTTCCCGTCCATGGGCTGGGAAGAGACAGTAAACTTTACCGTGATGTTTGGGGACTGGTACGAAAGGTGGGTATGGGGATATTCTTTCACTATTTTCCAGCTTTTCAAACTGTGCGTGTACATTTAAGTTGTTGAGTTTTTTCAATATTGACAACGTATCAGGAATTTAATAAAAGTACTATCCTGGTAACAATTATTTGGGGAATAGTAAATAAATGTTGAAAATTGATAATTATAGAATATAAAACATTCAAAAACACATTTAAGTTGGTGCTTTTTCTTAATTTATCACTAATATTCTGGATCACATGTAACAGAAAAAATAGAAAAATAGACTTTGAACATAAATTAACCATAAGGAAGATTTTTTTTTTTTTTTTGAGATGGAGTCTCCCAATGTCGCCCAGGCTGGATTGTGGTGGTGCGATCTCGGCTCACTGTAGCCTCTGCCTCCCAGGTTCAAGTGATTCTCTGGCCCCAGTCTCCAGAGTGGCTGGGATTACAGGCGCCTGCCACCATGCCTAGCTAATTGTTGTATTTTTAGCAGAGACAGGGTTTCACCATGTTGGCCAGGCTGGTCTCGAACTCCTGGACTCAAGTGATCTGCCTGCCTTGGCCTCCCAAACTGTTGGGATTACAGGTGTGAGCCACCGCGCCTAGCCAGGAAGTTACTTTTTTTTTTTTTTTTTTGAGACAGAGTCTTGCTCTGTTGCCCAGGCAGGAGTGCAGTGGCGCAATCTCAGCTCACTGCAAGCTCCACCTCCCAGGTTCACACCATTCTCCTGCCTCAGCCTCCTGAGTAGCTGGGACTATAGGCGCCCGCCACCACGCCCAGCTAATTTTTGTATTTTTAGTAGAGACGGGGTTTCACCGTGTTATCCAGGATGGTCTTGATCTCCTGACCTCGTGATCTGCCCGTCTTGGCCTCCCAAAGTGCTGGGATCACAGGCGTGAGCCACCGCGCCCGGCCAGGAAGTTACTTTTAATCAAAAGTGTTAGAACTTCTTGCCCATCCACGCTGGTTCCTTCCAAACACCGAGCACATTACTCTAGTGATGATGCTGTGCTCACAACACTAGGGTAATTCAATTCAGAGTTCTGACCATACCTCCCTATTTTGTACAGTATTCATAGAAAATGAAACAGCGAGTTATCTTTAAAAAAAAAAATGCATTAACTGAAAAGTGAAAACAGAATGTACTGAGAAAAAAGATGGCACCACAGTGCTTATGTTAAAATGGATTCATTCAATATTCCCAAACGTGAATTAAACAGTTTTACATAATTGTTTCCTTATAACAGTTTTCATGTTGGCAAAACAAAATAATACTTTAATTATGAACGGTTTTATTTCAGTCTGAGATACTTAATTCTTGCAGTGCATGCCCACCGATAACAAAATCTATTAATAACACTCCAAAACCATGGGACTTTAAAGTTACAATCAACGGCTGAGAGGCACAAAAGTAATTAGGTTTTAAAGTTAAAAACAAAACCTGGTTACTATTCTCTAGGAAATATTTCAAATATATAATCATCTCCAGGTTGGACACCAAATTTCCTATACTTAAGATATGGTAGATTGCAATTAATTTTATCTTTTTAGGTAGGAGATTATTAAGCTTTCAATCTTTGGAGGACCTAGAAGTTTTGAAATGTACCAAATTTAATGTCATTAACCAAATGGAATTTTTAATATAAGTTCTGAGTGCAATTCTATTCAGAATTTCCTGTTCTTTTTCATTTTGGATGGATGTTGGTATTTGTTCCACCACTTTTTTGCACCTGCATACTTCTTGTTAATTTATAGATACTATAAGCCATAATTTCTTAGTATTAAATTTTATTTTAAAATGTTAAAAACATGATTAGGAAAAAATTCCCACTCTACCCATCCCCCCAATATCTATAGAACAGGATTCAGAGCAGTATTTGTCAATGTTTGCCTAGGATGATCAGGATGTTTGAACCACTGGGAGTTTTCTTTAAACTGTGTATTTCTGGGTCTACTCCAGATCTACCTAATCAGAATCTCTGAGGGTGGTGTCTACAACTGATTTTTAAAAAACGCTCCCAGGAATTGTTTTTATACTAAAATTTGAGAGCTACTGGTTTAAGGTACAAAATATGACCTTCTGTGGTTTCACTGTGGGTCTAAAAGTATATATTAAAATTATTTGGGAAGTCTAGTCAAATGCCATAATGGTCTGTAAGGTAATCTATGATTGCTGATGTGCTTGACAGAGCATTAAATACCCTTTTTTCCTGCCTTGAAGTTATCTTTTCCATCATGTACATTAAATGTTGATGGAAACACATGTAAGGAGTCCCGAGTTCAAGAGCAATGTCAACCCAGTCCCAGATGCATTTCAGTGGGGTTTCCTCATATCCAGCAAACATGGCCGGGTTTGCTAAGAGTCCTCTTGCAACCATCACACCTACAAATTAAAGCACACCATATTTGTCCATACATTAAGAACCCCTGGTTATTAGTTCAAGCTCAATGAAGCAAACAGTATATTTTTAAAAAGTATTATCACAAGGTTTTGTAATGTCTTTATTGCATTAATATGTTTAATCCGATTACAAAAGAATTAATTTTGGTACCTTTTGTAAACCAGGAAAGTTTAAATGTACGTACAGAAATCTTTATTTTTTAAAGATTTCTACATTAAACCATTAGTCTTTAGTTTTTCTTTAGGGTAAATCTGGATTGTCATAAATTGGGCTGCTTAAAGTTCAGTTTATCTATATTCTCCCATCTAGCAATTATAGGGCTTGGCATGCCAATAATTTAAGGGAATAATGAAACTGCATAGCAGTTCTGGGATTCCTTTAGCTCTTATCATTCTCGAGTTCACTTACTCTTATTTCTAGGTGCTTTATTTTACTAGTAGGCTATCTGGAAAATTCTTCACTGGTCACTAGATATGATGGTGTCAGAAAAGTAACTGAATTAATTTATCCCAGTTAAGATAATCCATGTTTTTCTAGGTAGAAAACTTAACATCATTTTAATAAATCGCTTAGCTTAAAACAGTACAATGGGAAAATATGGCTTAATGTTAAACAAAACAAATGAAAATCAAATTAACATTACTTCCCCACTCTCATTTCTTCCCCCCCCAATTAAAAGAACCCAAGTACTTATTTCTTACCATCTGTCCCAGTAATCCGCCACACATTTTCTGCTTCCTTTAAGCTTCTGATGTCTCCATTAGCAATTACAGGTATAGACATATTTTCCTTAATTATTTTAATGGAATCATAGTGCACTGGCTGATGTCTTTCTTCAGCAGTTCTTCCATGGACTGTAATCCATGAAACTCCTGTTGCTTCAGCCTTTTGACAAAGATCTACAGTTCTTTTAAGGTCATCATGGATCCTACAATTTCAAAATTACATTTATCTGTTCACAGCACACAAATCTTAATGCTAACATTAACTGACTAAAATGGTATTTCATCTACCAAATTAGTTAGCTTTGCTATATCATATTATTACTCTATGTCATTATCAGCAAGGTTTTCTTCAGGGAGCAGTTCCTACACAAGACCTCAAATTTAGCTATTTCACTATTGACAACAAAGGACAAAAAACAAGTTTTATCTTAGACCTAGTGCTTCTATGTTTTGGCTTTGATAAATGAAAGACCCATGAAAGTACTGTCACAGATGAATTTAAACCTTAATATTTGCTGTGCATGCCCCCATCCCCCAGTGGGAGAATATAATACTTTATCTTGAAATATGTTTTCAGGCTGGGCACCGTGGCTCACTCCTGTAATCCCAGCACATTGAGAGGCTGAGGCAGGTGGATCACTTGAGGCCAGGAGCTCAGGACTGGCCTGGCCAACGTGGCGAAACCTCGTTTCTACTAAAAAATACAAAAATTAGCGAGGTGTGGTGACACACACCTGTAATCCCAACTACTTGAGAGGCTGAGGCATGAGAATTGCTTGAACCTGGGAGGCAGGGGTTGCAGTGAGCCAAGATTGTGCCACTGCACTCCAGCCTGGGCAACAGAGTGAGACTCTGTCTCAAAAAAAGAAATATGTTTTCAACCTGTCACGGAAAAACTGATTCCTGGTTTATTTTCTTTTCATTGTGAAATTTTAGTGCAAATATTTTTCCTATTTTCTACACTTGGCACCAGTAATGTTTCTTAACATTAAATACTACATAGCTAAAGTTGAAAGTTTGGTGAAACTTAAAGGGAGGCTTTAACTTTTGTTAAAAGTACAAAGAGGAAGTTTTTCAGGACTATAAATGAAAATTATGGTATATATTCTTTTACTAAATGTCTTATTTTCAACATTTCCATACACCAGCTACCAATTTATTTAGGATAGATACTCCCAACAGCATCAGACAAAAGCAATAATCTTTCATTTCCTAAGTAATGGATTATCCTATCAATAGATTGAAATATTGTCTTTACCTTATTTTAATAGAAACTGAAAATCCAGGGGTTTCCACTTGATTTCTTACTTGTTTCACCATGTCTTGAACAAGCTCTGGCTTGTTTATTAAGCAAGCCCCATAACCTTCTGCCATTGCCCACCTTTGTAAAGCAAACACATGAACAAGTGAATTATAAATAACTGGAAGAGAAGACAAAATTCTGAAAGCACTGAAATGTAAGTGCATCCATTTCTCTAGTGATCTGGAAGAGAAGCAGATATAAAAAATTCATAGATTCAACATTTCTAAGTGGATCAATATGAGATTAGGAAAACATGTTCCCAGATCAAAAAGTACTCAGGAGAAATGGTTTTCATTGGCAAGTGAGAATATTAAGTTAAAAGTCATTCAACCAAAACAGGTTTAAATATTTGAAGTAATTGCAATGACTTCAGATTTTAAAAATTCCAAATTTGATGTTTATTGTGCATAACAAGAGGTTTTATTAGTCTCAATAGTAGAAAGATATTTTTGGCTTACAGCATTCCAATACCACTAAACAGCTAATTTAACCCTCCTAATGAGTATACAAATATGTCTAATCTGATTTCGATTACGCTATACTTAACAACTTTGCTTTTATTCTTTGGACACATTTTGAATTACTGATAATCTACTACAGTGCCAGTAAAGTAGAACTATTATTGTCAGGCTGGGCGCGGTGGCTCAGGCCTGTAATCCCAGCACTTTGGGAGGCCAAGGCGGGCGGATCACCTGAGGTTGGGAGTTTGCAACCAGCCTGACCAACATAGAGAAACCCCGTCTCTACTAAAAATACAAAATTAGCCTGGCGTGGTGGTGCATGGCTGTAATCCCAGCTACTCAGGAGGCTGAGGCAGGAGAATCGCTTGAACCTGGGAGGCGGTAGTTGTGGTGAGCCGAGACCACACCACTGCACTCCAACCCGGGAAACTCTTGTCTCAAAAAAAAAAAAAAAAAAAGAAATATTATTGTCAAATTAAGTACACCCTATCAACACCCAGTTATTTAAACCCAAACAAGTAACTGTGGTATAGAAAGAAAAAGTGATTATAATAAGGTATTTTTATAAGGGGAATTAATTAGGAGGAAATATGTGGTGATTTCCTAAGTCAAACAATCTGTTTTCAGAGCAAGTATATCTGACATGACAGTAAAAATACATTTTAGGGATTGCCGTAAACATTAGATTCTCATATAACTACTTAGGGATGAGATTCAAGGCACAGCCACATAAAAATTCTATTGGTGAGGGGAGACAAAACACCTGTCAAAGGTCTATACATCATTTCAGTCATCAGAAAAGACCTTTGAATTTATGTTTCTAAATTACATTTCCCTATATTTTCTTCCTTCTTGTTTTGAGCCCTGGGACTGTAACTCTATTTTCTTTTTAATTTTTGGAAAACTAGAAAGATATTTTACCATGTTCACACAGTTTTTTTTCTACTCTTTTGGAAAATTCTTCCAACTTCTTTGAGCTTTACCTCTGAGGGCAACCACAGTTAATGTCTATTCCATTCGCATAAGGACAGACTATACGAGCAGCATCAGATAAAAGTCTTGCATCGTTAGCAGCAAACTGAACAATCAATGGGCAATCACCTGACAAAATGAATAGCTCAACATTAAAATTCACAGGAAAAAACCCCATGCACACACACACCAAACTTTAATGTTTGTACAGGATAAAATAGCAATAACGATTTTTTAGCCTAAGAAGCATCTGTCCAAATAATATAACATTAAACAATTTAAAATATTTAAAATTAAAAGCAATTTACACGGTAAAAAATTCAAACAGTACAAAATTTGATAAATGAAAACAATTCTAATACTTTTGACAAAATAGACCCTCTTCTCAAAGGTGAGAATTAGTTTACTGCATTCCAGAACAATTTTTTTGTATACCTGTAAAATTTAAACAAGTGTGAACAATCTATATATACCACTGTGCCTAGTGTTCCTTTCTTTCCTCATGTATCTGGGAGATGTACTCAGACCTATTTTCTTCTTTATAGTGGGATATTCCGCTGTACGGATGGACCATATAGTGTATTTTTAGACTGTTTCACATGCTCTGAGTATATTCATAGGGTAAATTCTTAGGAGAATTGTTAATAGGCATTTAACATACAACACTGTGATAGATATTACAGAATTATCTTTCAAGAGTTTACCAATATAGACATATACCAATATGGATAAAAGTTCTTGTTTCCTCACAACTTATCATACAGTGTATATCCAACATTTGAATATTCTAATTTGTGAGCTCTCTTCATATTCTTTGCATTTTTCTGTATATAATTTTTCCATTAGTTGTTCTTTTTATTTGTAATTTTTTTAATAAAACAAAGAAATTAGTATTGCTATCTATCATGTGTTATAAATATTCTCCTCAGTTTTTTGTCTTTGAGTATATTTGTGCTCTTACATATAAATGTTTAATTTTTTTTTTTTTTTGAGACAGAGTCTGTCACCCAGGCTGGAGTGCAGTGGCACAATCTCAGCTCACTGCAACCTCTGCGTCCCAGGTTCAAGTGATTCTCCGGCTCAGTCTCCCAAGTAGCTAGGATTACAGGCACCTGCCACCATGGCCAGCCAATTTTTGCATTTTTAGTAGAGATAGGGTTTCACCATGTTGGTCAGGCTGGTCTCAAACTCCTGACCTCAGGTGATCCACCCACCTTGGCCTCCCAAAGCGCTAAGATTACAGGCATGAGCCACCGCCTCTGGCCCAAAGTTTTAATTTTAATACAGCCGAATGTATTAAAGCTTCCTAGGTTTTAAAGAACATATTTTTCGTATCCTTGGGTCAGTGTTATAAACTCTGTTTAGATGTATTTCAACATTTCTTTTGAGGAATACTTGTATGAGATTCACTGGGTGTTTATGAAAATGCAGATTTGTGGGCATCATCCTAGTTGCACTGATTCAAGATTCCTATGGCAATCTACTGATTTACAGGATTATGATGGTTTAGGAGAATTTGCTTTATTCTTTATGGAGATGTAAGGTGCTTTCCCTTTTGTAACTCAAGAGAGTTACAGAATTTCAATTTAACAACCATTTATTGGTCTAATATATTTCCAACACTGTACTAGATGCTGAGGATACAAATCAAGCTATTTCTAAAGCTACAGCCCTCAAGGAGGCCGAACCTAATGGGAGAAACAGGCATATAAAGAGGAAATCATAATGCAGTAGAATTAAGTGATTAAGTGCAACATAAGAGCCTGTGCTTAGCAGGGAGGACATGAGTAGAGGATGATCAAAAAAAAAAAAAAAGATTCATGGCTACAAATATTGAGAGCTGAATGACGAAACATAAACTACAGTTTGCAAGAGAGAGAGGGGGTCTGGTGTGAGAAGACAGTGTATGTTCAAGGACTTAAAATAACTTAGGAATTTTGAAGGATAAAGTCAGTGGGGTGTGGGGAGAAACTGAAGGAAGATAAGGCTGCAGAAGATGTATTCAGAGGTCAGATTATGAAAAACTGTGTATTATCTTTAGGTGCTGAAATTTTAGTCTTTAAGCCAGTAGTTCTCAACCTTTAACAAGCTCAGAATTACCTGGAGAGCTTTTAAAACACAGATTGCTGGACCACATATGTGGAATTTCTGATTTAGTACACCTGTAAATCTCCATTTCTAACAAGTTTCCAGATAATACTGATGCTGCTGGTCTGGGGATCACACTTTGAGAACAATGAGAGAAAAATTTACATGTTCAATAGGTCACTTTGGTCTCCTTGGAGGATAGTTTGGAATGGTACAAGACTAGAGGCAGTGTGACAGGAATCTACTCTAGTAGCCCTAGTGAGAGGAGAGGGTTTCAAAGTGACCTTACACTTTGGTATATACACTGATAGTTTGCAAGGCATTCAGTAATAACATGTAAAAAATACTTATTAAAAACACTAAAGAACTAAAGCTTCTTCACATAAAATCTCTAAATTGTGTTGTTTCTGATAAGATAGTTGAGTTTGTAAACAAATTTAAAAAGTTTTACAAAGTCAGTACACTCGGTTTCACATACCTTGATTTGTGGTAAATTCGCTGTCTCTGGCTTTTATAGATTTGACAAAATCAGCGGCAACAATCATTGGTGTGTAACACAGATCACAACTATATTTTCTTACTAGTGTCCTAAAAGCCAACCTGTGAGCATATAAAACCTTAATTATGCATTTAGAAACACCACAAACATATTTTAGTGCATTGTTAAATATTTATCAGAGAAAGTTCTACCTATGGGGAGATGGAGGAGATTTACTTTTCCCTATTATTCCTGTTAAGTATTACTAAAAACCTTGGATATTATATATAAAACAAACACAAGAAAATTTTGAAAGGTGAAGAAAAGATGTCCAGATAGGCTAGTGACCTCAGGACCTGAGGAATGACAGGGTGGTGAGTTCTCTGGGTTTTATTTTTGTCTCAAATATCCTAGACTTGAAGAAGCTGGCCACCTGGAAACAACAATGGATGCAGACAAAACCAGCCCCAACAAAAGCCTTCTCTAACCAAAGGACCAGGAAAATGTTCTGTCTGACCTAGTAAGACAGAAAACTTTTAGACAGTTCTACTCCAGCCAAATACTGTAGAAAAAGCTATGGCTTTATCTCCATTAGCAAAGGCCAAGTGGGAATCCTAGACTTCTACCCTCCAAAGGCTGTAACAAGGTGCTCCAACATTCTATTGATACCAAGGCCAGGTAAGGATCTGAAACTTTCATCTCTGGTGGCCACTGAGGTCACTCCCAGCCCAGTGGTATCAGTGGAGGCCACAAGGGGAGCCTGGACTTCCATGCCTGCCAGCAGTAATGAAGCACTCTTCTCCCTCCCTGCTTGGTGTGGTGTCAGAGGAGGCATAGTGGAGAGCCAGGACTTTCATTATTGCCCAGCACATATGAGGCTACCCTCACTATGGGGAACTGGAACTCTCATCACTGCCCCGCAGTAATGAGGAGCTCCTCACCCACCAGATGTCGAAGGAGGCCAAGTGGAGAACTTGGATTTCTATCAGATAGCAATGAGGTGGCACCACTCCCCTACATCATTCCCTGCTGGAGTGTTGTCAGAAAAAGCCGGTTAAAACAGAAGGTGCAATAGTCAAAATCAATTAATGTAATCCATCATATTAACAGGCTAAATAATAAAAATCACATGATCATATAGATGCAGAAAAGGCATTTGACAAAATACACTCATACATAGTTAAAAAAAAAAAAAGCTAACTCTTGGAAAACCAGAAGTAGAGGGAACCTGCCTCAGTTTGATAAAGTATATCCACAAAATTCCTACAGAACACTTTTGCCTTAGGAACAAGGTAAGGAAGTCTGCTCTTATCACCCTTATTCAACACGGCGCTGAAACTTCTAGTCAGTGCAATAAGGCATGATAAAGAAACAAAAGGCATATGATCAAAAGGAAGAAATCCAACTGTCCTTATTTGTAGATGACATGGTTGTTCATATAGACTCTGAAGGAATTTACAAAAAAACTAGAACCAACAAGTGAGTTTAGCAAGTTTTCAGGATATAAGATCAACATACAAAAATCTATTTCTATGTGCTAGCAATAAACATGTGAACACCAAAAATTAAAAATTCTATTTACAAACATGCTCAAAACCTGGGTGTCTTACAAAACATGTGCAGAACTTGTATGCTGAAAACTACACAATACTGATGATAGAAATCAAAGAAAATCTCAATCAATGGAAAGATATACTGTGTTCATGGATTGGGAGACTCAACCTAGTAAGAAAGTCAGTTCTTCCCAAGTTGAGGTATAGGTTTCACACAGTTCTTATGAAAATTCCAGCAGGGTTTTTTGCAGAGATAGACAAGGTCATTCTAAAATTTATTTGTAAAGCAAGGGAACTAGAATAGCTAAAACAATTTTGAAAAAGTAAATAAATTGGGAAGAACCAGTCTACCTGATTTCAAGACATATTATAGAGCTATATAGTAAAACTGTGTGGTATTGGTGGGGAAAAAGATACAAGATCAATGGAACAAAACAGAAAATGCTGATTTCTCACAAAGAAGCAAAGAATTAGCGGAGAGATAGCCTTTCTTTTTTTATTATTATTTTTGAGACGGAGTTTTACTCTTGTTGCCCAGGCTGGAGTGCAGTGGTGCGATCTTGGCTCACTGCAACCTTCACCTCCCAGGTTCAAGCGATTTTCCTGCCTCAGCCTCCCAGCAGCTGGGACTATTGGCATGCGCCACCACGCTGACTAATTTTTGTATTTTTAGTAGAGATGGGGTTTCACCATGTTGGCCAGGCTGGTCTCGAACTCCTGACCTCAAATGATCTGCCCACCTCGGCCTCCCAAAGTGCTGGGATTAGGATTTGATGGCGTGAGCCACTGTGCCTGGCTGATAGCCTTTCAAAAATGATGCTGGAGTAATTGGACATCCATAGGCAACCTAACCTAAGCCTCACACTTACATAAAAGTTAATGCAAAATTGATCATGGACTTAAATGCAAAACATAAAACTATAAAACTTTTAGGGAAAAAAACTTAGGAGAAAATATTCAGGATCTGGAGCTACATAAAGGTTTCTTATACTTGACATCGAAAGCACAATTTACAAAAGGAAAAATTGATGTTAGACTTCATTAAAATGAAACTTTTGTTCTGCAAAAGATCCTGTTAGGAGCATGAAAGACAAGCCATATACAGGGAGAAAATACGTGCAAATCACACATCTGACAAAGCAGAATATATATCTAGAGTATAATAGAAAACAAGAAAACAAACAAATGGACAAAAGCACTTGAATAGATACTTCTACAAAGACAACATACAAATGGCCAATAAACACACAAAAAGATGTTCAGCATCATTAATCATTAGGGAAATGCAAATTAAAACTGCAATGAGATACCACTTCACACCCATTAGGATGATTATAATAATAAAATAAAAACTCCCAGAACATAACAAGTGTTGATGAGGATGTGGAGAAATTAAAACTCTTGTTCACTGCTGGTGGTAAGGTAACATGGTGCAGCTGCTATGGAAAGCAGTACAGTAGTTGCTCAAAAAATTAAACATAGAATCACCATATGATCCAGCAATTCTACATCTGGGTACATAGTCAAAAAGAATTGAAAGCAGGGTCTCAGAGACCTGTTACGAACCATGGGTATTTGTATATGGGTATTTGTACACCCATAGTTCATGACAGTATTATTTGCAGTAGCCAAAAGGTGGAAGTTATCTTGTGTTCTATCAATATATGAATGGATATCAACAGATGAATGAACAAAATATACATAAAATGGAATATTATTCAGCCTTAAAAAGGAACAAGTCTGATATATGCTACAACATGAATGAACCTTGAGGATGTTATGCTGCATAAAATATTAGCAAAATAAATCCAGTTCTGAACAAATACGTATAAGACTTATATGAGGTACCTAGAGTAGTGAAGTTCATAGAGGGAGAAAGTAGAATAATGGTTGCCAGGGGCTGCTGTGAGGAACAGTGGAATGGGGAGTCACAGTTTAATGTGATAGAATTTCCATCTTCTAAGATGAAAAGAGTTTTAGAGATCAGATGCACAACAATGTGAATGTAATTAACACTGCTGAACTGTATACTTAAAAATGATCGAGAGGTAAATTTTATGTTACGTATATTTTATAACAAACTTCTAAAAAAACTCAATAGTAAAAGAGCAAACAATCCAATTAGAAGATGAGCAAAAGATACGAAGAAATATTTCTTCGAAAACTGAACACACAACTACCTTAGGACCCATAATTGCACTCCTATTTGTCCCAAGACTTAAGTTCACATAAAAATCTATACATCAATACTTATATCTATTTAATATCCATTATATACTTATAGGTAGGAGTTACAACCACCACCATTTTTATAGATATAAAAAGTGCAGCTCAGAGAAGTTAATTGTTTACTCAGGATCACATATATACTAGGCAAGTAGTAGCATCATGACTCAATTCTAAGTCATGATTCCAAAGCTAAGAGTTTGAAGTTCCCATATGGTGGGTGGTCTTACAGTACTTTTAAAAAGTCAGAGCATAAAAGGGAAATTTCATCTTAGTTCATTAATCATTTTGCAACACTTACTTTGAATATCGAACCATTGGGGCACAGACTTTTACCAGCTGTCCAGAATGAAACATTTCTATGGGATCTTTTTTTCTTTCCTGACATATTGTCGTTTGCATGCAGTCACTCTTCATTAATACAGATATGTTTCAAATCTGAAAAAGACAATAAGCTTGTATAGAGAAAATATGTTTTCACTATATTAATTCCATTCTAACAATTTCAACTGCCAACAACATATATTTTTTATCAGGCTTGTGGGCTCAGAAATTTTTTTATTAATAGCTTATTTTCACAGTATCCAATATGATACTATAGAATGCTGCCTCTATTTGTAAGATAAATAGATGTGGAAAACTACCCAAGATAGTTGTGGAAACACAAGATGCAGAAAACGAGATTTTTTTTTTTTCCCTAGTTTACCATGTTGTAAGTTTTCATGTTATTTAAAAATTTTTTACATGTTACTTTGTTGGGATTGGTAAGCCAAGAAATTTGGTTTGAATTATTTTATATATGATACTCGACTGGCATTTGGAAATATCTTGTTTTATTCAGGAAAGTTAAATGGCATTAATAGAGCAACTCTTAAGTAGTCAGTGTTTCAAAAGATATGCTGGTGCTTTTATTGTAATTCTTGAATCCTGTTCTGTCTGTGAATCAGAAGATAAACAAACGTTAATTATTTTTAAAAATTTTAATGTGATATTATCTAGTGAAAATTTCAATTATAATTCTACAATTGCATTGTAA
This sequence comes from Homo sapiens, assembly GCF_000001405.40. Classification (NCBI taxonomy): domain Eukaryota; kingdom Metazoa; phylum Chordata; class Mammalia; order Primates; family Hominidae; genus Homo; species Homo sapiens. Next base: position 107,566,451 of record NC_000007.14, on the reverse strand, counting down.
ATCACTTTTATACCCCAAGAGGTACAGGTACGAGTGATGAAATTATGGAGTTTGTAAATGTTTTACATTTGCTATACTTAAAATCCTACTATTTCACAGTGTTGGCTACTTTTCATATTCCAGTCCTTGGCCTCAGTAACTTAGAAACAGGTATGTATGAAGGAAAAATGAAGCAGAAAATAACAACAACAAAAAAAAGAATCAGATATGGGCCAACTTTAGAATGGTCTAATTGCTCAAACTTTAGAGTCTTTAACCTTTAGGCAAGGAGTTGAAATTAAAAATAGCCAAGGTACTTAAGGATGTCAGGATCTTGCAAGAAACCGCTGGAAGCACCAATATTTAAGTAACAGAGGAAAAGGGGAGAGCAAAAGAGACTGAAGATGAACTTTGGAGCTGGGAGGAATAAACCTAAAGAGTGATACTCAGAAAACGAGAGAGACCATTATGAAGGAAGGAGGGGATAGGTATCTTAAACATCAAAGTAAGGCAAAAATAAAGCGCAATGGCAACAAGGTCATTAGTGATTTTAGCAAGAATTACTTCATTTTTATCCACTCCTGCAGTCATAGTAAATGGCATACAGAAGGCCTCAATATTTATTTGCTGAAAGAATAAATCAGTAGGTTTCAGGGGACTGGGCTCACACCTGTAAACTCAGCATTTTGGGAGGCCAAGGTGGGAGGCTTGCTTAAGGCCAGGAGTTTGAGACCAGCTTGGGCAATATAGTGAGACCCCCATCTCTAAAAAAATTATAAAAATCAGCTGGGCGTGGTAGCAAGCGACTGTGATCCCAACTACTCCAGAAGCTTGGGCAGGAGGATCCCTTGAGCCCAGGAGGTTGAGGCTGCAGTGAGCCACGATCCTGCCACTGCACTCCAGCCTGGGTAACAGAGCTAGACCCCAACTCAACAAAACAAAACAATCAGTAGCTTTCTACCTTAGTTGTACACTACAATGACCCGAGGAGCTTTTAAGAATTAGCATGCCCAAGCCATACCCTAGACCAATTAAATCCAAACGTCTGGGCTCAGGATGCAGGCATCAGTGTTTTTATTAAAGCTCTTCAGGTGATTTCAATGTGCAGCTAAGCTTGGAATTACTGGAATAAGTAAATCCAAAGATTCCAAAGCACCTGGTACAATTGTTTGTTTAAATGGGTTCCTACCTTACCTATTAACTCCTTTTAGAATATGGATTGAGTCTTATGTTTGTAAACTCATGAGAGCATGCAGAGTAGAGGGGTCAAAACTTTCGCTGTATGAATGAATATTACTCACTCTTCTAAAATCTTCCACTGGGGGGAATAAAGCCAAGGAAGGAAAAACAATTCCTAATTCACAAGTAATGAATGAATCACCCCTATTCCCATCATGACTAAGATCTTACATACTAGGGAAAATCCTCTGAGACAAAGAGAGCATAATGCAGTGTAGCATAAGACTTGCTTACCTGAGGTGTTATGAGTATGAAATGCATTGAGTTATAAAATACTTAGAACAGCGATAAGCACAGGATAAGTAATAGCACCTTTTTGAAACAGAATGTAGAAAACCACGTAGCTCTGGAACTGGATAAAATTGGTTTCCTGGATACATACCTACTGTACAAAATGAAAAAGTCATCTTCCAGCTTCTTTTTGCGAAGAAGCTTAAGACTGTCTTGCATACTTGTGGTTGCCTGACCCTGTTAATTTATCAGTATTTATCTTAGAAGAAAGAAATCTAGGTCAAAAACGCGAACGTATTAGTAAAGAAGATACAATGGGAACCAACCTGATGCTCTTACAGCGTCAATACTGTTAGTTGAGATGTGGACCATCTATCAGTTTGTAATTAAGAAAAAGTCTGGCACGTGACTGAAACTGAGGAAGAAGTAGAAAAGGCAAAAGGTCAAAGGTCTCATGGGAAGGAAGGAGGGTAGAGACAGTGAGTTTTATTGGTCCTTTTATGGTTCAGACTTCCTTCTTCATCGACTCTCCCTAATTCTCTTCACTGTTCATCCCCAGCAACTTTTCTTCCCAAGCATTTCCTGCGGGCTTTTATTACCCCAGGAGTGCCAATCAAGGCGTGGAACAGATAAAGCTGTGTAGCAACTAACGCGTGACTCTTGTGAGTGTGGAGGGCAAACGAAGCTCCCTGAAACCTCCGCTCTGCTCTCCTGCCTTACGCCGCGCGGCCCCTGTTCTGAGGTTTAATACTTGCTTCACAGATAAGCGCTGCGGCCACGTTCCGGTGCCCACCTTCTCCTTGGCTAGGGCACGACGCCAGCCCAGGGGGCGCGGCCCTGAGCTGCTGCGAGAGACAGCTGAAAGCGCCGGCCCGACGGCCTTGGCTCCCTCGGTGCGCTGGGCGCAGAGCACTCGGACCCTGGGCGCCCACTGCTCGAGTACCTGCGCGGCTCCTAGCCAGGCTTAGCCCAGGCGCGGGCTGAGAGTCAGTTCGCCAGGTGGGCCTGGAGCCATGGGCTGGGTGGGCGGGCGGCGCCGGGATTCTGCGTCACCACCTGGGCGGAGCCGTTCTGCTGCTGACGACATCAACCCGGCACCTGCCAACATGGAAGGTGGCGGCGGCAGCGTCGCTGTAGCTGGCCTCGGAGCTCGAGGCTCTGGAGCGGCTGCAGCTACAGTCCGGGAACTTCTGCAGGACGGTAAGGAGACGGGGTCTGACCAGGTCGTGGGGTTGGGGGTCTGCGCTGCTCCGCACCTGGACAGCGAGGTGGACCCAACCCGTTGCTTTGCAGAAAGTTTTCCAGTCTGGACGTGACCACTCCCCTCCGCCCGGCCCCCTGGCTTGGGTACTGTTCTAGCCAACCTATTTACTCTGGGACTGGCTCCCTCTTTTCTGGAGTCTTGGGGACACTTGGTTTCTGTGTGTTCCTCATTTCAACTCGACCCCCCCCCCCCCCATGCCTCCAGCTTCCCTGAAGTTTCGGGAGCCCAAACCCTGTGGACCGCGTTGGCAGCCACCGGCTGCTGCCGCAGTTCTTGACGAAGGGGTGTAGCGTTCGAGCTCTTCAAAAGTGTAAGCTCTAGAACAGACGGCAGACGCATAATGAAATAGGGCCTTGTTTTAAAGTAGAGCTGGAAACGCTTACTCCTTTAACAAATGGACTGTACAGGTGACCCCTCTTACAGGCTGGTTTTTTTTTTCCTCCTTTATGAGGCAGTTATCTACAGTGACACGTGGGGGAGGGTTTGAGACATTTGTTCAGGTTGGGATTAACCATTTGTACAGAATCTAGCAGTCAGATTTTATTGCTAGTCAGTTTGGAGAGAAGTTGCCCAAAATAAGAAAAGTTAGATATAATATACTTGAAAAGCATATTCAGTTGTGTCAATCCAGTTACCATGTCCCGAATCTCTTATCCTTCAGAATAAAGTTCACATTTATAAGCATAAAAATAAAGCCCTTCTCACCTGTTCTTAATTTTTTCTCTAGTGGCCATCGCATTCTACCTTGTACTAAAATCATTTGTATACTTGTTTTAATCTCTTCTGTATTGCAAACTTTTTTTAATATCCCACAGTGTGAATAGCAGTATCTTGCATACAGTAGGTGCAGAATGTTTTTTAAATTCATCATCGCAGTTAGAAGCACATGCACACATTTGAAGACCGAAGTGGGTAATAAATGAAATAAAGTTCCAAATTATTGTTTATTTTCTCTGACTGTTAAATATTTTATTGTCATCCTGAATTACGTGCCTTTTCATGATAATTTATGTACTTTTGTCAAAAGCAATGATGTTTTCTGAACTATTTCATGTTGGAAACTCTAGGACCGGGTCTCTGTCTAAAACTTGGCTAAACTGAATTTAAACTTTAGATACAAGGCAGAGACCCTGATATATTTGCAGTTGCTCCTGATACACGTGCAATTTTTGCCCTCAAGTAGTTCACCATCTAGTAGAGGAAATAATCTTGTAGACTATAAAGGTAGGTGCTGTAATATAGTGATGTAAGATAGCAGTAGGATTGCATATAAAGTAGAGCATTAATACAGAGGAGAATGATAACTGGGGGTTGGAAACTGGTTAGGAAATGTCAGAAAAGGCTTTCTAGGTGGAGACGTTTTAAACTGTAGACAGGACTTCCCCAGGTGAACAGTGGAACATTGGATATATGTTTCAGTAGGATGTATTTCAGGAATTGTAATCAGTTCTTGGACGGTAAATACTCTTCAGTTCTGCCTTCTGTATTTTCCTCCTTGGTTCTCTGCCATTCTCCACAGTGATTGTTTAAATCTTCTTTACCCTTTTCAAACCTTTCGCTTCAAGCTCAACAAATGACTTTAAGCTTCCCTGGGGAGAAAAAGAGGATCCATCAGATGTGAACTTTCTCCATTTCTTGCCCATCAAACCTATGAATTTAACCTCAACGTATAACCATCTGTTGCACCTTTTTTCCCTTGCCTTTTCAATTGCAACGGAAGTGGAGCCTCTGCTCCTTTCTTTCTTTCTTTCTTTTTTTTTTTTGAGACGGAGTCTCGCGCTGTTGCCCAGGCTGGAGTGCAGTGGCGCAGTCTCGGCTCACTGCAAGCTCTGCCTCCGGGGTTCACGCCATTCTCCTGGCTCAGCCTCCTGAGAAGCTGGGACTACAAGCGCCCATCACTATGCCTAGCTAATTTTTTGTATTTTTAGTAGAGACGGGGTTTCACCGTGTTAGCCAGGATGGTCTCGATCTCCTGACCTCGTGATCTGCCTGCCTTGGCCTCCCAGAGTGCTGGGATTACAGGCGTGAGCCACCACGCCCGGCCGAGTCTCTGCTCCGTTCTAAGGATAGTGCCTCCTACTTTGCTCTGGATTTTTTCTTCCTGTTTCCTGGGGACTCAGTCACCCTCAATCTATGCCATTGAAGTAACTTTGCAAGGTTTTCAATGACTTTCTTGCACATACGACAAATGGACACTTTTTTGGTCCTTTAACTTGTAATAACATTTGATTCCTTTCTTGAAATACTTTCCTCATGCGGTTTATGGGTGCCGTGCTTTTTAAAAATTCTTAATTCTCTAGGTGCTCTTTTCCAGGTTCCTGTAGATACTTGTCAGTTCAGTTTGTTCTGAATTAAGCGGTCTCTGTTGCCCCTCCACCCCCAACATTCCTGAGGAATTAAGCATTTCCAGCAGAAACTTTGATTCACTATATCGGGGATTTGGCCAATGACAGAGTATCGGATTGATAGGCTTGGTGAGCACAGATGCATAGTATGAAAATTGGTGAGGTGTTTCTGATATGCCCTCTATGGGAATGAGGAAACTATAAAAGAGAAGCATTATATAATTCATCTCTTTAAAGGCTGTCAGCCCTCAAATGCCACATCCCGTTGTGTTTGATCTTTGTAAGCTCTATGACAATACTAATACTTACTTTCTTTATCCCTTCTTTTGGCTTTTGCCATTCTTTTTTGTTTCTCTTTCTCCCTGAGCACTCTTTAGTCTCTTTGATTGCTTTCATTTTCTCTGTCCACCCCCCACTTTCCTATCTTCCTCATTTTCCTGCCTTTTTGTGCATTCTAAAACTTTTTTTTCCTAAATCATCTGGTCTTGTCTGTGGTTTCAGTATGCTCCTTACCTGTCTTCTGAATTATAAAACTATATTTTTAACTGCCTACTGGACATTTCTATCTTAATTTTTTTATGATATGCCATTCCATAACCTGTATGGACATTTCTATTTTGATAGTAAACAAGCAGTGCTAGTTCTATAATACACATGAAAACCTACATATGAACAAATAGTACAAGGTTTACATATGAAAAAATGAAATGAATTCACTTTTTCTGTTCTTCTCTCCTAATCTTTTCCTCTGGTAGTTTCTGTTATCTGTGTTTACTATGTTGTTAGGTAAATGTGTGCTTGTTCCCCTTGTAAATTATGAATTCCTTGGAGGCAGAAGTTTATGTTCATCTTGGTATATTCAGTGTCTAGTGGTCTAAGTTAGTGTAAAACTAAATTTCCTGTATCAGTTGCTTAATCCAGAAATTTGGGAATCCTTGTTTGTTCTACCTAATCACCCATTTTCAGCTTGTCACTAAGTCCTACATCCTGTGCAGTGTGAATATTTGTCAAATTTGTCACTTTGACATTCTTAGTGCCACTTATTCAGGTCTTAGTCGGGCCTTCATTATGTCTTAGGCTGTTAACATAGTACTTTACTGGCCTCTGTGGTTCTATTTCTTGGGTGTATTGGTTAATTGGCTTTGTGGGAAAATAGAAAAAGCCCTGATTTTTGTAGTGTTTGCTGATTACCATGGTGTAAATACTCTCACCATCGTAGATTTTAAGATATCTGTGTGAAAGGTCAACTGGCTCACAGAATTCCTGAAAATGTAACAGTCTGTGCTCAAGAGCCAATAAGAGGCAACTTCAGCACATTGCTGTGTGACTAATCCTTTTTCCATCATCCTCTATACAGCTGCCAGGATTATTGTTCTGTAACATAAAGCTGATAGTGCAATTTCTTGGGTTAAATGAGATATGGTTAAACATTTCAAATGTCTTACAAACCTCTTTTCAAACTGCGCTCCAACCTTTGGAACCACATCTGTCATTCTTTACCATTTCTGTCCAATATACATGTGCTATGATTTAGACACACTGAAATCAGTATTCCCCTTGTTTCTCAAAATATGCCATGGCATTTGCCACTGCTAAACCTTCCCTTTGCTTGGAATGGCTTTTTTCATTTGTCTGGCTGACAGGACTCTTAATTCTGAGAAGCACTTGGCAAATCAGAAGGAAATGTGGTTCTCAGACTTAAAAGCAGCCAAAGTAGCAGTTTCCTTCTTTCATTCCACTACATTTTAAGAATAATCAAGAGTATGAGCCTTTACTTTTTGTTGTTGGTTGTTACCAGAATGATACTAATGATACATCAGCTGATGTATAGATTAGTTAATTCATGGAACCTGCCATGTGTCTGGTATTGTTCAGACACTGGAGAAGAGTTAGCAAACAAAACAAAGACCTTCTTCCCCTCTTGGAGCATACATTATAGCAGATGTAGACAATTTAGGTTTTCTTAAAAGTACTCTATTTTGTTTGTTTCATAATCTCTCTCAAGGCAGCTTTACTTGTATCTACTGTATCATTAGGAGATTTGGTACATGGTTACCATGAGCTCCCTTCTGGGTATCTATTTTTAGCTTTCAATTCTCTTAATTTTTCTTTCATCCACATATTTGTGGATTTCTATATTGAGGGGTATCTTTTTAACATCTGGTATTACTTCTGTTTTCTGTCTATTAGGGGCCTATTTTAAACAGCTTTTCTTTCCATTAACATATTTCACCCATAAATCCTAAATTTCAGTAACACCTATAAATTTATATTTCCTATTGTTACTAAAATTCCAGATTCACTTTGCTATAACAGTATTTGTGTATTGATCTAGAGATATCTGAGGCCATAAATATTACATATGTGTATATATATATATAGAGTCAATTTTCCTGTTGTCTTTTCACTGACAATGATCTTGTTTTCTTGGATTAATAGTTATAGCTAGTAGTTATGGTTTTTTTTTTTTTTTTTTTTTGAGATGAAGTCTTTTTTTTTTTTTTTTGGGACAGAGTCTTGCTCTGTCGCCCAGGCTGGAGTGCAATGGCGCAATCTCAGCTCACTGCAAGCTCCGCCTCCCGGGTTCACGCCATTCTCCTGCCTCAGCCTCTCGAGTAGCTGGGACTACAGGCGCCCACCACCACGCCCGGCTAATTTTTTTTATATTTTTAGTAGAGACGGGGTTTCACTGTGCTAGCCAGGATGGTCTTGATCTCCTGACCTCGTGATCCACCTGCCTCGGCCTCCCAAAGTGCTGGGATTACAGGTGTGAGCCACCGCGCCCGGCCAGAGATAAAGTCTTGCTCTGTCACCCAGGCTGGATTGCAATGGCACGATCTCGGCTCACTGCAGCCTGTGCCTCCCGGGTTCAAGCTATTCTTCCACTTCAGCCTCCCGAGTAGCTGGGATTACAGGCACCCGCCATGATGCCCAGCTAATTTTTGTATTTTTGTAGAGATGGGGTTTGAGGTTTCACCATGTTGGCCAGGCTGGTCTTGAACACCTGACCTCAGGTGATCCACCCACCTCGGCCTCCCAAAGTGCTGGGATTACAGGCATGAGCCAGTGTGCCTGGCCAGTCGTTATGTTTTTTAATCTCTTTCTCAATGTTATACTTCCTTTAGGGTCATGATAAAAGTAAGCATTAAGCAGTATAGTGGAGTGGTTCAGAGTATGGGATCAAAATATGTTAATTATGATTATAATTGTTCTGTTGTTTAATAACTGGTTTAGTACAGGGTAATTAAGGACTTTTCCTTATTTTTTCCCCAATCCAGGGTGTTATAGTGACTTTTTAAACGAAGACTTTGATGTAAAGACTTATACTTCTCAATCTATTCATCAAGCTGTAATTGCTGAACAACTAGCAAAACTTGCCCAAGGAATCAGTCAGTTGGACAGAGAACTACACTTACAGGTAATTCTGATCTTCTGGGTCCCTATGGATTATTCAGCCTAAAGTGATAATTTAGCATTTTTGTAATCTTATTAAATACAAATGCATATTTACATGAAGAAGTACATACTTACCAGTGTGACTTATTTTTCAAAGTAAATTTTTGAAATTTTCTGTAAACCACTTTTTGTTTGTGGAAAAACTAATATACCACCTCACCAAAGCCTTTCATTCATACTTCCTGTTCACCACCTTAACTGATGTGCAACGAATATAGTGGGCAAAAAATAGGATGTGTTCGATAAAGATAATAGAAAATGGAATTTTGGAAGTAAAACAATATGAATAAGAAAAATTGGGATGTTACATTCGCAATTCATACTTTATTAGCACAAAGTGTAGCATTTGCTGAAATTACAGAAAGTTGATAAATGTTATTGTGAGTAGGATACAATATGAGATGTTAGGCGACGGGTCCTAATTTCAGCTATGCTGTTGTTAACTGACTTTAATATCACTTAAAGTCTTTGAGTCTTGCTTTTTTGTTTTTTAATCTATCAGATGGGTTGGAATAAGCAAGAGGAAGAGGAGACTGTAGTAGATAACTTTGAAGATTCCCTCCTCTACTAAAATTCTGTAAATTTTATAGGGCGATTTTATGGCATAATTTCTAGTGTTGCCTTTGATTGAGTAGGTATTTAATACATATTTAAATGAATGAACATATGCATGAAACATAGATTGTTTACCAGGAAACATAGATTTGGTATAACCTGAGACATATCCACTTGATCATTTTTGTGTCTTAGTTTCTTTGAGTGCCTTAGATAGGACTGGGATGCCTTCTAAGGTTATTTTAACTCTAAAATTCTGATTATGTATCATTTGATTTCAATCTTTATTGACAGATATTTAGAAAACACGTTTAGGCCGGGCGCAGTGGCTTATTCCTGTAACCCCAGCACTTTGGGAGGCTGAGGCGGGCAGGTCATGAGGTCAGGAGTTCCAGACCAGCCTGGCCAACATGGCAAAACCCCATCTCTACTAAAAATACAAAAATTAGCTGGGCATGGTGGTGGGCGCCTGTAATCCCAGCTACTCGGGAGGCTGAGGCAGGAGAATCACTTGAACCTGGGAGTTGGAGCTTGCAGGGAGCCGAGATCGTGCCATTGCACTCAAGCCTGGGCAACAAGAGCAAGACTCCGTCTCAAAAAAAAAAAAAAGAAAGAAAACACGCTTAATTGTCAAGCTTTGGGTTAGACTGTGGGGATAGCCAAATAAATAGAATACATTTCTTGGCTCTCCAAGGACCCACAGACCAGTGGCAGACACAGACAGAAATAATGGTAGGCAAGCGAGGCCTGTTTTAAATAGAACAGTGTAAGTTGTTTATGAGAGCGGGGATAATGTATTTAGTTTTGTCTAGAGTTCTCAGGGGGTGGCTTTTTGCAAGAACCACCTGAAATTCTTTTAGTCCTTTTATGCTTGGTATTTTCCTTATTCCTTGTATGCAGCATCTACTCTGCAGGAATCAATAAGAACTTAAAATGTATTTACCATCACTTAGAGGGGAGAAGTTGTAGTGGCCTAGGATGTGAGGTAGAGGAAGTCTCCGAGTCCCAGTAGTCTATATCAGTGAGATGACTAAAATTGTAAAACATTTACTATTAGGGTTTAGTGCAGGAACTAGAAATCACTCTAAGAAAGACACTTCATACAGAGAGTTTGGATGCTTATAAAATTGTTGGGTGAATAGCTAGTGGACGGAGTTGAAGGAACTACCACAGATGCAATACAGAGGCCTGGAAGTACCTGTTCTTACCTTCCATGCCAGTGCTAAAATTCTGCCTCTAGATATCTGATGACTAAATCCTGGAGTGATCAATGTGGTTCTCTTAACTGTCTCTAAATTCTCAGGTCTCAGGACCTTTATTACTAGCTGAAACAGTAAGCTTTCCTCTCTCCTTTTTTTTTTTTTTCTTTGAGACAGAGTCTTGCTCTGTCACCCAGGCTGGTGTATAAGTGGCACGATCTTGCTCACTGCAACCTCTGCCTCCCGGGTTCAAATGATTCTTGTGCCTCAGCCTCCTGAGTAGCTGAGATTACAGGTGTGCACCACCACACGTAGCTAATTTTTTTGTATTTTTAGTAGAGACAGGATTTCACCATGTTGGCCAGGCTGGTCTCAAACTCCTGACCTCAAATGATCCACCCACCTCGGTCTCCCAAAGTGCTGGGATTACAGGTGTGAGCCACCGTGCCCAGCCTAGCTTTCCTCTCTCTTGTCTTCCACAACTCTTGGAAAAATCATTTAATTGGTTGCAAGGGAGTCCATGAAACTATAGTTTTAGGCTTTTTAACCTTACCAAAGTATTACTAGTGATAAAGGAGAATAGATAATTTTTAAAAAGTTAGTCTTGTTAAGATGGACATATTGATGACCGTATCAGTAGGCTGGGAAAAATTCAGACATCTTCTGGCAACCTTACGAATAAAAGACCGAGGTGACCAAGAGTAATACTTTGAGTAGATATGATAGAAAGAAACTTGACAGAATGACAGTGATATCTGAAACAAGACAAAGTGGAGGATTTAGGGGTTCCAGTCGTTGGTGATTAAGAACTTCAGTCAGCAGACTAGACATGAAACTAAGTATTCATTGGAATAAAAGGCACACAATAATAAGGATTCCTGCATTATTCTAAAGATTTGCATGATTTTGTGATGTTTCTAGGAATGTCTTGCATGTCGCCTTTAGTAACCTTGGTTTTTTTGTTCTGGCCATCTGCAGTGCCCTAATTTTCATAAAAGTATCAAACATCTGTAGGGAAAAGGATTTGCTGTGGGTATGTGACACTGGGAAACTGGAAGCAGAGAGATGTTCAGGTATAGGTGAGCACTGAATGCTGTATCTTTCCAGAGTAGGATGTAGCCTTGGTGGTGCTGAATCAAATTCAAGAACAAAGAGAACCTGATGTTTGAAAATGTTCTTTAAAGGGAAAACATAATAATGGTGTGGCAATAATGAGCTGTTTTTTACATTTTTTGGCACAACTCCACTTGTACATCTCTTTAAGATAGCAAGGGGCTTGTCTGAGTGTTTGTGTTCCCCTAACATTCATATGTTGAAACTTAATCTCCAATATGATAGTATTAAGAGCTCGGGGCTCTTACTAGGGTTTAGTGCAGGGCTCTTAATACTATCATATCATATTGGAGAGGCCCGAGGAAGACTGTTTGCCCCTTCCACCATGTGAAGATAGATACAAGGTACCATCTGTAAGGAATGGGTTCTCACCAGATGCTGAATTTGCCAATGCCTTGATGCTGGACTTCCCAAACCCCAGAACTGTGAGCAATAAATTTCTTCTGTTTGTAAATTACTCAGTCTAAGGTATTTTGTGTTTGTAGTCCAAACAGACTAAGACAGGGCTAAGAAAAGGCTGTAACTCCTCTTGCTCTGTGTTGAACTGTAAATGTATGTGTGTTCCCGCTTACAACTCATCTCAGACACACCTTAAAAACCTGTGGTTTTTTCTTTTGTATTTGTATTTGCCTCGTTTCTACACCAAGAGAGACTGTCCATTCTACATTGTGGTTACAAGGAAGAATACCTAACAGAGCAAAAGCTAATCATTTATTTTTGATTTTCAGGTTGTTGCAAGACATGAAGATTTACTGGCACAAGCAACTGGGATTGAGTCGTTGGAAGGTATATTTCTAATAACTGCTAGAGATTATGTAGAGCTAGACCAGGGATTGGCAAGCTTTGGCAAGCTACTTTGGATGGCAAGTATTTTAGACTTTGCCAGCCATACAGTCTCTGTTGCAACTACTAAACTCTGCCATTGTAGAGTGAAAGTAGGCAGATAATATGAAAACAAATGTGTGTGGCTATGTTTCAGTAAGACTTTAGTGAAACTTTGCTGGCCCCTGAGCTAAATGATCTGGGTTCAAATCCTTGTTTTACTGCTTACTAGGTGTTTGACTTTGAGCAAGTTAGTTAACCCTTTTCTGCCTCAGTTTTCTTATTTGTAAAACAGGAGTATAATGTGTACTAACACAGCATTGTTCTGAGGATTAAATGAATTAGCAAGATACTTAGAACAATGCCTGCACATATTTAGTGCACCTGTAAGTGTTAGTTAATTAAAACAATAAAAACATCAACAATACCAGAGTGACTAGTAGTGGAAGAAGGCATGAATTTTTTTTCTTATTTTTGCCTTTCTTGGAGCCTTTTTTGCAACTCTTTTTAATGAAAATATAGTCAAGTAATAATTGGATTTTTATTTTTACAAATCTGCTTATTTTTGTTTGACTAAATCTTTTATGAATTTTTCATTCCCTCTTGATTAAATTAAACTACATCTCATAAATATGAAATGTTACTATTGTGTTTTACATTATTACTTGTGATTACTATTATTAATCATTGTACATCAGAAGAAAGGTAAGGGGTTTTTCTCGATGTTGATCAAATTCTTAAGGAGAGAGGATATTGTTTTCTGTGATGCAGTATTCTTTAATGCTTCCCCCAGTATTTCTCATGTACTCAAAGATACTAACTTATTCTCAGCATGTACAATATTTCTAAGATACCCTGATGAAGAACTTAGTATTTTTGGAAATAATAGTTTGTTATTTGAAATCTGGGATACATATCTGACTAGGTTCTTAGGAAGATTAGGAAGCTCTAAGTACCGATTGACTTAGTACTGGAAATTAATTACTATTATTAGTCATTTCAACTTTTATTTTAGATCCGGGGGGGTATATGTGTAGGTTTGTACCTGAGAATATTACATAATGCTGAGGTTTGGGGTACAAATGATCCTGTCACCCAGGTAGTGTGCATAGGACCCAACAGTTAGGTACTCCCTCCTCTAGTAGTCCCTATTGTCTGTTGTTGTCATCTTCAGGTCTATGAGTACCCAATGTTTAGCTCCCACTTATAAGTGAGACTGTGCAGTATTTGATTTTTCTCTTCCTGCCTTAATTTGCTTAGGATAATCACCTTCAGTTCTATCCATATTGCTATATAGGACATAGTTTCATTCTTTTTTTATGGCTGTGTAGTATCCATGGTATATATGTACCATGTTTCTTTAATTCACTGTTGTTGGGCACCTAGGTTGATTCTATGTCTTTGTTATTGTGAACAGTGCTGTGATGAACATACAAGTGCATGTGTCTTTATGGTGGAACAATTTATTTTCTTTTGAATATATATCCAGTAACAGGATTGCTGGGTCAAATGGTAGTTCTGAGTTATTTGAGAAATCGCCAAACTGCTTTCCACAGTGGCTGTACCTTCCCACCAAAAGCATATAAGCATTCCCTTTTCTCAACAGCCTCACCAGCATCTGTTGTTTTTTGACTTTTTAATAATAGTCATTCTGAATGGTGTGAGATGGTATCTCATTGTGGTTTTGATTTGCATTTCTCTGATGATTGGTGATGTTGAGCATTTTTTTTTCATGTGTGTTGCCTGCATGTATGCCTTCTTTTGAGAAATGTCTCTTTATGTCTTTTGCCCACTTTTTAATGGAGTTGTGTTTTTGCTTGTTGAATTAAGTTTCTTATAAATTCTGGATATTAGACCTTTGTCAGATGCATAGTTTGCAAACATTTTCACCCGTTCTGTAGGTTGTCTGTTTATTCTATTGATAGTTTCTTTGGCTGTGCAGAAGCTCACTAGTTTTAATTATGTTTTTAAATGTCATAATATTTTTATGCATTTTTGAGAGCATGTAATATTTTAATGGCAATCTTGAAAACATGCTAGTTTTTTATTAATAAGGATGGCATGGTAGTACATTGAGTGTGTATAGGTCTAGATGAATCACCGCAACAGAAATATTTCTCATTGTGGTTTTTAAATATGTGTTTTAGTTTATAATGTGCTTGTTTTTCCCAGAATGATGTTCAAAGATTAAAATATTTGAAATACACTGCTAGACTGAATTAGAATGATTATCTCTTGTGTGAGTGTGTAGAGTACAAAGGCTGGCTACTTTTTTCCTATGATTATCTCAGGATATTCACTAGATTATTTGAACATAAAAGATTGAAGTGTAGGCCAGGGTGCAGTGGCTCACGCCTATAATCCCAGCACTCTGGGAGGCCAAGGTGGGAGGTTCACTTGATCCCAGAGTTCAAGACCAGCCTGGGCAACATAATGAGACTCTATCTCTATAAAAAATAAAACATTAGCTTGGCGTGGTGGTGCATGTTTCTAGTCCCAGCTACTTGGGAGGCTGATGTAGGAGGATCGCTTGAGCCAAGGAGGTTGAGGCTGCAGTGAGCTGTGATTGTGTCCCTGCCCTCCAGCCTGGGTGACAGAGCAAGACCCTAGACCCTGTCTCAAAAAATAAATAAAAAACTTTAAATGTGAATTGGTTAGCATTCATTTTAGCATGATGTGTCTAGATGTTATTTTGAGATGCTGAAAAGTAAGTGTGGTGTGTATACATATTAGAAAAATTGAATATTATTCTAGCTTCTACTTCATCTGCTTTATTCTCCTAAATATGTAAAATTTTTTTAGCATGTAAGTAGTTTGGAGGTATGTTTAAGCCTATTTTATTTAAAAATGTTCTTTTTAAAAATATTCTTCCAAATATTACTTTTGAGAATTTGCTAGGTTTCAGAAAGCTATAGCAATAGAGTTTTTGTTTTCATGGAATTTTGAGGAATATTTATTAAGCTTCTTTTTGTCAAAAAGAGGTAGCCTCCCATCCTGGCTAACATGGTGAAACCCCGTGTCTACTAAAAATACAAAAAATTAGCCAGGTGTGGTGGTGGGTGCCTGTAGTCCCAGCTACTTGGGAGGCTGAGGCAGGAGAATGGCGTGAACCCCGGAGGTGGAGCTTGCAGTGAGCCGAGATCATGCCACTACACTCCAGCCTGGGCGACAGAGCGAGACTCCATCTCAAAACAAACAAACAAAAAACAAAGGTAGCCTCATTGATTTATTTGTTCATTCAGGCAATCAAATAGTAATTAATAACTTGTTAAGTACTAGGCACTTGTGAATGATAGACAAAGTCACTGTCCTTTTGGAACTATGTTCTGGTCCTGGAGGTAGATAAAAAAAAAAAAACAAAGTACAAGTAGAAAACAGGGCTGGGCATGGTGGATCATGCTTGTAACCCCAGCTACTTGGAATGCTGAGGCATGAGAATTGCTTGAACCTGGGAGGCAGAGGTTGCGGTGAGCCGAGATCATGCCAGTGCACCCCAGCCTGGGCAATAGAGTGAGACTGTATCTCAGAAAACAGAAAGAAAAATTTTATTTGTAAATTCTATAGAGAAAATAAAACAGGTGATGGGGATGGATGAAGGAGAGGGAAGGCCTTTTTGAGAAGATGACGTTTGAGCCAAGATCTAATGATGAGGAGGAGCCATCATGTGAAGATTTGAGGAGAAGACTGAACAATAAATGGGAAAGCAGGAATTAATTTGGCATGTTTGAGGGGCAGAAAGTAGCCCAGAATAGCTGATGTTTAGTGAAGGAGGGAGAGGATCGTAGATAAGGTTCTTGGGAAGGAATTTGGATTTAATTCTAAATGCAATGGTAAACCATTGGAAGAGTTTAATCAGGTTATTGTATGATGAGATTAATACTCGGAATAGTTTACTCTGATAGCTCTGTAGAAAAAGGCAATGGTGGAATCAGGGACACTGGTTTGGAAGCTATTAGAATAGTTGAAGTTGATGGTGCATTGGATTAGAGTGGTGGCAGATGGAGTAAAATGTAGGCAAAGCTGATAGGGTTTGTTGATGGCAGATGAAAGAGCTGATGGAAAAAAGTCACCGTGAGTTATTCCTAGGATTTTAGTCTCAAAAATTGGATAGATGATGGTATGAGTAATGGAGATGACATAGCCTGGAGAGAAGTGTGATTTTTGATAGGTTGGGGGGTAGGGCATAAACTGTCTTGGGTATCTTACATTTGATGTAACAGTACAGGGGAAGAGAGAGAAAGAGGACAGAGAGATAGGGAATGAGAACATAGGCAGATATATAAAGAAAATCTTTTTACATAGATGTATGTGTATACGTCTGTATATGTGTGTGTGTGTATAAAATCAGTATTTTATTGAACAGATACTATTTAAAACTTTGGGACTGAATGAAATTCCTGAAAGATTGTAGATGGAGAAGAGCAGATGGCTGAGGATCACGTCTTGGGGTACTCCAGCACATGTAGAGGTCTGACAGAGGAGAAGTGGGAACAACTAATGAGATAATAGGAGACCCAGGAAGTGTGATGATTTGAAAGCCTAGACAAGGCCAGGCGTGGTGGCTCACGCCTGTAATCCCAGCACTTTCGGAGGCCAAGGTGGGTGGATCACGAGGTCAGGAGGTCGAGACCATCCTGGCTAACATGGTGAAACCCCATCTCTACTAAAAATACAAAAAAAAAAAAAAAAATTAGCTGGGCGTGGTGGTGGGCGCCTGTAATCCCAGCCACTCGGGAGGCTGAGGCTGGAGAATGGCGTGAACCCGGGAGGCGGAGCATGCAGTGAGGGGGGATCAAGCCACTGCACTCCAGCCTGGGCGACAGAGCGAGACTCTGTCTCAAAAAAAGAAAGCCTAGACAAAAAATGTTTTAGAAAGGGAGTAGTCAACTGCTGTGAATTTCTGAGAGCTGGAACAAGGTTAAGACAGAACCAACAATAGAATTCGGCAACTCATAGATTTCTGGTGACCTTGGTAACATCTGTTTTGGTGGAGTATTGGTGGAAACCCATTGAGACTGGGTTGTGGAGAGAATATGATGTAAGAAAATGGTTATAAGTAATGGCAGTGTATTCTTGGCAGTGTATGGTGAATACACCACAAAACCAGCAGAAAAGTGGGAATCTTTGGTTCAGAGAGGATTCTATTGAACTGAACTCTGTTATTGTATACTTGTATGCTGATAGGAATGTTTATTTGTTCCAATATTATTTCATTTAAAATATGACCACATGTCTATACTTAAATTTAGATATTAATAGAATACTATGCTTTCAAAACAACTATGCCAGTTGGATATAGAAACTGAATTTTAAAGAATGGCATTCAAAATAATTAAATATCTGTACTAATTGAAAGCCTAAATAATAAAATTTATGCTTGATCTTCCTGGAAATATTTTTCCAATTTGTGAAAATTTCCTCATGTTGTAAGCCTAGAGAGTTGTAGACTAAGCTGTGGACTATAGTTTTAATATAGGAGTGATGGGGCAAAGGGGATATCATGGAGGATCAGTCATACTTTTTTGGTAATGTGTTAAAATATACATAACATAAAATTTATTGTTTTTAGCATTTTAAAACATACAATTCAGTGGCATTAAGTACATTTACAGTGTTGTGCAACCATCCTCAGTATCTAGGTCCATAACTTTTCCATCACCCCAGATGGAAACCCCATATCCATTAAGCAGTCAGTTCCCATTCCCTGTCAGGCTTCTTTTGTGAGGCAAAGATTGGAGGGGGAGACCAGTTACAGGCTTTTACAGCAGTGTGGGTAAAAGATACTGGTTGCTTGGATTAGGATGGTGACAAAAAAAGTTAAAATTATATATGCATGTATTTTCTTTTAATTTAACTATTTACCCAGTTGGATGCCCTGTAAATTTGTAAAGCCAATGTAAACTTATGTTTTCCTAGGTGTTCTTCAGATGATGCAGACGAGAATTGGGGCTTTACAGGGAGCTGTTGATAGGTACTGTTCTTAATTTTATAAATAAATGGAATGGGAATGTTTTTATCCATTGATATTCTGAAAATGATTTTATTCTCACTCCTCTCTTTTCCTGTAGGATAAAAGCAAAAATTGTTGAACCATACAATAAGATAGTTGCCCGGACTGCACAACTAGCAAGACTTCAGGTAGTTTCTTACTTTTATTTCTTTATACTTTATTATTCATTTTGTTTTCATAAGTGGACAAAATTTAAGAGTATGAGTTTGGAAGAAGTAAGAGAATGGGAACAGAAGGTAAGAGAAAAGGAGAAAAAAATACTAAAAAGCCTTAAGATGTCTAGCTCAAAAAATACAAATCTAAAGCAAATTCTTTTCACTGTCATTGCAGTGTATAATTGTTTATTAACTTATATCTTCTTCAATTTCTTTCATCAATGTTTTATAGCTTTCAATGTATAGATGCTTCACCTCCTTGGTTAAATTTATTTCTAACTTTTTTTTTTTGTAGCTATTGTAAATGGGAAATGGGATTGTTTTTCTGATTATTTCTTTGGATAGTTCATTGTTAGTGTATAGAAATGCTACTGATTTTTGTATGTTAATTTTGTATCCTCTGACTTTACTGTATGCATTTATTCTAGCACTCTTTTGGTGGAGTCTTTAGGGTCCTTTATCTAGTTTTCTGTCTAAAGGATCATGCTGTCTGCAGACAGGGATAATTTTACTTCCCTTCAGATTTGGATGCCTTTTATTTCTCACTTGCCTAATGGCTCTGGCCAGGACTTCCAGTGGCTATGTTGATGAATAGTAGTGGTGAGAGTGTGCATCCTTGTTTTGTTCCTGATCTTAGAGGAAAAGCTTTCAACTTTTCACTGTTGATTATGATGTTAGTTGTGGGCTGGTCGTATATGGCCTCTATTGCGTTGAGGTACGTTCCTTCTATAGAGTTTTTTTTGAGTTTTTAACACGATGTGTTGTTGAATTTTACCAAGTGCCTTTTCTGCATCTATCAAAATGATCATATGATTTTTGTCTTTCATTCTGTTAGTGTGGTATATCATTTATTGATTTGCACATGTTGAACTATCCCTGCACCCCAGAGATAAATCTCACTTGATCATGGTGAATGATTCTTCTAATGTGCTACTGAATTCGATTGGCTAGTATTTTGTTGAGGATTTTGCATCTGTGTTGATCAGGAATATTGACCTGTAATTTTCTTTTCCTGTAGTGTCTTTGTCATTAACAGAAGGGTAATATTGGCCTAATAAAATGAGTTTGGAAATACTTTTCCATCTTTGATTTTTTTGGGGAGAGTTTTAGAAGGATTGGTATTAGTTTTTCTTTAAATGTATGGTAGAATTCAACAGTAAAGCCATCAAGTCCTGGGCTTTTCTTTGTTAGGAGACTTTTTATTACTGATTTAATCTCTGTACTCACTATTGATCTGTTAAGATTTTGTTTCTTTATGATTCAATTTTTGTAAGTTGTATATGTCTAGAAATGTATCAGTTTCTTCTAAGTTATCCAGTTTGTTGGCATATATTTGTTCATAGTAGTTTCTTATAATTCTTTATATTTTTGTAATATCAGTTGTAATGTTTCTTTTTTCATTTCTGGTTTTGAGATTTCTTTTTTTTCTTAGTCTAGCTAAAGTTTTATTGATTTGATTTATCTATTCAAAACACCAACTCTTATAGCAAGGCATGGTGACACGCCTGTAGTCCCAGATACTCGGGAGGCTGAGGCAGAAGAATTGCTTGAGCCTGGGAGGTGGAAGTTGCAGCGAGCCAAGATTGCACCATTGTACTGGAGCCTGGACAAAAGAGCGAGACCTTGTCTCAAAAAAAAAAAAAAAAAACAAAAAACCAAAACACAACTCTTGGTTTTATTAATCTTTATTGTTTTCCTAGTCTGTATTTAATTTATTTCTGCCCTGATCTTTATTATTTTCTTCCTTCTACTAACTTTGGGCTTTGTTTGTTCTTTTTCTAGTTCTTGAGGTTTAATACTAGGTTATTTATTTGAAATCTTTTTTGATGTAGACATTTATTGCTGTAAACTTTCGTCTTAGAACTGCTTTTGCTGCATCCCATAACTTTCGGTATGTTGTGTCATTTGTCTCAAGACATTTTAAAACTTCTCTTTTAATTTCTTTTTTGATCCATTGGTTGCTCATAAGCATGTTGTTTATTTTTTTTGAGAAATTTTTGGTGAATTTTTCGAAATCCATCCTTTATTGATTTCTAGTTTAATACCATTGTGGTTGGAAAAGATATTTGATATGATCTCAGTCTTCTTAAGTTTGTTAAGCCTTATTTTCTGGTCTAACATATGATCTATCCTGAAAAAAGTTCCATGTGCATTTGAGAAGAATGTGTATTCCGCTGCTGTTGGACGGAGTGTTCTGTATTTGTTCAGTTTATTTGTTTTAGAGTGTAGTTAAAGTCTGTTGTTTCAAAATTGATTTGTTGGTTTTTTTCTTTCTTTTCTTTTCTTTTTTTTTTTTTTTTTTTTGAGATGGAGTCTCACTCTCTCACCCAGGGTGGAGTGCAATGGCCTGATCTCTGCTCACTGCAACCTCCACCTCCCAGGTTCAAGCCATTCTTCTGCCTCAGCCTCCCGAGTAGCTGGGATTACAGGTGCCCGCCACCACGCCTGGCTAATTTTTGTATTTTTGGTAGAGATGGCATTTCGCCTTCTTGGCCAGGCTGGTCTCGAACTCCTGACCTCGGGTGATCTGCCTGCCTTGGCCTCCCCACGTGCTAGGATTACAAGTGTGAGCCACTGCACCCAGCCTATTTTCTTTCAGCACTTTGAATAGATCATCCCTGTCTCTCCTGGCTTATAAGATTTCTACTGAGAAATCTGTTCATAGCCATCTTGGGATTCCTTTGTATGTGATATGCTTCTTTTCTCTTGTTGCTTTCAAGATCCTCTCTGTTTTTGATTTTTGACAATTTGATTGTAATATATCTTGGGGTAGTCTTGTTTACATTGAACCTGATTGGAGATCTTTGAGTTTCCTATACCTGGATATTTTTTACATTCCACAGATTTGGGGAATTTTTGTTATTATTTTTTAAAATAAACTTTCTTCTCTCTCTGCTCCTTCTGGGACACCCATAACATATAAATTGGTTTGCTTGATGGCATCCCGTAATTCTCAAAGGCTTTCTTTACTCTTTTTCTTTTTTCTTTTTGTTCCTCTGACTGGATCATTTCAAATAACCCCTTTTCAAGCACACTGATTCTTTTATGTGATTGAGTCTACTGTTGAAGCTCTCTTTGGAATTTTTTTAGTTCAGTCATTGTGTTCTTTAGTTCCAGAATTTCAGTTTGGTTCATTCTTATGGTTTCTGTTTCTTTGTTGAACTTCTCATTTTGTTTGTTTATTGTTTTCCTGATTTTGTGTACTTGTCTAGTTGTATTGTCTTGTAGTTCATGGAGTTTTTAAAAGATGATTATTTTGAATTGCTTGTTAGGCAGCTCATAAACCTCAATATCTTTAATGTTTGTTCCTTTGGTGGTGTTATGTTTCCCTGATTGTGATTCTTGTTGCCTTGTATTGGTGCCTGCACATTTGAAGAAGTAGGAACTTACTCCACTCTTTGCAGACTGGCTTTGGCTGGCAAAGTTCTTCACCAATTAGCCTGACCAGAGATCCTAGGCAGGCTTTCTGGTGTGGTCTGTGGGCAGGCTTACTGCTGGTGTCTTCAGGCAGGCTGTTGTGGTACCTAGGTTAGCAGGTGCACAGGTCTGGTGCTTGGGTCCATGAGGTTTGGTCTGCAGACTATATTTACTGGGGCAAATGTGGGTCATGAGTTTGCTGGAGCAGACTTAGATCCAGGGTTCACAGTGCCAAGCTGGCCCCTTGTGGAGTGGACACGTTGACTATTAGGGCCCTAGTCCACAAGAGCTGGTCTGAAGCCTGGTCCCTTGGGAGCTGACCTGGCACTTGGACCGGCCTTTAGCTTGAATCTGCAGGAGCCAACCAGTTGCTGGCACCTGGGACCTTGGGGATGGGCCTGGAGCCTGAGTCCACAATGCCTGGCTTTCACTGGCACCTGGGACCATGGGGGTGGGCCTGGAGTCTGTGAGTCAGGCCTGGTCTTGGGTTTACCAGGGTTAGCCTGGAGCTTGGGTTTGCAAGGGTGGTCCTGGAGCCTTGGTCTGCTGAAATAAGCCTGGACTCTGGGTCCACTGAAGGCTGCAGTCTGTGGGTGCTTGCTTTGTGCCTGGAGCCATGAGGGTCTTCCTAGAGGCTGGGTGAGTGAGTGCTGGCCTGGAGGCTGGGTCTGCAAGGGCTTGCCTGGAGACTGGGCCACTGAGGCAGGTGTGAGTCATCAGGTCTTGGGGGCAGGCCTGGCACTGGGTTCTGCTGTGATGAGCCTGGACCCTGGGTTTGCCAGAGGAGGCCAGGTTCTGCTGGGATGGACCTGGACCCTGGCTCTGCCAGAGGAGCCTGAACTTTGTGTCTGTTGGAGTGTGGGGCCACAGGGGCTGACTTGGAATGTGGACCCGTAGGGCAGGCTTGGAGCCTGTGTCCTTGTGTGCTGGCCTGGTGTCTGAGGCCACAGGTGCCAACCTGATGCGGGGCAGACCTGGTGTTTGGGGCCACTTGGGCTGGTCTGGAGCATGAGTATTCAGGGGCTGGCCTGGTGCTGGAAGTCTGAGTGCTAACCTGGCACTAGGGCTAGCCTAACATCTTGGGCTATGCAGGGTTGCCTGGTGCTGGGTTGGGCCTGGAGCCTGAGTTGGGATTAGCCTGAAGCCGAGGGCTGGTCTGGGGCCTGGGGTCACTGGGACCAGCCTGGTATTGGAGTGGGCCAGGAGATGTAGTCTGGAAGTACTGGCCTGGAGTCGGGCGGGGGCAGCCTGCCCAACACAATTTTAATGGGGCAGGCCTAGTGTTGGGGCTGAGGCAAAGTCCAGTGCTCAATTCCTTCTCTTTTCTCTCCTCAACGAGCATCTGTCTCCTTGCTAGCTGGCTGGTGTTGGGGGACGCAGGTAATGTAATACTGTCCTTCCTACTCTCTTCAATGTGCCTCTTTTTATTTCTGTGCTGTATTCACGTGCTGTAATGTCTTACCTGGTTTCTTTAACTTTTGTGAAGATGTTTTTGTGTATGGATAGTGGTTCAAATTAATGTGTCTGCAAGCTGGAGTCCTGGAAAGTCTTCCTCTGCCATCTTACTAATGTCACTCATAAACATATCACATTGATTTTTTTTAACTAAAAATTATGCTTTAATACCCTGTTTTTTGGAAAGTATTATCCTTTTTTGAATTCATCTATATTGCTTTTCCCTTTTTTTTTTTTTTTGAGACAGAGTTGTGCTCTGTTGCCTAGGCTGGAATGCAATGGAGCGATCTTGGCTCACTGCAGCCTCCGCCTCCCAGGTTCAAGGATTCTCCTGCCTTAGCTTCCCAAGTAGCTGGGATTACAGGCACCTGCCACCACATTTGGCTATTTTTTTGTTGTGTTTTTAGTAGAGACAGAGTTCACCATGTTGGCCAAGCTGGTCTCGAACTCCTGACCTCAAGTGATCCACCTGCCTCGGCCTCCCAAAGTGCTGGGATTACAGGCGTGAGCCACCATGCCTGGCCTTGCTTGTTTTGTTTCATTTTTATTGCTGTAGAATATGTCATTATATGAATATTCTGCTTATGGAATTTGGATTGTTTCCAGATTGGGACCATTATGAGTAATATGGCTGTGAAAACTTTTTTACAAATATATGTTGGCTCATGCTAATACCCCTTTGTGTAAGTTATATCCTGGGAGTGAGATTTCTGGGTTATAGGGTTTCTGATTTTCAACTTTATTAGATAATGCCAAACTATTTTACCAAATGGTTATACCACATATGCTATCAGTATATGAGAGTTCCTTTTAGTTTGTATCCTTGTCAACACTTAGTGTTGTCAAACTTGTTAGTTTTTGCTAATATTTTAGGTGTGTGGTGGTATCTTGTTGTGGTTTTGTTTTTCTAAGAGCTAATTACTAAGGAGATTGAACCTCTTGTAAGTCATCTATTATGTGTGTTTCAGATATTCCTCTGCCTATCCATTTTTTTCTCCTTCTCGCTCTTGTCTGTTGTTGGAGAGAAGTTAAATTTATCTAATTTTTCTTTTATGGTTAGTTCTCTTTTATGAAAAATTCTCACAAGATAACTTTCTCTACCCTGAAGCTATGAAGATATTGTATATTGCCTTCAAAAGCACGTATTGTTTTGCCTCATATGTTTAGATCTATAATCTACCTGAAATTGCTTGTAAATTTACTAATCTTTTTAATTAAGTATGTAATCTGCTGTTAATCCCATCCTGTGTGTTTTTATAGTTTTTTTTTTTTTTTCTTTTTTGAGATGGAGTCTCACTCTGTTGCCCAGGCTGGAGTGCAGTGGCACCATCTCGGCTCACTGCAACCGCGCCTCCTGGCTTCAAGCAATTCTTCTGCCTCAGCCTCCTGAGTAGCTGGGAGTACAGGTGCCTGCCACCATGCCCAGCTAATTTTTGTATTTTTAGTAGAGACAGGGTTTCAACATATTGGCCAGGCTGGTCTCGAACTTCTGACCTCGTGATCCGCACGCCTCAGCCTCCCAAAGTGCTGGGATTACAGGTGTGAGCCACCATCCCCGGCCTATAGTTTTCATCTCTAGTTTATATTTGTGTCTTTTTATATCTTCTCTTTCTGTTATGACATTTATATTTCAATTTCATTTATATAAATACACACACGCATAAATACATATATATATATATATATATTTTTTTTTTTTTTTTTTTTTTTTTTTTGAGACAGGGTCTCACTCTGTTGCCCAGGCTGGAGTGCAGTGGCACGATCTCAACCCACTGCAATCTCTTCCTCCCAGGCCCAAGCTATCCTCCCATCTCAGCCTCCTGAGTAGCTGAGACTATGGGCATGCACCACCACACCCAGCCAATTTTTGTATTTTTTGTAGAGACCGGGTTCTGTCCTGCTGCTCAGGTTGGTCTCGAACTCCTGAGGTCAAGCATTCCACCTGTATTGGCCTCCCAAAGTGCTGGAATTACAAGTATGAGCCACTGTGTCCGGCTGACATTCATGTTTTCATTTACCTTCTTGAACATATACATGTTTATAAATTTTTTTTTTTTTTTCAAGACAGAGTCCCGCTCTGTTGCCCAGGCTGGGGTGCAGTGGCAGGATCTTGGCTCACTGCAACCTCCGCCTCCTGGGTTCAAGTGATTCTCCTGCCTAAACCTCCTGAGTAGCTGGGATTACAGGCATGTGCCACAACACCTGGCTAATTTTTGTATTTTGAGTAGAGATGGGGTTTTACCATATTGGCCAGGCTGGTCTTGAACTCTTGACCTCAGGTGATCCGCCTGCCTCAGCCTCCCAAAGTGCTGGGATTATAGGCATGAGCCACCGTGCCCGGCCTATAAAATATATTTTAACATTTAATTCTTTATTATTTCTAGGTTTGTTTTTGTTGATTGACTTTTCTTCTTGTTTCTTGTTATGGGTTTTATGTGTTTTGCTTCTTTACATACCTGGTAATTTTTTATTGGATATTAGAAATGTGTATTTTATGTTTAGGGTTCCTAGATTATTTAAAATTTCTTTTAAATAATGTTGGACTTTTTTCTGGTTCACACTTAAGTTACTTGGAATCAGTTTGATCTTTTTTTTTTTATTTAATTTTAATTTTTATTTATTTATTTATTTTTTGAGACAGGGCCTTGCCCTGTCACTTGGGCTGGAGTATAGTGGGGCAGTCTTGACCCACTGTAACCTCTAAGTGCTGGGCTCAAGCAATCCTCCTGCCCCAGCCTCCCAAGTAGCTGGGACTAAAGGCACACACTACCATGCCCAGCTAATTTTTTTTTTTTTTTTATTGTAGAGATGGGAGTCTCACCATGTTGCCTAGGCTGATTTCAAACTCCTGGCCTCAAGTGATACTCCTACCTGGCCTCCCAAAATGCTGGGATTGCAGGCATGAGCCACCATTAATCTTTTTGAGATTTAGTTTTAAATCTTTGTTAGTACAGGTCCAGAACAGCCTTTAGCCTAGGGCTAGTTTAGCCCTGTTTACTATTAGGTCTTTCTACTGTTGTTTCAGTGTTTCTTTTCCTGTGCTTCCTCTCACACATGCACAGATTGGTACTCAGAAGACTGGAAGCTATTTTTCTGCTTATCTGCACAACCTCTGTTTTTGCAGCTTTTCTCCAATTCTCTGCCCATAAACACTAGCTTTTTTGGCTTTCTTGAAATGTAATCTCTACTTCCCAACTTCAGAGAGACTGTCATGCTCTGTTTCCCTTGCCTTCCCTTTGCTGTGGCCTGAAAATTGTCTCCCAGTGGTAATCTGAGACAATTGTTAAGCTCATTTTCTTGTTTCTCTCAAAGATCACAGACCTGTGTTTTCTGTTATCCAATTATTGTCCAATTATTCATTCCTGTTGTTCTAAAATTATTTCGTGTATTTTGTTCAATTTTCTAGTTGTTTAAAATGGAAAAGTAAGTCTGACCCTATTCCATCATTGTTAGAAGTCACACTCATTATTAAAAATTGAGTTATAAGTTACATACCATAAAATAATCACTTTAACATGTACAGTTTAGGGGTTTTTACTATATTCACAAGATTGCATCTTGTGAATACAATATCTAATTATACTATAATATTATCTAATGCCAGAATATTTTCATTACCCAAAAAAGAAACTCTATGCCCATTAGCAGTTACTCCCTCTATCCACTTCTCTACGCCAAGCTCTCAACTAATCTGCACTAATCTGCAGTCTTCCTTTTTGGATTTCCCTATTCAGGACATTTCATGGAAATTGATCATTCATTATGTAGTATTTGCCTTCTTAATGTAATGTTTTCAAGGTTCATCCATATTGTAGCATATGTCAGTACAGTAAGTTCTTATTTAATGTCATTGATAGGTTCTTGGAAACTGCAACTTTAAGTAAAAGAACATACAGCAGGTCCTTGAATAACATGTCATTTCATTATAACACTGAGGAGGAAAAAACTGGGTTTCATTATACGTTGCTTTGTTGTTGTTGTTTTTTGAGACAGGGTCTTGCTCTGTCATCCAGGCTGGAGTGCAGCCTCTTGAGTAGCTGAGACAACAGGCACGCACCACCATGCCCAGCTAATTTTTTTTTAAATTTTAATTTTTTTTAGACAGTGTCTCTCACTATGTTGCCCAGGCTTGTCTCAAACTTCTGGACTCAAGTGATCCATCTTCCTCAGCCTCCCAAAGTGCTGGGATTACAGGAGTGAGCCGCCTGGTCCATTGTTTTCACTTAAAGTCAAAAGAACCAGTTGATGATGTTTAATGAGGACTTAGGTACTTCTTTACTTATATGGTCAAATAATATATCATTTTATGAATATATCACATTTTGTTTATCCATTCAATTTGTTTATCCTTTCATCAGTTGATGAATATTTAGGTTGTTTCTACTTTTTAACTATTTTGAGTAGACTGCTAAGAACAAACGTTGCATAAATAATATTTGTGTGTGCTTTTTTTTTTTTCAATTCTTGGGTATATACCTGAGAGCATATTATGCTAGGTCATATGCTAACTCTATGTTTAACATTTTGAGGAATGCCAAACTATTTCCAAGGCAACTGGACTGTTTTCCATTATTACCAACAATGTATGAAGATTCTAATTTCTGTACTTTTTTTTAATACTGCCATCTTATTGAAGTGGCATCGTTGTCTTGAGTAAATAGCTGAGTTTTGTTGTCTTACAGCCACACAAAACTAGGACGCAGACACACAAATAGTGATGTTCAGAGTGGAAGTTTAATAGGCGAAAGAAAGAGAAGAGCTCTCTCTGCTGCAGAGAGGGGTCCTGGAGAACTGGGTTGCTGCTTTTATTGTGAAATGCAGTTGAGTTTTATAGATGAGCTTGAGGAGGCAGTGTCTAATTTACATAGGGCATGAAAGATTGGTCAGACCAGGTGTGCTATTTGCCTAAGGTGCAAAAAACTAGTTAGGGCTAGGTGTGCCACTTGCATAGCATGTGAAAAAGCTGGCCGCCCTGCCCTAATCTTTTATTATGCAGATGAATTCTCTGGCTGGCTGGTGCTGTGTTGCCTGCTTCTTTACTGTACATGTGGTTACAAAGAAAAGCAAAGATGGAGCCTCCATGTTGAACATACCTGGCTTCCAGGTAGCCCTTTTCTATTGACACAGCTGCTGGCATTCACCTGTTCAATTTCCAGCTTGCTTATCTATGTCTGTAGCTCGATTTTTCAGGCTGCTCTTTGTCAGAAAAGAAATGATTTGGGAGCTGCTTTTTGTTAAAAGGGAAATTCTGCCAAGGACTCTGTTGCCCTTATTGTCTGCCTAAATAATTTCTATCTCCTGTATCATTATTGGGTATGAAGTAGTATCTCATTGTCATTTTGATTTGCATTTTCCTAATGGCTAATGATATTGAGCATCTTCTGTGGTGCCTTTTGGCCATTTATGTATCTTCCTTGGAGACATGTCTATTCAAATAATCCTTTGCTCTTTTTTTTTTCTTTCTTTTTTTTTTAAATTATACTTTAAGTTCTGGGATACATTTGCAGAATGTGCAGGTTTGTTACATAGGTATACATGTGCCATGGTGGTTTGCTGCACCCATCAACCCATTATCTACATTAGATATTTCTTCTAATGCTATCCCTCCCCCTTGGCCCCACCCCCTGACAGGCCCTGGTGTGTGATATTCCCCTCCCTGTGTCCATGTATTCATTGTTCAGCTCCCACTGATGAGTGAGAATATGCAGCGTTTGGTTTTCTCTTCCTGTGTTAGTTTGCTGAGAATGATGGTTTCCAGCTTCATCTTTGTCCCTGCAAAGGACATGAGCTCATTCTTTTTTATGGCTGCATAGTATTCCGTGGTGTATATGTGCCACATTTTCTTTATCCAGTCTAACGTTGATGGACATCTGGGTTGGTTCCAAGTCTTTGCCATTGTGAACAGTGTTGCAGTAAACATACGTGTGTGTGTATCTTTATAGTAGAATGATTTATAATCCTTTGGGTATAGAATGATTTATAATCCTTTGGGTATATACCCTGTAATGGGATTGCTGGTCAAATGGTATTTCTTGTTCTAGATTCTTGAGAAATAGCCTCACAATGGCTGAACTAATTTACACTCCCACCAACAGTGTAAAGTGTATAAGGAAGGGCTCCAGTTTCAGTTTTCTGCATACAGCTAGCCAGTTTTCCCAGCACCATTTATTAAATAGGGAATCCTTTCCCCATTGCTTGTTTTTGTCTGGTTTGTCAAAGATCAGATGGTTGTAGATATGTGGTGTTATTTCTGAGGCCTGTTCCATTGATCTATATTTCTATTCCATTGGTCTATGTATCTGTTTTGGTATCAGTACCATGCTGTTTTGGTTACTGTAGCCTTGCAGTATAGTTTGAAGTCAGGCAGTGTGATGCCTCTAGCTTTGTTCTTTTTGCTTAGGATTGCCTTGGCTATATGGGCTCTTTTTTGGTTCCATATGAAATTTAAAGTAGTTTTTTCTAATTCTGTGAAGAATGTCAATGGTAGCTTGATGGGAATAGTATTGAATCTATAAATTATTTTGGGCAGAATGGCCATTTTCATGATATTGATTCTTCCTATCCATGAGCATGGAATGTTTTTCCATTTGTTCGTGTCCTATCTTATTTTCTTGAGGAGTGGTTTGTAGTTCTCCTTGAAGAGGTCCTTCACATCTCTTGTAAGTTGTATTCCTAGGTATTTTATTCTCTTTGTAGAAATTGTGAATGGGAGATTGCTCATGATTTGGCTCTCTATTATTGGTGTATAGGAATGCTTGTGATTTTTGCACATTGATTTTGTATCCTGAGACTTCACTGAAGTTGCTTATCAGCTTAAGGAGTTTTTGGGCTGAGACGATGGAGTTTTCTATATATACAATCATGTCATCTGCAAACGGAAATAATTTGATTTCCTCTCTTCCTATTTGAATACCCTTTATTTCTTTCTCTTGCCTGATTGCCCTGGCCAGAACTTCCAATAATATGTTGAATAGGAGTGGTGAGAAGGGGCATCCTTGACTTGTGCCAGTTTTCAAAGGGAATGCTATGGGTTTACCATAAATAGCTCTCATTATTTTGAGATATGTTCCATCAATACCTAGTTTATTGAGTGTTTTTAGCATGAAGGGCTGTTGAATTTTGTGGCCTTTTCTGCATCTGTTGAGATAATCATGTGGTTTTTGTCATTGGTTCTGTTTATGTGATGGATTATGTTTATTGATTTGCATATGTTGAACCAGCCTTGCATCCCAGGGATTAAGCCGAGTTGATCATGGTGGATAGGCTTTTTAATGTGCTGCTGGATTCAGTTTGCCAGTATTTTATTGAGGATTTTCACATTGATGTTCATCAGGGATATTGGCCTGAAATTTTTTATGTTGTGTCTCTGCCAGATTTTGGTATCAGAGTGATGCTGACCTCATAAAATGAGTTAGGGAGGAGTCTCTCTTTTTCTATTGTTTAGAATAGTTTTAGAAGGAATGGTACCAGCTCCTCTTTGCAACACCTCTAGTAGAATTCAGCTGTTGATCTGTCTGGTCCTGGGCTATTTTTGGTTAGTAGGCTATTAGTGCTTCAATTTCAGAACTTGTTATTGGTCTATTCAGGGATTCAACTTCTATCTGGTTTAGTCTTGGGAGGGTGTATATGTCCAGGAATGTATCCATTTCTTCTGGATTTTCTGGTTTATTTGCATAGAGGTGTTTATGGTATTCTGTGATGGTAGTTTGTATTTCTGTGGGATCAGTGGTGATATCCCCTTTATCATTTTTGATTGTGTCTATTTGATTCTTCTCTTTTCTTCTGTGTTAGTCTGGCTAGTGGTTTATTTTGTTAGTCTTTTCAAAAAACTAGCTCCTGGATTCATTGATTTTTTTTGAAGGGTTTTTCATGTCTCTATCTCCTTCAGTTCTGCTCTTAGTTATTTCTTGTCTTCTGCTAGATTTTGCATTTGTTTGCTCTTGCTTCTCTAGTTCTTTTAATTGTGATGTTAGGGTGTCAATTTTAGATCTTTCCCACTTTCTCCTGTGGGCATTTAGTGCTATAAATTTCCCTCTAAACACTGATTTAGCTGTGTCCCAGAGATTCTGGTATGTTGTGTCTTTGTTCTCATTGGTTTCAAAGAACTGATTTATTTCTGCCTTAATTTTGTTATTTGCCCAGTAGTCATTCAGGATCAGGTTGTTCAGTTTCTATATAGTTGTGCGGTTTTGAGAGAATTTCTTAATCCTGAGTTTTAGTTTGGTTGCACTGTGGTCTGAGAGACTGTTGGTTATGATTTCCATTCTTTTACATTTCCTGAGGGGTGTTTTACTTCCAATTATGTGGCCAATTTTAGAATAAGTGCTGTGTGGTACTGAGAAGAATGTATATTCTGTTGATTTGGGGTGGAGAGTTCTGTAGATGTCTATTAGGTCTGCTTGGTCCAGAGCTGAGTTCAAGTCCTGAATATCCTTGTTAATTTTCTGTTTCGTTGATCTGACTAATATTGACATTGGGGTGTTAATGTCTCCCACTGTTACTGTCTGGGAGTCTAAATCTCTTTGTAGATCTCTAAGAACTTGGTTATGAATCTGGGTGGTCCTGTATTGCGTGCATATATATTTAGGATAGTTAGCTCTTCTTGTTGCATTGATCCCTTTACCATTATGTAATGGGCTTCTTTGTCTTTTTTGATCTTTGTTGGTTTAAAGTCTAAACAGTCAGAGACTAGGATTGCAACCCCCACTTTTTTTTTTTTTGCTTTCCATTTGCTTGGTAAATATTCACCCATCCCTTTATTTTCAGCCTATATGTGTCTTTACACATGAGATGGATCTCCTGAATTCATCACATGAATGGGTCTTAACTCTATCCAATTTGCCAGTCTGTGCCTTTTAATTGGAGCATTTAACCCATTTAAATTTAGGATTAATATTGTTATGTGTGAATTTTATCCTGTCATTATGATGCTAGCTTGTTATTTTGCTCATTAGTTGATGCAGATTCTTCATAGTGTTGATGGTCTTTAACTTTTGGTTTGTTTTTGCAGTGGCTGGTACCAGTTTTTCCTTTTGATATTTAGTGCTTCCTTCAGGAGCTCTTGTAAGGCAAGCCTGGTGGTGATAAAATCTCTCAGCATCTGCTTGTCTGTAAAGGATTTTATTTCTACTTTGCTTATGATGCTTAGTTTGGCTGGATATGAAATTCTGGGTTGAAAATTCTTTTCTTTAAGAATGTTAAGTATTGGCTGCTACTCTCTTCTGGCTTGTAGGGTTTCTACAGAGAGATCTGCTGTTAGTCTGATGGGCTTCCCTTTGTGGGTAACCTGACCTTTCTCTTGGGCTGCTCTTAACATTTTTTCTTTCATTTCAACCTTGGTGAATCTGATGATTATCTGTCTTGGGGTTGTTCTTCTTGAGGAGTATCTTAGTGGTCTTCTCTGTATTTCCTGAATTTGAATGTTGGCCTGTCTTGCTAGGTTAGGGAAGTTCTCCTGGATAATATCTTGAAGTGTGTTTTCCAACTTGGTTCCATTCTCCCCATCGCTTTCGGGTACAGCAATCAAATGTAGGTTTGGTCTTTTCACATAGTCCTGTATTTCTTGGAGGCTTTGTTTGTTCTTTTTCATTCTTTTTTCTCTGATCTTTTCTTCATGCTTTATTTCATTAAGTTGATCGTCAGTCTCTGATATCCTTTCTTCCACTTGATCTATTCGGCTATTGATACTTGTGTATGCTTCACGAAGTTCTCCTGCTGTTTTTCAGCTCAATCAGGTCATTTATGTTCTTTAAACTGGTTATTCTAGTTAGCAATTCCTCTAACCTTTTTTTCAAAGCTCTTAGCTTCCTTGCATTGGGTTAGAACATGCTCCTGTAGCTTGGAGGAGTTTGTTATTACCCGCCTTCTGAAGTCTCCTTCTGTCAATTTGTCAAACTGATTCCCCATCCACTTTTGTTCCCTTGCTGGTGAGGCGTTGTGATCCTTTGGAGGAGAAGAGGTATTCTGGTTTTTGGCATTTTCAGCCTTTTTGTGCTGGTTTTTCCTCATCTTCGTGGATTTATCTACCTTTTGGTCTTTGCTGTTGGTGACCTTTGGATGGAGTTTTTGCATGATGTTGGTGTTGATGCTATTGCTTTCAGTTTATTAGTTTTTCTTCTAACAGTCAGGCCCCTCTGCTGCAGGTCTGCTGGAGTTTGCTGCGGGTCCACTCCAGACCCTGTGTCCTTGAGTATCACCAGTGGAGGCTGCAGAACAGCAAAGACTGACTAGAAAAAAATCACCGTGAGACTAGTGTTAAGCATGAGAACTAGTATTAAATGAAAGTTATAAAGAATAGTGTGTAATGACTATATGTTTTGGCAAAGAAATATAATTCAGCTGTAAAAAACAGTGGGAAGAGCATATGCAAAAAATTT
Organism: Homo sapiens; assembly: GCF_000001405.40. Taxonomy (NCBI): domain Eukaryota; kingdom Metazoa; phylum Chordata; class Mammalia; order Primates; family Hominidae; genus Homo; species Homo sapiens. The sequence goes on along the minus strand of NC_000007.14, from coordinate 107,532,835 downwards.
TAAAAACTATTTTCTGCCATCATACTTTTGACTGTAGTGTTTGTTTTGTTGCTCAGGTATTTTCTGTGTATTGTGCAGCAGAGCAAATGAATAATTATACATTATTCTAATTTTGTTATCTCCTGTGTCCTTGAGAGCTAGGAATCTTAATGTGGAAGAAATTATATACTGTTTATATTTATATAGATGTAAGAAGGCTAAATCCTCTACTTCTGATTTTTAATTAGAAGTATCAGTATGAACTTGAGATTCTTTAATGTCATTTAAAAATAGTATATACCTTATATTTGTGTGTATATATATATTTGTGCATATGTATATGTATGTTAATCTGAGAATGTTTTATGTGTATTGTGGCATAAATCAAATGAATATTTATGTGATATTTTAATGCTGGCATTTCCTTGCTATGTCTATGGAAAAGTCCCAGAAATGAACAAACCTAGTTCTGTGAATGTGGTCTTGAAATGCTGTTTTCTGCCTGGGTGCAGTGGTCCATTCCTATAATCCCAGCACTTTGGGAGGCCAAGGCAGGTGGATCACATGAGGTCAGGAGTTCGAGATCAGCCTGGCCAACATGGTGAAACCCCATCTCTACTAAAAATACTAAAATTAGTCAGGCATGGTGGCAGACACATGTAATCCCAGCTACTCAGGTGGCTGAGGCAGGAGAATCGCTTGAACCCTGGAGGGGGAGGTTGCAGTAAGCCAAGGTTGTGCCATTGTACTCTAGCCTGGGCGACAAAAGCGAAACCGTCTCAAAAAAAGAAAAAAAGTAATGCTGTTTTCTACTAAAAGAAACCAGGGCTTCTTTGAGAAATCTTTGATTCCAGGTCTGGGGCATGAAATGTATAAAATGATCCTGGAACATTTTTATACCAGATACCAAGGAGGCTATCAACGACTGCTCGGTTCATGACAAAGGAACTCAGGAACTGACTTGAATAGGCTTTGGGTGACCAGCTATTTTAGTTTTACTACTGAAAGTCCTAAAACTTGGGAAACTTCTCAGTCTCAGGCAAAGTGGTACAGTTAATCACTCTCAGAGGCTTCTGCTGGCCGAAATGGAACACTTTGAGCATCAATAAGGATAAGAGCCATGATGGGTTGGGCATCCCTTATTATGTTTAAATCAATTTCATAATGATATCAAAAAAAAAAAAAAGCAAAACCCCAGAACACCCACCTCCCCCCCGCCCTCACCGACTAATTTTTCATTATTGGTGAATATTAGGAAATTATTTCTTCATTTTGAAAACTAATAAGGGAAAGATTAAGTATTTATTTTTAGTTTTCAGTATGAACAATACTCCTAGGTAAACAAATAGTCAATGAGGTAAAGTTTATTTTTATAGAGAAATTTCATATGCTTATAAATACAAAATGACAGAATTGGATTATTACTATTTTGCAGTCACTTATGTTTCAGTGGATTTTGACATTGAATATCAGTGGCTGATACTCAACACAAAAAGAGAGAAAATCATACATCTCTTAAAATATACCACCCTCTAATGTTTAATCTTGCCAAAAATACTAAACTTAAATCTGATGAAGCTGCCCGCATCCAACTACTAATTTACAGGTAATATAGAAGATAGAGGAACTTGTTAAACTGCATCAAGGGAATACAGTCAACAAAACCCAGTCTGTGGGAAACTTTAGGACAGATGATCCAATATATTCAACAAATTGCAATGAAAAAAAGAGAAGGTGAGAGAACAGATTAAAAACAAGAAAAATTAAACCATAGCACTTAGGTATTTGTACTTCAGTAATAAAAAAAAAAAGTAAGGAAGTGATTAATGTAAAAGAGTAGTGGTTTCTCTTGGTTGGCATGAAGGGTAATGGCATTGGGAGGGAGTAAATGAGGGCTTCTGTGGTGGCTCACATGATCCTGTCTCCTGATCTGTGTGTTGCTTCTAAGTTCCTTTAGCTGTGTATCTCTGAGTGTGGTTTTCCATGCTTGTGTTATATTTAATAGTAAAAGTCTAAGATAAAAAAACAGGGAGGGAAAGGAAATTGATTGGAGGGGAGGCAGCTATATTGGGAAATGGTGAGAACTGATGCCTTATAGATCAACTTATAATAGCTTAGACTTATTAACTAAGGATTTTATTAAATGGTATTCCCAGAAGATTCAACATAATCTGTAAGTAGAGAGCCATTAAAGTTTACTAAAAAGGGGGTTGGAGTGCTGAAAACTGTGTTTTTTTTTTTTTTTTTTTTTTTTTGAGATGGAGTTTCGCTCTTGTTGCCCAGGCTGGAGTGCAATATCACAATCTCGGCTCATCGCAACCTCCGCCTCCCGGGTTCAAGCGATTCTTCTGCCTCAGCCTCCCAAGTAGTTGGGATTACAGGCATATGCCACCACACCCAGCTAATTTTGTATTTTTAGTAGAAATGGGGTTTCTCCATGTTGGTCAGGCTGGTCTCGAACTCTCGACCTAAGGTGATCCGCCCGCCTTGGCCTCCCAAAGTGATGGGATTACAGGCATAAGCCACTGCGTCCGGCCCAAAAACTGCATTTTTAAGAAGATAAATCTGGCTGGGTGGATTTCAATGAGAGACTTGAAAGCTAGCCGAGAAACCACTATGTAAAGGTAATGGTGATAAAGATGTGGATTAGGGTGATGCTTGTAGGAATAGAGGTAAAATAACAACTTTTGTTTTATGCAGTAGGATAGTTGGTAAGACTTGGTGACAGATTAAGTATGGTTGCTAAAAATAAAAACAGTAGAAATAAAGATTGCATGTTTTGAGAGCATACCCTTTGTTGGGTAGGATTAGGGAATTCTGGATGACAGTCTTAGAGTAAGAGCTTAATTTCTTCTTACGATGTATTTAAAATCTCAGAGGAATGAGATTTTACGTTCCAAATTGTTTATCTAAAAATGTCAGTTCTAACAGGGAAGGTGCTGATAATGTTTCCAGTGCAAGATATCCAAGTTACTGGTGTCGAATCCGTACAGGTCTGCAGCAACCTCAATTCTTGCCTCCTCAGAAGAAAGAATTCGACTGAGGGGCATAAGGCAGAAAAAGAGACCAAGGTACATTTCAGAGCAGGAGTGGAAGTTTATTTAAAAAGGCTTTAGAACAGGAAAGAAAGAAAGGAAAGTACGCTTGGAAGAGTCCCACGTGGGCACTGAGGTCAGGTGCAGTGTTTAACCTTGATCCGAGGACTTTATAGCCTGGCTCCTTTCCCAAGATTCTTCCCTTAGGGTGGGCTGCCCACATGTCCAGTGCCCTCCTTACCCTTAAGAGGTGAGCACAGGCAGTGTGTTTAGGAATTTCTATGCATGCCCACCTGAGGCTTTCTTCCTTTTTCAGGTGGAGTGCCCCCGGAAGGTCATACTCCACCATTTTGTGTCTTAAAGCACATGCCCTGGAAGTTGCTTCTCCCTGGCATTTGCATTCAATTAACACTTTAATGCACCAGGCGTGGACCATCAGGAAATGTCCTCTCCCTGGCACTGGCTGCCAATTTATCAGTTTTAGAGAGGCAATGTGATAACTTCCAAATCATCAACCGACGTTCCTAGTGGGTGGGGCAGTAGCCCTCTCCTGCCCCACTCTTGACTGTCTAACTACCTGCAACAATAACAGTGATTGTTTTTGTTAAGTGCATAGTTGGGACAGAGATACGAGGGTGACTTTTCAATGTTATTTCTTTTTATTTCTTGAATTTTGAATCATGTGCTTGTATTATCTATTCAGAAAACGGATAATATTTAATTAAAAGATAAAGATGCCCCAATTGTCAATTTCCATGGGAAAAATTTTCCTTTGGCATTCCTTTTTTTTTTTTTTTATTTAAGTATTTCAGATTAGTTTCTCTGAAAAGCAGTCAGGTAAACATGTTTAATACTTGATTGGCTTTGACTTACATGTGTTTGTAAATATATGTTTGTTTTATGTTTGAGTATGGTGTATGCATACATACGGTGTATTGCTTGTGAGTGCATGGGTGTGGCTGTGTGTGGCTCTGGTGTATGTATTTATTTCACCCATAAAAGAATGTTTATACCTGGAGGTTCAGGGACCCTGGCTTCTCAGAGCTTTTAATTCTTATTGCCACCATGTAGAATTTTTCTCCTTAAACAGGGGAGATGTCCTTGCTTCTCAGTTAGCCTTGGGGCCATTCAAAAATGGTTGTGATGCAGCAGTATGGAATGTCTCTCTTTCCTTTGTAATCACTACTGAGGCTGAAGATCACTACATGTTGGTTATTCAGTATGTCACCCTCTACCACACTCTCCCTCATGCAACTGCTGTGAATCCAGCTTCTGTAATAAAGTGTCCTAAAATACATGAACCTTTATTTCTTATCTCAGCCTTTTGATAGCTAAAGACCTAGTATTAGATCTGGGAAAAGGAATAGGAAGTGTGTGAAATAGTTTTGTTGTTTATGTGCTTTCTCTTTTATAATTTATTAGTGATTAAAAATCACCACGCATGGTGGCTCACACCTGTAATCCTAGCACTTTGGGAGTCTGATGTGGGAGGTTCACCTGAGCCCAGTAGTTTGAGAGCAGCCTGGGCAACATGGCAAAACCTCATCTCCACAAAAAATACAATTAGCCAGGCATGGTGGCACACGCCTGTAGTCCCAGCTACTTGGGAGGCTGAGGCAGAAGGATCGCTTGAGCCCAGGAGGTAGAGGTTGCAGTGAGGTGTGATCATGCCACTGCACTCCAGTTTGGGCAACTGAGCGAGACCCTGTTCTCAAAAAAAAAAAAAAGATTAGGAAAATAATGAAATTGAGAGAAGTTTTAAGACTACTCCTGCAGGATATAGGAAAGAGAAGCTGGGACTGAAAATAACAGGAGGCAGTAGTAGGAAGCTGAGCAACCTAGCATAGTGATTGTCAATTTTGGCTGCACATTGGTACCACCTGGGAATATTAAAAACATGAAAACATAACTCATGCTTGGTTCTAACCCATAGAAATGCTGTTTTAATTGGTCAGGGCTGTGGCCTGGGCATTGGAACATTTTCAGTCTACCCACTTGAATTTGTAATCAAGACTGAGAACCACTGGCCTAGAGAAGAAAGCTGGTTTAGGACTGAAAGAATCCTTGGGTCTCACAGTGCCTCAATTCCAAGTTCTCTCCACTTGGGATGAATTGGAGTTTATTGTAAAATGTAAATATAGTACTTCCGTGTGTTCCCTAGGACATTTGATGCTTTTTAAGACTTGCGATTATTTAGGTTTGTGGTTGGTGGGAAACAAAAAAAGCATGAGTGAATCTTTAGCATCTGGAAAGAATGGGTAGATTCACATATTAAGCACAATGTGAGCCACTGTGTTTTTTTTGTAATTTAAGTTCCGGGATACATGTGCAGGTTTGTTACATAGGTAAACATGTGCCATGGTGGTTTGCTGCACCTATCAACCCACTGTGCTTGTTATTACTATTTATTAATAGTAATAAAACTTCATGGATCAACTAACTTAACATTGTGATGTTTGCACAGGTTGCCTGTGATTTGCTTCGGAGGATTATTCGTATCTTGAATCTCAGTAAGAGACTCCAAGGACAACTGCAAGGGGGAAGTAGAGAGATAACAAAAGCTGCTCAGAGTCTCAATGAACTTGGTAAGTTTTTTTTTTTTTTTAAATAAAAAGTTAGTAGAGATTTAAATATTTTTAAGTCACTTGATTGGTTGACTTTTGTTATCACCATTAGCAAGTACTATTAAACAAATTTTTAAATAATTGGCTGTATACAATATTGTAACACTTCTCAGAATGAGTAAGTACAAGTAGTTGATTTCACTGAAATGCTATTTATTTTAATTATATAGTAAAATTGTCCTTTTTCATATACAGGTCTGTAAATTTTAATACATATACAGATTTATGTAAGCACCATTACAGTCATGATACAGAACAATTCCATCACTCCTCCAGATTCCCTCATTATCCCTTCACGGTGATGCCTACCCGCTTCTGCTAGTCCTGACAGCCACTGATCTTTTCTCCATCATTGTAGTTTTGTCTTTTTGAGAATGACACATAAATGGAATTACAAAGTAGGTGACCTTTTGAGGCTGTCTTCTTGTACTCAAAATAATACCTTTGAGATTTATTCAAGTTTTGGGGTGTACTAATAGTTTGTTACTTTGTGTTTGATTGAATACCATTGTATGAGTAGCCTGCAGTTTGTTTATTGATTCACTGATTGAAGGACATTTGTTGTTGTTTCCAGTTTTTGGTGATTATGAATAGGTGTACAGTTCTTTATGTGAAGTTTTCTTTTCTCTAGGAAATATTCTAGAGAAATGCTGTTTTTAACATGACAAATCCCATGCTGATACTATGCCTAGAAGATTTTAAAAATTTATTTCTTTGTTCATTCTTTTCTCAGACATTTATTGCAGGACCTTGACAGTCAAGAGTTTAATGTTCATGGTTTTGACTATTAACCAGCTGCAAAGTCCATGATGCAGCAGTTCATAATTTTTCAGGCAAAATTTTGAATAGCTAGTGAGTGCACATAGAACTGCCCAACACTTTTAATGTGGCTTGGTGGTTTTCTTCTTTTCACTGGGTACCCACTTATTTTTCTGAAGTGGATATATGTAGTGGCATTTGTACTTTGTAGGCTCAGAAGTCTTTAATTATATCCATTTCAGATATCAAGAGTCTGCTTACTCTTGCTATTGTGCTTTGAAAGCAGTTATGCCAAAATAGTATCAGAGAAATGTACATTACATGTTCTTTCTGAATTTTCCTGTCTTTGATTTTTTGATTATATAGTCATGCTATGCTGTAATGCTTATTCCATATTTTTTGTTAATCAAGGAAATCCTTCACAAATAATGCTTCAACAGCATTGCAATTGTATACTGCTGAAATATAGGTTTTGCTTAGGAAAATCATTGGGAATATCTCTAACTTGTGATTTAGTAGGCTTGGAAAATGTCATATAAAAAGTTGAACTTTTAAGCTGGGTGTGGTGGCTGGTACCTGGAGGCCCAGTTACTTGGGAGGTGGAGGCAGGCAGAATTGCTTGAGGCCAGGAGTTTGAGACCAGCCTGGGTGAACAGAACAGATCTCCTCTTGGCTCTAAAAAGTAAAAATTGAGAAGTAAAGGAAATTAAAACAAAATAAAAGTTGAGCATCATAGCATGTGCCTGCAGTCTCAACTACTTGGGAAACTGAGATGGGAGGATCACTCGAGCCCACAAGTTAGAGGCTGCAGTGAGCTGTTATTGCACCACTGTTCTCCACCCTGGGTGACAGAGCAAGATCTTGACTCTTTAAAAAAAAAAAAAAGTTAACTTTAAACAATGAATAATGCTTGTGTGTTGTTTTCACAGTATTATCTAAACATAGAAGGGTAAAAATCCAAGTATCAGCCACTGTTTTGCTCTATCACATTTAATATCTGTGCACCAACAATAGTTTGTAGGATTATGGAATCATTAAACATAGATGCATATTATTCCAAGGCTTATTATGGATGTTTGTCATCACTGACTTTCCTTCAATATTAAAAAAGTGCTAAATTTTGATTGGATTATGATTATAATTTCTTCTATAATTGACAGATTCTGTAATACAAATGGTCATGTCTTCGAAAAAAAAAAACAAAAACAGGCACAGCCGGGCATGGTGGCTCACGCCTGTAATCCCAGCACTTTGGGAGGCTGAGGCGGGCGGATCATGAGGTCAAGAGATCGAGACCATCCTGGCCAACATGGTGAAACCCCGTCTCTACTAAAAATACAAAAATTAGCTGGGCGTGGTGGTGTGTGCCTGTAATTCCAGCTACTCAGGAGGCTGAGGTAGGAGAATCACTTGAACCCAGGAGGCGGAGGTTGCAGTGAGCCGAGATCTGCAACTGCACTCCAGCCTGGTGACAGAGCAAGACTCTGTCAAAACAAACAAACAAACAAAAAACCCCACAAAAAAACAGGCACAAGTATTGATCATAATGTTCTGAGTTAGTATAATGCAGTGTAAAACCATTATCCTTCCAATGTGCTGTTGGCTTTACCTAAAGTTTTTATAAAGATTGTTAAAAAGTTTTTGAGAAGATATAGTTCATGGTGGAATGATCTCAAAGTGGATTGTGTTAATCTAATTTTTAAAAGCCTTGCAGATGATGTGTGATTTAATATTTGCAAAGACATCATGTCTTTTTTATTCACCACTGTAGTTCAGTCTTGACCAGTCCTGGCATTTATAATAAGGAGAAGCCAAGGAAAAATAAGTTGCTACATTTGGAATTAATATTTGAGTAAAAGTAATAATTTTGCAGTCACTATTACAGTTATACACATGTACACTAAATGACACTTCTGTGATTGGAACTTCTCTAAAATTGTCAGTGTCTTTATCAGTGTGGTTCTGTTTTTCATTAGAAAGCATTAGAAAGAATAAAATAATGAAGAGTAACAGTGTTTATACCATAGACCCTTGAAATTAACTTAAAAGCAATGTTTCAAACTTGAAAGGTTTGAGGCTTGATTTGGGACACCCAGATGAAATACATTGTTGTCTGGAAATTAAGTATATTCTATGAGACTGGGATGTGGAGTGACTACTAGTGGATACAGATTTGTTTTTAGGGTGATGAAAATGTTCTGGAATTAGATAGTCGTGACTTTTGTGCCACCTTGTCAGTGTACTAAAAACCACTGCATTGTACACTTTGAAAGGGAGAGTTTTATGTTACGTAAATTTGAAATTCGTCAGTGTTGTGTGTATTAATACCTTTGCCTTTTTATTATGGACTAGTATTCCATTGATAGATCATAGCTGGTTTATCCATTTACATGCTGATGGACAGTTGGGTTGTTCCTAATTTTTTAATATTATAAATTAAGCTGCTATGAACATTCATGTACAAGTCTTTGTAGGAACATATCCTTTCATTTCTCTTGGATAAATACCTAGGATTGGAATGTCTAGATCATATGGTAGGTATATGTTTAACTTTTTAAAAAATTGCCAAGATTATTTTTCAAAGTTGTTGTAATGTTTACATTCTTTTTTTTTTTTTCTTTTTGAGACAAAGTTTTGCTGTTGTTGCCCAGGCTAGAGCACAATGGCGCAATCTCGCCTCACGGCAACCTCCGCCTCCCGGGTTTAAGCAATTCTCCTGCCTCAGCCTCCTGAGTAGCTGGAATTACAGGCGCCCACCACCATGCCCGGCTAATTTTTGTATATTTAGTAGAGACGGGGTTTCACCATGTTGACCAGGCTGGTCTTGAACTTCTGACCTCAGGTGATCCACCCTTCTCGGCCTCCCAAAGTGCTGGGATTACAGGCGTGAACCACCGCGCCCAGCCAATGTTTACATTCTTACCAGTAGTATTTGAAAGTTCTACTTCCCCCTACAACCATGCCAACACATGTTACACTGTCTTAATTTTAGTCATTCTAATAGGTATGTCGTGGTATCTTGTTTTGAGTTTTCAAAAAAAGCTGTAGTTAATAAAAGAGTTGAGTAAGGTTTCAATATACTAGATAAATATACAAAAAATTAATTGTATTTCTGTATACTCTTAGCAACAAGCAATTGGAAATTGAAATTCAAAAATACCACTTATAACAGCATAAAAATATGACAGACTTAAGGATAAGTCTAACAAAAGATGTGTAAAACCTGTACACTGAAAACTACAAAATATTGTTGAGAACAAAGAAGACCTAAATCAATCAATCAGTCAATGTTGTTCATCAGTTGGAAGACTTAATATTGTTTATTAAGATGTATGTTCTTCCCAACTTGATCTATGAATTCAACAGAATTTCAGTTTAAATTCCAGGGGGGCTTTTAGAAATTGACAAGCTGATTTTAAAATTCATATAGAAATTCAGAGGATCTCGAATAGCTAGAATAACTTTTAAGAGAAAACAGAGTTGGAGGAATAACCCTACCTGATTTGAAGACTTATTACAAAGACTCCTTGAAGTAATCAAGACATAAAGATCAATGGAACAGAGATCTCAGAAATAGACCCACATATATATGAACAACTGATTTTTGACACATTTAGTAGAGAAAAAAATAGTCTTTTCAACAGATGGTGCAGGAACAATTGGATCTCAATATGCAAAACAGTGAACTTGTATCCATACTTCATTTCATATAAAAATATTAACTCAGAATGAATTCGTGTCCTAAATGTAAAATCTAAAACTACAGAACTTAAAGTAGGAGACTCAGAAGATTTTTTTATTTTTATTTTTATTTTTTTCTTTTCTTCTTTTCTTAAATTTTTAATTTTACTTTAAGTTCCGGGATACATGTGCAGAACATGCAGGTTTGTTACATAGTTATACATGCGCCATGGTGGTTTGCTGCATCTATCAACCTGTCATCTAGGTTTTGTTGTTGTTGTTGTTTTTTGAGACGGAGTTTCACTCTCGTTGCACAGGCTGGAGTGCAATGGCGCAATCTCCGCTCACCGCAACCTCCGCCTCCTGGGTTCAAGCGACTCTCTTGCCTCAGCCTCCTGAGTAGCCGGGATTACAGGCATTCACCACCACGCCTGGCTAATTTTGTATTTTTAGTAGAGACAGGGCTTCTCCATGTTGGTCAGGCTGATCTTGAACTCCTGACTTCAGGTGACCTGCCCGCCTCGGCCTCCCAAAGTGCTGGGATTACAGGCGTGAGCCACTGCGCCTGGCCTAGGTTTTAAGCCTCATATGCATTAGTTATTTATCCTAATGCTCTCTCTCCCCTGCCCCCTGCCCCCTGACAGTCCCTGGTGTGTGTTGTTCCCCTCCCTGTGTCCAAGTGTTCTCGTTGTTCAACTCCCATTTACGAGTGAGAATGTGCAGTGTTTGGTTTTCTATTCCTGTGCTAGTTTGCTGAGGATGAAGGCTTCCAGCTTCATCCATGTCCCTGCCAAGGACATGATTTCATTTTTTTTTATGGCTGCATGGTGTGTGTAGCACATTTTCTTTATCCAATCTATCGTTGATGGACATTTGCGTTGGTTTCATGTCTTTGCTACTGTAAGTAGTGCTGCAGTAAACATACATGTGCATGTGTCTTTACAGTAGAATGATTTATATTCCTTTGGGTATATCCCAGTAATGGGATTGCTGGGGCAAATGGTATTTCTGGTTCTAGATACTTGAGGAATCGCCACACTTTCTTCCACAACTGTTGAACTAATTTACATTCCCACCAACAGTGTAAAAGCATTCCTATTTCTCCACAGCCTCATCAGCATCTATTGTTTCTTGACTTTTTAGTAATTGCCATTGGCGTGAGGTGGTATCTCATTATGGTTTTGATTTGCCTTTCTGTAATGATCAGTGATGTTAAGCTTTTTAAAATGTTTGTTGGCTGCATAAATGTCGTCTTTTGAGAAGAGTCTATTCATAACCTTTGCCCACTTTGTGATTTTTTGTTTGTTTCCTTGTAAATTTGTGTAAGTTCCTTGTAGATGCTGGATATTAGACATTTGTCAGATGGGTAGATTGCAAAATTTTTCTTCCATCCTGTAGGTTGCCTGTTCAGTCTGATGATAGTTTCTTTTGCTGTGCAGAAGCTCTTTAGTTTAATTAGATACCATTTATCAATTTTTGTTTTTGTTGCATTTGCTTTTGGCGTTTTCATCATGAAATCTTTGCCCATGCCCATGCCCTGAATGGTCTTGTCTATGTTTTCATCTAGCGTTTTTATACTTTTGGGTTTTACATTTAAGTCTTTAATCTATCTTGAGTTAATTTTTGAATAAGGTATAAGGAAGGAGTGCAGTTTCAGTTTTCTGCATACGGCTAGCCAGTTTTCCCAGCACCATTTATTAAATAGGGAATCTTTTCCCCATTGCTTGTTGTTGTCCAATTTGTTGAAGATCAGCTGGTTGTACATGTGTAGTGTTATTTCTGAGGTCTCTGTTCTGTTTCATTAGTTACATATCTCTTTTGGTACCAGGACCATGCTGTTTTGGTTACTGTAGCCTTGTAGTATAGTTTGAAGTCAGATCTCATGATGCCTCCAGTTTTGTTCCTTTTGCTTAGGATTGTCTTGGCTATATGAGCTCTTTTTTGGTTCCATATGAAATTTAAAGTAGTTTTTTCTAACTCTGTGAAGAATGTTAATGGTAGTTTGATAGGAATAGCATTGAATCTATAAATTACTTTGGATAGTATGGCCATTTTCACAGTATTGATTCTTCCTATCCATGAGCATGGAATGTTTTCTTATTAGTTTGTGTCTTCTCTTATTGCCTTGAGCTGTGGTTTGTAGTTCTCCTTGAAGAGGTCCTTCACTTCCCTTAGTAGCTGTGTTCCTAGATATTTTATTCTCTTTGTAGCAGTTGTGAGTGGGAGTTCATTCATGATTGGGCTCTCTGCTTGCCTGTTGTTGGTGTATAGGAATGCTTGTGATTTTTGCACATTGATTTTGTATCCTGAGACTTCACTGAAGTTGCTTATCAATTTAAGGAGTTTTTGGGCTGAGACTATGGGGTTTTCTAAATATACAGTTATGTCATCTGGAAACAGACAATTTGACTTCCTCTCTTCCTATTTGAATACGCTTTATTTCTTTCTGTTGCCTGCTTGCCCTGGCCAGAACTTCCAATGCTATGTTGAATAGGAGAGGTGAGAGAGGGCATCCTTGTCTTGTGCCTGTTTTCAAAGGGAATGCTTCCAGCTTTTGCCCATTTAGTATGATATTGGCTATGGGTTTGTCATAAATAGCTCTCATTATTTTGAGATATGTTCCATCAGTACCTAGTTTATTGAGAGTTTTTAACATGAAGGTGTGTTGAATTTTATCAGAGCCCTTTTCTGTGTCTGTTGAGGTAATCTTATGTTTTTTTGTCATTGGTTCTGTTTATGTGATGGATTATGTTTATTGATTTGCATATGTTGAACCAGCCTTGCATCCCGTGGATGAAGCCGAGTTGATCGTGGTGGATAAGTTTTTTACTGTGCTGCTGGATTCGGTTTGCCAGTATTTTATTGAGGATTTTCACATCGATGTTCATCAGGGATATTCGCCTGAAGTTTTCTTTTTTTGTTGTGTCTCTGCCAGATTTTGGTATCAGAGTGATGCTGACCTCATAAAATGAGTTAGGGAGGAGTCCCTCCTTTTCAGTTGTTTGGAATATCATCTGAAGGAGTGGTACCAGCTCCTCTTTGTACCTCTGGCAGAATTCGGCTGTGAATCCGTCTGGTCCTGGGCTTTTTTGGCTGGTAGGCTATTAATTAGTGCCTCAATTTTGGGACTTGTTATTAGTCTATTCAGAGATTTGACTTCTTCCTGGCTTAGTCTTGGGAGTGTGTATGTGTCCAAGTATTTTTCCATTTCTTCTAGATTTTCTAGTTCATTTGCGTAGAGGTTTTTATAGTATTCTCTTGGTGGTAGTTTGTATTTCTTTGGGGTCAGTGGTGATATCCCCTTTATCATTTTTTATTGTGTCTACTTGATTCTTCTCTCTTTTCTTTATTAGTCTAGCTAATGCTCTATTTTGTTAATTTTTTCAAAAAACCAGCTCCTGGATTCATTAATTTTTTGAAGGATTTTTCGTGTCTGTGTCTCCTTCAGTTCTGCTCTGATCTTAGTCATTTCTTGTCTTCTGCTAGCTTTTGGGTTTGTTTGCTTTTGCTTCTCTAGTTCTTTTAATTGTGATGTTAAGGTGTCGATTTTAGATCTTTCCTGCTTTCTCCTGTGGGCATTTAGTGCTATAAATTTCCCTCTAAACACTGCTTTAAATGTGTCCCAGAGATTCTGGTATGTTGTCTCTTTGTTCTAATTGGTTTCAAAGAACTTCTTGATTTCTTCCTTTAATTTTGTTATTTACCCAGGAGTCATTTAGGAGCGGTTGTTCAATTTCCATGTAGTTATTTGGTTTTGAGTGAGTTTCTTAATCCCGAGTTCTAATTTGATTGCATTGTGGACTGTTTGTTATGATTTCCATTCTTTTGCATTTGCTGACAAGTGTTTATTTCCAATTATGAGGTTGATTTTAGAATAACTGCCTTGTGGCACTGAGAAGAATGTATATTCTGTTGATTTAGAATGGAGAGTTCTGTAGATGGCTGTTAGGTCCACTTGATCCAGAGTGAGTTCAAGTCGTGAATATCCTCGTTAATTTTCTGTCCCGTTGATCTGTCTAATGTTGACAGTGGGGTGTTAAAGTCTCCCACTATTACTGTGTGGGAGTCTGAGTCTCTTTGTAGGTCTCTAAGAACTTGTTTTATGAATCTTGGTGCTCCTCTCTTGGGTGTATATATATTTAGGATAGTTAGCTTTTCTTGTTGAATTGATCCATTTATGATTATATAATGACCTTCTTTGTCTTTTTTGATCTTTGTTGGTTTAAAGTCTCTTTTATTAGAGACTAGGATTGTAACCCCTGCTTTTTTTTGTTTCCCATTTGCTTGGTAAATTTTCATCTATCCTCTTATTTTGAGCCTATGTATATCTTTGCACGTGAGATGGGTCTCCTGAATATAGCTCATCAGTTGATCTTGACTCTTTATTCAATTTGCCAGTCTGTACCTTTTTAATTGGGACATTTAGCCCATTTACATTTAAGGTTAAAATTGTTATGTGTGAATTTGATCCTGTCATCATGATGCTAACTTGTTATTTTGCACACTAGTTGATGCAGTTTCTTCATAGTGTCATTGGTGTTTTCATTTTGGTATGCTTTTGCAGTGGCTGGTACTGGTTTTTCCTTTCCATATTTAGTGCTTCCTTCAGTAGCTCTTGCAAAGCAGGCCTGGTGGTGATGAAATCCCTTAGCATTTGCTTGTCTAGAAAGGATTTCCTTTCTTATTTCTGCTTTGTTCATGAAGCTTAGTTTGGCTGGATATGAAATTCTGGGTTGAAAATTCTTCTCTTTAAGAATGCTGAGGCCAGGCGCAGTGACTCATGCCTGTAATCCCAGCACTTTGGGACGCCGAGGCGGGCAGATCTCGAGGTCAGGAGTTCGAGACCAGCCTGACCAACATAGTGAAACCCCTTCTCTACTGAAAATAGAAAAATTAGCCAGGCGTGATGGTGCACACCTGTAATCCCAGCTACTCAGGAGGCTGAGGCAGGAGAATCACTTGAACCTGGGAGGCAGAGGTTGTGGTGAGCCGAGATTGCGCCACTGCACTGCAGCCTGGGCGACAGAGTGAGACTCCATCACAAAAAAAAAAAAAAGGAATGTTGAATGTTGGCCCCCACTCTCTTCTGGCTTGTAGAGTTTCTGCTGAGAGATCCGCTGTTAGTCTGATGGGCTTCCCTTTTCTAGGTGACCTGACCTTTTTCTCTGGCTGCTCTTAACATTTTTTCCTTCAATTCAACCGTGAAGAATCTGATGATTATATGTCTTGGGGTTTATCTTCTCATGGAATATCTTAGTGGTGTTCTCTGTATTTCCTGAATTTGAATGTTGGCCTGTCTTGCTAGGCTGGGGAAGTTCTCCTGGATAATATCCTGAAGAGTCTTTTCCAACTTGATTCCATTCACCCCATCTCTTTCAGGTACTCCAATCAATCATAGGTTCTTTATTTTTACATAGTTCCATATTTCTCCGAGATTTTGTTCATTTTTTTTTCATTCTTTTTTCTCTAATCTTGTCTGTATGCCTTATTTCAGCAAGGTGATCTTCAGACTCTGATATCCTTTCTTCCACTTGATCTATTCGGCTGTTGATACTTGTGTATGCTTCACTAAGTTTTTCAGCTGCATCAAGTCATTAATGTTCCCCTCTAAACTGGTTATTCTAGTTAGCAGCTCCTGTAACCTTTTATCAAGGTTCTTAGCTTCTTTGCATTGGGTTAGAACATGCTTCTTTAGCTCAGCAGAGTTTGTAATTACCCACCTTCTGAAGCCTACTTCTGTCAATTAGTTCATCTCATCCTCCGTCCAGTTCTGCGCCCTTGCTGGAGAGCTGTTGCGATCATTTGGAGGAGAAGACGCATTCTGGTTATTGGAATTTTCAGCATTTTTTCACTGGTTTTTCCTCATCTTTGTGGATTTATCTACCTTTGATCTTTGAGGCTGATGACCTTTGGGTGGGGTTTTTGTGTGGGGGTCTTTTTGTTGTTGTTGTTGTTGCTTTCTGTTTGTTAGTTTTTCTTCCAACGGACCCCTCTTCTGCAGGTCTGCTGCAGTTTGCTGGGGGTCCACTGCAGACCCTGTTCACCTGGGTATCACCAGTGGAGGCTGCAGAACAGAAAAGATTGCTGCCTGCTCCTTCCTCTGGAAGCTTCGTCCCAGAGGGTCACTGGCCTGATGCCAGCTGGAGCTCTCCTGTATGAGGTGTCTGTCAACTCCTGTTGGGAGGTCTCTCCCAGAAACATAGAAGATTTCTGTGACTTTGAATTAGACAGTGATTCTTAGATATTACCCAAAGCACAATTCACAAGAGAATAAAGTTGATAAATTAGATTTCATCAAAATTTAAGAAGCTCTTCAAATGATACTGTTACGAGAATAAAAAGACAAACTGTGGACAAGGAGAAAATATTTGCAAAGTATATTTGATAGAGGACTTGCATCCAGACATATCAAAAGACTCAAAACTTAATAGGAACTCCAACAACCCACTTAAAAAATAGGCAAAAGAGTTGAACAGACACTTCACCCAAGATGATGACAGATACGCATCTGTAAACATGCTCAACATCGTTAGGCATTAGGGAAATGAAAATGAAAAGTATACTATTATCTTATTGTCAGAGAATAAGCAGAATTATTTTAGTGCAGACATATTTATTGTACTTTTTAATGCAGGTTATTATGTAATAGTTTAAAAAATAAAACTACAAAGTGTAGATTGAATGATTAAGTTATATCACATAGATTCATGATTTTTCTTTAAGAAGAGTCTTGGGACTAGATGAAAATTTAGATAGGCATTACTACAAAGTGGTGATGTTATTTAAGCATGAGTAAGGTAATGTACTTAACTACATTCATGGCTGCCAAGAGACAGTATTTACCTGGGTAAATTTGTCATAATCCAGGATCTGTTCTCTTTCTTACTCTTTCTGGCTTAGAAACTTTATTTTGCTATACTGAGAATTGATTTAATAATTGTTTATAGATATTTTATTGCCTGACTTGTTCTAAAGAGGGCATTAATTTGACTAACAGTAAATCAAAAGATAATGAAAAAGAGGCTAGCAACAAGAGTAAAAGAAGGATGATTTGTAGGGAGTTTCTTTGACAGCCCAGCTTTTACATTAAAGTCCTCAATTGAGGCAGGAAGGATTCATCATTCTCCTCTCCACCTCCCATCGATGGATACTCTGCTTTTGAGGGGAAATGGAATATGGGATTCACAGGAGGGTGAGGATGACTGTATCTCTTATACACCATAATGACAACTCATCCTTCTGAAATTTTCCCAATTCTGTATATTAATGCATTTAGTCTCTCGAATGTTAGAACGATTCTCTACTAATCCCACTTGTGAAAACAGAATTGTTAGTATATTTATGGTTGAAATGTATAGGTTACCGTGATAAACTTTGTATCTTTTTTTTAATGTTCTTGGCTGAATCAATCTCTTCGTTTTATGAAGTCTGCTTATATATCTAGCAAGATTTTTAGTTTTCATCAATAATATATCTATATCCCACATATTGAGTCTCATGATAACATTAATTCTAGGTAGCTATTTAGTATTATCTAATCTATTTTTGACTTATCCTACAAATAGAGATTAAAGGAGGAAAAATTTCCCATAAAGTAACCAGACCATACCTTCATGAATGAATACTCTTTAGTCTGTTTATGAAAATCATGATTTATAATTCGTTTAATTTATTTATCAAACAATTAGGTTTCAATATACATAAGCCCTGTAGCTTGTTAGAATCTCCTACAGAGTGAGTAAAATGCAGTTTCTGTGTTTGAGAAGTGTAAGATCTGTCCTTATCTATAAACTCAGCATAAAACTGATAATGACAACAACAATATATTGATGATGATGATGATAATATCCATGGGGTAAACCAGTCTCTGCCTAGTCTTCCTATTTTGGCTCATCTGCACTTTGCATGAAGTAACAATAAAAAAAACTTTGGTCATTCTTTTATCATAAAACTTGGAAAAATTCATTTACTTATTCAGCCATTGTTTATTGAATATCTACTATGTGTGCTATGTGCTATTCCAGACACTGAAAACACAAGACACTGAACAAAACAGAAACCCCCTACCCTTTGTAGAATGTATATTCCAGTGGGTCCTAAGGACACCCATCTGGTGTATCTGTAAAAATCTGATTCTAAAGCCTGAGCTGGTAAACCACCAATGCTATACTCTTTTCTTAAACTCTGTGGCAGCATTTAATTGCTTCATAAAAGGGATTTCTGCTATTGGTAGGTCTCCCAGTGTCCTTTAAAAAAATCACATTATTATTGTACTTTCTAAGAATACTTTATACAAAATAGGTTTAAATGTATATTATAATTAAGTGAAAATGAGAAAATGACTTCTGATTGAGCTATAACCTCATAATAAACCAAAATATAAAATATGTGTGTGTGTGTGTGTGTGTGTGTGTGTGTGTGTGTGTGTAAAATAGGCCATGTTTATATAGAAAATGTATTTTATGTTAGGATTGTGGGTTGACTGTTGTTAGTAACTTAATATTCTATTTTAAAGCTTTATTGCATTATTGAAGAATCATTTTTTAAAAGTATAATCAAGCAATTGGATATGATAGAAAATATTTCCTCTACTAATTTTAATCGCTTATGGTCTATTTTCTGAGTTTTACATTTTTATTGCCTAGCTGCAATATATTAACACCACGTGTCATGAGAGAATATTCTTTTATTTTATTTTATTTTATTATTATTATACTTTAAGTTTTAGGGTACATGTGCACAATGTGCAGGTTTGTTACATATGTATACATGTGCCATGTTGGTGTGCTGCACCCATTAACTCGTCATTTAGCATTAGGTATATCTCCTAATGCTTTCCCTCCCCTCTTCCCCCACCCCACAACAGTCCCCGGAGTGTGATGTTCCCCTTCCTGTGTCCATGTGTTCTCATTGTTCAGTTCCCACCTATCAGTGAGAAGATATGGTGTTTGGTTTTTTGTCCTTGCAATAGTTTGCTGAGAATGATGGTTTCCAGCTTCATCCATGTCCCTACAAAGGACATGAACTCTTCATTTTTTATGGCTGCATAGTATTCCATGGTGTATATGTGCCACATTTTCTTAATCCAGTCTATCATTGTTGGACATTTGGGTTGGTTCCAAGTCTTTGCTATTGTGAATAGTGCCACAGTAAACATACGTGTGCATGTGTCTTTATAGCAGTGTGATTTATAATCCTTTGGGTATATACCCAGTAATGGGATGGCTGGGTCAAATGGTATTTCTAGTTCTAGATCCCTGAGGAATCGCCACACTGACTTGCACAATGGTGGAACTAGTTTACAGTCCCACCAACAGTGTAAAAGTGTTGCTATTTCTCCACATCCTCTCCAGCACCTGTTGTTTCCTGACTTTTTAATGATCGCCATTCTAACTGGTGTGAGATGGTATCTCATTGTGGTTTTGATTTGCATTTCTCTGATGGCCAGTGATGATGAGCATTTTTTCATGTGTCTTTTGGCTGCATAAATGTCTTCTTTTGAGAAGTGTCTGTTCATATCCTTTGCCCACTTTTTGATGGGGTTGTCTGTTTTTTTCTTGTAAATTTGTTTGAGTTCATTGTAGATTCTGGATATTAGCCCTTTGTCAGATGAGTAGGTTGCAAAAATTTTCTCCCATTTTGTAGGTTGCCTGTTCACTCTGATGGTAGTTTCTTTTGCTGTGTAGAAGCTCTTTAGTTTAATTAGATCCCATTTGTCAATTTTGTCTTTTGTTGCCATTGCTTTTGGTGTTTTAGACATGAAGTCCTTGCCCATGCCTATATCCTGAATGGTATTGCCTAGGTTTTCTTCTAGGGTTTTTATGGTTTTAGGTCTAACATGTAAGTCTTTAATCCATCTTGAATTAATTTTTGTATAAGGTGTAAGGAAGGGATCCAGTTTCAGCTTTCTACATATGGCTAGCCAGTTTTCCCAGCACCATTTATTAAATAGGGAATCCTTTCCCCATTGCTTGTTTTTGTCAGGTTTGTCAAAGATCAGATGGTTGTAGATATGCGGCATTATTTCTGAGGGCTCTGTTCTGTTCCATTGGTCTATACCTCTGTTTTGGTACCAGTACCATGCTGCTTTGGTTACTGTAGCCTTGTAGTATAGTTTGAAGTCAGGTAGCATGATGCCTCCAGCTTTGTTCTTTTGGCTTAGGATTGACTTGGCAATGTGGGCTCTTTTTTGGTTCCATATGAAGTTTAAAGTAGTTTTTTCCAATTCTGTGAAGAAAGTCATTGGTAGCTTGATGGGGATGGCATTGAATCTATAAATTACCTTGGGCAGTATGGCCATTTTCACGATATTGATTCTTCCTACCCATGAGCATGGAATGTTCTTCCATTTGTTTGTGTCCTCTTTTATTTCACTGAGCAGTGGCTTGTAGTTCTCCTTGAAGAGGTCCTTCACATCCCTTGTAAGTTAGATTCCTAGGTATTTTATTCTCTTTGAAGCAATTGTGAATGGGAGTTCACTCATGATTTGGCTCTCTGTTTGTCTGTTATTGGTGTATAAGGATGCTTGTGATTTTTGCACATTGATTTTGTATCCTGAGACTTTGCTGAAGTTGCTTATCAGCTTAAGGTGATTTTGGGCTGAGACAGTGGGGTTTTCTAGATATACAATCATGTCATCTGCAAACAGGGACAATTTGGCTTCCTATTTTCCTAATTGAATACCCTTTATTTCCTTCTCCTGCCTAATTGCCCTGGCCAGAACTTCCAACACTATGTTGAATAGGAGTGGTGAGAGAGGGCATCCCTGTCTTGTGCCAGCTTTCAAAGGGAATGCTTCCAGTTTTTGCCCATTCTGTATGATATTGGCTGTGGATGTGTCATAGATAGCTCTTATTATTTTGAGATATGTCCCATCAATACCTAATTTATTGAGAGTTTTTAGCATGAAGTGTTGTTGAATTTTGTCAAAGGCCTTTTCTGCATCTATTGAGATAATCGTGTGGTTTTTGTCTTTGGTTCTGTTTATATGCTGGATTACATTTATTGATTTTCATATGTTAAACCAGCCTTGCATCCCAGGGATGAAGCCCACTTGATCATGGTAGATAAGCTTTTTGATGTGCTGCTGGATTCGGTTTGCCAGTATTGTATTGAGGATTTTTGCATCAGCGTTCATCAAGGATATTGGTCTAAAACTCTCTTTTTTTGTTGTGTCTCTGCCAGGCTTTGGTATCAGGATGATGCTGGCCTCATAAAGTGAGTTAGGGAGGATTCCCTCTTTTTCTATTGATTGGAATAGTTTCAGAAGGAATGGTACCAGCTCCTCCTTGTACGTCTGGTAGAATTTGGCTGTGAATCCATCTGCTCCTGGACTTTTTTTGGTTGGTAAGCTATTGATTATTGCCACAATTTCAGAGTCTGTTATTGGTCTATTCAGAGATTCAACTTCTTCCTGTTTTAGTCTTGGGATGGTGTATGTGTCGAGGAATTTATCCATTTCTTCTAGATTGTCTAGTTTATTTGCGTAGAGGTGTTTGTAGTATTCTGTGATGGTAGTTTGTATTTCTGTGGGATCGGTGGTGATATCCCCTTTATCATTTTTTATTGCATCTATTTGATTCTTCTCTCTTTTCTTCTTTATTAGTCTTGCTAGCAGTCTATCAGTTTTGTTGATCTTTTCAAAAAACCAGCTCCTGGATTCATTAATTTTTTGAACGGTATTTTGTGTCTCTATTTCCTTCAGTTCTGCTCTGATTTTAGTTATTTCTTGCCTTCTGCTAGCTTTTGAATGTGTTTGCTCTTGCTTTTCTAGTTCTTTTAATTGTGACGTTAGGGTGTCAATTTTGGATCTTTCCTGCTTTCTCTTGTGGGCATTTAGTGCTATAAATTTCCCTCTACACACTGCTTTGAATGTGTGCCAGAGATACTGGTATGTTGTGTCTTTGTTTCCGTTGGTTTCAGAGAACATCTTTATTTCTGCCTTCATTTCGTTATGTACCCAGTAGTCATTCTGGAGCAGGTTGTTCAGTTTCCATGTAGTGGAGCGGTTTTGAGTGAGTTTCTTAATCCTGAGTTCTAGTTTGATTGCACTGTGGTCTGAGAGACAGTTTGTTATAATTTCTGTTTACATTTGCTGAGGAGTGCTTTACTTCCAGCTATGTGGTCAATTTTGGAATAGGTGTGGTGTGGTGCTGAAAAGAATGTATATTCTGTTGATTTAGGGTGGAGAGTTCTGTAGATGTCTATTAGGTCCGCTTGGTGCAGAGCTGAGTTCAATTCCTGGGTATCCTTTTTAACTTTCTGTCTCGTTGATCTGTCTAATGTTGACAGTGGGTTGTTAAAGTCTCCCGTTATTATTGTGTAGGAGTCTAAGTCTCTTTGTAGGTCACTAAGGACTTGCTTTATGAATCTGGGTTGTCCTGTATTAGGTGCATATACATTTAGGATAGTTAGCTCTTCTTGTTGAATTGATCCCTTTACCATTATGTAATGGCCTTCTTTGTCTCTTTTGATCTTTGTTGGTTTAAAGTCTGTTTTATCAGAGACTAGGATTGCAACCCCTGCCTTTTTTTGTTTTCCATTTGCTTGGTAGATCTTCCTCCATCCCTTTATTTTGAGCCTATGTGTGTCTCTGCACGTGAGATGGGTTTCCTGAATACAGCACACTGATGGGTCTTGACTCTATCCAGTTTGTCAGTCTGTGTCTTTTAATTGGAGCATTTAGCCCATTTACATTTAAGGTTAATATTGTTATGTGTGTATTTGGTCTTGTCATTATGATGTTAGCTGGTTATTTTGCTCGTTAGTTGATGCAGTTTCTTCCTAGCCTTGATGGTCTTTACATTTTGTCATGTTTTTGCAGTGGCTGGTACCGGTTGTTCCTTTCCATGTTTAGTGCTTCTTTCAGGAGCTCTTTTAGGGCAGGCCTGGTGGTGACAAAATCTCTCAGCATTTGCTTGTCTGTAAAGGATTTTATTTCCCCTTCACTTATGAAGCTTAGTTTGGCTGGATATGAAAATTCTGGGTTGAAAATTCTTTTCTTTAAGAATGTTGAATATTGGTCCCCACTCTCTTCTGGCTTGTAGAGTTTCTGCCGAGAGATCCGCTGTTAGTCTGATGGGCTTCCCTTTGTGGGTAACCCGACCTTTCTCTCTGGCTGCCCTTAACATTTTGTCCTTCATTTCAACTTTGGTGAATCTGACAATTACGTGTGTTGGAGTTGCTCTTCTCGAGGAGCATCTTTGTGGCGTTCTCTGTATTTCCTGAATCTGAATGTTGGCCTGCCTTGCTAGATTGGGGAAGTTCTCCTGGATAATATCCTGCAGAGTGTTTTCCAACTTGGTTCCATTCTCCCCATCACTTTCAGGTACACCAATCAGACGTAGACTTGGTCTTTTCACATAGTCCCATATTTCTTGGAGGCTTTGTTCATTTCTTTTTATTCTTTTTTTCTCTAAACTTCCCTTCTCGCTTCAGTTCATTCATTTCGTCTTCCATCACTGGTACCCTTTCTTCCAGTTGATCGCATCAGCTCCCGAGGCTTCTGCATTCTTCACGTAGTTCTTGAGCCTTGGCTTTCAGCTACCTCAGCTCCTTTAAGGACTTCTCTGCATTGGTTATTCTAGTTAGCCATTCGTCTACTTTTTTTTCAAGGTTTTTAACTTCTTTGCCATTGGTTCGAACTTTCTCCTTTAGCTCAGAGTAGTTTGATCTTCTGAAGCCTTCTTCTCTCAACACGTCAAAGTCATTCTCCTTCCAGCTTTGTTCCATTGCTGGTGAGGAGCTGCGTTCCTTTGGAGGAGGAGAGGCGCTCTGATTTTTAGGGTTTCCAGTGTTTCTGCTTTGTTTTTTTCCCATCTTTGTGGCTTTATCTACTTTTGGTCTTTGATGTTGGTGATGTACAGAAGGGTTTTTGGTGTGGATGTCCTTTCTGTTTGGTAGTTTTCCTTTTAACAGACAGGACCCTCTGCTACAGGTCTGTTGGAGTTTGCTAGAGGTCCACTCCAGACCCTGTTTGCCTGGGTATCAGCAGCGGTGGCTGCAGAACAGCGGTGGCTGTAGAACAGTGGATGTTGGTGAACCGCAAATGCTGCTGCCTGATCGTTCCTCTGGAAGTTTTGTCTCAGAGGAGTACCCGGCCGTGTAAGGTGTCAGTGTGCCCCTACTGGGGGGTGCCTCCCAGTTAGGCTGCTCGGGGGTCACGGACCCACTTGAGGAGGCAGTCTGCCCATTCTCAGATCTCCAGCTGCGTAGTGGAAGAACCACTACTCTCTTCAAAGCTGTCAGACAGGGACCTTTAAGTCTGCAGAGGTTACTGCTGTCTTTTTGTTTGTCTGTGCCCTGCCCCCAGAGGTGGAGCCTACAGAGGCAGGCAGGCCTCCTTGAGCTGTGGTGGGCTCCACCCAGTTGGAGCTTCGGGGCTGCTTTGTTTACCTAATCAAGCCTGGGCAATGGCAGGCGCCCCTCCCCCAGCCTTGCTGCTGCCTTGCAGTTTGATCTCAGACTGCTGTGCTAGCAATCAGCGAGACTCTGTGGGCATAGGACCCTCCGAGCCAGGTGCGGGATATAATCCCCTGGTGTGCCGTTTTTTTAAGCCCATTGGAAAAGTGCAGTATTAGGGTGGGAGTTACCCGATTTTCCAGGTGCCTTCTGTCACCCCTTTCTTTGACTAGGAAAGGGAACTCCCTGACCCCTTGCTCTTCCCGAGTGAGGCAATGCCTCGCCCTGCTTCGGCTCGTGCATGGTGCGTTGCACCCACTGTCTTGCACCCACTGTCTGGCACTCTCTAGTGAGATGAACGCGATACCTCAGATGGAAATGCAGAAATCACCCGTCTTCTGCGTCGCTCACGCTGGGAGCTGTTCCTGTTCAGCCATCTTAGCTCCACCCACCCCATGAGAGAATATTCTTAAAACCAAATACGTCATAGAAGCATTATGATACATTTATTGTGGAAGAGAGGGGTAGTTTAAACTTGTTTCATCCACTGATGTTCTTATTGTAGCTATGATATTTCTTAATCTGATAAAACAATACTTATAGGCAAACGTTTCTCACTTATGTATAGATGAAAGTATGATTTATATAACCTTGCCATACAATAGGGACCCATTAATTACTGAAGTAATTAATGTTTTTTGAGATGTCTATAATATGTTGCAGTTGGTGAAGATTTTAGAAAGTTTTATTTCGGCCGGGTGTGGTCGTTCATGCCTGTAATCCAGCACTTCGGGAGGCTGAGGCGGGTGGATCACGAGGTCTGGAGATCAAGACCATCGTGGCTAATATGGTGAAACCCTGTGTCTACTAAAAAAAAAAAAAAAAAAATACAAAAAATTAGCTGGGCATGGTGGTGGGTGCCTGTAGTCCCAGCTACTCGGGAGGCTGAGGCAGGAGAATGGTGTGAACCCGGGAGGCAGAGCTTGCAGTGAGCGGAGATTGCACCACTGCACTCCAGCCTGGGTGACAGCGAGACTCCATCTCAAAAAAAAAAAAAAAAGAAAAGAAAAGGAAGTTTTATTTCAAGGCTATTAAAATTGTTCATTGATAGGAAAGGTTGAAAATAAACCATGAGCTTTGAAAGAAGCTGCAGGCTACAGCCTATACTGTGAGCCAGGTGAAAAACTGTAAGTCCCCAGAGGGTGAGAGTGGAAGAGACTGCCTCCAGGATACACACCCCTACAGGGGAACCTGACAATCCAACCCACAGGGGAAGACCTTTATCCTACTCAACACTGGAACTGATTTAGGAAGTGGTGACATATATAAAAGTAGGAACGGCAGTGGGAGCAGCCTTGCGTGCTTTCCCAGTCTGCAGAGTAGACCAAGGGGAGCCATTCATTATTCTGCCTCACAGTGTATCTCATGGAAGTCCGCCAGCTAACTCAGGAAGCAGTCACAGGTTGAAAGAACCTCCCAACTGAATTTCATGATAACCTCGAATGAGGAAGAATTTCCTAGGCCAGAACCAGAGGGTGAGTGGCAAGTGTCCTGTAGCCACAAGCTAGGGAGCTGGGT